>NC_000021.9:30524877-31154799 GCF_000001405.40 Homo sapiens | reverse complement strand
GTTAAGATCCATAGGCTTTGAAACCAGATTGCCTGGTTCAAATCCCAGCTCTGCCACTTACGTACTGCATCATCTTGGATGAGTTACTTAACCCCTCTGGGCTTCCGTTGTCCTTACCGTGTGGGCAGATGAAATGCATTAGACCGGCACTAGGCGTGTGGTAAGCGATGAGTGTATGTTAGCAATTGTTATCCTGGTTGTTATGAGCATTCAAGAAGCTCTCCTAAATGTGGAGCAATTTGTGGAAACACAAGACGACATTCATATGTGACAGTTGACTAACCAGGGAGAACACCTCTAGGCGGTCCAGGTGTCAGGTGCGTCTAATGAGGGATAATGACCTCTGCCTTCCCTTCCCCCCTGTGCTCCGAAGAGTACAGAACAGGTGGCCGCATTTTGCCGCAGTTTGCATGAGATGAACCCCTCTGACCAGAGCCCATCTCCTCAGGACTCCACGGGGCCTCAGCTGGCGACCATGAGACAACTCTCGGATGCAGATAAGCTGCGCAAGGTGATCTGCGAGCTCCTGGAGACGGAGCGCACCTACGTGAAGGTATGTTTCTTTTTTCTCCCCCTGCCCTCCCTCTGCCTCGTAAAGGAGTGAAGTTGGTGTGTCTGCTGGTTTTCATTAACAGCTGATTTAAACTGTGTTCATGAAGAGCGTCTTGGTTTCTCCTGGAATTTTGCCTATACTCTGAATGTTAAAAGCTTGTTTTGAGTTGTTTTTTTTGTTTTTTTAAGATAGTCTCACTCTGTTGGCCAGGCTGGAGTACAGTGGTGTGATCATAGCTCACTGCAGCCTTTACTTCCTGCGCTCAAGTAATCCTCCCTCCTCAGCCTCCTGAGTAGCTGGGACCACAGGTGCATGCCACCATGCCCAGCCCCGTTTTCTGTTTTTTTTTGTAGAGAGGAGGTTTCACCATGTTGCCCATGCTGGTTTCGAACTCATGGGCTCAAGCGATCCTCCCACCTTGGCCTCCCAAAGTACTGGGACTATAGGCGTGAGAGCTACCACGCCCAGCCTTCTTGTGATTTTTAAGGAAGCCTAGTGATTTTCACGGCAATTCATTTATATATATATATATATGTATGTGTTGTTGACCTAATAAGAAAGCTACATTTAATTTTTTTAAAAGTTGAGGGTATGATCTTCATAATCTAATTAGAATCTAGCCAGAAGACTGCCAGGTCTGTTGTCTTTGTGTTATCACTTGTTCTGACACCTGGTCACATTTCCTATGCGAAAGCAGGGTGATCTGTTTAAGTATCTATATCTTAGTCTTTTAAATCAGGGGTTAGCAAACGACGGCTCTCAGGTCAAATCCAGCTCGCTGCCTGTTTTCGCAAATAAAGTTTGATGAGAACACAGCCACGCTCATTCCTTGACATATTGTCTATGCCTGCTTGGGTGCTACAGTTGAAGAAGTTGCAATGGAGACCGTATTTTAGTCCTCGAAGCCTAAAATATTGACAGAAAAGGTTGGCTTACTCCTGCATGAAATGGACCTTAACGACCTAAAGTCTCTAACGTTAGCCTTCGGGACAGGATCTGTTTGTTCTCTTCTAGATCCTTTTATAGACATTAACATATGCTTTATACTTTAAGTTCTAGGGTATATAAAAAATAAAACACATAAGCTAATGAGTTCTCTTTTCAATTCTTAGGATTTAAACTGTCTTATGGAGAGATACCTAAAGCCTCTTCAAAAAGAAACTTTTCTCACCCAGGATGAGGTATGCTGGAAATGGTTTCAACTTTGTGACCATCATACCGTGGTTTGACTTGTTGGTAAAGAGGAAAAATGGGGACATGCGTAACACTGAAAACATTTTAAATTTATTTAATTGTAACTAGCTGAAATTATTGCCTGCTAAGCTTTGGTGTGCTCATGAAGAGTAAAAAACTGCCCCGCTCTCTGGTAGTGGGATTATTCTCTTAATTGATAAGAATTGATAGAAAAACCTTGTAATCAGATATAAATAACGTTTAGGAAGACTAATGAGATATGAGGTGCATTAAATTCTGTTTTATTTCTAGCTTGACGTGCTTTTTGGAAATTTAACGGAAATGGTAGAGTTTCAAGTAGAATTCCTTAAAACTCTAGAAGATGGAGTGAGACTGGTACCTGATTTGGAAAAGCTTGAGAAGGTTGATCAATTTAAGGTAAATAGTGCAAAGCTGCCTCCAGCGTCAGGGCTATAGTGTGGCTCAAGTTGAATCCCCTGATCGTGTTGATGTCTTCATTGGAGGGCCACAGTGGGGTCTGTTCCTAAGGGTGTCTGAGAGGGAGGGGAATGGAGTGTGTCTTGCTGGTCTGGCTAAGGGAAGCCCAATGCCATCAATTTGCATTAAACTGGTGCAGCTGCTGGCTTTTACGTGAGAAGAAGTACCAACCTTGACCTTTTGTTTGGTTTATGTGGGGGCCTTTAATGCTTTAGCTATCAGTGAATTAGAATAGGCACTCCTGGCTGGGCATGGTGGCTCACGCCTGTAATCCCAGCACTTTGGGAGGCCAAGGCGGGCAGATCACCTGAGGTCAGGAGTTTGAGACCAGCCTGGCCAACGTGGCAAAATCCCATCTCTACAAAAAGTATAAAAATTAGCTGGGCATGGTGGTGGGCACCTGTAATTCCAGCTACTCAGGAGGCTGAGGCAGGAGAATCGCTTGAACCTGAGATGCAGAGGTTGCAGTGAGCCGAGATTGCAGCACTGCTCTCCAGTCTGGGGGACAAGAACGAGGCTCCGTCTTACAAAAAAAAAAAAAAAAAAAAAAAAAAGGCACTTCTGGTTACCCAGTAAACAAATTAATTTATCGTGTTCTGGGAAACTTTGCTTAATGGAAATGCTTATCATTATCCAGGGGAAAGACAATCTTCCAGCACACGGTGTCCTTGCAGCCTAATGAGGATTTATGACTAGTGCCTTAGCAAGGATGCTTATTTCCTCTCCCCTGCTTGGCTTTCTTTTATTGCAGATTTCCTGTGTTGCACCTCCAATTAACAAAGCACATTGCTTCATGTGTTGGCTTACGTGTCACCCTCATGTGCTTTAACAGATTAATTGGGGTATAATTGTGCAGTAGAATATGCTGCATATACTTAGTGTGGAATTTGATGAATTCACACACACACACCCCTATGAAACCATCGTCACAATCAGGACAATGCACATAATCATTTCTCCTGAAAGTCTTGTCCTGCCCTTTTGTGGTTTTTCTCTTCTGCCTCTTACTGCCCTCCCACTCTACCCCTGCTCCATGCTCTGCTCCCTGTTATGTTAAATATGTTTGCATTCTGGAATTTTATATTGGTGGAATCCCATACCAAGTACCCGTTTTTCTGGGGCTGCTTCCACTCAGCGTAGTTGTACTGAGATCCGTCCATATTGCTGTGTGTATCAAGAGCTCATCCCTTTTCATTGCTGCATTGTCTTCCATTGAATGGATAGACCACACTTTGTTATCCATTCACCTTTCTTGGGCATTTGGGTTGTTTCCAGTTTTTGGTAATTACAAATAAAGCTGCTGTGAACATATGTGTACAAGTTTTAGTATGGATATATGCTCTCATTTCTCTTAAGTACCCAGGAAGGGAATGGTTGGGTCATATGGTAAGGGTATGTTTAACTTTTTAAGAAACTGCTCAACTGTTTTACAAAGTGGTTATACCATTGCAGCTCCCTCCAGCAGTTCCTCCTCATTGTTCTGCTGAGGTCACAGTCACTTTCTCTTTTTAGCTATTCTAACAGGTGTGTAGTAGCAGCTCATTATGGTTCTAATTTTAATTTCCCTAATGACTTACGATGATGAGCGTCTTCTGTTATGTGCTTGTTTTTTGCCCTCAGTATATCCACCTTGGTGAAGTGTTTGTTCAAATAATTTGCTCATTTATTTTACTGGGTTATTTGTTTACTAATATTGAGTTTTGAGAGTTCTTTGTATATCCTTTATAAGTCCTTTATCAGATACATGATTTGTAAATATTTTTTTCTGTATTTGAGGCCCATCTTTTCATTTTCTTGACAGTGCCCTTCACAGAGCAGAAGTTTTTAATTTTGATGAAGTACAGTTTTTCAAATTTTCCCTTTTTGAATCACACTTTTGGTGTCTTATCTATGAAATCTTTGCCTAAAGATTTTTTCCTGTGTTTACTCTTAGAAGTTTTGTAGTTTTCTCTTAGAAGTTTTATAGTTTTACATTTAGACTTCTGATCTATTTGAACTTAAATTTGTTATGGTTTAATGTAGGAATCAAAGTTAATTTGTGTGTGTATGAATATCCAATTTTTCTAATCCTGTTTGTTGCAATGGCTGTCGTTTGATCCTTTTTCCACTCAATTTCTTTTGCATTTGTGTTAAGAATGAGCTGTTCATATGTGTATAGGCCCCCATACACTTTGCCTGCCTTCTAACACTTGCAGGAATCTAGCTGTGTAATGTTAGGGTACAAGTTTTGGAGCCGGGGTAAAGACTGCCTCACCTCGATATTCTACCTCAATATATGTTTTTTTGTGTATGTGTTATCTCTTTACATTGCCTCTCTGCAACAGGAGCTACTAAGAATTACATACAAACACACATAAGTATGTGAATATATATGTATATATTATAGGTGTTCATTTTTGTTTGGGTATAATTTCAGACTTACAGAAAAGTTACAAGAATAGTGCAGAGAATTCCTGAATACCCTTCATCTAGATTCCCCAAATGGTAGCATTGGGCTACATTTGCTTTATTCTTTCTTTCCCTCCCTGTCTCCTATGTGTATATGTATCCATATGTGCATGTGTGTACATTATGCATGTATGGTGTGTCTATGTGTACATATAAAATATTTTCTTCCAAAACCATTTAAGAGAAAGTTGTAGGCACAATAATATATCTTTCACCCTAAATACTCCATATAGTTCATTTTTGTGTTCAAAAATTGCTTGTTGGTGGTTATGCTCTTCATTTGAAATAAGTTAGGTTCATTGTAGTGATACCTGTTTTCTAAATTAGTAAATTGATAATTTGCACAGTAGAACACATAATGTGGCCTGGTAGTTAGATAAACAAAAAAGCTGCTTAATAAAAATGGATATATTCTGGAGGCCAGGGTTGGTTAAAATATGGTTATAGACATACTTTAAAATACTACGTTTTAACCTAAAGTAGCTAACATTCATTATATTCATTTACAAGTCTTTTGCTGTGGGGCTGGTTCTTTGAGTTTGGGTCCAGTTAATCACTAAAAAGATTCACAAAAAGGAGACTTTGGGTACCAGAACTTTGATATAGACTTGAGTGTACTGAGAGCAGTGTTATTCTAGGGAGAGGCAGGTACATTGCTTCTTTTAGTGACAGGTGGAGCATCTCAAATCTGAAAATCTGAAATCCAAACTGCTCTAAAATTGGAAACTTTTTGAGTGCCAACATGTTGCTCTAAGGAAATGGCCATTGGAGCATTCTGGATTTTCGATTTTTGATGCTCAACCAGTAAATATAATGCAGATATTCCCAAATATGAAAAAATATGAAATCTGAAGTACTTCTGGTCACAAGTATTTTGGATCAAGGATACCAAACCGGTACTTCCATACTCAACCATCACTCTTCTCAATTCCACATAAGTGGGACCCTCTTCATATACCTTCACTTTGCTGTTTATGGCACAATCTGATTGTCTCCATTCCATCTGTAAGGTGAGATGGCTCATGAACACTAGTGTGCCTGCCTGCAGGATTCTCTCCAGGCTCTCTGAGTTGGTTTCCAGATTTGCTCCCAAACCTGTTGCTGCTGATTTCCACAATTGCTGCTCTTTTTAAACTCCTCATTGTATATTTGACCAAAAAAAAAAGAAAAAGAAAAACTTGTTAAAATCTTCAAACTGTGTTGCATAGAGCACTAGTCTCAAGGTAGTATCAGAAGGAAATAATTAGTTCTGATGTCAAATAAGTTTTGATAAAATTTTCATTTGGAAATTTGCAATGTACGTCAGCCTGTGAGAAGCGTTCTGAAGTCCTACAGAACAGAAACATTGGGGAAGTGGAGTCTTTGTGTATAAACCCTCATATTTGTGTGCACATTGTTCCCTGAGAATCAATTTTTAAGGCGGGAGGAATAAGTGAATACCTTAGTGTTTCATCTGTGGTTATGGTAGGGTAAATAAACAGTAAATATTAAGTTAAATAAATGAATGGCTTTAGGATGGCTAAAGGGAGGGGTTACATTTAGCACATTTTCTTCCACAACTTTTTTTGCTTAATTCTTGGGTATGACTCTGTATTAGTTCATTTTCACATTGCTATGAAGAAATACCTGAGATTGGGTAATTTGTAAAGAAAAAGAGGTTTAATGGACTCACAGTCCCTCATGGCTGGGGAGGCCTCAGGAGGAGCAAAGTCACATCTTACATGGCGGCAGGCAAGAGAGCGTGTGCAGGGGAACCGCCCTTTATAAAAACCATCAGATCTCCTGAGACTTATTCGCTATCATGAGAACAGCACAGGAAAAACCTGCCTCCATTATTCAGTTACCTCTCACAACATATGGGGATTATGGGAGCTACAATTCAAGGTGAGATTTGAGTGAGGACACAGCCAAACCATATCAGGCTCCAAGGATAACTCCCTCACAGAGTCCGATGGCAGTACCCAGGGTACTCCTGCTGACACCCTCCAAGCCAGGGTGGAGATTTGCGGAGGGCTTGGAAAGTAAAGGAGGAAAAGGAGAACACGTAAGAAGAGTAGTGAGGCATCTAATTACCAATTATGTATGGTTTAAAATAAACCTTTTTTTTTTTTTTTTTTTTTTTTGGTCATGGACAGACTCAGAATCCTCTGCATTGTTCATTAGATAAATTGCACTTTGGGGAACCTAGTTTGTTACTCAAATTCAAAACCTTATTTCTTTGCTTGAACCCTGCCTTTTAATTCTAAGCCTCAATAAGCTAAATAAGGTCCCTCTCTAAACAAGACTCTTTCAGTGTGAAACAGAAGGTGTTTTTCTGAGGCCATATATATATATATATATTTTAATATAATATATTAATATAATATATTAATTATATATTATATATTTTTATATATTATATATTTTATATATTATATAAAATATATATTTTATAGAATATATATTTATATATATCTATATATTATATATTTACATATAACATATCTCTATATATAATGTGTGGGATACAAAGTATCTTCTCAGGCATAGTAAAATCTTAATGAGAAGGCCTCTACCCAGTTGTGATCCTACTGGGACAGGGCAGAGAGGCTGGGGAGATGATACCTGACTTCCATAGTTGAGCGTGTTTCTTCCTTTAATATTGCTTATGTTCTTAGTTGCTAGAGGAGAAGGTGGTTTTGGAAGGCATGAAGATAGTGATCAGAGGAACATGTTTTCTGCTTCGGGGGCGGGAGGTATGAGCATTTCCTGCCTTTATTTAGTTTGCCAACAGGAGCTAATGAGAGAATTGAGATTTCTGACTTTTCCAAAGTATATACTTTCTCATCAACATTCAAACAGCCCGGATAGGTTATTAAAAGACACAGACCTGGAAAACCAGGGACATCTACCCTATAAATACTAAGAAGACAAAAAGTCCAACACCTTTTACACAAACTTGTACAAGCACATACTTTGTAATGGGCAATTTTAGGGCATTTGATAGCAAAGAAAGGCTCTGACAGGCACGGAAGATGTTGATTTGTGGGGTGGGCCAGGCAGATGTGAGCTCCCTGCCATAACCTGCTGATATTTCCAGTGGAGGAAGGAAACAACCAACTGTGCCTTTTCTCGTCAAATCCAGAAAGTGCTGTTCTCTCTGGGGGGATCATTCCTGTATTATGCTGACCGCTTCAAGCTCTACAGTGCCTTCTGCGCCAGCCACACAAAAGTTCCCAAGGTCCTGGTGAAAGGTAAGGCCTCTGAGGATGTGGAGGTGGGGGTGTGTTGCTTGTCAGTTGTGTGGCTGACAGTGGTTGGGGGCTTTTGGGCAGAAATCTAAGAGTCATTGGTTGCCAGATAGATGTTCCAGCAAGCCACTGATATGGGTGCTGAGCAATGTAATGTATTCATTTTTTTTTCATTTTTTTTTTTTTTGAGACAGAGTCTCACTCTGTTGCCCAGGCTGGAGTGCAGTGGCACGATCTTGGCTCACTGCGACCTCTGCCTCCCAGGTTCAAGTGATTCTCCTGCCTCAGCCTCCCGAGTAGCTGGGATTACAGGCGTGCACCACCACACCTGGCTAATTTTTGTATTTTTAGCAGAGATGGAGTTTCGCCACGTTGGCCAGGCTGGTCTCGAACTCCTGACCTCAGGTGATCCACCCGCCTCGACCTCCCAAAGTGCTGGGATTACAGGCGTGAGCCACTGCTCCCTGCCTTGTTTTTTTTTTTTTTTTTTTTTTGACACAGAGCCTTGCTCTGTCACTTGGGCTGGAACCTCCACCTCCCAGGTCAAGCGATTCTTCTGCCTCAGCCTCCTGAGTAGCTGGGACTACAGGCCCCTGCCACCACACCTGGCTAATTTTTGTATTTTTTGGTAGAGATGGGGTTTCACCATGTTGGCCAGGCTGGTCTTGAATTCCTGACCTCAGGTGATCCGCCCACCTCGGCCTCCTACAGTGCTAGGATTACCTGGCCAATATCTTGAATTAATGGTTTTGTCAATTTTCTTGTAATGAAAGTTTTACCTTGCTATTTGGGGCCAGAATTGATGGGTCATTTTGCAGTTATGTAAAAACGTAGGGGGTTTAGAAATTCCCTGCTTTATTTCTGTTTTTCTTTAATTTCGATTATAACCTACCACACTTCATAACTAAGTCCTCACTTCACGTTGTCGACAGGTTCTTGGAAACTGTGACTTTTAAGTGACACGATGTACAGCAGGTTCCCAACTAATGTCATTTTGTTCAACATCATTTTGTTATAATGTTGATGAGGAAAAAAATTGGTTTCATTGTATGTCATTTTGCATAAAGTTGCAGTTTCCAAGAACTTACTGACTACATTAAGTGAGGACTTACCGTATACCTTTTTGTGGAATTTTATCTTTCCTTCACCTACTTTTGTTCCTGGGAGTGTGATAACAGCTCCCAAAAGCACTTCTAAAGTTGTCTCAGTTATCCTTGAAAACTGCTGCATTTGTAGTTATTTTTGTGCAGGACACAGTAGAATTTTTATATGGGCAAGCTGCTTTTCCTTAAGTGCTCTGAGAAGACGGTGGAACATTCTGAGAGTCTCCAGAAAGTGGTTATGTCGCCATAGTTCAGCATATGGTGGTTTTTGATGGTAAAAGGATTAAGGAAACATTTTCTTGGCAAACAGTTGCACCAACAGAAAGTTTGATTTTAAAGAATCTCTGGAAATCAGCTTGCTGTTCCTTAACACTTCACTGTAGCTGCCAAGTAAACAGCTGCTGATCAGGTCCCCGGATATGTAAATAATGTTCTTGTGTTTATGTTTGCTGCCAAAGAGAACTAGCTTGACTTAATTTAAAACCTATTATAGGAAGTATTAGCACAATACAGATCTCTGGGTAACAAAGAGCCTGCCCCAGATAAAAACAGTCTTAACGGTAGTGGTGGTCTGTGCAACAGAGTTCTGGTGGAACCTCAAATGAAAAGGGGACCTGGGATTCTCCTTGTCATGCTGCCTGACCTTTCCCGTGTGCTGTGTTGGGCATATGGCTCTGTGTGTGCAGTGTGTTTCTTTTAAAACCTTTATTGAATGCTAATTGTTACGAGATTGTTAAAGTAACAATTTTAGAGTGCTTTGCTCCACAGTGAAATTATATACCCATCTCTGCCCTTGAGCAATTTGTGTTATTTTTAATCACTCAATTAGATTAAATTCTGCCCCCATGGATTTTTTCTTAATTCAATAAGAAAAATATTATATTATCTTTCAAAACTATCCCTTAAAACAGTGGGAATGACCCATATTTTTCTTTTCTTTTCTTTTTTTTTTTTTTTTTTTTTTCTGAGATGGAGTCTCACTCTGTCACCCAGGCTGGAGCGCAGTGGTGTGATCTCGGCTCACTGCAACCTCTGCCTCCCAGGTTCAAGTGATTATCCTGCCTCAGCCTCCTGAATAGCTGGGATTACAGGTGCACGCCACCATGCCCAGCTAATTTTTGTATTTTTAGTAGAGACGGGGGTCTCACCATGTTGGCCAGGCTGGTCTTGAACTCCTGACCTCAGGTGATCTGCCCGCCTTGGCTTCCCGGAGTGCTCGGATTACAGGTGTGATCCACCATGCCCAGCTGACCCATATTTTCTAATTGTCTAATGAGCCCAGAGTGTCAGGATAACTCTGAGAACAACAAAGTGCATGTTCATGTTCATCGCGGACTCACAGCTGGCCTGGAGGAGTGACGCTCCTGGACTGCGCCAAGCGCTGTGAACTGTGCAGTCTTTTGCTCTGATATGGAATTCAGTCGATGGGTGAAATACCCACAGCCATATTTTTGGACGAGAATATTTTGTTGGGGAAGAGTTCCTAGGTCCTTCTAGATGTGGCCCTAGACTTGGGATGCCCCACAAAATCCATCAGTTCCACATATGCTGGCCCCCAGCCCGGCCCAGCTCTCCTGTCACATGGGGCCAGTCGGCCACTCTTCCCAGTGTCCTTTCTCTTCAGGATTTTGTGCTTTGGAAAGACAAGAAATGATGCCAACCCAGGGAGTCTGTTCTCTTAATGGGGCTTAAAAGGGATAACAAGATTGTGGTCTTATGAGGTCTTCCCCCATGATTGCTGTGTTTTAAAATTAAAGACAGGGCTGGGTGCGGTGGCTCACACCTATAATCCCAGCCCTTTGGGAGGCCGAGGTGGGCAGATCGTTTGAGGTCAGGAGTTCGAGACCAACCTGACCAACATGGTGAAACTCCGTCTCTACTAAAAATACAAAAAAAAAAAATTAGCCAGACCTGATGGTGCATGCCTGTAGTCCCAGCTACTCGGGAGGCTGAGGCAGGACAATTGCTTGAACTCGGGAGGTAGAGGTTGCAGTGATCCACAGTGTGCCATCGCACTCTAGCCTGGGCAACAGATCGAGACTCCGTCTCAGAAAAAAAAAAAAAAGACAGAAGAATCATGTTCTGATGCCCTTTTATAGCATCTTTAGTCTTAGCTCATACCCCTAACCACTGGGGATGGAAAGACATTTTTATTAGACATTTTAAAAGTTTAATGTTTATATATTTTAAACTTTCTAATAAAATCTATAAATATCATTAAACTTTTAAATTTTTGTATTTTAAGCTTTCTAATAAAAAATATATATCATTAAACTTTTAAATTTCTATATTTTAAACTTTCTAATAAAATATACGTGTGTGTGTGTGTATATATATATATAAAAATTATATATACACTCCCACTGTTTTTTGCGGGGAGAGGGTATTTATTTATTGAAGAGATTTTTGAGTTCCTGTGACATTCCAGGTGCTGTTATGAAAAGTATCGAGTCACTGGAGTGCCATGTTAAATTTCCAGTGGGGGAAAGTCATCCAGATGAATATTCATTGGAAATGAATTTCCAATGGGGGAAAGTCATCCAGATGAATGTGAAGAATGTGCTTTTTCCAATGTTGATTGTGTTCATTTACTGGTTTATCATAAAGGATGCTGCTCAGGAATAGCCAAATGGAGAGGTGACTGGGCGAGGTATGGGGGAGGGGTGTGTGGAGTTTCCACACTGGAAACGTCCAGAGTGCCCACGCTGGACGTGCCACAGCCCCCATCACCCCCAGGTGCTCACCAGCCCAGAGGCAGCGTGTGTCCACTGTTACGTTGCTTGGATACACTGTCCCCTCCTCTTCCCATATTTTGCCCTCCCCTGACATTCCTTTGCACCTGGAAGACATTAGCCACGGCTTCGTATCATCCCCTGCCAGGTACCTCTGTTTGGGGTCCCACAACTCCCCAGGGCTGCTTCCCAAACCAGCTGGGACACTGAGGAAGGAGGCAAGGCTGGTGAGGAAAGTGCTGCCTGAGCTGCATCAGATCAGAGCCCACGGATGCCCACAGGTGGTGCCACCGAGTTAACTTTGAGTAGATCACCGTGGGAGATCCTGCCTTGCTCTGCTTCACTGGCACTGCGAGATGCTGCTGCTTCTGCATCTGCTTGCCTTTTTTTTCTTTTTCTTTTTCTTTTTTTCTTTCTTTTTTTTTTTTTTTTGAGACGGAGTCTCCCTCTGTCACTCAGGCTGGAGTGCAGTGGCACGATCTCGGCTCACTGCAACCTCCGCCTCCCAGGTTCAAGTGATTCTCCTGCCTCCACCTCCTGAGTAGCTGGGATTATGGGCGCCTGCCACCAGCCTGGCTTTTTTTTTTTTTTTTTTTTTTGTATTTTTAGTAGAGATGAGATTTTAGCAGGTTGGCCAGGCTGCTTTCAAACTCCTGACCTCAAGTGATCCGCTCGCCTCTGCCTCCCAAACTGCTAGGATTACATTCATGAGCCACTGTGCACGGCATGCTTGCCTTTTTCAAAAGAGGTTTTTCCAGCAGTGAAATGCTTGAAAGATTAGGAAAACCAGGGTAAGGAGTGTTCAGAATGTAGGTTTATCATTATTTTGGGATGACAGGGCCAACAGCTCAGGGGACGGATGATTATTAGTTTGTCACTCACAGTTCCCAAGAGGCAGGGGCACCCCATGCCATGCGGGCCAGATGAGGACATGCAGTGTCAGGAGGCAGAGGGAGCGAGGGGAAAATGTGGCCAAGAGCCTTTCTTGGGGTTTCTGAGGGAAGGAACTGGGGAGGCCGGGCTCTGTGGTGCACTCGAAGCCGAGATGTGTGCTCCCCACCCTGAGATGATTAGGACAGGGGAATGGTGGCCCAGGGTGTAAGAGCCTCAGACAGGAGGTGGCAGTGTGTGGGGACTCTATAAAAGGCACATTTCCTGGCAAGTCTTTTACTATCTCCAGGAACTGGCCAGCGTGGGCGGGGCAGTCTCCCCATGGACAGTAAGGCCCCAGGTGTCAAAACATCAGGATAAAAAAACATGTGTAATAGGAGGAGGATAAAGAGCAGCCGCTGGAAATCCGGGTGTCTGCAGTCTACACTCCGTCATCCTTTAACTCATCAGGCTTCTCCCCACCCCACCCCCAACACATAAATACATAGATCTGACTGCCTGTGGTCTCCCTGACTGCCCCCTCCCCTACCTGTCCCTCTTCCTGCCACCCACTCTCTGCTCAGTCCTGCAAAAAGGCACCTTGGAGTCACTGAGGAAGGGAGGGAAATTGTGGGAAGGGAGTCACGTGGGCGTTCCACCCCCATGACCTGTGTTTAAACCCTGCCAGCCAAGACAGACACGGCTTTCAAGGCATTCTTGGATGCCCAGAACCCGAAGCAGCAGCACTCATCCACGCTGGAGTCGTACCTCATCAAGCCCATCCAGAGGATCCTCAAGTACCCACTTCTGCTCAGGGAGCTGTTCGCCCTGACCGATGCGGAGAGCGAGGAGCACTACCACCTGGACGGTAGGCCTCGGCCTGGGACCCCCGGCAGGCCTGAGTCTCCATGAGGGTCTCTAAATAGCCTCTCATTTCACAACCTGTTTTCTTCCAGTGGCCATCAAGACCATGAACAAGGTTGCCAGTCACATCAATGAGATGCAGAAAATCCATGAAGAGTTTGGGGCTGTGTTTGACCAGCTGATTGCTGAACAGACTGGTGAGAAAAAAGAGGTGAGGGTCCCCATCTTCTCAGGACATCTGTCAGGAAAGCCGAGTTTGAGTTTGCTTTTATTTATTTATTTATTTTTTAAAAAGGTGTTACTTGTAAGTAAAATAGTTAGGATGCTGTTGTTTTTCTTAGTGGAACATCTGTGCTTTATCCAAGGCTGCAATGTGAATTTTCTTCCTCAGCTGGACTATTTCTTCCTGTAGGAAATGTTTTCCTGATGTTCAGCTCCTCACCCTGGGGATCTCTGGCTTTATTCTGTGTTAAGTGTGAAAGTGAACTTCCATTACCACAATCTGGGCTGTTTCTAGAAATGTCATGAAAGTCCAAGGCTCTACCTCCAGAGATTAGAATGACACCAGGCACATAGTGGGTGCCCAAAAAATAGTTGTCAAAGGAATGAAAATTTCAAATGACTCTGAATCAGTTAAATCTACCCAAAAACCTACTTAGAAGAGCAGTGGCAGGAACAGATACACCTGAGAAAGACTTAAGGTGAGCTAAAAGTTGTGCCTGAGTCATTAACATGCACTTACCTGAATAAAAGTATGTTGCCAACACAGAGGAGTGGTAGATGTTTGAGATGATGGATAAGTTAATTGCTCTGATCTGATGGGTTATACAGTACATATATCAAAGCATTACTGTGTACCCCTGAATACATACAATTATTATTTTTCAATTACAAAATGCCAATAATACTTAGAGGAATCATAGGGATATGATATATAGTAACATTCGTCAATGCCTCTGTATGCTCAAATTCAACTAGAGATTAGACTCAGTTTTTCTTTCCACCTTAAAAAAGAGAAAATGTGGGAAGGAACCTAGAGGAAAAACACTCTTGCTGTGACTAGCAGCAGGGTTAAAAGCAGTGTGGGTGGGGCAAAGTTTGGTTGTTTAGTGTAGGCTAGAGAAAGCACCTTATCTCCAGAGATACTAAAGGCCATTATCCAGGCTCATTTTTTTGTCCTTAATGAAACAAAACAAGTTTTCAGGCTGTTAAAGGATAATTTTCTGAAAGAGGTAAAATTATGACCTCTCATAATTTATTTTACTCATAAGATGTGAAGGACCCAGGCAGGTGTTGTAAAGGTTCATTGGAAAAATCACAATCACAGAAGTTTACATATGGAGTGAAGAAATGTTGAGGTGAATTGTAAATGAGACAAACTGGTTTTTCCACAGCTGGAGGAAATCAGCTAGGCCAGTATCAGACTGGACAGAATTTACACATCTGTCTGTTACCTACACTTTACAAAGAATCGCACAGGCTCTCAAAGACAGTGTACAGTCAGGATCTGATAGCCCAGGAAGGTCTGCTGTAGAGGATATGTAGTTTTCAACTGCAACACAATTTTGTTTTTACATAACATTACAAGCAGAGCATGAGAATGTTCTGAGACTACTTGGCAGGTAATTTAATCTATCAGAGTATAGAAAAGATGAAGGTTGCCACCCTGGACTTAGCTCTCACTTTCTTATAAAACTTTATAAGAAGAAAAAAATTATGCTTATTAAAGAAGAGGGCAAAATACAGAAAAAGGCAAGAAGAAAACTATGGTTTCAAGACATAGAACTTACCATATTTTGGTGTTGATTTTGATTGTTTTAAATTAATATCTATGTATATGTTTAGTTATATCTTGAAGGTAATTTTATACCTTGATTTTATGTTGATCACAGAATTTTAATGCTTTTTGTTATTGACTAATATGAATAATACTGTAAACTTTTTTTTATTATAAGAAGTCCTCCCATCCTTTGGTTTATTTCATTCTGACAGAAGTGCATTTTACTGGGCCATGGAAATGAACATTTTCATTACGTCATATTACATTTTCTTTATATGCCAAATTAATTATTAGATTGTAATGACCTTAGGAGCAAATGACCATGATGCTAAAGATTAGAAGGCGAAATGGATATTGGGTTGCAAAGAATTTAGGAAAAAAAGATGAATATGATCAGAAGTCAGAGACTGTAAAAGGGAATATGGCTTCAGTGAACCTGGAAGTCCTTTAAAATGAAATTCTGATATGTAAGAAATCTTTCCAGTGAGGAACAAAGTGATATAGTGCTATACAAAGTATTTTTTGTGGGCTGAGATTGTAAAAAGAAATGTGCAAAAGATGGAAGGAGGGACACTGGCTGAGTACCAGGACTGAAGAGGAGGAAAATCCTACTTTTACCAGGAGGTGCAAAGCCCAGAAAATTTCTGGCTTGGAAAAGATGCCAAAGAGAGCAAGAGAAGATATTGTTGTGGAAGGATAAGACAAACGAGCAGGAAATAGACCCCCAGTGGGAATCAATTACTCCAAGGCAGTTGGTTTTACTCAAGTCTTAAGCCCCATTTCATCTCTTTTTCTTCCATTGAGGAGAATGGCCTTTAAACTGGAAAGGATGCAGCAGCCTCAATGCCGTAAGAACAAAACCCTAGGGAGAATGAGTCTTGGGAAATAGGATGGTCTGTGCCAAGATCAATGACAATTCTGTTCCACTGCTCTCAGCAGTATATTGGAAGAATTACGGAGACTCAGGCGGGTGATTGTGGAGGTACCCAAATTATATTCAGATTTTCACAAAAGTAATTCCTGATCCTTGTGGTTCCCTCTTAGTGGCAATGTGAAGTAACAGCCTAGAATGGATTGATGAAGTTTGTAAAGAGGAATAGGAACATTTATCAGTATCTGCTGGTAACAGCAGGTTTATTGTAAAATGGTAACATTCTAGGAACACAAGGTACCTGAATTGGGTCTTCAACCAACATTCCTTAAGATATCTCTGAAGGCAAATAGGTTCACAGAGAACAAAGCTGGCAAAGAAACAGCTTTTTGATGAAACTGGGCCTTCAACCTCCTACCCCCATGTTAAACTCTGGGGAGTTAGGCTAAGAAATCCCTTTTGCTTAACTAGGAGGAAGAAGAATGCAAGAGGGCATTTCCCCTTAAAAGAAGTCCTTAAAAATGCTGACTCAGTCGGGCATCCCAGTCCTTAGTAAGGTGGAGGCCTCCCAGCAGAACTCTTTCTTGGGGTTTGGGAGGAGGATTCAGAAGGGAACCAGTGGAAGCCCCAGAGAGAGGCTGTGGCCAGAGGGAGCACCCTGACCCCCTAGTCCACTTGCCCTGGGAAGCTTGTCCAGAGAAAAACCCTGTGCACAGGAACAGCATCAGCCCATTTTCAGTTGTGTAACAAATAACTGGAAATCTCAGTGGTTCTCTACAACAGATATTTATCTCGTATGTGGCTTTGTAGGTCAACCAAGGTTTGGTTTCTCTTGGTTAGCTCCAGTTCTGAAGGTTCTGGTGTGCTCCTTGTCTCTTCCTTCCAGGATCCAGGCTGAAGCAGCAATGGCTGTCTTGGGCAAGTCCTTCCCATGGCTGGAAGGTGGGCTCTAAGTCACATGCCTACACCCAAAGTCATCCGGGCGGCGATGTGTGTACCCTGCCTAGTCTAGTGGGAGGTGCTGGAAAATCACATGGCAGAAGGTGCAGATAATGTAATTCTGTTGGAAGAAGTAGAGTTTGGACAGTCTACCATGTTGGCCTTTAATCACTTTTAAAGACGTACTCCCAGGGGCTGTGGCCTCTGGGAATTTGTCTTTTGTATGTAACTCCTCCTCTTCTATGTGGGTCTTCGGGGGATAGGTAGTGGAGACTATGTCATTACCTTGGCTGATCATATCCTGGGGGTTTGGTTGATGAGTTACTTAATATCTATAGACAAAATAATATGGCTGCTTAAAAATTATTTTAACCCTTGATTGTACTAATGGTACTATAGCTTAGTAATAATGACAGTGATGATTATAATAATTTCAATCAAGGGAGGCAACAATACCTCTGTATCCTGTACTGCTGGAGCCACATCTCAGCACGGTAGCCTGTTTTGGTGGCTCGAGAAGGGCAATCCAAACTGCACTGTGTTCAGTGGCGGGTCGCCAGGTTGCTGCTGTATAGGAAACCCAGCTAGATTTGGAAGGAGGCCAGTGACTGCAGTGAGAAAAGCAGACGGGACTGTTGTGAGGCATAGACGTTGAACTTGCATCAGACTCTCTGGATCATCGTGTCTAGATGGCTCTGCAACCAGCACTTGTCTGTCGGAGACAGTTTAGCGTGTGACCGCTGGGGGTGAGCGACTAAACCTCATGGTCTCTTGGGATTCCAGCATTCACGCTGCCTGTGCCAATAGAGGAATCTTCAAACTCTTTATTGGCTTCTCTCTCCCTCATCTAAAGTGAAATAAAGTCGTCTTTGAAATGGATTGGAAGAAGAAATAATTTGCCTACATTTCCCAAAAGTGGATATTCACTGGTGGAAATGTCTGCAGTTATCTGGGGGTGGATCTTTGTCATGGACGGCCATTAGCATCTCCTTGGGAAACTGTCTCTGAACACAAAACATCTCCAGTTTTGTAGATCAGTTTTGACAGACTAACTGCATGTGAATTTCAGAGCCCCAGTTTGTACCTATTTGCCATCCTTTTCTGAAATTCTAGTAGACAAGCATGGAATAAATGGGGAAAAAAAAGATGAGCCTTTTCTCTCCCCTGTATTCCATGTGTTTCTTTGGGAATGGAGAGGATTTATTTTTCAATTAGGAGATTTCATATGAATTAAAGGATTTTTTTTTTCGTTAAAATTTCATTGTATTGTTCCTAGCTCAAACTTGGCTAGAACATAATGATACTATTATTTCCCATTGGAAAGGTTAACTGGATATTGTATCTTCAGCCTGTTTTGATGGGAGGTGGTGTTTATTGAGACAGTCACAAATCGAAAATATTTTTAAAAAATGTAGTCTGTCATTTTGGTGCGATTTCTTTTCTCAAAAACATGAAATTGACAAGTAAAAATTTTATATATTTATGGTGTACAACATGATGTTTTGATATGTTACATTGTGGAATGGCTAAATCCAGCAGTTTAACTTAGCATTATCTCACATATTTAAGCAAATGTTTTTAGGAGCAGTATTTTCTTGAAGTAAAATTAATATCAGCATGCTGAATTTTCAAACATCATGAAAATCTGAGTATTGATAACACCACCCAGTAAGCTTTGTCACGTCTCTGGCTTTCAGGTTGCAGATCTGAGCATGGGAGACCTGCTTTTGCACACTACCGTGATCTGGCTGAACCCGCCGGCCTCGCTGGGCAAGTGGAAAAAGGAACCAGAGTTGGCAGCATTCGGTGTGTATCAGAAAAGCGTTTTATGGAGGGGGAAAAGTCTAGCTTAGTTTTCAAAACAAGAACATTTCTTTTTCAAGACCCAATTGATTAAAAATAAAGTTAATTGCAGTTACTTGAATCGGTCTTCCTGCCGTAGCCACCAACATCTCACAAACACTAAATGAAACCTTCGAGTTAAATTGCCCTATGTGGTCACTCAGCCACATGGGTGGGCGGAAATGGCTGTGCCCAAGTCTATCCCAGACATAAACACAGAGGCAGGAAAAGAATTTTTTTTTTTTTGGCTGCTGCTCTGCGTGTCTTTTCAAAATAATGGGTTAATTATAAACCAAGGAAAAATAAAGTGAAAAATCAAGACAAAATGGCCTCTGTTTCTGAGACCCCCCAGTCCTAGATCTTTTATTTGCTTCCTGACTTTGTTGCTGTTTGGTCTTAAGGCCAGGATTTAGGATGCTGGTTCTCAGCTGAGCTGTTGTGGCAACTCTGGAGTGCCTGGATCAGCTGTGAGGTGCATCCCAATCGCATTGCCACTCAATACTAGTGAAATTAGAGATGTTTGCGAATGACTTATTTTTTAATAAACCAGTTTAGATGGATGCAGTTGCTGCAATTAGAGATCTCATGTGATTGTATTGTAATATGCTTTTTGAGAGAGAGAAAAAACATGGGTTAGCATATAATTTAGGAAACATAGCTTGTTGTTGCAATGTAAATGCTTATTGGCATATTGCTGTGTTGTTCATGAATATAAAACTATCAACACTCCATGCTTTTGTTTTAGGTTGCGTTTTGTCCTAGCCTCTTGCTAAAAGACTCATGGGTAGGAACATAATATAATGGAAATCTGCCTTATTCTCTTGCCTTATATTATTTTTGTGGGCTTGCTGGGAACGGAGGTTGCTTTCTCCTTCTTAACTAAACTTTTTTTTTTCCTCCATGATGTGAACAAAGTATCCCCAAATGGAATGTCCTAGTGATTTTAAAATCAAAGTATTTAATGCAAAGATCCATTGGACTTTGTATTTCAATGACTTAGCCTTCATTGAAAAGTTACTAATATTCCCAAAATTTCCAAAGAGCCCCTGTAGCTGTTGAGGTCATTTCATTAAAAATAACAAAGGAGGCCAGGTGTGGTGGCTCACACCTGTAATCCCAGCACTTTGGGAGGCCAAGGTGGACGGATCACTTGAGGTCAGGAGTTCAAGACTAGCCTGGCTAATATGGTGAAACCCCGTCCTTACTAAAAATACAAAAATTAGCTGGATGTGGTGGCAGGTGCCTGTAATCCCAGCTACTTGGGAGGCTAAGGCAGGAGAATCGCTTGAACCCTGGAGGCAGAGGTTGTAGTGAGCTGAGATCGTTCCACTGGACTCCAGCCTGGGTGACAGAGCAAGACTCTGTCTCAAAAAAACAAAACAAAACAAATGTAAGTGCAGAGAAAGCATGTGACTAAATAGGCCATTCAAAGGAATATTGGGGGTATTTTAACAAGTTGTTAGTTTTTGATGGGGTAGGTGTTTTGGGGGAGGGGGGAAGTAGTATTTGCTTTCTTTTCAACATCACCACTTGTGTTTCTTCTATAGTGATTTCTTCTTGGAGGAGTCTGGGATCTCCTGGATGCTGCTTAATGGGTCATTCATGGGATGCAGGATATTGATGTAAATGACCCACACAGTGATGTGGGACTACAGACTAGCAGTCATAGAGGTCAACATTTAGATTTTTCATGGCTTTGCCCTCAGTTTTACAGATTCACTGTAGTTAGAAATCAAGAGATTTAGAATAAGAAAATAATTTAAGTAGGAGAAAATGGGTTGGCAAACTCTTTTCTGTTTCGTTTTGTTTTGTTTTTTTGGTTTTTCTGGGGGGATGGAGTCTCGCTGTGTTGCCAGGCTGGAGTGCAATGGTGCGTTCTCGGCTCACTGCAACCTCTGCCTCCCAGGTTCAAGCGATTGTCCTGTCTCAGTCTCCCGAGTAGCTGGGACTACAGGCACGCACCACCACGCCCAGCTAATTTTTGTGTTTTTAGTAGAGATGGAGTTTCACCATGTTGGCCAAGATGGTCTCAATCTCTTGACCTTGTAATCTGCCCGCCTCGGCCTCCCAAAGTGCTGGGATTACAGGTATGAGCCACCGCGCCCGACCCTCTTTTCTGTTAAAGGCTACATAGTACATTTTAGGCTTTGGGCCAAGAGGCCACATGCTTTGCCACTGGAGCCAGAAGCAGCCCTAGATAACATGTAAATGAATGAGATGGCTGGATCAGCAGCTGCACCACACAGGTGGCAGCAGGCCTGGGTCTGGCCTGAGGGCCCTTGTTTGCCAACCCATGGTGTAAGTGATTCAGGAAAATGCTGGTTTTGAGGTTGGGGATTTAGGTACCACTTTCTGCACAGGCTCCGATAGTGGACTCTACATTACTCTGTTCCCTGCCTCCTGGGCTGTTTATGAGAAGTCGGTGTGGGTGCTGTCTCCAGGAAGGCGGGCCCACAGCACCTGTCCCTGGTGTAAATGGAGACTGCATACTCCAGCTTCATGGGCATCACACTGTCAGCAAACTCAATAGGGGCTGTAGTTCATAAGAGAAAAACTGAAGGCTCTGAGGTACAAGACGTGTTTATCATTATTCAGAATCCTCTCCAGAGTAATAGGAAAGAGAAGGGGAAGGATTAAAATTGGGATTATGAACAAAGGCTGTAGTCATGATGAGCTTCTGTGGATTCCCAGCCGTTAAAGAGACAAGTTTGATGGTTTGGGTGTGATTTCAAGTAGCAAGGCAGAACTAGCAGAAAGGCTGAGCAAGGAGTTGAAATAAGGAAGAGGTGCTGTGAAGGAAGGATCATGGTTACCCTCAGTCGGCAGATTTGGGGTTAAAATGTGGTTGTCTTGTTTTGGTTTAAACCTCTAACCTCAGGAAATAGTGCAGCTTTCTTCTGAAACCGAAGTTGACTTGCTGCCAACGAAGCGCCTTGATGTTTCACAGGATGGCTCATGTGTACCAAATGTTGGTGATTGTTGCCTTAAACAGAAACAAACAAAAATAGAAATAGCCTTCTGCCTTGAAGGGTATTTGACATTCACGTTTTGGGGCACAGAGTGGATGCTTTAGGCTGGCAAAGGTAGCATGAGTTTTGGAGATCATCAAGGCCATGTCTGAAGGGATCGGGCAACACTGTGGAGTCACTTGAGTAACACTAGCTCCGAGGATTAGGGAAAGTTTAAGGGAGAGGCTGAGGTCCCGGTGCCAGGCTGAAGCTCACTTTCTGGCCCTCCTGCTGTGATCCACAATGGTTAAGATTGAGGGAAATCGAGGGAATCATAGCATTGAGCTGTGGTCCCAGTGGCATGGTGGCGCTTCTGAGATTAGAGTCATTGGGGTAGAGCTCTTTCATTTCTAAGAGGACCTAGCTGTCCCAGCCTCTCTGATTTCTGAAGGCTTCATAGTGGGAATAAAAGGCCTTCTCAGGTTGCTTGTGCTCAGCTGCTGTGAAGAGCTGGTGTGGCCTCCTCGGGTCAGTGTGAACCTTTGTGGGGAACCTGCCAGTCTGTGCTCTGGGAACCTTGAGGGGTCAGATGCTGTGAGGTGTGAAGGGCTATGGGCAGTCTAGACCGAGTGGCTGGAGTCAGTTTCTTTGCATCTCAGCGCTTATTTCCCTGCAGTGGAGATTAGCATGATCTTACACAAAGAGGAGACAAGACCGACCTGCCCTCCGTAGGATAGAAATTGAACCAGATACTTCCAGTTGGCCTCCAAAGGGCCTGTGAGCCTGGTGGCCCATCCCTGAGAATTCTCTGAATGTTTGTTCCTTTTGTAATTCTGTGTCTGGTGTACAAGGCTGTGCCTCCTTCAGCCGCTGTGTGACTGGGCTATTCCTTGGGGTCAGTATGAAGGGATAATGGAGACTATCTTAGTCCATTTGGGCTGCTATAACAAAATACCATAAAGTGGCCAGCTTCCAAACAACAGAGATTTATTTCTCACAGTTGTGGAGGCTGGAAGTCCAAGATCCTGCTTTCTCCTACTTCCTAGCTGTGGCTTCATATGGCGAAAGGGTCAAGGCATCTCTCTCAAGTCTCTTATAAGGACACTCATCCCATTCATGAGGACAGAGTCCTCAGGGCCTGATCACTTCTCAAAGGCCCACCTCCTGAAACCATCACAAGGGTGATTAGTTTCAAGGTATGAATTTTGGGGAAACACAAACATTTGGACCATAGCAGAGACGCTGACACAGAGAACAAAGGACAGGCAGGAGTCAGTCACCCTTCTATTCCTTCTGGGTGCCAACTCTACTTACCCTTCTAGGAAGAATCAGAATCACTGCAGGTTAAATGTGCTTGGCATTGCTTAACAAATTCTCTGGAAGATTATGCATAACTCCATTGTATCTCCCCACCCCCGAAAGAATATAAGAATGAAACTACATGTTTACCACTCCTAGAGAGCTTACCTGATTCAGTCATTCTGGAAGACATACAGTTGAATTCTATTTCATAAACTCATTTTTGTTTCTTTAGGTCAAAAGATGAGTTATATTTCCTAAATTATCACTGTCTATGTGCACTATTACCTTAATTTGCATAAATGTAAATCATCTTCAGCAATTGCATTGTTATTGTGAAAGACGTTTATATTATTCCTCCATCTACTGAATTAGTACATTTTTGTTGAATATGTATCAGCTGAAGTTTTAACCTTGAAATTGTATCATACCTAACATATTTTACGCAAAAGTTTTTTGGGCCATAGGTTAATTCCATTTATGTAGGCTTTCTATGTTTATTTTGAACCTGGAAACTTGTGTCTCAATAGGCTTTTGATTTTCACAGATGTGATGAATGAATGGAAGGTGGGTGGGAGTCAGTTAACTGGGATCTCAACGTCCTCTTCATAACTGTAGTGTTTATTACCACAAGTTGGTGATGTCAAGGGGAAAACCCTACACATGACATACCATAACTGTCTTTATTTTATTTTTTCCAGTCTTCAAAACTGCTGTGGTCCTTGTGTATAAAGATGGTTCCAAACAGAAGAAGAAACTTGTAAGACATCTTATGTTACCCCATGGTTTGAAACTATTTCTCTATCTGCTTATCAGTTATGCCTGCATAATTCTACCATTTTGTCAGTATGAGCCTTTTTATGATCTTTTTTCTTTCTTAAGCATTGCTAAGGATGCTTGAGATCACTCATCCTGCCATCTTTTCAGGCAGGCTTATGTTTAGAGCACAAACATGAATTGGTCTCATTTTTGTGAATTGGAACCAACTGGACTCAATTGGTGATTGGGTCTGCCATGGCCCAGAACCTTCCTAACGCTACTTTTCCCCTTCTCTGTTGCCCCTGTTCTTCTTTTGGGATCCTTTTTCTCCTCTTCTCTGTGTGTCTCTCTTCACTGCATTTGCTTAGCAAACTTCTTTGCACACCCTCCCCTCAACGTATTTATCACGCAGCCTCTCACTTCCTGCTGGATGGACAGGAGCTCATGGGGGTGAAGATCCTTTGGGCACGCCTAGAGTTACTGCGTGAGAGTCTGTCGCTGGTTTAGAAAATGCAGGGAACTGGTCCGGGGCAGGTTAGATTCTTCTTATGCAGCTGGTTCCTTCTCCTCTGCAGGTAGGATCTCACAGGCTTTCCATTTATGAGGACTGGGACCCCTTCAGATTTCGACACATGATCCCCACGGAAGCGCTGCAGGTTCGAGCTTTGGCGAGTGCAGGTAAACTCTCACCTGTGCTGGGTATTTCACACACATATTTCTGATGTGTGTAGGAATTATTTGTTTGAATCCACACTCTTGGTCTAACTCTTCTACCGTCTTTTTTTTTTTTTTTTCCCTATGCTTAACTCTCTTGTCTCTCGGTCTCTCTATTGCCTCTTATTTACCCAGCCATTGATTAAATATTGAATGAATGAATGAATGAACCAAGTGAATGAATGAACTGAGTGAATGGATGTGTAATGTCTTCAAAATTCCTGGAAAAGATTCTAGTTATTCTATTCTATAGATTAATACTATAGTGACTACCACCTGAGTACAGTGAGCCTGTGCTTCTTGAAAGAATCCTTGAGACTGAGCAAACAAAGCCCACATAAACTACTCACTTGCCTTTCAACTGAGAGATCCAAAAATACCACCAAAAGCACTAAAAAGCATTGACTACACATGTTTTTTCCCTAAAGTATTACAAATCTTTATCTTTGCTGTTAGTGTGAAGGCTTTTAAAATGTTGATTCTTTTTTACATTGATTTTAATTTTTTTAAAGATGGGGTCTCATTCCATTGCTCAGGCTGGAGAGCAGTGGTGCTATCATAGCTCACTGTAGCCTCAAATTTCTAGGCTCAAGCTATCTTTTCCAAGTACCTGGGACTACAGGCATGTGCCAGCACAACCAGCTAATTTTTTAAATATTTTGTAGAAATAGGGTTTTGCTATTTTGCCCAGGCTAGGCTTGAACTCCTGGGCTCAAGCAAGCCTCCCGCCTTGGCCTCCCAAAGTGTTGGGATTACAGACGTGAGCTGCCATGCCCAACCTGAAATGTTGATTCTTTTTCTGTGATCCACATAGCAGTGAAGTGAGTTGTTGGGTAGCTATAAGTATACTTCATAATATAATTAGACGATGCTTGAAACACATGAGTAGCAGGGGTACTGACTAAGAAAAGTGATATTTCTGTGACCCAGAAGCTCCCCATCCTGGGCCTAATTTGAAGCCAAGTTCTCAAGAGGAGGAATGGACTGTGTGGCTCTCCCAGGCACATCCTGGAATGAGCATCTCTGGAGAGTCAAATGGAAACTCTTTAGCCACATCTGTTCCCTGTCCCACTTGGACAGCAGGTGCAGCTTTGGTAAAGAAAAGCCTTGGTGGTAGAGACCTGCAGGTGCATGATCAAGAGAATTTCTATTTTATGCTTTTGGCATCTACAAGTTCCTACTATCCAATTTCTGTTTTTTAGCCTCCTTGTTTCCACTTGTCATAAGCAGTAAAACTGGATCTGATCCTCAGAAAACCAACCCACCCTAGTCCAACGTCATGAGGAGAACCCTCTTGCCATATTTTGCACACTTTGAGTTACTCTTCCAAATTAAATGAGGCATCTCTTCCTTCACAGTTTTTCTGCCTTACAGTAGGAAAACTCAAATGCAAAAACCATGTAGGGCAAATATATTTGGAATGATTATTTGTTTTAGAAGGTTTCTCTCTAAGCTTCCAGTAGAGATTTGCCGGATGCCCTTTTACTTATGATGTGATTTGCAAAATTGATTTATATATGAATTTGCAGGCACCTGTAAGTTGTGAGTCTAGGGCAGCAATACATAGCATTTTGAGGTTTGAGCACTTAAATACTAAAGTCTTACTTAGAATCGTAGGTTATGAATTATCTAGTTCCTTTGTTTCCTCATGCCAGGTTTACAAATGGGAAAGTTTATTTCTGTAGCAAACTGACAGCTTCTAAGCCAGGAATTTCGCCTGCGTTGAGGAGTAAACACATAAAAACTTCAAATTTTGAAGACAAAGCCATCTTTGTAATACGACATTCCATTCTCACTCTCTATTTTTCATTCAAGTCAAGTTTAAAACCATCAAGATAAAAGCTTATTTTAGTTGAGTTATAAAGGCTAGTCAAGATGTCTTTCATTATGAAATCCACTCTAGTGGATTTGAGAATCACAACGTGGAATTTCTAGGTTTTTATTTTAGTTTGGAAAGTTTGTACAATTTTTTGCAGATAGATTCTGGTTAGGGTTAAATCATGCAACCACAGTGAGGGTTTGTGACCAGGGTTCTGAACCACTGGATAAAAGTGAGACTTCACAATGTATGGCCTGAATGTCTGCAGTGAATTGTTCCTTTCACAAACACTTTATTCATGACTTAAAGTACTGTGCTATTATAGGCACTACAGAGCTTCAAAATTATTTTAAAATTGTCCCTTACCTTCTTGATATACCATTTTCTGCTGTGTTCAAAGCAGACTCCAGGGGTAGGCTGGGGACGAGAAACCCAATTAGGTCTCCAGGGCTTTAGGCCCAGCCACCTGGGGGAAGCCTCCCTTAACAGACAGCAAAGGCTTACCTGTCGTATCCCTGGCCGGATGAAATCTGCATAGGAGGCTTTGGCTCCACTGAGTCCAACTGTTGCCAAAACAATTAATCATTTAATTGAAATGCACAGTTCAGTTAACCAGACTGCATGGCTGGAAGAGTGAGTTCAGGCCGGGCGCGGTGGCTCACGCTTGTAATCCCAGCACTTTGGGAGGCCGAGGCGGGTGGATCATGAGATCAGGAGTTCGAGACCAGCCTAACCAACATGGTGAAACCCTGTCTCTACCAAAAATACAAAAATTAGCCGGGCGTGGGGTGCACATCTGTAATCCCTGCTACTCAGGAAGCTGAGGCAGGAGAATCACTTGAACCCGGGAGGCAGAGGTTGCAGTGAGCTGAGATCACACCACCGCACTCCGGCCTGGATGACAGAATGAGACTCCATCTCAAAAAAGAAAAAAAAAAAAAAAAAGTTCGGTCCATATGATTGACCTTTTAGACCATCTAGAAGATTTTACCAACTGGAAATTTTCCAAGTGTTCTCTTCTTTGCATCCATTAAGCTTTCAGTCGCTTCATCTCTTTAGATTGTGAAATAGTAGGAAAATATCTTTGATCTTATACAGTGTTCTGCATTATTAATCCTCTATCACAGCTGAAAAATGCTTTTGCAAACATGTAAATAAATCCACTTGAAACATACCCTGATTCATTGTTGTTTTAATTTCTTTAGATGCAGAGGCAAATGCCGTGTGTGAAATTGTCCATGTAAAATCCGAGTCTGAAGGGAGGCCGGAGAGGGTCTTTCACTTGTGCTGCAGGTGAGCCTGGGCCTGTAAAGTCGAGGCCGTGTTGACATTTCTGCAGATTGGAACGGTTTGGTGTCTTACGTTGTGTTCTGGTGTTTGGTACGTTGTTTGTACTGTAACATCACTGAGATGCAGTAAATGGAGAGTCAGCTGGGAGGAGCTGACAGCTTGTGAAGGTGTTATCGGGATTCCTGATCATTTGGAGCACATATGGAGGTCAGCCTGTGTTGATCACCTGCACGTCTTGAGGGGAAGCTGGGCTCATGATGTGGGCTTCTACTTATTTCTTGTTGTTTTTCTTCTACCCTGCCACCCTCTTTTGCCCTTCCTTGTATTCTCTCCCTCCGCCATGAGAATTTGAGGTCTTCTCCCATATGAAACCTATTCTTTTATTTTTCTAAAAATACAAGATAGATGACTCCAACAGATGGCGTTTAATATATTTGGCTTTAAATGTGCCCGTATTGAATCATGCTTTTATTTATATATATATTTATTTATTTATTTATTGAAACAGAGCCTTGCTCTGTCGCCCAGGCTGGAGTGCAGTGGCATGATCTCGGCTCACTGCAACCTCTGCCTCCTGGGTTCATGCCATTCTGCTGCCTCAGCCTCCCGAGTGGCTGGGACTACAGGCATGTGCCACCATGCCCAGCTAATTTTTTGTATTTTTATAGAGACGGGGTTTCACCATGTTAGCCAGGATGGTCTCGATCTCCTGACATCGTGGTCTGCCTGCCTCGGCCTGCCACAGTGCTTGGATTACAGGCGTGAGCACCACGTCTGGCTAACTTTAATTTAATCGTAGATACTCAGTGATTTACTCAGTAATTACCCAGTACCTCACACAGTGAGTACTAATATACTATGGATTACCTACAAAAGACAATAGAATCAATATTATGATTATTAGCAATATTTTATAATGTTAGTATGGTAAGAAGGTACCTTTACCAAGCATGAACTATGCTAAACACCTTACATTCATTATTTCATTTAGTCAGACCAAGGTATTAGGTTGGTACAAAAAGAAACTGCAGTTTTTACCATTAAAAGTAATTAAAAGTGCCATTACTTTTAATGGCAAAAACTGCAATTATTTTTTGCACCAACCTAATACAATTCTTACTCCAGTTTACAAATGGGGAAGCAAGGCTTAGAGATGGTACTTAGCCTAAGGCCTTATAGAGAATGAACACTGGTGCTGGGCATGGTGGCTCATGCCTGTAATCCCAGCACTTTGGGAGGCCAAGGCAGGCGGATCACTTGAGGTCAGGAGTTCGAGGCCAGCCTGGCCAACATGGCAAAGCCCCGTCTCCACTAAAAATACAAAAGTTAGCCATGCCTGGTGGCAGGTGCCTTTAATCCCAGCTAGTTGGGAGGCTGAGGCAGGACAATCACTTGAACCTGGGAGGTGGAGGTTGCAATGAGCCAAGATCATACCACTGCACTCCAGCCTGGGCGACAGAGCGAGACTCTGTGTCAAAAAAAGAAAGAAAAAGAAAATAAATGGTGGGTTTAACCTCAAAACCCATGTTTTGTGTTGCTACATCAGATCTCTCTGTGTTGGGTGACAGAGGTCAACAAAAGGCAGATCCCCGGGAAGCTGTCAGGACTATAAGTGAAATGTTGTTTGTATAACCTCGTGGGGTTTGAGCACCACCTTTACCGTCTATTTTGGCTCATCTGTTTGTGATTTTGTTGGTAAGGTCCATGGGGTTTAGTAGCCCTGCCTACACGGATGCCGTATTTATTGTTAATAGGGAATACCAGGTAAAACTTACCTGGGTAAAAATATTGGGAATATAATAAGAAAAATAACTCTTCCTAGGAAGCACTTTTTTTTTTTTTTTTTAACCATGAGAATTAGGACTTGGGAAGATTTTATAGTTCTTTACAGCCTTAATATATACATGTTGAAATGTGTCATGGGAACCATTGATATTTACCAGGAGGGAGCTCAGCTCTAGAGGACATTAGGACGTTGAGACGTCGGCCTTTGGGTGCTCTGCAGAGCCGCAAGAATCTTGTGGTTCATTTGCCCTCAAAAACATTTTATAATGAAAAACTCTGCCTTGAGTGCCAGGAGCAGAATTTGGCAGCTTCTTGGTACAAACTCCCACTGTCCATAGATCTGTTCGTTAATGGGCTACTCTGCCCCACATCAGCGCCAGGAGATAGATCACAAAGCATGAAGGGAAAGGAGTTATGTGCTCTTTATCACTGGCGTGAAATCACCGCTCAGCATAGAAATTGGAGTCAAGGCCTCAGTCTTTAGCCTTTGGCCCTAAGGGATATTTATTTGGTTGCACCTGATAACCTTAGAAGTTCCCCATGTGTTAAGCCCTGATTCTCTAACATCTGTAAATCTTCTTTTCCTAGCTCCCCAGAGAGCCGAAAGGATTTCCTAAAGGCTGTGCATTCAATCCTGCGTGATAAGCACAGAAGACAGCTCCTCAAAACCGAGAGCCTTCCCTCATCCCAGCAATATGTCCCTTTTGGAGGCAAAAGATTGTGTGCACTGAAGGGGGCCAGGCCGGCCATGAGCAGGGCAGGTACTGTGGGGATTCGGACGTTCAAGATTCCCGTCACCCCCACTCCGCAGTAGAACTCCAGTGAGCTTGACCTCCTTGTTGAGTGGGGGTGAGGTGTGGCCTGGTGGGGGCTGATGTAGGAGGACGGTTTTTCCCTGGTGTGAGGTTCCTTGCCCTTGCCTCCTTCCCAGTGGCTCCTGGGGATCCGCCCTGTATCTACATTCCTCTTGTCCTCCCTCAAGCCTTCCCTTTGCCTCCCTTCTCCTTTTGGCTGGTGAGCTCCTCCCTCATTTGCCAAGTCGGGTTGCAGACACATCCTCTTTCTGGAGAGGCTGTCTCAGCCTGCTTGCAGAATGAGAGTCGCTGCTTTGCATGACAGCCAGCTTTGTCTAGCAGAAAGCCGTGTGTCACATTTCAGCAAGGTCACAGCCCTCTGTTCTGAGAACATGGTGGCTTCACGGCCTGGCAGCACAGCAATGCCTGCTCTCAGTAGTAAGGATTCTAGGTTTGGTAGCCCACATGGCACTTCCAGTTTTTATCCTGACCTTGTGCCTGCAACTTTATTTTTAGTCTCCATGTTAATTTGGGGAAGCCTCGAGCTATTCTTGGAAACAAGAATCTAGAGTTTAAATGGTCCCAGCATAAATATTCTTGTAGGACTTAATCCATTACAGTGGAGCAATAGAGAAATAAAATAAATACTGCCACCTGTCAATGGTAGCAAAATGTATCTAGGAAGAAGGCTGTTTTAATACTTAGGGACTTAATGACATCAAGATACTAACATTTTTATCAAACCTTTCTTAAGAGGCAGCCCAGAATTTTGCAGGGAGGATTTCATTAAAAGAAGGCCCCCTTTGCACTTGCCAGAAAAGTTTCTGGCCTTTGTACCCATTACCATCCTACCTATTGAAGAGGGATGGACAGAAGTGTGAATGCTTGAAGGTTTTCATAGACAAAACCTACCTGGCTTGACATGGGATATTACATTCTTCAAGCACCTTAAATTTAATTTAGGGGACTAGTTACTGTAAACCTCTTCTCCAATCAATTGATAAATGTTTGTTGAAAACTTAGTGCAGTGAACACCCAGCACTTTGCTGAGTTTTCTGATGTATCCTAAGAGTCTTTCATACGTCCATATGCGCAGTTTCGCATGGGGTCGCCATGGAAGAATAGTTTATTGGTCCTTTATAACTCACTTTAGAGATTTTTATCTTGGATTTGTCTTATCTGCCCCTCTTGTTTGCTAGGGAAATGTTTAAAAAGGTTTGGGAATATGTGTCTCAACCTCAGGGAACTCAACCTGTTTCAGTTGTTAATCAATGAACCTAAATTCAGAGCTGCATTTACTTTGAAACTAAGCATGGTTAGTCTGTCACTCAGAAGTTTTCCTGCTGAGATCCATTTGGAAAGAAAACAAAACCAGCCCACAATTTAACACCATCGTCCGTCATGATTACCAAGAGAAAGCCTTGATGTCATAGCCTGTTGGATTTAGCTGATTGAAAGATCTTTCTGCCTGATGGCTCATTTTTGGCTGAAGAAAGTCTGTATCACTTTGTTTGGAGGCATCTCACTATCCTCAGAATCTTCATGTCAGAGGATTTTAAAATGGTGCCTGAGTAGATCAGCACAGCATAGCTGGTCAGTCTTAACAGTGACCACTGGAAATAGTCAAAGATTGCATCCCTGAAAGACTGGGAAGAACCCAATAATGGTAGCCGGGTTCTTAAGCATACTAGGAACAGATACTCATGCTTCATTTTGCTTTGTCTTGAATACTCAGGTAGTTTATTTCTCCCTCTGTTCTGTTTGGCTAGGATAGTAAAGCCAAATACTCTGCTTCCATATTCAGCCTAAAGTACTATACGTTTGCCAATAACCCAATTAAAAATTTTTTTCTTTGTTCTATCTATTTTCTTATGAAAATGTTTAAACTTATAGAAGAGCTGAAAGAATTCATACCTACCATCTATATTCTATAATGTTTTTCTATATTCTCATTATCACTCATCTGTTAGAATCCATCTGTCATCCATCACCTCATCTTATTTTTGACATATTTCAAAGATGTAGACATTAACACACTTTACTCCTAGATACTTCAGCATGCAAATCATTAACAAATATTTCCAGTAGCTTTGAGTTGGGGTAGTTCTAATGTGGTGATTGGAGAGAGGGATGCTGTATTTTGCTGGTGCTGAGATAAAAGTGAACAAGAATTTTTGTCTCTTCTCAATAGAAGTCAGAGTTTGTTTGTTTTTTTTCCTATTTTCTATTCCCTTTTTCCATTTTGCCTGGAAATGGCTTTTATTCCCATCCTCAACCAACAGTAGTGTCCATTTGTTCCACAGTTTTAGATGGCGGAACACTCAGGAATAGTGATGGACACGCAGGGGTCTGAAGCAGAGGATGGCTGCCATGAGAGCCAATTCAGCCCCTCGTTGACCACTCTAACCCTGTGCCTGCTGGGTTCGAAGTCAAGGCTGCATTTGGCAGTAATTGAGACACGAGGCATCTTCTAGCAGCACTGAAGCAATTGGATGGTTCTGGGGCTTAGGTTTCAGGAAAGCAGCTCCCAGTTGGCGTTGAGACTCTTCCCCTCCACTGGAAAGCCCGTGTTGCATTTCACCTTTTCGTGTCTAATGCAACAACCGCTTCACTCTCGAGGGAGAAGCAGAAGCCTTCCCTGTGAGCAGTCTCGTGTATGTGTGTGGTGGGATTGTTGGCTTGATCGGATGGTGTCTTTTGTTTGCTTGTTTTTAATTCTGGCTTCCTAGAGGGCAGTAGGTGAAAGAATGAATTTTTCTTAACTGGTAGTCACTTTATACAGCACTTTGTTGATCAAACTGCTTGGATGTCATCGGTTTTTTATTTCTCATTCCAATGAGGCACTGATATGTTAATTGCTTTGGAGAAGAATGAGTGATACACAGACTGTAATTGGGGGAGACTAAGGCACACATTTGCTTAGCTTCCTAGCTCATGTGGGACTTTGTCAGAAAGAAGACAGGGAAATAACTGAAGATCCCATGTCTTTGAGAGCCACTCTTTTTCATAGGCTCTCTAAGAGTGACGTGGTGCCCTTAATCTAACTGCAGATCCCAAGAAATGTTATGTTCCAGTTCCCAGAAAACAAGTAACTTACACTGGTGCTTCTGCCTCCTTGATGCACATTCTACAAAGACAGCAAAACCATAGATGCACCCCCACCCTTACTAAAGACCTATTCCAGCTAAACAACCCTGGGACAGCCCTGGGGATCTTCATAGCACTGGGCCATGGGACATGGCCAGGATTGAGGACACTAACTCACTAACTGATCCCCAAATCAGTGGTCTGTCTACTTGAGAGCAGCTGCTGTCTGTGTTACCCATCTCTTAGGTGCACAGGCTAGAACAGTAGATTATTTCAGAGGGAGTTGAGTGCCCCTTTGCCCATAACCTACAACCTCTCCTGTGTGCCCCGGTTCCCCCTTGCCCTTGCATCAGTTGCTAGAACATCCTCTAAGTCCAGATACCTCGACAAGGTAAATGCTCCATGACAGATTGGTGATATGTAGACTTTAAGCCCCAAAAGACATCAAGGCATTCAATGCATACCGTTTTGGTTTTTATTTTCTCCTGTCCTTTGCTTTCTGGATTTTCATCTCACGTAAAGCATGTGGGGGTTTTATTTTTATATTTTTGTGTGTGTGTGCAGTGTCTGCCCCAAGCAAGTCTCTTGGGAGGAGGAGGCGGCGGCTGGCTCGAAACAGGTTTACCATTGATTCTGATGCCGTCTCCGCAAGCAGCCCGGAGAAAGAGTCCCAGCAGCCCCCCGGTGGTGGGGACACTGACCGATGGGTAGAGGAGCAGTTTGATCTTGCTCAGTATGAGGAGCAAGATGACATCAAGGAGACAGACATCCTCAGTGACGATGATGAGTTCTGTGAGTCCGTGAAGGGTGCCTCAGTGGACAGAGACCTGCAGGAGCGGCTTCAGGCCACCTCCATCAGTCAGCGGGAAAGAGGCCGGAAAACCCTGGATAGTCACGCGTCCCGCATGGCACAGCTCAAGAAGCAAGCTGCCCTGTCGGGGATCAATGGAGGCCTGGAGAGCGCAAGCGAGGAAGTCATTTGGGTTAGGCGTGAAGACTTTGCCCCCTCCAGGAAACTGAACACTGAGATCTGACTGCGTCACCTGCCCCGTAGAGAATGTGTGTAGATACTTCCTGCCCTAACTCTGCCCACCCTCCTGTACCGTCGACAAGAATGTCCCCTTAGGTCGCGCTCTTGCACACACGGTTTTGGCAGCTGACTTGGTTCTGAAGCCATGTAGCCACCCAACTTTGTCATTTTCAACAACATCAGAAAGAATTGATCAGAATCCCAAATAAGCTTGAGTCCTATCTTCTGTATATTACTAAGGGCTTTTATTTATTCTCAATAAATCAGGGCCTGAACAATTAAAAGAAAAAAGATTCTATAGCACTGGAAAGCAAATCACCCCAGGAGTTAACGGATGTACAACAGATTAATTTAAGGGATAGTAGCACACACACGATCCTTCTATCTGAAATCAGTCTCCTAGCTGGGGAAACCTCTTTCACACACAAAATGAAATGTGTACAGCTTGCCGTGTTCTGACTGTACCCTTCCCTCTTCCATGTCTGAGAATCTCCGTGTATTTTAAGAATGTGTGAGGAGAGGGTGGCGATTCATGTTTCAATGAGCCTCTTTTTTTTTTTCCTTCCTGTTTTGGTCTATGGCTGGTCTTACTCTGTGTCCATGTTCGGAAGCTCTAGTTTTGCATAGAATTATAGAGATGCCAAACTCTTTGAAAAGAGATCCAAATTTATCGCTTGAGAGAAAGAAAAGAAACACTATTTTTTGTATTTTACCTGAGATACAGGGGCACAAATAGATGAGAATTTTACAGTGTTAGTGTATGTATCCCTGAGCCTAAAAAATGAGGATATAACCTTTTACAGAGAGAGTGAGGCGTGGTGGTTTTATATTTATATATGAAAGGCCAGCAAGCTCATGCGAAGGATATACTTTTCTTCCAAAAAGCGGATTTTTTTTTTTTAATGTTTGAATCTATATTTGAGATGGGAGTTTGGTTGGATTAAACATGACACCCCGGTGGGCGGTGTGTGTGTCTGTTGCACATGGCAGGGAGGGGAGCCTCCTTCTCATGGGGTTGCCATGGTGATCATTGGTTTTTCCATCAAAATTGCATCTTCATCCATAGATTACCTTCCCCTTCCCTGACAGTCCATAACCAAACCTTTAAACAGAACAACCTCTTTAAAAACTTCTCTTGTGTTTAACACTTTCTTCATGCCAACGAAACAGGGTAAACATGCTCAAAACATTAACAGTCTAAACAGATATCCAAATACTAAGAAGAAAAACAAGTTATAGCACTTTCAATTTTTTTTTTTTTTTTAAAAAAAGGTTTATAGCTTTTTCTTTTCCCATGTCACAATGTCCACTTCCTAAGAAGGGTTTAAAATACTATGAAAACTTTCTTTTTGGGGAAAATATCTATTTGGTGTTTGACACATCAGTAGGTACTTTAAAGACCTGAATTTTATAGTAGCTTTAGGAGTTATATTTTATAAAAATCAGTTATGACTTTATATTTCCAGACAATAGAGAGTTCAGTACATCATGCTCTTGTGCCTCTGCCTGCTTTTCCTGCGTTCCCACCCTGTATTCCCCCCGCCTTTCGGGTTTCCAGGGCTTCGAGCTTGATCTTTTGAAAGTTTTATTCTATTAAATTTTTGCTATATCTTCTGGTTTTCTGAAAAAGCTTTAGAATGGTTTCTATACCCTTTGTATCACTGCATTTTTCCATATCATCTCCGGTTCGATCGCGTCCAGATGGAAAACGGAAGCAGAGGCTTCTAATCGTCGCATTTACTGGCTCCAGTGCAACACATCCATCTGAAAACACTCGGAAGTCTGGTGCTTGGAGAGGGTGCCATTGTCTCTTGTACATAAGGTCATGACGTGTCTATGTCAAAAGTTCTTATATATTTCTTTTATAAGCTGAAAGAAGGTCTATTTTTATGTTTTTAGGTCTATGAATGGAACGTTGTAAATGCTTGTCAAACAATAAAAATAACGAAAAGTGTCTGGGCGGTTCTATGCCTTTTTGGATGGGAGGATGAGTATGAATTGTTGGCGGGAGAGCGGCCGTGGGAGAAGATTCCTGGGAATGCCATTTATTGAAATAACTCGTGATCATCAGGAGAACGCTGTTGTAGCGCTTGAAGTTTTAACAACAACAAAAGGTGCATTACAGTTGCATGGCATCTTGACCTAACGTTGCCCCTACTGGGCACTGTTTCTTTTCCAGTCTCCTGCCTATCCCGATGGGAGCAGGCTGGGGGGGTTCCTGTGAAAATATTGGGGTGAAGTGCAGAGCTCTGACTGGCCTGACTGAGCTCTTGAATCACTCCACATTTTATCACCGGGGGCCTGCTGCCTGAGTCTTTCACAGAATCACCAAACAAGGTAAATACAGTCTTGGGCTGCCTTTCTCTTCCTGTCAGAGTCCCCAGATCTGAGCCTCTCGAGTCCCTTACAAACCTTACCCATCAATGTTACCCCATCCATCCCTGCCCTCAGTGAAAAGATTGTCTCCTGTCACTAGAAGAGCCTCTCCCTGGCGCATGGGGAGCCCTGTGGTGTAGCTACTTGCTCCTCACAGTGGAGGTCCTGACACCAGCAGCGTCGGTGTCACTGGGAGCTTGTTGGAAGTGCAGAAAACTGGGAGGCAGGAGGAGCACTTGAGGCTAGAAGTTCGAGACCAGCCTGGGCAACATAGTGAGACCCCCATCTCTACGAAAAATAAAATACTTAGCTAGTCGTGGTGGTTCACACCTTTAGTCCCAGCTACTCAGGAGGCTGAGGTGGGAGGTGAGCTCAGGAATTTGAGGCTTGCAGTGAACTGTGATCATACTGTTGCACTCCCGCCTGGGAAACAGAGACCCTGTCTCAGAAAAGAAAAATGCAGAAACTTGGGCCCCACCCAGAGGCACTAAACCAGAACTTCCATCTTAACAGGATCCTCTGATGACTCATCCATGTTCATGTTTGAGTCACATTCGTTTGGTAGCCTCCAAACATTCTGATGTTGAGCAGTGATTTGGAGCACATTCCTCTTTATTTTAAATATATTCAGGCATTACAGCAGCAATATGTACATCTTTAAGACACAAGATGTCTCTCTGTAGCCAGTGCATCCGACTTGGGGGATGACTGAAGCCAGCTTTAACACCTGCTCCATGAAGTTATTCCAGCAGTTTGTACTCTGGTGTAAATGAGATTTAGCAGTTTGGGCTGCTTTCCTCACCAATAGCTGAGCCTGTGTGTGCAGAGGAAATGAGTGCTCAAAGTCAACTATAGAGGAACAATCATGCCTTTCCCCACTAGTTTTCATTTATTTTCAGGCTCATCTCCCTCCCACCAGGCTGGCAGAAAACATCCTCAGTTTTCCTCTCCCTTTCAGTTCTTAAGGTTTGGGGGCGGGGTGCTTCCTTCTGCAAAGATAACTGTAGCAGTGACCAGTGTCCTCATCCATCCACGAGCTCCTTCACGCGTGATGGTGGGCTCTCTAGTGTATCCTTTTGCTCACCCAGGATTCTTCTGCAGCCTGGTCCCCGGTGTTCTGTCTCCTCTCTGGGACGTTGCCAGGATGCCTCCCCCAAGTTCTGGTCCCTCCCCTTCCACAGAGCTCTCCTGACTGTATCCCCAGCCAGGGGCTATTGCCTTTTTTTTTTTTTTTTTTTGAGAGGGAGTCTCACACTGTCACCCAGGGTGGAGTGCAGTGGCGTGATCTCGGCTCACTGCAACCTCCGCCTCCCAGGTTCAAGGGATTCTCCTGCCTCAGCCTCCCGAGTAGATGGGATTATAGTCGCCCGCCACCACGCCTGGCTAATTTTTTTGTATTTTTAGTAGAGACAAGGTTTCACTATGTTGGTCAGGCTGGTCTCGAATGCCTGACCTCGTGATCCACCCACCTCAGCCTCCCGAAGTGCTGGGATTACAGGCATGAGCCATCGTGCCCTGCTGGCTATTGCCTTTTCTGTGTGTGTGTGGTTATGGGGATGAGGACAGTGAAGCTGGGTTGCAGTGGGGAGCCCTTACCTTGTGTCTTTTTGCAAATTTTTTGTTGATACCCAAGTTTTATAGGCAGTTCTGCTTTTTGATGCAAACCTATTCTGGGATAGGGAATCCCTGTGACAGTTGCCTTAGAAGGGAGGTGTTGAGCAGGTTGGGGGGAAGTCATGAAAATACAAGGAGAGAAAGAAATACTCAAAATATTCAGCCACTTACGTAGAGAATGTGTGAGATCAAAATTGCAGTGTCATGGCCGGTGCTGTGGCTCGCACCTGTAATCCCAGCACTTTGGGGGGCCGAGGCGGGTGGATCACTTGAGGTCAGGAGTTCGAGATCAGCCTGGCCAATGTGGTGAAATCCCACCTTTACTAAAAATACAAAAATTAGCCAGGCGTGGTGGCACACATCTGTAATCCCAGCAACTTGGGAGGCTGAGGCAGAAGAATCACTTGAACCCGGGAGGTGGGGCTGCAGTGAACTGAGATTGCCGTGCCGCACTGCACTCCAGCCTGGGCAACAGAGTAAAACTCCATCTCAAAAAAAAAAAAGGCAGTGTCACAATCCCCCTAGGCTTCTCTAAAGGAAGTCATTGTTGGTAGAAGGAAAAAGGAGTATTCAGAACACAAATCATGAATGTGTAAGGCTTCTGTAAACACATGGAGTATGGATGCTGTTGGCAAGATACTGTCTCCTGCTGAACAGTGCAGGGGTAGAAACCCTCCCAGGTCGTGTTCCTGGGATCACCTTGTTTCCATTCTTCTGCCTGTCATATGCCTCTCCGCCTCCACCATGTACCAATAGAATGCATTGCATAGAAAACCTCATTCGTCGACAATGGAGTTTATTCTGGTCTATTCTTTCTACATCTTGAAGCAACCTTTAGCCCATACATTCTACTGTTTCAGTAAGTCAATTTCTGCTGTCACTGAGTCCACCACCTCGACTGTGTTCCTGAGTGAGATGTGAGTCACGCACATCTTCATGTCACTGCTGTCGAACTGGGCTGACGGCTTCTAACTTGTGTGCAGTAGATCCTCTGCTGTTGTCACTTGGGATTTATTTCTCTCTCTCTCTCTCTCTCTGTCTGTCTATCTCTCTCTCTCTCTTTCTTCTCACTCTGTCACCCAGGTTGGAGTGCAGTGGTGTGATCTCGGCTCACTGCAACCTCCGCCTCCCAGGTTCAAGCAGTTGTCCGTGCCTCAGCATCCCAAGTAGCTAGGATCACTTGCCCAGCTAATTTTTGTATATTTTGGTAGAGACAGGGTTTCACCACGTTGGCCAGCCTGGTCTCGAACATCTGACCTCAGGTGAGCCACCCGCCTTGGCCTCGCAAAGTGCTGTGATTACAGGCAGTCCCTTGGGATTAAAAATGACAAGGGATTTAGACTATGTGTGCACACCTTGCACTTTCTGTACAGTCAACTACCCTCAGGTTGGGGAGGTGTGACGCTTTTTTAAAAAACCCAAATCCAGGGTCCCTAATATTTTTTTAAAAATTCAGGAATCACATAATCCTTCAGAATTTTTTTTTCCATGTTCTTCAACATACTTCATACCCAGGTCAAGCCGAAGTTAGATTTTTTTAGCCCAAGAGGCCCTAGTGGGATTACTTTCAGCTTTCTGGGCACCAGCTTCATCGTTTTTAACTTCGATACTTAGTTTCTTGTCTTGAACACCACCTGGGGCTTCCTGGGCTGTTCCCAAGAATGATTTGGTTACAGGATGTCCTGTGTTCTGTTCTGCTGTACTCTGTGCTTGGGTGTTCCGCGTGGTGCCATTACCTTGTATTTTAGACATTAATGGTTGGTTAATTATAGGCCCCTCACTTTCAATCAAGATGGTAACATTTGATTGTCCTTGATTGGTTTGTTGAATATATGCATGGGGTGTGCATGTGTGCACACACACACTTAAAAGTGAGTTTATATTTTATTAACATACAGTTTTGTTAACCTGATTTTTACTCTTAATGATACAAGTTGTAGACATTTTCTTGACATTCTAAAAAGGTCTGCGTCACTGTAAGTCATGGCCACATCCATCATAATAGTCATAGTTCACCGTAATTTACATAACCAATTCCCTGCTGATGGGCATGAAGGATTCCAGGGGTTTTATTTTGTTATTAAGAAAACATGATGAACACCCATATTGGATATTTCTGTGCACTGGTCCAGTTGCTTCCTGAGGGAATACTGAAGAGGTAGCTTTGGGAACATTTATATACATTTTAAAGATCTTGATTGCCATTTCTAAATTCTAAGATGCTGTATTCCTGTTTGGCTTCTGGTGAGATGTCAAGATCCTACTTCCTGTCTAGTGTGTCCACTTTGTCACAGAAATGGCTTTTCCACCTGAGTTTGTATTTCGATTATTTGGGCCGGATATGCTTGGTGAGCTGGGACTTCTCCCACTCCTGTCCTCCTTTCTCTGTTCACACTCAGTTTTTTGTTTTGTTTTGAGATGGAGTCTCGCTCTGTCGCCAGGCTGGAGTGCAATGGGGCGATCTCGGCTCACTGCAACCGCTGCCACCCAGGTTCAAGCGATTCCCCTGCCTCAGCCTCCCGAGTAGCTGGGACTACAGGCATGTGCCACCACGCCCGGCTAATTTTTTTGTAGAGACAGGGTTTCACCATGTTGGCCAGGATGGTCTCGATCTCCTGACCTCGTGATCCACCCGCCTCAACCTCCCAGAGTGCTGGGATTACAGGCACACTCAGTTTTACTGTTAGTCTTTAGGGTATTGGGTGTTTCTGGTGACAGGAGTTGAGCATCCATGAACTCCCCTTCAAAGTTTCAGAGATTTTAAATATTCCCTTACCTCATACATGCTGTCTGATGTCTTGCCTCCAGATTTAAATGAAGGTTGAGTTTTTTATGATATTGATGAAATCAGTTTTATATGACAGACATGGCCATTTTGAGGAATAAGGATTTATTGACTTTTTTTTTTTTAAGGTTTGAATAGACTCAATAGTTGGACCAGTGATGTCACAGGACTAGGTCTCAAGTGACCATAATCTTACAATTCACTCCTAAACTCCAGGAGATGGGAAAGTGGTAATTGCTCCAGGAATAGAGTTGTTTAGTTTGGGGAATGGACAGAAAGTCAAGGTAGGGACGGAGTGTCATTCACTTGAAACAAATCTTGATACCTTTTACTAAGAGCCCTTGCATAAAAGATGTGTTTTTGTGGAAAACTAGGGAAACAGACAATGACTGGCAGGTCTCGTATTAACCTTTCAAGTCTCAGGGAGTTTCTCGCCACCAGCTGGAGTAAGGTGCATCAGACCCAATAGAGCAATGATCCTTGAACCAAAATGTGACTTTCCAAGGGTTCAAGGGTGCAGATGGTTTAAGGGGAATCCTTATCTAGATACTCAATGTCAAATGCCCTTTCCTAAAACTGATCTGCTTGGGAATGTGCTTGTGATAAACTGCACATTCTCTTCCCTCCCTCCCTTTTGACAGTCATCTTGCTCCCATTTTATTAAAAAAAGAGACTCCTCTCAGCTGTCCTGGATTGTACTTAGAGGAAGAACCTCTGGGATACCAAACAAATGGTCACAGAGAAGTGGTGTGTTCGGAAAGTAAATGACACCACCGACCAGGAAGCTAATCCTTCGGTAAGCCAGGTGGTTTCTAATTATTTGCTCCTAATCAGTTTGAAGAAGGACCTAATCAAGTCGTCAGGTGATAAATCATTAATTATAGATGATATCTCTGATTTGGTGCAGATAATTCAAGAGGTCAGAGAATTGAGTGGCACATAAAACTGCCGTAATTAAACTTCTTTCACTCCCAGTAGTCTTCAAACAAGGCTTTTCTGTGCTTGCATCTACAAAAATGAAAAGTAGAAATAGAATTGATGCAGAACTCTGTCTAGCTAAAAATAAGATCCACTGACTGGATACATGAACTAATTGAAAAATAAAAATATCCATTTCATTTAAGAGATTATTTCCAGTGAAATTTTACTCTTTATATTTGATATTTTTATGTATCTCTCTCTCTCTCTCTCTCTCTCTCTCTCTCTCTCTATATATATATATATATATATATATACCCATATATAAACTCTCTCTCTCTCTCTCTGTGTATATATATATAAACTCCAGCAGATGGGAAAGTGGTAATGGCTCCAGGAACAGAGTTGTTTAGTTTGGGGAATGGATAGAAAGTCAAGGTAGGGATGGAGTGTCATTCACTTGAAATAAACCTTGGTACCTTTTACTAAAATATATATATATATATACATACACTTTTTTTTTTGGCGGTGGAGGGGGACAGGGCCTTGCTCTGTCACCCAGGCTGGAGTGCAAGAGCGCAATCATAGCTCACTGCAGCCTCAAATCGGATTCAGGCGATCCTCCCACCTCAGCCTCCTGAACAGCTGAGACTACAGACACATGCCATGACCCCTGGGGCTAATTTTTACATTTTTTGTAGAGACAGGATCTCCGTATGTTGCCCAAGCTGGTCTGGAACTCCTGGCTTCAAGCAGTTTTCCCACCTTAGCCTCCCAAAGTGCTGGGATCACAGGCATGAGCCACTGTGCCTAGCTGATATATTTTTATATTGGTCAATCGTCTACCAATAATAATTGCAGTGATAACACAATCCATAAGTGATTTTTTAAAAAAATAGTTGGAGCTTTATGGTCATAGGAAATGCCAAAACTTTTAACATAGACATTTATCTAGATCTTTGTTCTAGAGAAGTTTGATAGGGTAATAGGATATAATAGGATATTAGAAAATGGGGCTAAAAGAAAAAAGGAATGATGTGAAATTTTTGAGTTTTTAAATGTATCCTTTGAATGGATGATGAGCATTAAATTGATTTGGGATTTTGGATACACTGGATACATTAAAACTGACATAATAGTTTTATTTGAAAATATCAAATTTTATAATATGTAAGTGTATCAATTGCTAGGTAACAAAAGCACCCTAAGGCTTAGTGGCTTAATACAACAAGCACTTATGCTGTTCATGAATCTGGGGGTTTAGCTGGGTAGTTCTGGACTTGGCTGGGTTGGTGGAGCTCCGTGGTCAGCTGGCGGTTCAGCTCAGCTGGGGCTGCATGTTCTCACACCCTGTGGCCTCACGTATGTGTCAGTTGGAAGGCTGCTTGGTCTAGGAACCTCAGCCAGGAGAGCTTCACGTGGTCTCTCTTCCACCGGTAGACTAGCATAGGCTTCCTTACATGGTGACTGCAGGTTCCAAAGAGTAGCAGGAGCAAGCCCCAGAACACAAGTGATTTTCAGGCTTCTTCCTGATTCACCTTTTCATAACCCTTGGCAAAAGCAAGCCGTGTGTCCAGTTGGGAAGGAACTCTCCAGGGTCATGGATCCAGGGAAGTGTGACTCCTTAGGGACCATTACTGCAGTAATCTACCATAGCCAGACATAGCATCCTTTGAAACTACTTAAATTGGTAATAAAAACATTTATTATGACATTTAGCTGTCAGAAGGAATATATTTTCAAAATTATCTTAGGGAGTTTCTGAGAAGAAATTGGAAATTTTTACAGAGAAGTCAGAGTTATTGTCGAGGGCAGTCCAGGCTTTCTCACTCTTCCCCTCTGTATTGAGAACAGGGCGTCTGAATGGAGAGGAAGTGCATGGGCTTTGGGGTGGGCCCCCTGTGTGCTTGAACCTTGACATTTCTGTTGACCAGCTGTGTGAACCTGGGCAAAACACCAATGCTTCTGTGTCTCTTTCTGCACCTCTGCAGTGGGGATAATAATACCTACTTTATCATTGTGACCAATTAGTGGTCACCACCTGCTGTGTCTCTCTCTCCCTCCCGCAGCCCACATCGACAAAGCTGCAGGGCCTCAATGTTCTCAGTGTTCTGAGATGATGAGATGGTGCCAAGTTCGCTTTGGAAGCTTCTAGCTCTGGTTTTGACAAATCAAGTGAAAATTGGCATTTGTAGAGAACAAGCTGGAAAATGCCTTTATTCTAATTACAGTTTTGTATCCACTTGTAAAGTTATTCACCGCCCTGTTAAATATATAAAAGTTAATCTAGACTTAAAAGTGATCTAAGTGATTAGAATAAAAATAAACATTTTCATATTGAATTTTAAATAATGGAAAAGCTACCTTGAAAGTGTGTTCAATTTTTGTACTGGTTTTTTTTTTTGTTTTTTTTTTTTGAGACGGAGTCTCACTCTGTTGCCCAGGCTGGAGTGCAGTGGCACCGTCTCGGCTCACCGCAACCTCCGCTTCCCAGGTTCAAGCGATTCTCCTGCCTCAGCCTCCCAAGTAGCTGGGACTACAGGTGATGCCACCATGCCTGGCTAATTTTTGTATTTTTAGTAGGGACGGGGTTTCACTATGTTGGCCAGGATGGTCTCGAACTCCTGACCTCGTGATCTGCCTGCCTCGGCCTCCCAAAGTGCTGGAATTACAGGGGTGAGCCACTGCGCCCGGCCTGATTTTTAAAGCAAATATGGAAGCTGTAATCAAACTAGCAATTTGTGGGTGAGCCCTGTGTCACTGCTGTATTACTCAATAATTCATGTTCAGATAGCTGAGTCTGAAGTACCCCAGTTTGGGAATTAAAAAAGAATTAAAACCCATAATCTATATCTTAGCTAAGATAGGAAAAATTTACTAAAATATTTTTTTCTGGTTGAATTTCAGATTTCTCCTATAACTCTGCACACCAGAAAAAAATCTATAGTACAAATACACATGAAATTCCATCAACTGTTTCATTTTTTTTTAATTTTTCTTAATCTTGTTCAGGGCATACACAATTTGTTTTACTTAAAATTATATTATTCACTCAATTTTTATAAGGAACACACTTGAGAATTCTACCAGAGTTTTATTGATACTGCTCTTTCTTAAGCAGTTGATCTTGAAATTCTCTTAAAAAATTATATTTGAGTTTTAAAACTTGTAATTGCCTGTGAGAGGAAAATAATTTTTCTTTCTATCCTTCTTAGTTTTTAACTGGGATCTGTGTAACAAAAGACAGATTATTAAAAGCAAACAGAAGCTGATTAACAAGTATATTTCATATACACATGGGAGAAAACTCAGAGAAAGAGTAACTGTCAAAGAGGTGGCTGAGAACTTTGCTGTATATAGTACCTTTAACAAAGAGCAGTACATCTTTAGAGAAGTGACAAGACAAGGAAAAGGACCTTCAGTCTTTAGGGGTGGCAAATTGTGGGAAGGCAAATAAACAGAAAGGAAACTAAGGGTGGATAAAGGCTAGTTTGTCATGTGGATTCCTCTGGTGCCATCTTCAGGTTGATAAGGCTGTAAAGTCATCTCTTTTTGGTAAAGACGAGAGGAGGGACCCTGATGTAAATCTGTTTTGCTTTTAGGCAAATAGGGGAAGGGCAGAGAGCTTTTCTCCTATCTGCTTCTTCTCAATTGCCTTCATCTCAGAAGAATCCTTATGTCGGCCGGGCACAGTGGCTCACGCCTGTAATCTCAGCATTTTGGGAAGCCAAGGCGAGCAGATCACTTGAGGTCAGGAGTTCGTGACCAGCCTGACCAACATGGGAAAACCCCGTCTCTACTAAAAATACAAAAATTAGCCAGACGTGATGGTGCATGCCTGTAATCCCAGCTACTTAGGAGGCTAAGGCAGGAGAATCGCTTGAACCTGGGAGGCGGAGGTTGCAGTGAGGCGAGATTGTGCCACTGCACTCCAGCCTGGGCAACAGAGCAAGATTTGGTCTCAAAAAAAAATAAAATAAAATAAAAAAGAAAAGAAAGGTTCCTTATGCCAAAGTGTCAAATTTTGAGGTGTTATATTTGCTACCCTTCAGTTGTTATTTTCTTTTGCTCATTTTTCTGTAATAGCCCAGAAAAGTTGGTCTGATTTTTATTTATTAAGAGCTCTCTTATGAAGACAGCTTGTCCAGGATAATTCTTATGTTTCAGATCTACAGACTCCAGCAATATCACTAATCCCGGGAGTGGGATCCCAGGCTGCCACTGCCATGTGGTGGGGCCTCAGAGGGGATCCCTCTCTGCCATGGAGCTTGTTTTTATAAGTTAAGAAATGGTCATGCTTTCTACAAGGAAATGTTCCTATTGTACCTTGGTAGATACTATGTTTAAGAAATTTTGACATGGCAAAAATAAAATTGTCTTGGGGAGGCAAGAGGAAAGCTGGCATCTCAAGCTGGAAAAGTCCAAGTCATTGGTTAGATTCTGAAATGACTCTGAAATGTTTTATTAATTGTATTAGTCCATTCTCACATTGCTATAAAGAACTACGTGAGATTGGGTAATTTATAAAGAAAAGAGGCTTAATTGGCTCACAGTTTCACAGGCTGTACAGGAAGCATGGACAATCATGGTGGAAGGCAAAGGGGAAGCCAGCTGGAGCAGGAGGAAGAGAGCAAAAGGAGAAGTGATACACACTGTTTTTTTGTTTTGTTTTTTTGAGATGAAGTCTCAATACAGAGGGGAAGAGTAAGAAAGGAAATGGGTAACAAGCAGAGGTTGGAACAGTTTGGAGGGCTCAGAAAATAGAAAAATGTGGGAAAGTTTGGAACTTCCTAGGGATTTGGAGGGCTCAGAAGACAGAAAGATGTGGGAAAGTTTGGAACTTCCTAGAAACTTGTTGAATGGCCTTGACCAAAATGCTGACAGTGATATGGACCATAAAGTCTAGGCTGAGGTGGTTTCAGATGGAGATGTGGAACTTGTTGAGAACTGGAGCAAAGGTGACTCTTGTTATACTTTAGCAAAGAGACTGGCAGCATTTTGCTACAGCCCTAGAGATCTGTGGAACTTTGAACTAGAGAGAGATGATTTAGGATATCTGGCGGAAGAAATTACTAAGTGGCAAAGCATTCAAGAGGAAGCAGAGCATAAACATTTGGAAAATTTGCAGCCTAATGAGGCAACAGAAAAGAAAAATGCATTTTCTAGGGAGAAATTCAAGCCTGTTGCAGAAATTTGCATAAGTAACAAGGAGCCGAATGTTAATCACCAAAAAACAATGGGGAAAATATCTCCAGAGCATGTCAGAGACCTTCACAGCAGTACCACCCATCACAGGCCTGAGGCCTAGGAGGGAAAAATGGTTTTCTGGGCCAGGTCCAGGGCTCCCCTGCTGAGTGCAGCCTAGGGACTTGGTGCCCTGTTTTGTCCTAGCTGGTCTAGCCATAGCTAAAAGGGGCCAAGGAACAGCTCAGACTGTGGCTTCAGAGGGTGCAAACCCCAAGCCTTGGCAGCTTCCACGTGGTGTTGAGCCTACGGGTGCACAGAAGTCAAGAATTGAGGTTTGGGAACTTCTGCCTAGATTTCAGAGGATGTATGGAAATACCTGGATGTCCAGGCAGAAGTTTCCGGCAGGGGCAGGGCCCTCATGGAGAACCTCTGCTAGGGCAGTGTGGAAGAGAAATGTGGGGTGGGAGCCCCCACACAGAGTCCCCACTGGGGCACTGCCTAGTGAAACTGTGAAAAGGGGGCCACCATCCTCCAGACCCCAGAATGGTAGATCAACTGACAGCTTGCACCGTGTACCTGGAAAAGCTGCAGACACTTAATGCCAGGCCTTGAAAGCAGCTGGGAGGTGGGCTATACCCTGCAAAGCCACAGGGGTGGAGCTGTCCAAGGCCATGGGAGCCCACCTCTTGCATCAGCATGACCTGGATGTGAGAAATGGAGTCAAAAGGGATCATTTTGGAACTTTAAGGTTTAATGACTGACCTATTGGATTTTGGACTTCATGGGGCCTGTAACCCCTTTGTTTTGGGCAGTTTCTCCCATTTGGAGCAGGTATATTTACCCATTGCCTGTACCTTCATTGTATCTAGGAAGTAACTAACTTGCTTTTGATTTTACAGGCTCTTAAGTGAAGGGACTTGCCTTGTCTCAGATGAGACTTTGGAATGTGGACTTTTGAGTTAATGCTGTAATGAGTTAAGACTTTGGACGACTGCTGGGAAGGCACAATTGGTTTTGAAATGTGAGGACATGAGATTTGGGAAGGGCCAGGAGTGGAATGATATGGTTTGCCTGTGTTCCCACCCAAATCTCATCTTGAATTGTAGCTCCCATAATTCCTACATGTTTTGGGAGAGACCTGGTGGGAGGTAATTGTATCAGGAGGGTGGGTTTTTCCTGTGCTGTTCTGATAATAGTGAATAAATCTCATGAGATCTGATGGTTTTATATAGGGCAGTTCCCCTGCACATGCCTTCTTGCCTGTCACCGTGTAAGATGTGCCTCTATTCTTCCTTAGCCTTCCACCATGATTGTGAGGCCTCTCCAGCCATGTGGAACTGTGAGTCCATGAAACCTCTTTTTCTTTATAAATTACCCAGTCTCAGGTATTTCTTCATAGCAGTATGAAAATGGACTAATATAAGTTTCAACATGAATTTGAGAAGGGGGCACATTCAAACCACAGCAGATGGGTAAAGATGCTTCACGTGTGGCCGAACTCACCAACACACTAAGACAATCTTAGTGACTGCTATGACTTGAATGTGTTCCCCAAAAAGTATGTGTTGGAAAATTAATCCCCAATGCAACAGACTCTGGAGGTGGGGCTTAGTTGGAGTTTACAAGTTTGAACTTGTTGGGGCTCAGAAAGCAATACCTCACAATATGGCATTTCTGCCATGCTGAAATGAAGAAGCCTCAAGGTCTCTGACCACCTATCCCCAAGAGCTCTCCCAAACAAACTGAAGTTCCTTTATCTGCCTAAGATACAAACTGATATAGGTTGGCTGTGTCCCCACCCAAATCTCATCTTGAATTATAGCTCCCATAATCCCCATGTGTTGTGGGAGGTAATTGAATCATGGGTGCAGGTTTTCCCATGCTGTTCTTGCAATAGTGAATAAGTCTCATGAGATCTGATGGTTTATGAAGGGCAGTTCCCCTGCACATGCCCTCTTGCCTGCCACCATGTTAGACGTGACTCTGCTCTCTTCCTTCACTTCTGCCATGATTGGGAGGTCTCTCCAGCCATGTGGAACCGTGAATCCATTAAACCTCTTTCCTTTATAAATTACCCAGTCTTGGGTATGTCTTTTATTAGCAGCCTGAGAACAGACGAATCAGACTAATACACAGAGCTACCAAGGAGAATAATGACTCTTTCTTTCTCTTCCTGTTGTCTCATTATCTGTTGCAGAAAAGAAAACTAAGATGTGACCACACCAGAGCAGAACTTTTATAAGTATAATGGCTGTTTCCAAGTCCATTTAAATTCCAAAGAAAACTATTTACAATTTCATCTCTGTTCTCCACCCAATCATCCTCCCTAGCAATCACTTATTGCCGCTCAATAGAATTCCTCTTCTCCCCTCTCCCATAACCTGTTTTACAAGAATCCAAGCCCCCATTCTTTCTGTAACATAAAAATGGTACATAAATTTCTGTAACTCACTGGAAATTTGGGTCTTCATTCTGAAGGCTCCTATGTGTACATGTTACATAAATTTGTATGCTCTTTTTCCGTTCCTCAATCTGCCTCATGCCAGTGATTTCTCAGTGAATGTTTAGGCAGCTAACAGCCATGGATCCTCACAATCTCTTACTCTTTCTCCCTCTTTCTCTCTGTCTTTCTCTCACCCTCTCTTTTTTCCGCACCATGGCATGATGCAGCAAGAAAGCCTTGGCCAGATGCTAGCTCCTCAATCTTGGACTTTCCAGCCTCTGGGTGAGGTGTCAGAGCCCCAGCAATGAGAGTGGTTGGCTTGTGGGGTGATATGGTTTGGCTCTGTCTCCCCACCCAAATCTCACCTTGAATTGTAATAATGCCCATGTGTCATAGGAGGAACCTTCTGGGAGATAATTGAATCTTGGGGGTGCATTTTTCCCATGCTGTCCTCATGATTGAAAATAAGTCTCACAAGTTCTGATGGTTTTACAAAGCGTAGTTCCCCTGCACATGCTCTCTCTTGCCTGCCGCCAAGTAAGATGTGACTTTGCTCCTCATTCACCTTGTGTCATGATTGTGAGGCCTCCCCAGCCATGTGGAACTGTGAGTCAATTAAACCTCTTCCTTTTATAAATTACCCAGTCTCCTGTATGTCTTTATTAACAGTATAAGAACAGACTAATACACGGGGGTAAAAGAATATACCAACAGCAGTATAGGTTTGAAGAGGAAAGTATTATTTGATAGAAAGAATGCTGCAGCGGAGTGCAGTGGGGTGCCTCAGTAAGACAGGACTGAGTGCACTGCAGTGGATTTCCCTTAGTGATATTTATGGACCTTACAGTGGGAGCTTAAGGGTAATTTGGACCATATTAGTCACACAGGTCATTATAAATAATTACATTTGTAGACATTTTGGTGCTTTGATGTCAGCAAAGGTCGCACAGTGTGTTTCGACATGCATGCATTCTGGAGATGTATAGAAATTCTAGTTACTTACAAATTCTTGGGAAAGAGGTCTGGTGCCAGATGTAGCTTTAGATAATAGAGAAATGTAATGACTTCTGAATTTCTTAGATATGGGATTTTGCCTCCAGATGGTCTGCTTGATGGCCACCCTGTGATCTTTGCTCTCTTCACCAGCCTCCAGAACCATGAGGCACTCAACTTCTGCTCATTATAAATTACCCAGTCTCGGGTATTCTGTTATAGCTGCACAAAACAGACTAAGACAGTGACCAAATGGAGACACTGGGAGAGGGATTTCTGGTGACACAGAGACTTCTGAGAAGAGGAAGAGCAATCTCTGTAAAGTCAAGAGATAAATCCAGAGCCACACAGGAAACTGTAAGGGAACAGATTCTGAAGAACTTTCTTCACTGTTCTCTTTTCGATGGAGACCAACAATTAAGAACCCAGTTCTGAAAGGAGCTAGAGTTTTCATTAGTCCTGGAAACTGGGTAAAATTTGAAGAATTTCACCTGTTTATGATGCAGATAAGGGTAGCTCTCCATGATAAGAACTGGAGGGAATTACCCCAGATAATTGCAAATGGGTTCAGAAATGCCTACAAGAAAGGTCAGAATCTACGAAAATGTCAAAATCAAACATAGGCAAGGGCTTAACATTGAGATTTCATGATACTATTTTTACTTCCTGTGTTCGTTATTATTTTTAGTTCCTGTTTCCTCATAGAAATTTCAGTTGCACACACGTATACACAGGTACTTGTTTATGCTTGTTTCCTGGGACAGTAATAAAGTGAAGAGTAAATAAGTTTCCATAGATATTTTCTGGGACAGCAATAAAGTGAAGAGTAATAAAGTTCCATAGATATGTACTCAGTGTCTCTGCTACTAATAACTGATAGCCACACTTGGGATGTGGCAGTGGTGAAGAGGAGGGGCAGTGGGAGGAACTCCTAGGTCTTTAGGAGCAAGGAGCGGGCAGTGATGCATAGATAGTGAGGGACTCGGTAACTGGAAGGTCCCACCCTTGCTCTTTCCCTGTTGTGCTCATTAGGACCTTTTCACTTGGGGTTTCCTGCAATTGCAGAAGAGGTGCAATCTTTTGTCTAAGGGAAGCACATGATAGCTTAATGTGCATGTAGACAGATGCTCAGAATATGACATGGCCTCCATTTGGCTTCCAGGTAGCTGATGTTTTCTTCTGGTGGTATTGAGGGACAGTGAAATTAGGAAATCATACACATCAGTTGTATATGCTCAAGCCTGAGTAGCTTTGAAAATATACTGATGCCAAGACCCTCCCTCCTCATGCTAAGAAAATCACAATCTCTGGGGTTGAGATCAGAGCATCATCATACCTTAACCCTTGAACAACACAAGTTTGAACTGTGTGAATCCACATATTCGTGGATCTTCTTCTGTCTCTGTCACCCCTGAGACAGCAAGACTAACCCCTCCTCTTCCTCCTCCTTCTCAGCCTACTCAACATGAAGATGACAAGGATGAAGACTTTTATGGTAATTCACTTCCACTTAATGAATAGTAAATATATTTTCTTTCTTTATTATTTTCCTAATAACATTTTCTTCTCTTCAGCTTATTCTGTTGTAAGAATACAGTGTATACTACATATAACATACAAAATATGTGTTAATTGACTTGATGTTATTGGTAAGTCTTTTGGTCAACAATAGGCTATGAATGGTTAAGTCTTTGGAAAGTCAAGAGTTACACATGAATTTTTGACTGCATGGGGGGTTGTCCCTAACTTCTATGTTGTTCCAGAGTCCACTGTATTTAAAAGCTTCCTCCAGGTGATTTTAATGTGCCAGTAGAACAGTGAACTATTGGTCAATATTGATGACTAACAAGAAACTTAGTCCTTTTTTCCTTCTCTGTCTTGTAATTGGATTGAAAATATTTAGATCTAATTTACCTTGGTGATTTGAGAAACGTATCCATGTAACATTTATTGAGCACCTATTATACATAAGAGGTGGGGGGCATAATATGGATAAGCATGATTTCTGCTTAAAGGTGCTTATAATCTGGCAGATACAAGTGTATGAGCTGCCCCTGATATACACCTGTCATTAGCATTCCTGTTCCCTGAGAGCTGTTTTATCTTCCTCCTCCAAGAACTTCCTGAGAAGGTGATGGGCTTCTGAACAAGCTGATACACAGACAGGAGACAGGGAAATACTGGGTAGAAGAGGGCAGTTCCCTGGCAAAGGCCCCACCCCCAGGCCTGGAAACCTGCAGCCCTAAATGGGGACATTCCTGTTTTCACACCCAGATGTCGCCATTTGGCCTGCCACCTCCCGCTATCCTGTACCCATATAAACCCCAAACCCCAGGTACTACTCTTCATCAAACCTAGTATATATAAAAAAATACTTAGAATTAACTATTTCTTTAGGTCTTTATTTCCTAATGAAGGATCTCGTTTCACATAAAACCATTATCTAATACATCTGTATATTTTCTTTTGTTAACTTGTCTTTTGTTAGTCTAAGTTACAGGGCTAGAGAACCAGCCAGAGAATCTAAGATAGGTACAGGCAAAATAATTGTTTTTCTGAGCTAGAAAGGAGTTCAGTATTTGAAATAGGAATGGAAAAGCAAGATGCAACATGAGGATTTTCAGAGCTGTAAAACTGAAAAGTCCTTCATTCTTTGAAGTACATTTGCTTGAATTATTCTTTTGTTTTTTAAATTCCAAAATTAATGTAAGTTCAAATTTTTATAGCTTATATATACATATACACACACATTTATACACAGACACACACTTTTTTTTTTTTTTTAAAGAGAGTCTCACTCTGTCACCCAGGCTGGAGTGCAGTGGAGTGATCATAGCTCACTGTAACCTCAAACTCCTGGGCTCAAATGATCCTCCTGCCTCAGCCTTCCACTTCCCCCCAACCCCACTCCCCTCACTGCCCCACCACCCCAGGTAGCTAGGAAAATGCCACCATGCCTGGCTGATTTTAAAAAGATTCTTTGTAGTGAAACTATCTCACTGTATTGCCCAGGCTGGTCTCAAACTCCTGGCCTCAAGCAGTCCTCCTGCCTTGGCCTCCCAAAGTACTGGGATTACAGGCATGAGCCATTGTACCTGGTCACAATTTAATTAGTAATAAATTTAAATGGAGGGAAACCCACTTAGTTGTCATATTAGCTGTTCTTCTGTCTGTAAATGACACAAGAAGCCACCCATATATGGCAGATCCGGTTTGCCTCTACATAACCATTGCTAACATTTGGGTATTGCTCCTATATTTTCATATGTATACACGTGTCTAACTTATACACATATATAAATGCATATTTAAATAGAATCATATTGTACCTTATTGTACTATCTGCCTTCATTTATTATCCATCATGAGTAGTTCCCCTTATCATTAAGCATCTTCCTATAACATACTTTTTAATGGTTACAAAGATTCCCTTTGGGATGACACACCAAATGATAGAGTTTGGACGTGTGCCCCCTCCAAATCTCATGTTGAAATGTGATTCTCAGTACTGGAGGTGAGGCCTGGTGGGGGTGATTTGATCACGGGGGCAGGTCTCTCGTGAATGGCTTCGCACCATCCCCAGGTGATAAGTGAGTTCTTGCTCGGTGAGTTCACGTGAGACCTGGTTGTATAAAAGTCTGGAACCTCCCGGCAACCCTGGATCTTGCCATGTGACATCACCTTCTCTCCCTTCGCCATCTGCCATGATTAGAAGCTTCCTGAGGCCTCACCAGAGGCAGACGCTGGAGCCATGCTTGTACAACCTGCAGAACCATGAGCCAATTAAACCTCTTTTATTATAAATTACCAGCCTCAAGTATTCCTTTTCTTTTTCTTTTTTGTTTTTGTTTTTTGAGACAGAGTCTCACTCTGTCACCCAGGCTGGAGTGCAGTAGCATGATCTCGGCTCACTGCAACCTCTGCCTTCTGGGTTCAAGCGATTCTTCTGCCTCAGCCTGCCAAGTAGCTAGGACTATAGGTATGCGCCACATGCCCAGCTAATTTTTGTATTTTTAGTAGAGACAGGGTTTCACCATATTGGCCAGGCTGGTCTTGAACTCCTGACCTCGTGATCCGCCCACCTTGGCCTCCCAAAATGCTGGGATTACAGGTGTGGGCCACTGAGCCTGGCCAAGATATTCCTTTATAGCAATGCAAAAACAGACTAACACGCTATAGGTCCTCAAATACTTGCTAACAAAGGGAGGGTCTCAACTTGATATTTGATAATGTTGGATATTTAGATCATTTACATTTTAGCTATTGTAAATAAAACACTGTGATGTGAACGTTACCTTGAAAACAATGACACCCTTGTATAATTATATTATCAACAGTAAAATTAATCACACCTTTAAAATAATTCCACCTGGAGATTGCATTTGTATTATACACTTCAGAACATGTACCTATACATGTATCTGGTCCTCCCAAACCCTGTCAGATGAATTGGGCGGATAAGCTTATCTTTTCTCACCATCTTAGAGGTGAGGGAGGAAGGTGTGGCTCACACCACAAACAGCAGCTTTTGTGTTTCGTGTTCATGACCGGGATTAGACCGCACACAGAGGGAAAGACTGGAAGACCGTGCATTTCCAAGCCAGACAGTTTATCGATTAGCTATCATAACAGGACTGTATGCTAGAAATCCAAGGAGCAAGATGCCACTCTGCTTCTCGTAGTAAGGATAACAGAGCAAGCTCGCCACGCATCAAGGGCTTTTTGCCGACCCAGCTTTGAGGGTATGACGTGTACCCCCGTGCTCCCTGCTGGAGACCTGTAGGATCGTCTCAAGCTTTTTTGGCAATGTCCACAAAGGAGTTAAATCTGACTTAGCAACCAGGCTGTGAGTTTCCGGGGTCCAGGAGTGGGAGATGAGCAGGAACCCGTCCCAAGCAGGAATCTGTCCCAAGTTCATCTTTTAGCTAAAGGGAGGGCTGTGGCCCCTCACGCTGCTCTGGGTTGGGAGCGGAGCATCGGTGTATTTAAGAGCATCCAGGTGATTGTAATGTGCCAGTTGGATCTAATTTACCTTGAAAATTCGTGCATTTAACGAACAGGTTCTGGCAGTGAAGAGCCGGAGAATGATTTTTGTCTTGATAAAGAAATAAAGGGGATAAATAGAATGTTGGCTGCGGTTGCTGCTTATCGAACGTTTTTCCCAGATCTAAGGGTTTGCCCGAGTAGGAAGGATGCGGAAGGATGCGGAAGGATGGCGTTCCACCTTATTTCCACCTCCCTCACAGCATCCCGCCTGGTACCGTGCCTGGCTGGTTCGGGGCACTTTCAGCGCGGTCCTGTGCGAGGACGTTTCTCTGGTGCCCTCTCGCGGTGGATCAGCAAAGTGCCGCATTTTATTTAGAACCAGAATGGACGTAGAAGGACCCTTGGACGTCATATTTTGTAACCCTCTCATTTTACAGATGAGGAACCGAGGCCTAGAGCAGTGAAGCGGTTTGCCCAGGCTCACATGCCTAGTAATTAGGTTAAGTGGGGTTTGGCTGGGGACAGTGTTTAGGAATAGGAGAGGGTAACTCAGATCCCTGGAGTTCGATAGCCTGAACAAAGGCTTGGGAAATGAGAATCAGCTGGTGATGGATGGAATTAGAACAGATGCTGGGTGCCACACACAAGGCCACGGGTGATTGCTGCTGCCACCACTGGAGCCTCAGAACCTGAAAATTTACAAAGCCCCTCAAGGCCAATATGTCCCAAACTGAACTTATCATTTCCACCTTCACTTTATCTTCTTCCGTCATCTCAGTAAATGGCCTCACCTTCTCTCAGGTTGCTCAGGCTGGAAAACTAGTCATCTCTCTCTGTAGTCCACATCCAATCCATCACTGAGTCCTGCTTCCTGTAAAATTTAGGCCGGGTGCAGTAGCTCACGCCTGTAATCCCAGCAATTTGGGAGACTGAGGAGGGCGGATCACTTGAGGTCAGGAGTTCGAGACCAGCCTGGCCAACACGGCAAAACCCCATTTCTACTAAAATACAAAAATTAGCTAGGCGTGATGGTGGGCACCTATAATCCCAGCTACTCGAGAGGCCGAGGCAGGAGAATGGCTTGAATCCGGGAGGTGGAGATTGCAGTGAGCTGAGATCGCACCACTGCACTCCAGCCTGGGTGACAGAGCAAGACCCTGTCTCAAAAAAATAAAAAAAAATAAAAAAAATTATCTTGAATCCTCCACTGCCACAACTTCCCCTTGCCTATGACTATGAAAACCTGGGTAGTGGACATCTTCCAGCCGTGGCTGTCCAAATGTTGAACACCCTCCTTGCATAGATAGCGTCTCACCTCGGGAGCATTGTCCTGCTTTCTAAAGGTAAAATCTGGTCAGCTTCCTTTCCCAGCCCTCCCACACACCCCTTGCAACTGGAATGTAGATGTGTGTGCTGGGCTTTACTCAATTGGGTGCAAACCCAGGAAGCTGCAATATGGAAGTGAGTGATGTGATGAAGCCTGAGGATGGAGCCGGCCTTTCATCAGGGTTTGAACGTCCTAGAGGGCACAAGGGGATGATTTGGGAGGAAGAGAAGCAAAGGGCACAGAGCAGAAGGAACACAAGGAGAGAGGAGGTGTCAGATGATTGCGGGGAACTACATTTTGGGTTATGACCCAGTGTGATGGTTAATACTGAGTGGCAACTTGATTGGATTGAAGGATGCAAAGTATTATTCCTGGGTGTGTCTGTGAGGGTGTTCCCAGAAAAGATTAACATTTGCGTCAGTGAACTGGGAGAGGCAGACCCACCCTCAATCTAGGTGGGCACCATCTAATCAGGGGCTAGCTCGGCCAGAATAAAAAATGGCAGAAGGACATGGAAAGACTAGACTAGCTTACTCTTCTGGCCTCCATCTTTCTCCCGTGCTGGATGCTTCCTGCCCTCAAACATCAGACTCCAAGTTCTTCAGCTTTGGGACTTGAACTGGCTTCCTTGCCACCTCAGCTTGCAGATGGCCTGTTCTGGGACCTCACCTTGTGATGATGTGAGTCAATACTCCTTAATAAACTCCCCTGTGTATATACATCTATCCTATTAGTTCTGTCCCTCTAGAGGACCCTGGCTAACACACCCGGGGTGACGTAGAGATAACACACGGTGGGGCTGGATTTTTCAGGCTTTCTTTCTTTTATTTTTTGAGAGGGAGTCTCGCTCTGTCGCCCGGGCTGGTGTGCAGTGGCGCGATCTCAGCTCACTGCAAGCTCCGCCTCCCGGGTTCACGCCATTCTCCTGCCTCAGCCTCCCCAGTAGCTGGGATTACAGGCGCCCACCACCATGCCTAGCTAACTTTTTTTGTATTTTTAGTAGAGACAGGGTTTCACCGTGTTAGCCAGGATGGTCTCGATCTCCTGACCTCGTGATCCGCCCACTTCGGCCTCCCAAAGTGCGGGGATTACAGGCATCAGCCAACACGCACGGCCATTTCTCAGGCTTTCAAACTCTGATTCACAAAAACTGTTGCCTTGGTGCAGAACAAGCTAAGGCTGCAGGTAGAACAGATGAGCTGGTGAGGCTGCCACAGGAGCTTGGGGCTGTGCTGGGCGCTCTGAAGGCCTGTGCAGAAACAAGCTGATTGGAAACAGAGTCTCATATATAAGACAACAAAGCTGATGTAGGAAACAATAAACAAGTAGCTAATATGCTTGTAAAAAATTTCACTCCAAACCAAGATGTGACCGGATTGGAATTAGAATGCGTGTGTGTAGATGTGTGGATGTATGTATGTATGCATGTGTTAAGCCTATTCTGAGCGCAGCAGTTGCCGTAGAGAATTTTTGGGTAAAATCATCCTCTTTGGGAATATACTTTCTTCCCCATGGGACCACTTTTGGGATCAAAACTTATTTGGTTGTATCGGCTTGGGTGACATCCTTCCCAAAGACATTATTTCGTAGGCATTGTTTTTAGCAAAGATACTAGAATTTTAAAAAGTAAAAATGAAACTCTGCTTTGGGCTTTTACGGAAGTTTAATAGAAATATAAACACTGGTGATTGATTGGATTGATTGAACATGTAAATGAGACAGGTTTTTTTTTTTTTTTTCGCTTTTATTTCCTGAGCAGGAATAGTCTCATTACTTAGACATTTTGTCACGGGTAGTATCTGCTCTCTGATTAACTTGATTCTTCATGTACAGTCACTAGGTTTTCCAGAAAACTTATAAGTATCTGGAAAAAAGTTGCATTAGGTGTTAAGATCTTTTCAGTTTAGTTATTGAAAAATAGTTTCCCCAGCAGCCTTATTTGCAGAAGTGAAAAAGCCAATTGTTAAATCATACGTAATTGCACAGTGCCCCTAAATAGCAAAAACAATATTGAAAAAGAAAAATAATTTAAAAATCTACCTATTGGGTACTGTGCTTATTATGTGGGTGCTGAAATAATCTGTACACCAAACCCCCATGCCACTCAATATATGTATGTAACAAACCTGGACATGTACCCCTGAACCTAAAATAAAAGTAAAAAAAAAAGAATAAAATTGGAAAGCTAACACTTCTGGATTTCAAAACTTAATACAAAGTTATAGTAATCAAAACAATGTGATACTTACAAAGATAGGCATATAGGCCAAAATGGAATTGACAGTCATACATCTATGGTGAATGGATTTTTGATAAAGGTGCCAGGTTCTTTCAGTGGGGGAAGAGTAGTCTTTTCAACAAATGGTTCTGAGACAACTGGATTTTTACGTGTAAATGAATGTAGTTGCACTCTTACCTCACTCCATATATAAAAATTAATTCAAAGTGATTTCAGCATTAATCTGATACTAAAACTAGATAAGGAGACAACAAAAAAAGAAAATGACAGACCAATATTCCTGATTAATATACATGTAGAAATCTTCACCAGAATACTAGCAAACTAAATTCAACAACACATTGCAAAGATCATTCATTATGATCATGTGTACCCCAGGAATGTAAGGATGGTTCAACATATGCAAATCAATAAACATGATACATCACATAAACAGAGTCAAGAACAAAAAACCATATAATTACCATAGATGCTGAAAAAGCATTCAATAAAATTTATCATCTCTTCATGATAAAAACTTTTGACAAACTGAGTATAGAAGGAATATATCTCAAAACAATAAAAGCCATATGACTTTTATATGGCCAAAAGTCATATATGGCAAACCCATAGCTAGCATCCTACTGAATGGGGAAAAATCAAAAGCCTTTTCTCTAAGATCTGGAAGAAGACAAGGTTGCCCACTTTCACCACTTTTATTCAATATAATCCTGGAAGTCCTAGCCAGAGCAATTAGGTAAGAGAAAGAAATAAAGGGCATCCAAATGGGAAAGAAACAAGTCAAATTATTCTTGTTTACAGATGACATGATTCTACATTTAGAAAAACTTAAAGATTCCACCAAAAAACTGTTAGAACTAGTGAACAAATTTGGTGAAGTTGCAAAATACAAAATCAATATACAAAAATCAGTGGCATTTGTTGTTTATTTGTTTGTTTGAGACAGGGTCTTGCTCAGTCACCCAGGCTGGAGTGCAGTAGCAGGATCACGGCTCACTGAAGCCTAGACATCCCAGGCTCAAGTGATCCTTCTACCTCAGCCTCCCAAGTAGCTGGGACTAAAGTCCCAGCTGGCTAATTTTTAAAAAAATTTTCATAGTGATAAAGTCTCATTTTGTTGTCCAGGCTGTTCTTGAACTCCTAAGCTCATGAAATCTTCCCACCCTGGCCTTGCAAAGTTTTTGCATTACAGGCATGAGCCACCATGCCTGGCCATCAGTAGCATTTATATATGTCAACAGAGAACAATCTGAAAAGGAAAGCAATCCCATTTATACTAGCTACCGAAGCAAAAACAAAGCCCTAGGAATAAATTTAATCGACCAAGTGAAAGATCTCTATAGTGAAAACTACAAAACACTGATGAAAGAAATTGAAGAGGACACCAAAAAGTGAAAAGATATCCCATGCTCATGGATTGGAAAAACTGATATTGATGTGTCCATACCACCTGTATTAGTCCGTTTTCACACTGTTGATAAAGATATACCCAAGGCTGGGCAATTTACGAAAGAAAGAGGTTTAATGGACTCACAGTTCCACGTGGCTGGAGAGGGCTCACAATCATGGCAGGAGGCAGAAGGCAAAAGGCACCTCTCACATGGCTGCAGACAGGAGAAGAGAATGAGAGCCAAGCAAAAGGGGTTTCCCCTTATAAAACCATCAAATCTCGTGAGACCTATCAATTACCACGAGAACAGTATGGGGGAAACTGCCCCCATGATTCAGTTATCTCCCACTGGGTCCCTCCCACAACATGAGGGAATTATGTGAGCTACAATTCAAGATGAGATTTGGGTGGGGACTCAGCCAAATCATATCACCACCTAAAATGATCTACAGAATCAATGCAATCCCTATCAAAATACCAGTGACACTTGTCTTAGTCTGCTTATGTTGCTGTAAAGGAATACCTGGGTAATTTATAAATACAAGACGTTTATTTGGCTTACGGTTCTGCAGGCTGTACAAGAAGCATGGCATCAGCATCTGCTTCTGGCAAGGGCCTTAGATTGCTTCTACTCATGGCAGAAGCTGAAAAGGATCCGGTGAGATCACATGACAAGACAGGGAGGAAGGGAGCAGGTAAGGAGGTTCCCGGCCTTTTTTTTAACAATCAGATTTTGTAAATAGAGCAAGAACTCATTACCAGGCGGATGGCAACAAGCCATTCATGAGGAATCTGCCTCCATGATGCGAACACCTCCTGCCAGTCTCCACCTCCAACATCAGGGATCACATTTCAATGTGAGAGTTGGTGGTGGGGTGGGGGTGTCAAATATCCAAAAGATAGCAACATTCTTCACAGAAATAGAAAAAAAAAATCCTAAAATTCACTTGGAACAAAAGACCCTGAATAACCAAAGCAATTTTGAACAAAAAGAACAGAGCTGGAGGTATCACACTAACAGATTTCAAAATGTACTACAAAGCTATAGTAACCAAAAATAGCATAGTACTGGCACAAAAACAGACACATAGACCAAATGGAACAGAATAGAGAGCCCAGAAATAAATCTATGCATATATAGCCAACTCATTTTTGACAAAGATGCCAAGAACATACATTGGGGAAAGAACTGTCTTGTCAATAAACGGTGCTGGGAAAACTGGCTATCCATATGTGGAAGAATAAAACTAGGACCCTATCTCTCACCATATTAAAAAATCAAATCAAATGGATTAAAGACTTAAATGTAAGACCTGAAACCATGAAACTTCTAGAAGAAAACACTGGGAAATGCTCCAGGACATTAGTCTGGGCGAAGATTTTTTTTTTTAGTACAACCTCACAAGTACAGGCAACGAAAGCAAAAATCAACAAATAGGATTATGTCAAGCTAAAAAACTTCTTACACAGCAAGAAAATAATCAGCAGAGTGAAGAGGCAACCTACAGAATGGGAGGAAATATTTACATCCATTTGACAAAGGATTAATAACCAAAATATGTAAGAAACTCAAACAATAGCAAAAAACCTGAATAATCTGATTAAAGAATGGGCAAATGATCTGAATAGTCATTTCACAAAAGAAGACATATAAATGGCCAACAGGTATATGGGAAAATGTTCAACATCACTAGTCATCAGGAAAATGCAAATCAGATATTATATGCAATGAGATATTATCTCCCCCAGTTAAAATAGCTATTATAAAAAATACAAGAAATGACAAATTCATGCCAGTACACTGTTGATGAGAATGTAAATTAGTACAGCCACTATGGAAAACGGTATGGAGGTTCTTCAAAAATTCAAAATAGATTTACTGTAGGATCTAGCAATCCCAGTACTGGGTATATATCCAAAAGAAAAGAAATCAGTGGCCGGGCACGGTGGCTCACGCCTGTAATCCCAGGACTTTGGGAGGCTGAGGTGCGTGGATCATTTGAGGTCAGGAGTTTGAGACCAGCCTGGCCAACATGGTGAAACCCCATCTGTACCAAAAATACAAAAATTAACCAGTAGTGGTGGTGCAGGCCTGTAATCCCAGCTACGGAGGCTGAGGCAGGAGAATCGCCTGAACCTGGAAGGCAGAGTTTGTGATGAGCTGAGATTGCACCACTGCACTCTAATATAGGCGACAGAGCGAGCCCCTGTCTCAAAAAAAAAAAAAAAAAAAAAAGAAGTCAGGATGTTGAAGAGATATCTGCATTTCTATATTTATTGCAGCACTATTCCCAGTAGTCAAGATATGAAAACAACCTGAGTATCCATCAATGGATAAATGAATTAAAAAATATGGCACAGATACACAATGGAATTCTGTTCAGCCAAAAAAAGGAATGAAATTCTGTCATTTGTGCCAGCATGGATGAATCTGGAGGACCTTACATTAAGTGAAATAAGTCAGGCACAGAAAGACACATATATCACATATTCTTATTCATATGTCTCAATCAAAGTTGATTTTATGGAAGTAGAACATAGAAGGATGGTTACCAGAGGGTGAGAAGGGTAGTGGGGATTGGGGATGTATTTCCTTACCCAATAAAGAAAATACATTAAATAGAAGGAATAAGTTCTAATGTTTGGTAGAGCAATAAAGTGACAATAGTTAATAATAATTTATTGTGCCTTTCACAATAGCTAGAAGAGAAGATCTGGCATTTCTGTGTTAGAAACACAAAGAAATGATAAATGAGGTGATAGATATTCTAATTGCTCTGATTTGATTACACATTGTATTAATCTAACCAAATATCAAATGTACTCCATAATTATGTGTAATTATTATATATCAATAAAAAACTATAGAAGAGAAAAAAGAATTTTAAATAGTTAATTATAGAAATTATATTTAATTAAAACCCATATTTCTTAATGATGAGTAAAAAAATAACAATGCCTCAATTTTTATTCAGGGTGTCTATAGTTCATCCTTCTTTCTTATCAAATTGACTGAAAAATTATTGCTTTTTGGTAAGACTTTATCTGTATGTTTGCCTTTTTCAGGGGTTAAGTTACTTTATTGTATTAAGATACTATCCCAAACCTGAGACATATCCTCTATAAAATATAGAGAAATAAAATCAGAAAATGTTTGACAGATTATGATGAATTAAGGGTATCTAAGTCAGTATTTATAGTTTGAGAATAAAATCATAAGAGAAAAAATTACAACTACTATTTGTAAATATGCAGAAAACCACACAAGTATAATTTTGAAATAAAATGTCAAAAATTTCATTTGAAATTTCATTTGGAGTGGATGTCTCATATAAATGTAAGCCAAAAATATGTATATAAATAATTTTACAGCTCAATAAAATTTTGTTTTATTTAAAGCCCAAAAGCAGAAAGAAAAAAAATTCACTCAAAATAAATCAATGGCCTAAATATAGGAGCTAAAACCATAACACTCTTAGGAGAAAACAGAGATAAATCTTCATCATCTTGGATTTGGCAATAAGTTCTTATACATGACACAAAAAGCTTGGCAACAAAAGCAAAAACAAACAGATGGGACTACATCAAACTTAAAAACTTGTGCACATCAAAGGAAAGAGTCAGCAAAGTGAAAAGCTAAGCTACAGAATGGGAGAAAATATTTGCAAATCATATATCTGACAAGGGATTAATACCCAGAATATATAAAGAGCTACTACAACTCAACAACAAAAAACTAAAAACTGGGCAAGGTACTTGAATATAAATTTCTCCAGGGATGGTGTCCAAATGGCCACCAAGCATATGAAAAGATGCTCAGCATCACTAATCATTAGAGAAGTGCAAATCAAAACTACAATGAAATGTCACCTCATACCCATATTAGTATGGCCACTATCAAAAAACACAAAATAACAAGTGTTGGAGAGGATGTGGGGAAACTGGAACCCTTGTGTGCTGTTGGTAGGAAGGTAAAATGGTACAGGCTGCCATGGAGAACAATATGGAGATTCCTCAAAAACTTAAAAATAGATTTATCATATAACCTAGCAACTTCACTTCTGGGTATATAGCCAAAAGAATTGAAAGCAGGATCTTGAAGAGATATTTTCAAACCAATGTTCATTGCAGAATTATTCACAGTAGCCAAGAGGTAGAAGCAACCCAAATGTCCATTGATGGAAGAATGGATAAAGGAAATGCAATGTACATACAAAGGCATATTATTCAGCTTTTAAAAAGAAAAAAAACCCTGTTACATATGACAACTTGGAGGAACCTTGAGGAAATTATGCTAAGTGAAGCCAGCCAGTCATAAAAAGACAAACACTGTATGATTCCACTGACAAGAGGTATCTAAAGTAGCCGAACTCATAGAAACAAAGTAGATTGAAAGTTACCAGGAGCTGGGAGAGAGGAAAGGAGGAGTTACTGCTTAATGGGTAGGAAGTTTGTGTTTGGAGTGAGGAAAAGGTGGTTGCCAAGGGTAGGGGGAAGGAAAACAAAGTTGTTTAATGGATACAGAGTTTCAGTTTTGCACAATGAAAAATCCCGTCAGCAACTGTTGGCAAGGGTGTGGGGAAATTGGAACCCTTGTGGCTTGCTTGTGGGAATGTAAAATGGTACACCTGATGTGGAATAGACTATGGTGGTGGTTCCAAAAAAAAAAAATAAATAAAAAAAAATATATATATACACACACACAAATACATTAAGCATAGCTGGGTGTGGTAGCTCATGTCGGTAATACAAACTACTTGGGAGGCTGAGAAGAGGATTGCTTCAATCCAGGAGTTGGAGACCAGCTTGTGCAAGATAGGGAGACTCTATTAAAAAAATGAAAAAAAATGAAACATGGAATGTACCGTATGCTCTGGGTATACATACAAAAGAACCGAAAGCAGGGACCTGAATAGTTACTTGTGCAACAATGCTTATTATTCACAATAGCCAAAAGGTGGTAATTACTCAGTGTCTGTCAACAGATGAACGGCTAAACAAACTGTATATCTATGTAAGGAAGTATTATTCAGCAAGAAAAAGGAATAAAGTTTTTTTTTTTTTTTTCTGAGACAGGGTCTTGCTCTGTCGCCCAGGCTGGAGCTCACTGCAACCTCTGCCTCCCAGGTTCAGCGATTCTCCTGTTTCAGCCTCCCAAGTACCTGGGATTACAGGTGTGGCCCACCACACCTGACTGATTTTTGTATTTTTGGTAGAGACGGGGTTTCACCATGCTGGCCAGGCTGGTCTTGAACTCCTGACCTCAGGTGATTCGCCCGCCTCGGCCTCCCAAAGTGCTAGGATTACAGGCGTGAACCACTGCACCCCATGTAATAAAGTTTTGATGCATGCTACTGAGAGGTGGCAACTGCTAGCAGCCCTCGCTCGCTCTTGGCGCCTCCTCGGCCTTGGCCTCCGCTCTGTCCCTGCTCCAAGAGCCCTTCACCCCGCTGCTTCGCTGTGGGGGCCCCTCTCTGGGGCTGGCCGAGGCCAGAGCCGGCTCCCTCTGCTGGCGGGGAGGTGTGGAGGAAGAGGCGCGGGCGGGAGCCGGGGCTGCGCACGGCGCTCGCAGGCCGGCACGGTTCCAGGTGGGCGCGGGCTCGGCGGGCTCTGCGCTTGGCGCGGCCGGCAGGTGTCCGCTGGGCTTGATCCGGAACGAGCTCCGTCCGGGCTGCGGGAGTGCCCAGGCTAGGTGCCGCAAAGACCCATGGGAGTGCCAGAGAGAGGTGAAGCCGGCTGGGCTTGTAGGCGGGGTGGGGACTTGGAGAACTTTTCCGTCTAGCTGAAGGATTGTAAATGCACCAATCAGCACTTGTGTCTAGCTAAAGGTTTGTAAACGCACCAATCATTGCTCTGTGTCTGGCTAATCGGGTGGGGACTTGGGGAACTTTTGTGTCTAGCTAAAGGATTGTAAACGCACCAATCAGCACTCTGTGTCTAGTTAAAGATTTGTAAGCGCACCAATCAGCACTCGGTCAAAACAGACCGAACAGCTCTCTGTAGAACGGACCAATCAGCTCTCTGTAAAATGGGCCAATCAGCAGGATGTGGGTGGGACCAAATGAGGGAATAAAAGCAGGCCACCCGAACCGCTGAGGTTCCTTTCCATGCTGTGGAGGATTTGTTCTTTTGCTGTTTGTAATAAATCTTGCTGCAGCTAACTTTTTGGGTCTGCGCCGCTTTTATGAGCTGTAATACTCACCGCGAAGGTCTGCAGCTTCACTCCTGAGGCCAGCAAGACCATGAACCCACCGGAAGGAACGAAACTCCAGACGTGCAGCCTTTAAGAGCTGTAACACTCACCGTGAAGGTCTGCAGCTTCGCTCCTGAAGTCAGCGAGACCACGAAACCACCAGAAGGAACAAACTCCAGACACACCATCTTTAAGAACTGTAACACTCACCGCGGGGGTCTGCTGCTTCATTCTTGAAGTCAGTGAGACGAAGAAGCCACCAATTCCGGACGCACTACAACATGAATGAATCTCAAAAATATTATGGTAAGTGATATAAACCAGACACAAAAGGACAAATATTGCATAATCCTAGTTACATGAAATATATAAAACAGGCAAATTCATAGAGATAGAAAGTAGATTAGAAGTTACCAGCAATGAGAGGAGGAGGAGGGGAGGAGGAATTATTTCTTAACGGATACAAAGTTTCTATTTGGAGTGATGAAAAAGTTTTGGAAATGGATAGTGGTGATGGTTGGACGATATTGTGAATATAATTGATGCCACTGAAATGTACACTTACAAATGGTTAGAATGGCAAATTATATCTTACCAAATATCACGTTTTACCGCAATAAAAGTTATAAAGACGATCTTTGCTTTTATAAATGAGTAAAACAAAAAAAAATACACAAACATTAGACATACAATTCAGTGAGCTACGAGCTATATTGGACTCAGTGGTAGCAACAGGAAGGGGCCCTGACGTTGTCAAAATTTTTCCTACATGCTTAGTGCTTTGTGTGTGCTTTCACTGCATCTGCAGAGAAGCCCTGAGAGGTGCTATGGGGCCTATTTTACAGATGGAAAAACAGGGCAAGTCCTGGTCCAAAGTTATGCAGCTCTATGAATCCAGCATTCAAATCTAGGTCTATCTGGCTCCGAATGGAGTACAAGCAGACCAGTAGTGACCATTTTGGGAAAATTGTTTCACCCTGGAGGATAATTTTCAACTTTTACTTAATTTAACTAGGGAAGATCACTGTGAGGGAGAATAGATTAAATGTGAGCAAGATCCTATCCAACTCTAATTTCTCATAGGATTTTTGCTGGAACTCATCACCCTCAGAACACTGATTTTGGGTTGAGTTTTCTAGTTTATACGGTTTTAGTGCACAACGGCAGATTTGGTAAATGTTGAATACAGTTCTTTTCCAATGTAATAATCCATCCATTTTCATAGTTTAAAATTGACTTTGGTAAGAAACAGAAGTTCTTGAATTTCCTGCCTGTGACCAGAGGAGGCCGCTGTTTCACTATGAATGTTTTTAGAGTCAAACGCAAACTCAAGCATATTGCTGGGTCCCAAAATTATCGTTCTTATTTTCATTCTCTCTCTCTCTCTCTCTCTCTCTCTCTCTCTCTCTCTCTCTCTCTCTCTCTCTTCCTCCCTCCTCTCTGGCCTTTCCTCCTTTCCTTTCCCTTTTTTTTATTTCCTTCTCCTGTTATTATTTCAATAAGTCAGCTCAGATGTGATAACAGGAAGGGGATGTTTCTCTTCTTCACATTCTTTGAACATTTATCCACCTCTTCCCAGACAAATAACTGTTTCCTTTATTTTATTTATTTATCTTTTTGAGACGGAGTCTTGCTCTGCCGCCCAGGCTGGAGTGCAATGGCGCGATCTTGGCTCACTGCAACCTCCACCTCCTGGATTCAAGCCATTCTTCTGCCTCAGTCTCCCGAGTAGTTGGGAGCACAGGCACCCACCACCACGGCTGGTTAATTTTTGTATTTTTAGTAGAGACTGGGGTTTGCCACATTGGTCAGGGTGGTCCCGAACTCCTGACCTCAGGTGATCCGCCTGTTTCGGCCTCCCAAAGTGCTGGGATTACAGGCGTGAGCCACCGCGCCTGGCCACCGTTTCCTTTAATAACAAACTTTCCAAGAAAATGGACCAAATGGAAAAGATACTTTTCCTTCCCCTTTACTATTTTTAAGGATGGAAATGGACTTTCATTTTTGGGTGTAGATTAACAGTTGAACAGTCACATGGCAGAGTTCAGTATTCTTTTCCTCAACCATTCATTTTCACAGTTTAGCCTGTCCTGGCCCCAGAGAGGGCAATGTGGGAGTTTAGAAAAATCCATTGTCAAATCTGGAGAGCATTTAGAAAAATATTTGATAGCTAAAATCATTTTCTGCATGGAGACTATAGCTTTCCAGAAGTTCTTTTGTTAAGCAACTGAAAAGAAATTTAGGTTTTCTTTCTTTCCTTCTTTCTTTTTTCTCTCTCCCTCCCTCTTTCCCTTCCTTCCTTCCTTCTTTCTTTTTCTCTGTTCCTTCCTCCCTCCCTCTGTCTATCCCTCCCTCCCGCCTTCCTTTCTTCCTTTTTTTCTGTCTGATCACTAATGAATCTTTTTAGAAAAGAAACATTTCAGTGCTTTCACCAATGTTTCTGATCTTTGCTTTCCCGTATCTCCATCTGTGTTACTTTAAAAAGCATCTAGCCAGGGCTTTTAACTGGGAAAGTTAATGAGCAAAAGCAAATTTTATCAATTAGAAAAAATATTTTTTAAAAGGAACTTTGTAGCCCGACAGATGAGGGGATCAAGGTGCATGTGTGTTGGGGGCAAGAAAGGTGTGTTACAAACACTATCTTCTTTATTCTAAATTACCTTGTGGAGGCGGGGGGGTGGGGGGGGAAGAATTATTTAATTTAAGGATGAGATGATTTAGAGCTCCAAAAAAATATTCATCTGCAGAAATGCCTCATCACACAATTTGGTTAGTGAGACCTTCAGTGGACTTGGTATTTGTGTCTTGGACACTACCTTTTTTTAAAGGGCCCGAAAGATCTTTAGGGAGTTAGGAGGCAGATGAGCTTTCCTGTTTCTAATTGATATTACTGCTGCTTTTCCTTCTCATGCAGGCTATTCAAACTAACAAGAGGAGGTTGGTAGGGGCCCTCCTACTAAATTGGTTTCAACTACATTTTTCGCTGCGTGTGTGACCTTGAACTAGTCCCTGAATCTGTTGAGGGTTCAGCTGTCCAGATTACACAATGAGATGTGGAATGATGTGATCTGCGACGTTTTTTTGAATGCCAGCTTAGGATTCTCCCTGTCTTTATTGTCTTAGAAGCACCACGTTCAGATTCTGATTCACTATTCCAAGCAACTGTCTCACCTGACAGTAAAAGTAGACAGAATATCAGTTAATACAATATTGTCTTTTCTTTTCTTTTGGTTCTGAAAAGACCTTTGACACAAATCATAGCCATTAGTTGAACAGGAATGGGGAAAAAAGGCAAGTAAATAAAATGATAGAAGACTTTGGAGGGCCTGACTTCCTGGGTTCAAGTCCTGGCTTTGCTACCTCTACCAGTAAGTGGGCAAGCTTTTAAAATTCTTTGTCCTTCCATTTTCTCATCTCGAAAAATAGGATACAAATATCACCAACCTCATGGGTGGGATTGTTGTAAAGACAGATATCACCATATTAATTATTACAGGCTGGGCGCAGTGGCTCACACCTGTAATCCCAGCACTTTGGGAGGCTGAGGCGGGCGGATCACAAGGTCAGGAGATCGAGACCATCCTGGCTAACATGGTGAAACCCCGTCTCTACTAAAAATACAATAAATTAGCTGGGCGTGGTGGCATGTGCCTGTAGTCCTAGCTACTTGGACGGTGAGGCAGGAGAATCTCTTGAACCATGGAGGCAGAGGTTGCAGTGAGCTGAGATCGTGCCACTGCACTCCAGCATGGGCAACAGAGCGAGAGACTGTCTCCAAAAAAAAAAAATTTATTATATAATTATTTCTGCCAACTTATAATTATGCCTTTTATTTATTTATTTATTTTTGGAGATAGGGATCATAGTTCACTGCAACTTTGAACTCCCAGGCTCAAGTGATCCTCCTGCCTTCACCTCCTGAGTAGCTGGGACTACAGGCATATGCCTATTTTTTTTTTATTTTAGTAGAGATTGAATCTTGCTGTGTTGCCCAGGCTGGTCTCAAACTTTTGGGCCCAAGTGATCCTCCCACGTTGGCCTCCCAAAGTGCTGGGATTACAGGCATGACCCCCACCCCGTGCCTGGCCTATGCTTTTTGGAAGATTAGCATCTTCCATTTTTCACTGTGACTCATTAACCAATGTCAGAAACTACTTTTTGTGAAAAACACTATCGTGGGCCCATTTTCCTGCCTTTGTAGTATATATTTACAAACGAGTTGGAAAGATAAGCCTGCCATAAGTAAAATTGAGAGGTGAAGCTGGCTGGGCCTCTGGGTCGGGTGGGGACTTGGAGAACTTTTCTGTCTAGCTAAAGGATTGTAAACACCAGTGGGCACTCTGTGTCTAGCTAAAGGTTTGTAAACGCACCAATCAGCACTCTGTAAAAACGCACCAATAAGTGCTTTATGTCTAGCTAAAGGTTTGTAAATGCACCAATCAGCACTCTGTAAAAACAGACCGATCAGCGCTCTGTAAAATGGACCAATCAGCAGGATGTGGGTGGGGCCAAATAAGGGAATAAAAGCTGGCTATCCTAGCCAGCGGCTGCAACCCACTCGGGTTCCCTTCCACCTTGTGGAAGCTTTGCATTTTCGCTCTTGTCAGTAAGTCTTGCTGCTGCTCACTCTTTGGGTCTTTGGGTCAGCACTACTTTTAAGAGCTGTAACACTCACCGTGAGGGTCTGCAGCTTCACTCCTGAAGTCAGCGAGAGGATGAACCCACTGGGAGGAAGAAACTCGGGACACATCTGAACATCTGAAGGAACAAACTCCGGATGCACCATCTTTAAGAACTGTAACACTCACCGCGAGGGTCTGCAGCTTCATTCTTGAAGTCAGCGAGACAACCCACTGGAAGGAACCAATTTGGGACACAAAATGTAAGTGGATAGCCTGAGAGGGGACTGTTGGGGGAAGGTGCTTCCGAGGTAATAGATCTCCACTGGTGGCTGTTTTGCCGACGCTCCTTCAGGGAACAGGGACTGTGCAGCCCGTTCAAAAGACATGAGCAAACCATTCACCTGGTGTTATAGGCTGAAAACCACTCAACAAGATGGGCTTGAAACCTTCATGTGGGCTCCATTCAAAGGGCGGTCTGAGGGCCAACAGCATGGGCGTTTGGCATTCCTGGGAGCTTGTTGGAAATGCAGCATCTTGGTTACCACCCCACACCTGCTAGATCAGAATCTGTATTAGAACGAGATCCCTAGATACTTGGGGAGATTTCTAGGCAATTGCTGAGCACATTAAAGTTGAGAAATGCAGCCAGACCTATGTTCTATTGTTCTTTTTTTCTTTTCTTTTTTTTTTTTTTGAGACAGAGTCTCACTGTGTCGCCCAGGCTGGAGTGCAGTGGTGCGATCTCCCCTCACTGCAACCACTGTCTCCCGGGTTCAAGTGATTCTCGTGCGTCAGTCTCCGAAGTAGCTGGGACTACAGGCATGCCACCACCCCCAGCTTTTTTGTGTGTGTGTGTTTTTAGTAGAGACGAGGTTTCACCATGTTGGTCAGGCTAGTCTCGAACTCCTGACCTCAGGTGAGCTATCCGCCTTGGCCTCCCAAAGTGCTGGGATTACAGGTGTGAGCCACTGCTCCCGGCCGGTCTATTCCTTTAAGTTTTGATTTTACCTATTGAAGTAGATTGTCAGTAATGATAAATGACATGGAGCAGAAACTGACAAAAATTACCTTGAGGATTTCACTGAAGACACAGAGACCACAATTACAATAGTCGTCAGCCAGATTCTCCAGTTTTTAACCTGTGAATTCACGAGAGAAATTTGCATTTCTATGAAGTCAAAGCAACTCATCATTTTTCCCCTTGCCCTATCTTCCACTATTATTATAGGGGTAAGGAAAATTATTCCGCATTTCTGTGTGAAATGAAAAGGGAAAAAATTTTTGAATATCTTAATGCAATATTCAAAATGGTAAATTTTGTGCCGTATACTTTAAATTAATTGCCTTTCAATCTCACAGTTCTGTTTTTCTTTTAACTTGTTTTGATTTTGAAAGTAATACATACCTATTTTAGAAAAGCTATGTGTATAGAAGATGACAAAGAAAAATGAAAACCGTCATCCAAAAATAACCACTTTTGATATTTTGTTTATAGATTTCTAGGAGGTTTTTTCCCTAAAAAATTGAAATAGATTGAATACATTTCTTTACAGACTGCCTTTTCTCCCATATTACTATTATTGCTTATATTTTCTATGCTGTGAATATTCCACACCACAGAGGTTCTCAAATATGAGTGAGTCTCAGAATTGCAGATTGCTGGCTCTACCCCGAGAGTGTCTGTTTTAGGAGTTTTGGGGTAAGACCTGGGAAGTTGCATTTCCACAAGTTCCAGGAGACCACACTTTGAGAACCACTGCTGTATAGCAGTCTCATTAAACTTGGAATCTGTGTTTTTCTCTCAGGCTTTTTTTTTGTTGCCCAGGCTGGAGTTCAGTGGTGCGATCTCCGCTCACTGCAAGCTCCGCCTCCCGGGTTCACGCCATTCTCCTGCCTCAGCCTCCTGAGTAGCTGGGACTACAGGCTCCTGCCACCACGCCCAGCTAATTTTTTGTATTTTTAGTAGAGACAGATTTCACCATGTTAGCTAGGATGGTCTCGATCTCCCGACCTTGTGATCTGCCCACCTTGGCCTCCCGAAGTGCTGGGATTACAGGCATGAGTCACCGCGCCTGGCCTCTCTCAGGCTTTTAAGGTGATTTTGATGGTCCATCAGGTCTGAGAACTATGATTGAAGCATCATAGAACCGATCTGATGATGCAGTGGCAGGAGGAGAGAGGCATGTGTAGGCTCTAATCAGGCTGCCCTTCTAAAGATGATTTGTTTTTAGAAAATGCACAGGTAAAGGGGGCCTTGGCCATTTTGGTTTAGTCTCATGAAGGGTGTTTTAAACGGTTGCAAACTTTGTACACCTTCAACTGCAAAACATTGTTTTACCACAACTGTGTTGGCTTAAAATGAAGGGAAATTGATTAATGATCATGGACTGTTATTATTGTTGCAAGAAAAGAAACAAGTGGGACAGATTTTATAAAAGCAAGCAAGAGCCAAAAAGCCAGGGGAATACTGTAGAATTGAGTAGTCCTTGGTGAAAATTCACTTCCTATGCTTATCTTCCTGTATTGTCTGATACGTATCTTTTCAGCTTCTTCTATCATGCCAAGAAAACACTAACACATTTCATAAACTCTATGGGACAGGAGTCCAGGCATGGCTTAGCTGGATCCTCTGTAAAACCGCAATCAAGGTGTTGACCAGGACTATGGTCTCATCTAAGGCTCAACGGGGGAAGGATTTGCTTCCAAGGATGCATGATTATTGGCAGAATTCAGTTCCTGGCAGGCTGTTGAATTGTGGGCTTCAGTTTCTTACTATCAGCCAAGGGCCACTGACACGTGCCCACTCCATAGACAGTTCACAACATGGCAACTTGCTTCTTCAAAGCCACCAAAGGAGACACAGTCTCCTAGCAAGGTGGGCATCACAGTCTTCTCTTACGTAATCGTGCATACATAGTCATGTTGGTCATTTTCTCTTGAACTGAGCAACTTATTTTACTTTCCAGAGCTTTGATTTCTTCATTTACACAGGGAAGGAAATAATGCCTTCCATAAAGGAGCTGGGTCATCAGCATCAAATAAGATGACGTGTAAGTGGCAGCTGGTGCAGTAAAGGGTACCTGGATTATTCCCTCCTTTTTCCCAGCCCACCTCTCTCTACCCTGGCTGTCCACCCCTGTACACACACATACTCCCAATGCCCAGTGCCCTGCAGTTTTCATTGCTGCCCTCACTCACATTCAAGTCTGCTCTTAGGAAGCCTTGCATTTGGGGGCAGGGGGTGATGGAAGAGTAAAATGGAAGGCTGGTGAGAAGTCATTGGAAATGTAGGTGAAAGGGATGATTGTGGGGTGATTTCACAGTTAATGGTGAATTCCTGCTTGATGTTACACAGTTTTTTTTTTTTTTTCAGTCCATCTCTAATGGTGGAATAAAAGGCTCTCTTGCTCCAGTTTCAGATGTAGTGGGAGCTGGGGTGGGGAGGAGGTAGTTGGGGACATAGGGCTTTCTCAGCTCTGGAATCATGCAATAGACTTATTTCTTTCTTCATCTACCACAGTAGTCAGCCAAGTCAAAAAAGAAAAGCCTACCCAGGCCTTTGTTTAGTGACTTGGGAGATAGTGGAGGGGATGCAAAGCTTCATTGTTCTTATTGAGGCAAAGGAAGTATTCCTTAGATTCATTGTTACATCATGATTGCATGGGTCTTGTTTTTAGAGTCACTAGCTCTTTGGCCTAGAACAAACCACTCAACTTTACTGAGCCTCAGTTTCCTCATCTGCAGCAGGCCAGGGTACCATTCTGTCCTTGCCTATCATTAGAAGGCTGGAGGTAGAGAAAATTAAATGAGAAAATAGATGAGAAAGCATTTTGGCTATGAGCGATGGCTCAGGCCTGTCATCCCAGCACTTTGGGAGGCTGAGGTGGGAGGATTGCTTGAGCCCAGGAATTCGAGACCAGCTTTGGCAACATAGTGAGACCCCATTTTTATTGAAAAATAAAAATAAATGTAAAAAGAAAGCACTTCATAAGCTATAAAGTGCCATACATATCACAAACATTGAGTATCTTTGCTAACAGCTTGGACGGATTCTGGCTCCAGATAAGAGGAATGTAACTTGACCATTGTTTCCAGCAGGACATGAAGCAATGTCTTTACCTAGTTAACGTCATGTTTGGTACGTTCTGCTCCTCTTTTCCCATGTCAACAAAGCTATTACTTTGTGCACCATTTCCCTGAAGGCTGGAGGATTGGCTAGAGATGCTGATAGGAGGCAAGATTGAATTACCAACTTTGAACTGAAAAGATGGGTGACTCAAAGCCACAGTAGCCAGGACTGGGTGGGGAGATATCATAGAAAACTGAACCACAGATAAAATTCATGTTTTGATTTGTTCTTTCACTTTCTCTTGGACTAACTTTAAAACCAAAAACCGATGAGAGTCATCACTCAAATAGATACTGGCTTTCAGGCTGTTCTCACAGAAAACCTCAGGCATTGCTTATGTTCTTGGGGTCTGCGTTGCTTTGTGTCCTGAATCAAGTCAGTTGCAAGTGAAAAAAAGGTCAATAAACTCAAATTAATAAAGCAAGGACATATTATCTCACTTAACTGAAAAGCTCGGGGGTTCCAGGGGTGTTTTGGGGTGTTGCCTTGATGTCTCTGTTTTCAGTTCTGCTCTTTTCTGTGCTGATTCTGATCTCAGCCTGATGTCCCTCTGTGGTCTCAAGGTAGCTCCCGACAGCTCCCACTAATCCCCAGTCCTCTCTTCCCACCAATTTCAACAAGAATCCCATACTGAGTCTTCTGCTGGCACTGAAGGGTTATTATCTGCAGAGCGACATGCAAATAAAACTTTTCAGAAGATGATGGTATTGGCGGTAGTGTTGTTAATGTGTATAGGCCTGTGTATATGGCACGGCAGGCAGTGGAAGAAGAAATGATTAACAATGGTTTAAGTTGTCTGCTTAAAACCAGGTGTATTTGTCTTCTGTGGTTTCTGTCACAAATTATCACAAATTATGTAGCTTAAAACAGAAACTTATTCTCTCAGAGTTCTGGAGGCCAGGAGTCTGAAATGGGGTTGTTGTCAGGGTCAGGGCTATACTCCTTCTAGAGGCTCCAGAAGATATTCCATCCATTGCCCCTCTGGCTTCTGGTTGCTGTCGGCATTCTTGGGTGTGTGGTTGCATCTCTCCAATCTCCACCTCCATGGTTACATTGCTTCCTCCTATTCTCTGTGTCTTCCCCTCTTCTGTCTCAAATTTCCCTTTGCCCTTTGTTTATAAGGACACTTGTCATTGAAGTTAGGGCCCACCTAATTATCCAGGATCATCTTATCTCAAGATTCTTAATCACAACTGCAAACATACTTCTCCCCAATAAATTAACATTTAAAGGTTTTGGGAATTAGGATGGGAACGTATCTTTTTCATTTTTATTCATTTTTTTGAGACACGGTTTCCCTCTGTCACCCAAGCTGGAGTGCAGTGGTGTGACCATAGCTCAGTGTAGGCTCGAACTTTTGGGCTCAAGAGATCCTCCTGCCTCAGCCTCCCTAGCAGCTAGTACTATAAGCATGCAGCATCACATTCAGCTAGTTTTTTTTTTTTTTTTGTAGAGATGGGGTCTTGCTGTGTTGCCCAGGTTGGTCTTGAATTCCTGGGCTCAAATGATCCTCTCACGTTGGCTTCCTAAAATGCTGGGACTACTGGCATGAGCCACCACACGTGACCCTATTTTTGGGGACCACCATTCCACCTATTATACTATAACAGGATATGTATAAATGTTCTCCTGAAATTCTCTCTAGGTCTTGAATATTTTTCTCTGGTTGCTTAAGCTCTAATTTAAGTCATGTTTTCAGAGCCAATTTCTCCAGCAGACCTGTAAAAGATCTAAACTCTACTTTGAATTCTCAAATGGAGGTGAGGGGCAAGACTTGAAGGAAGTGAGAGGAACTGATTTGGAACTGTGATTGCTGAGGAGGGGAAGAAGGGCATGAGGGCAGGTGGGGAGCAGACTCCAGAGAGTGCAGTTTACTGGCTCCTAAGAGAGGCTGTTGCTTGAGACCATTCCTCACAGACCCTGCCTCGCCCATAGGCTGACAGTAAGAAACCACGTGTGATAACCTTTTCAGAGTCTCCAGGGAAATTTAGCTTTCTGTAACAGCACAAAGCTCATACAAACCCATCTCCTATAAGTGTTTGCATATAGGGTTGCATATTTCATTTATAATAAATTAGATTTTTTCTCATCCCAGGTAGGAAATCATTTCCTAAGAGTTGCTAATCTTACCGAATGAAAGATAATTCATGAGCTTCATGTTTATCTGGTGAATATAATAACATATTGCAAAGAAACAGGTCTTCTGCATTTCATTTTCATGCAGCCACTAGTTTTGGGCCCAACTGTGCTCTGCTCATGGCTGTGATCACCGTAGCTGCTTCTCCCAGCACCCGGTGGTCTGTGATAATTAGCAAGTGCACCTGGAAAGTTCTAGAACTGCTTGGAAATGGAAGTGCCAAGTGATATGATTCTGCGACTACAAAGGATATGTGAGGATTAAGGCAGGGCTGGTCCTGAGCCCTCATGCACTCTGTCTTTGGGAGAGTCACAGCGAGTTGAAAGTTTCACACTAGTCTATAGCCTTTGGGTGAGCCAGGTCTCATGGTGAGAGCTTTGCACAATCAGTGCAGAAGGACAAATAGGGAATGTAGTTCCCCTCAGTTGCACTGGGCCACCTGTGATATGCTCGTGGAAGAGCCCCGGGGTTGTCTTCACCCTTCCTGCCATCTTGTCAACTTTCAAGTTTTCAGGGTCACCAGGGCCTCTGTCTTCTACATGGAAGACAGAAGTCTGATTATCTTTCCATTGGTCTCTGCCTTCGTTCTTCATGCCACCAGCAGGATTATCTTCTGAAACTTTATACACAAGTCATTCCTCAGTAGATAACCCTTCCCTGCTTGCCTCATTGTCACCAAATAATGTTCCAACTCGACAGCCCAGCTCTGAAGACCCTCCTGGGTCTGGGGGTTATCTACCCCTTAAAAATATATTTTTCTTTTCTCCTTAATGAGCCGTCAACTCTTCCACATCTTTAGCTCTTTTTGCTACTTTGAATGACCTCCACTAAACTGTATTGTCAGCTTCCTTATTAGTTGAATGGGAATGACATCCTTAACTCTCCCAGACAGAGCGGTTGATTAAATGGACTATTTAATGGAAAGTTTCTAGGACAGCACCTGATGCACTTATGTGATTACAGCGTGATTACGCAACCTCCATCTTTGGGAATTACTTATTACAAGCTCTCCCTCATAGCTTAGCTTGAGAGCTGCTGCTTCTCTGATGCTGTCGTTGTCCCCTCAGCTTTGGGAGATTTTTTTCCCACTGAAATTCAAAGCACTTCATCGCCATGGCATAATTTGGTGTTATGTACAAGTTACTGTGTGCTTGGGTTTGGTATCGGGTCCAATTTTATGTGCCTCTCAGTGCCCCATGTTACATCTTTTCTTTCCCATAAGTCTTGAACCATAACTTCCTCTGTGGCAAGGGCTCTCTGGGCAGCTGTGCCCCTGGCTCACTTCCTACACATCACAGAGCTCACTGTGACTATGCAATGTGGCTGTTGTGACCTCCACTGTGCTCATGGATGTAGAACCACAGCATATCCAGCACTAAAGTGATAGAGTCTTGGTCCTGTGGCCAAGAAGAAGCAAGATGGAAGCCCAGCTAGTTTCCCTGGGGATGAATTGTCTTAACTAAGTTCCTGGGGCCTTGAATGTAGTAGCTAAAGACAGACCAGGGGGGTTTGAGGTCCCATGCTTCCATCAAGGTCTGTCCTGCAAAGGCATCCCTAGAGACAGTGGATCAGTTGAGTTTGAACTTGGAGTTAGCTAAGACCAGGCTCACAGGGCTCTGGCCTTCCTACTCCTTTAGAACTGAGATAAAGACTGTGTTCAGGGAGTGATGTCTGGTTTCCCAATGGCTTCCCAGAGCGACCAGGTAACACAACTTATATGAACTTGGACTGATGAGAATGGGAGACAAGAACAAGCCTACAGATCAATTGCTCTCCTTCCCTCCCCATGTGGTTCTAGTTTCCGGGTAGCATCTGGAGGCTGTCCATGTGATAGGCACGATATACTTGATTTTGAAGATGTGCCCAGCTGGGAGAGGATACCCTTCTATTTGCTATGTTTTGCCACTCTACTGTCCTTTCCTCCACTCCAGATTCCAGTGTGTTGCACTCCTCAGGAAAACCGGATGCAAGCGTTGCCTAAGTTTTTGCTTCCTAAGGAAGCATGCCCTGAAAATTTTTATCTACCATCTCTCTTTTTCCTCCTCTCCTCCCTTTCCTTTCCCTCTCATTTCCTCTTCTCCTCTGGTCTTCTCTGTTTTTCTTTCTTCTCCTCTGTTACTTATTTTGTTCAAAAACCAAATCATAGAAATTTGATTTTTCTAGGGAAGGCTCCCACATTGCTTCACTCTGAGGCTAAAGCCCTAAGGAATCATGGGGGCAGTAGCCTTCTGAGTGGGATTCAGGATGCTGAGCTTGATAAAATATTCTTTTTCATTTTTAGAGACAGAGTGTTCCTCTGTGGCCCAGGCTGGAGTGCAGTGGCATGATCATAGCTCACTGCAGCCTCAAACTCCTGGGCTCAAGCAGTCCTCCTGCCTCAGCCTCCCAAATATCTGGGATTACAGATGCTGGAGCTTGACAAAATAAACGTGGGTACACCCCAATTTTAAGTGATCCTCTGGTTTTAACTTCGTTTCCTTTATAAAAGAGGTTCCCATAACCACCTATCACATATAAAAATTATTTGATTAATACATTTCAGTTGGCGATGAACTTTGTAGTTGCAGCCGCAGTGTAAGAAGTCAAGGGAGAGGCTGGCCACAGAGGAGAAGACATGTACCCGCTCTCCCCTGGAAGGTGGGGGTAGTGGCATCTTTCCTTTGCTCTGTTTTTATCTCTCTGATGGGAGCAATGTGAAAAATTCTAAAAATCCTCTATCAGCACTGGGGAGCTTCACAAATGTCTGACATTGCCACATAGTCATTTGTGTGTTTGTGTGTGTGTGTGTGTGTGTGTGTGTGTGTGTTTGTGGTGGGGGAGTGGTGGTAGGTAGAACAATGGCCCCCAAATGTCCACATCCTAATTCCTGAAATCTGCAAATATGTTACCTAACATGGCAAAAGGGAGTTTGCAGATGAGATTAAGTTAAGGGTCTTGAGATGGGAAGCTTTATTGGATTACTGTGGTTGCCTGTAATCACAATTGTCCTTATTAAGAGGGAGGCAAAAGTGTCTGAGTCACAGAGAGAGATTTGAAGATGCTACCCTGCTGGCTTTGAAGATGGAGGGAGGGGCTATGAGCCAATGAATGCAGGCCACCTTTAGGAGTTGAGAAAGGCCAGGAACCAGATTCTCCCCTCCAGCCTTCAGAATGAACTTAGCCCTACACCTAGACACCTAGCCCTCCTGACACCTAGATTTTAGTCCAGTTAGACTTTAGACTTACAGAACTATAGGACAATAATTCTGTGTCAGTTTAAGCCACTAAGTTTGTGGTAATTTGTTGCAGTAGCAATAGAAAACTAATATGGGGGGTGTTGAAATACAACTTTTGAGTTACTTGTAGTTAATTAGTTAAGTATAGTTATTTGTTGATCTCCTCTGTGGCGGGCACAAAGGTGATTCTTTCCCCTTGGAGCCTGCAGTCTGGGAAGCAATTATTCTAGCGAGTTCTACTGTGCATAGCTGTATTAAATTGCCTGTTTTACTTGTTGGGCAGGATATTTTGGTTAGGATATTTCTTTTTCTCCATGTGATTTTTTTTTTTCACTAAGAAGTCATTTCTAATTTAAACCATTGAGCACTTTACATTTATTATGTGGAAGGCATGATAAATGGTTGCTAGGGAGATAATTCTCTTCAAGGGGTTTCCAATCTATTAGTAAAATTAGAAAGAGTTTAAAATAGACAACTAACTCTACAAGGTGGTGTATGATTTTTAATAGGATGGGATTCGGCCAGAAGCAGAACCCAGGACTCCCTGAATCTCCCTTCAGCTTCCAGCCTCTATCCTAGATAGATGCCATGTACAGAACCCTGCAGGTGTAAGGAATTCTTTATTACCTATGGACCTAGTTTCTCTGGAGACTCCAACCCTGCTGCTAGTCTGAATCATGCCCAGCTTCAAGGGCTCTCTGTATCCCTGTAAATTTAGACTTAGACTAGAGGTAGATCAAGGTTACACCAAATGCTGATCTTGACCTGATAAATTTTACTTATAGCCTACGCCACACACAAGAGAAGAAAATCCTTTTAAATCTTTTTAAAAACAGACTATTCACCTCATTTTTATTCCTCCAGCTAAACATCTTCTTCCTGTGCCCTGTCAGCTCTGTGCCCTAATTGTACCTCTGTTCTTCAAAATATCCCCGGACCATCTGGCAGGGTCCAAGGATATTTTTTATAGATTGTCTAAACAGGAGGAGAGAAGCCTTGGGATTTGCCTCGAGGTCAGAGTGTGTGACCAGCTATGCTAAGTGCCTCAAGAGACTCTTGCAATTTCAGGGGATTCATGGGTCCCAGGAGAGGGATGTACCATGAGGTCAGTGGGTCACAGAACCTTTCATGGAGGGAATGACATGTGCCTCAAAGGACATGGACGATTTAATTGAACAGAGGGGAGGGAGCGTTTTCCAGGTAGGGGCCTGGGATAAAGTGGAAAGTAGGAATCTGTAGTGTTTAGGGTCCAGAACCTATTTAGAACTGACTTCATGCTTGCAATTCTAGTTATCTGATTTGAGTCTTTCTCAAAATATGACTGGTATTTATTTATAGGATAGTGCTGTAGCCAACGTTCTTGGAGTGAAAGTGATTGTATTGAGAAATCTGGGAAACTCGGCAGGGATATATATTCTTAATCCTTTTTAATTAGAAGCCCCTGAGGAGACACAGCTGTCTGAGCCCTCTATTCACCTGCAGATTAAATGAGACAGGTATTAATTGACAATTTCTCTTGTCCTTGGTTAAGAAGCCTATCTCATAGAAGAACATAATGAAACATCTGCAAGATGGTATGCATTGCAGTAGTTTACTCTGATTACGCTGTGAGTGTGTACAGAGAAAAAGAAGCACCACAAGGTAATGTAGACGGGCCTCAATCCCAGGAATTTATTATTTGAGCAATCTGTAGTAAAACTTGCTCCTAATAGTGAGAGTAGATGGTACCTTTTTAAAAACAATTTGCAAATTTTTCTTTTTTGCACATTTTGAATTAAACCCCAATAAATTTGTCTGCACTGGGTATGGAAGAGCATGGAATGGCTGAGCATAAGTTGTCATGGTCTTAGGTACAATGTTCAGTAACTGGTTCATTAAAAATTGACACAGAGTCCTTGAGTGGGAAATTCCATGAATTGTGGAGAGTCTTGGAAGACACTGTTTACACAGGATGACTTATTGTACATCTTTTCTTAGCATATGTGGAATTCCACGATTAGTGTCTCACTCTTCTGTGTCTGCCACATTTTCTACTTTTTTGTTTGTTTGTTTTTGTTTAAGACAGGGTTTCACTCTGTAATCTAGGCTGGAGTGCAGTGGGGGGATCTTGGCTCACTGCAACCTGCGCCTTCTGGGTTCAAGCGATTATGGTGCCTCAGCTTCCCGAGTAGCTTGGACTACAGGTGTGTGCCACCACATCCGGCTAATTTTTGTATTTTTTTTCGGTAGAGACAGGGTTTTACCATGTTGCCTAGGCTGGTCTCAAACTTCTGATCTCAAGTGATCCACCCACGTTGGCCTCCCAAAGTTCTGAAATTACAGGCATGAGCCACTGCACCCGGCCACATTTTCTAGTTTTCTTGTGCTTCCTACTGAAATAAAATCTCTTTTGGTGATGCAGCTTTAGCTATTATCATGCATTATCATCTCAGAAGGGATTAGCTGACCACGGCAAATTGATAATGAAAGTGCACATCCTGTAAACACAGGTGGAAGGAGACACAAGCATCCAGGAAAGAGAGACCCAGGGAGCCCAGTGTCACAATTTGTCCCAGGCAGTGACTTGTAAATGTCTAACTGGGGCTCTACGTATCCTATCAATGGTTGGATGGTCAGCTCAGGCACTTTGGTTGCTGGCAACAGAAGCTACCTCTAGCTAATAACAGGGAGAGAAAAATAAAGGAATGTAATGGGAGGATATGGGATAGCACACAGAACCAAAGAAAAAGATAAATAAATAAGCAATAAGTGGGACAAGCATGTGGGCAGAGTGAGGAGAATAATGGACAGTGTCTGTGAGCATCACTTTTGGGATAAATCTGCTACAAATGTTTTCTGTCTTTGAAGTTTGCTGCACGATATTTGAATCCTTGTTGGGGACAGGGAGAATCCGACCTAGTTTATTGCCCCTGAATCAGGAAAGGGGAGGCATCCTAAATGACAACTCCATCAACACCACCAGCGAGGAGGAGGGTGATTTTCCACAGGAGGGCAAGATGTTGCCCCCAAATCAAGTGAGATGGGCTTTGGGCTCCTCATAACAATAGATGTCATCTCCAGGTAGCTAGAAGTTTTCTAATGCTTTCTAAGTGGGAGAAACAAATTTTTTTTCTATGCACTTTCAATATAAACATCAAAGCTTCCAAACAATTTTTGTCAAGACTTAAACATAGGGGCACTTGTAAACAGGGTAAGAAAAACTAAAGAAGAGGGAACAATTGGTAGAGGCTGCAGATGAATCTGAAGTCCCGTTTAGAGATTCATGACTTTATTTTCATTCTGAAATATTAAAGGTAAGTGATATACAACGATCTCAGAATTTCTAAGAGGAATTTATGTAAGATTGTACATAAAGTCAATAGAATATGGTACAGAAAATCTGGACTTTAGGAGGGGTTTATAAACTCAGATTTTTTTGTTTTTGCAATTCTTTCCTTCATAATATGGAAATAACCAAATCTCTTAGGGTTGTTTAAGATACCTGAAGCTCTTGGTATATATTAAGACTTAATAAATGCTAGCTTGCTTCTCTCCCACTGTGTGTTTATGTATATGTTCCTCTTTATGTATGAATCATATATACTAACGTAGTTTTCCTTTCCCTGTAATGAGCTGAAAACAAATGATCTTCTCCTCAATTCTATTTTTCTTCTTTGTAGCTGATGTTGGTAACAGGAGTATATAGCCAACAAGCTCGTCCCTATCCTGAGGTTCATATTACAAGATACAATCATTTTTCCCTTGGCGGTAGATGAGGCAATTTATATCTCTGGTTGTCTTAAGCATCTCCTACAGCAAATCAGCTATAGTTTAAAGTCAAAATGAAATCCTCCGTGGATTTGAATCATAGCTAGAAGCAAGACCATCAAGTTAGGAGTGCTTGATTGAGCAAAGTGGAAAAAACAAAAAAAGCTTACAACACCTAAATTACAACGAATGGTAGTAATATGTCATCCATGGCAACTTCAGTATTCTCAAATTTTTTTTATTTGCTCAACCAATTCCACATATTGAAATGGCTTGATGGGGTGAGTCTTCCTAATTTTTATTTTAAATGGGGCTGAAAGTAGAAACTGTTATAGAAATAAACAAGAAGCTGTTTAAGGAGACAACCAGAGGGAGAAGGCAGCAAATAATCTTGGAAGATATAGGAGAAAGAGCAAGTCATCTTGCAAAATATGGTAAGAAAAATCTACCATCCCCGCCCCAGCCCAAGGGAGAGAGTAAGCCAGGGTACCCAGAACATGGAAAAGGAGCTTCAAAGTCAACCAGAACAAAATTGGAATTCCAGCCTTGCCACTTTCTAGTTGCTGATCAACTTTAGAAACATGTCTTAGCCTCTTTGATTTTCATTGTTCTTATCTGTAGGATAAGGCTAAAAAATATCTCCATTTGCAGGACTCCTGTGAGGATGAATTGAGAATGTAAAGCACTTTGGAGTGGTTGGAACATACAAAACATTTGACAAATGATGTAGTGTTATTGTCTTAATATATTTAATACAATATATATTCTAAGATATATTGAAATATGCATGCATTAAGATTTGACCTGAAAAATGGGGAATTATGCTTTATTATGTGAAAGTTAATAATCTTACAATAATTATGAATAGTAATCATATTCTTTTTTTTTTTTTTTTGAGACAGAGTTTCACTCTTGTTGCCCAGGCTGGAGAGCAATGGCACGATCTCGGCTCACCGCAACCTCCGCCTCCCGAGTAGCTGGGATTACAGGGATGCGCCACCATGCTTGGCTAATTTTGTATTTTTAATAGAGATGGGGTTTCTCCGTGTTGGTCAGGCTGGTCTTGAACTCCTGACCTCAGGTGATCCACCTGACTGGGACTTCCAAAGTGCTGGGATTACAGGCGTGAGCCACTGTGCCCGACCCATACTAATTCTTACATAAAAATGCTGAAACTTGAGGGTGATACAGCATAAGAAAAAACATAGGTTTGGGGTCAGAAAGTTTTCAGTTTCTTCTGATTGGTGGCTGAGATGTTTGGATAAGTCACTATAACTTGCTGAATTTCAGTGTCTTTATCCATAGAGAGGGGATAATAACACTTACTTTTTAGAGTTTTGGGAGGATTATAAAACAACTAATGAATATTGCCTGGCATATGGTAAACAAAAGACACCTGTTCTCTTCCCTTTTTGGTATTATTCTGAGACTACTATATAATCCTACTATATCTCATAGTCACCTTAGAATACAGACAGAATATAGAGTCTCAAAATCTCACAGATAGCATATAATATATTGGAATCATCAAATATAAATATAAAATTGAACCTGGTGAATATTCAAACTCTGCTAACTGATGCATCAGGGCTTCTGATGTGTCAGAAGTAAGTAAGTAAGTTGCTAGGTAATTTCTGTAGTACTAGGCCTTTACTACCTTAGAACAGAGAGGCCATTCCTTTGAGGCAGTTTTAATTGTCAGAAAGTTCTTAATATTGAACTGAAATCTCCTCCTGGCAATTTCCCTTCAGTGGTTATAGTTCTAGATGCTGATCATATTCACATCACAGCCCTTTGTGTATTTTAAGTCTGCTGTCTTAGAACAGCACCTGGCCGATGGTAGGTATTCAGCAAATGTTTCCTCAGTGAATGAATGAGCGGATGAATGGGACAAGAAATGAGAACCATTTTACAGTGTGAGTGCTTTACTGCCTATGCTGAGAATGTTAGCACAATTTCTTTTGCACAAAATGGTAATATATTGTATCAGTCATGGTACAATAAAGACAGCAGAACCATTACGAGTTTTATAGAATAAGGGATTTATCATAGTAATAAAGCCTTATACCATTATGGAAGGGGCCGGAGAAGTATAGTTTACAAGGAGGGGTTGGAGGATCAGAGAAATGTCTATAACCGTGCCTTTTGAAATGCTAGTGCAAGTGGACAAGGGCAGAGTTCACAAAGGAATGTGGGAAGGCAGGGGCAGCAGCTGAGGAATGAAACTGGGAAGGAGCCTGGGAACCCTGTTGTTGCCTTTGCATCTGGTTATGGGCCTGGAAAGATTGTTGGCCCGTGTGTTCAGGCTCTCCAGAGAGAAAGAACCAGTAGGATCTATCTGCCTGCCTGCCTATCTATCTACCCATCTATCCGTATATCATCTATCTGTATATCATCTATCTATCTGTCTATCTCCATCTGTCTATCATCTGTTTATCATCTATCTATCCATCCATCCACCCATCTTTCTATCTATAGAATTGGCTCACGTGATTACGACGGCTGGGAAGTCTAAAATCTGCAGGGGGACTGGCAAGTCTGAGATCCTGGAGAGCTGATGGTGCAGATAAAGGCTGAAGGCAGTCTGTTGGAGAAGTTCCTCTTGCTCAGGGAGGCTGATCTTTTTGTTCAGTTCAGGCCTTTAACGTATTGGATGAGGCCCACCCACATTGTGGAAGGCAATCTACTTTACCTAATAGTTCACTGATTTAAATGTTAATTTCATCTCAAAATGCCCTCTGAGTTGACACATAAAATTACCTATCACAGTCAGCAAAGCTTGCAGTCAGGAAGAAGAGCTAGATACAGAGGAGGGAAAACATGAATGAGGGCTGGAATCTGCCAGCACTTCTGCTTCTATCCCTTGTTGCACTAACAATGATGGTCTTTGAAGAGTCAATGGCTGCCGTTCACTTCTGCCTTCCAAATCTTGCTCAGGTTTCCCAGAAGATAATTCTGGGAATCATAGTGCTAGTAGACCAGTTGGCATGCATAAAACTACGTAGTCAACCCATTGTTAACTTGGCACCATATATACCTTTTTAACATATATTTAACTTTCTAACTTGATGCAACCACCCCCCAAACAACCTAACACCTGCTAACCTTCTTGCCCCAAAAGGATACAAAGTCTCATGTGTCATCTAATCCATCTCTGGGTGATGTTATTACCCTTTTTTTTTTTAATTATACTTTAAGTTCTAGGGTACATGTGCACAACGTGCAGGTTTGTTACATATGTATACATGTGCCACGCTGGTGTGCTGCACCCATTAACTCGTCATTTACATTAGGTATATCTCCTAATGCTATCCCTCCCCCCTCCCCCTACCCCATGACAGTCCCCGGTGTGTGATGTTCTCTTTCCTGTATCCAAGTGTTCTCATTGTTCAATTCCCACCTATGAGTGAGAACATGCAGTGTTTGGTTTTTTGTCCTTGCGATAGTTTGCTGAGAATGATGGTTTCCAGCTTCATCCATGTCCCTACAAAGGACATGAACACATCCTTTTTTATGGCTGCATAGTATTCCATGGTGTATAAGTGCCACATTTTCTTAATCCAGTCTATCATTGATGGACATTTGGGTTGGTTCCAAGTCTTTGCTGTTGTGAATAGTGCCGCAATGAACATACATGTGCATGTGTCTTTATAGCAGCATGATTTATAATCCTTTGGGTATATACCCAGTAATGGGATTGCTGGGTCAAATGGTATTTCTAGTTTTAGATCCTTGAGGAATTGCCACAGTCTTCCACAATGGTTGAACTAATTTACAGTCCCACCAACAGTGTAAAAGCGTTCCTATTTCTCCACATCCTCTCCAGCACTGTTATTACCCTTTAAGCTGCATCACACTTTTCCTTTGATATCTTGTAACCTGAATACTGAGATAAAAGACTAACCAACTATTAACACATCTGATGATCAATACTAGCTTAATGAGAGAAGGGGAAGAAAGGAACATAATTGGTTAATATATACACAGGTATTTATATGAAAGTAAGAAAAACAATAGCCAGAATTGCTAGTCTTTGTTTTTATAACTGGACAGACAGGCTTAACTGGTGTTATAATTTCCTTCTTCCTCTGCCCATTCCTGGTGGTCATCGTTCTTTCCTAGCGGAATAACTAAAAGTTTAATTCCTTATTATGTAATATGATATAACTAGCTATAACTTCCCTGCCAAGTGTTGTCCCTAAGCTGGTGTCATAACTAAGTTTCCCAAAGGTTATTCAGTTGTTTTTTCAGACTGGTGGCTGATTGGCAGCATGGTAAGACTAGTCAATACTATACATATGAGCTTATTGTCATATTTTATTTGATGGAATATGATCTCCTGGTTTGGAAACAAGGCTGTGTGTGACACTTTGATAATTAATGAGGCCGTCTCTGAGTCTACAAGCACTGATTTTGGCAGAAGCGTTGTAGGCAGGGAAGGCACATTTACATGCAGAGTAAGTGTCTTTTCCAGTGGGAACAAACCACTGCCCCTTCCATGATGCCTCCAGGTGACTAGAGGATTCTCTCAGGTAGTGAGGCTACATCAGAGATTCAGGGCTGGCCTCTGCTGCTGGCAGATTGAGCACTCAGCAGTGGCTGGATTGGATCCACCTTACTGAGCCCATGTATACCCTTCAGCCCTGCCACTGTGACCAATTGATTAATGAGGTTGTTGGGCAAGAAGTGGGATGATGTGGAAAAGAGCCAAATGGATATCCACATGCTAGGTCATCTTGTCCATGTTATTAATAAGATCCTCCTCTGCTGAGATAGCTCTTCAGTGAACAGTCACATGGAATCTGAACATTTTTACATGGTGGGCATTCAGAGAACTCCATTTATATTCCCCTTCTCAATAACTATTTTGTCATTTTTTCTAATCATGTTTCTCCCCCCAACCCCCGCCCCGGCAGACTCTGCCCAATCAGTCAAATATTAAGCTACTTCTCATAAATCAGTGTAGATCTCTACCTGCAGGGAGAATTTCACTTCCTATTGTCCCTCACAGCCACACCTGGGTGGGGCTGTGGTGCTATAGTTGTCTGTTTTTGAGTGATGCTTGCATTATCATACAGAAGCATCTGTAAATCAGGCCTAACATTTTCGTTTTCAGTCAACTGATTATGAGGTACTCCCCACAAGACTACTTCTATTGTTACATGAAAATCACCCTCTATGTTTAGTAGCTTAAAAGAATAACAGTTTTATTTGTTTGCTATTCTGTGGGTCAGGAATTCACAAGGTGCATAGTGGGACCAGCTTGCCTCTGCTCCATGTGATATATGCTGGACTGGACCACATCAGATGACTGACTTGGGATCATTACGTCTGGGGCCTCAGTTCTCACTGTCACTTGCACTCCGATTCTCCTTCACATCCTCTCCTTCTCTTTGTGTCATCCTCACATCATCCTTCTGGAAGAATAGCTGTACTTCGATGGCTGTGCAGAGCTCCTAGTGGCAACAAAGCAGGGATGCCAGCCCTTCTAAAGGCTCAGTTCCAGAGTTGCAAAGCATCACCTCCACTGAATTCTAGTATTTATTAAGTAACCTGCTTTATTCAGCTTCAATTGAAGGGGCAAGAGCTACACCAGGTCATGAATTTTTGGGAGTCATAATTCTTTGAGAACTGCAACTGACTAGTATATGTACTTTTGGAATTTTTTTAAAAGAAATTTTTGTTGCCTATATAAAAATCATAGCCTGGGCTGGGCGCTGTGGCTCATGCCTGTAATCCCAGCACTTCGGGAGGCTGAGGTGGGCGGATCACAAGGTCAGGAGTTCGGGATCAGCCTGGCCAACATGGTGAAACCCCATCTCTACTAAAAATACAAAAATAGCTGAGTGTGGTGGTGGATGCCTGAAATCCCAGCTACTTGGGAGGCTGAGGCAGGAGAATCGCTTGAAATCAGAAGGTGGAGGTTGCAGTGAGCCTAGATCGTGCCACTGCATTCCAGCCTGGGCAACAAGAGCGAAACTCCGTCTCAAAAAAAAAAAAAAAAAAAAAAAATAGCCCAATAGCTCTAATCTGTATACAGAGGGATAACGTTTATAGCAATATTCAGGATTTCTCCTAACATCATAGAAATACATTGATAGTGATAGCTCTTGACTGAAAGACAAATTCATTCTCTTGTTTCTCTGTTGGAAATACCACAGAAATAGTAAATGAAATGTCCCCAGCCGTGGTCAACGTATTTTTCCTGCACTGTTCATTGGCTGTTATCAAACCTTTAGAATAAACTTGTTCGGCAAGTTTATTGGGCATTGCTTGGTGTCCCAAATTGCTAGCTGATTATTTTAAAATCTGATCTCGTGTTTTTGTTTCTCTTCACCACTTGTGACCCTGTAGCTCTTTGGCCATTTAAACTAAGCCACAAATCTTAGACTGTCAGTGAAGGGGAGACCAGAAAGAACACAGTGTGAACAAAGAGTCAAATCCTTGGCTTTTTGTTCTAAAATAAGCTTTTATAATTCTTAGTAGAGCGATAGCATTTTGTATTTGTAAAATCTGAACTTTTTAGGGAAGAAAATATGTGGGGCTTTAAAGCAGCTATTGCTTGGAGGATAAAGAATGTAGAACTTATCTTTTAAACAACAGAATAGAAGATGATGTGTACTAAGAGCAGTTACCCTCCAAAAAGACTTAAGTACAACCACTTTGGAAAACTGGCAGTTTCTAATAAAGCGAAACATTCATCTACCCTTTGACCCAGCACGTTTACACCTTATCTAGGGACACATAGTGCTAGTAGATCAATTTACCCAAGATAAATAAAAATATATGTCCAAAAATATTTGTGTGTAAACATTTATAGCAATTTTATTCATAGTAGTAAAAAATTGGGAATAATCTAAATGTCTATCAGGTGACTAGATAAACTGTAAAATTTTCATACAGATTTTAAAGATGTGACTTACTTAACAGAAGAGAAGGTATATGAAATTACTGAATTATGTAGAGAAAGAGAGGATTATTCCCCCTTAACTGTGTTATTGGAAGAGTTTTTTCTAGTGCTGAGGCATTGGTAGAGAGCTTCTGGAAAGCTAAACAACACACCAAGGAAGAACTGAAGTCTCTTCAAGCAAAGGATGAAGAGAAGAATGAAAATGAAAAGGCAAAAGCTGCATGTTCTGCTGCTGCTATGGAAGAAGACTCAGAAGCATCTTCCTCAAGCACAGGTGATAGCTCACAGGGAGACAACAATTTGCAAAAATTAGGCCCTGATGATGTGTCTGTGGATACTGATTCCATTAGAAGGGTCTACACCAGATTGCTCTCTAATGAAAAAATTGAAATTGCCTTTCTCAATGCACTTGTATATTTGTCACCTAACGTGGAATGTGACTTGATGTATCACAAGGTATACTCTCAAGATCCTAATTATCTGAATTTGTTCATTATAGTAATGGAGAACAGAAATCTCCACAGTCCTGAATATCTGGAAATGGCTTTGCCATTATTTTGCAAAGCAATGAGCAAGCTACCCCTTGCAGCCCAAGGAAAGCTGATCAGACTGTGGTCTAAATACAATGCAGACCAGATTCGGAGAATGATGGAGACAGTTCAGCAACTTATTACTTACAAAGTCATAAGCAACGAATTTAACAGTCAAAATCTGGTGAATGATGATGATGCCATTGTTGCTGCTTCGAAGTGCTTGAAAATGATTTACTATGCAAATGGTAGTGGGAGGGGAAGTGGACACAAATCACAGTGAGGAAGATGATGAAGAGCCCATCCCTGAGTCCAGTGAGCTGACACTTCAGGAGCTTTTGGAAGAAGAGAGAAGAAACAAGAAAGGTCCTTGAGTGGACCCCCTGGAAAATGAACTTGGTGTTAAAACCCTGGATTGTCAAAAATCCCTTATCCCTTTTGAAGAGTTTATTAATGAACCACTGAAGGAGGTTCTAGAAATGCATAAAGATTATACTGTTTTCAAAGTAGAAACAGAACAAATTCTCTTTTATGACATACCCCTTTTTAGCGTATGCTGTCACAAAGAATTTGGGATTATATTATGACAATAGAATTCGCATGTACAGTGAACGAAGAATCACTGTTCTCTACAGCTTAGTTCAAGGACAGCAGTTGAATCCATATTTGAGACTCATTGTTAGATGTGACCATATCATAGATGATGCACTTGTCCGGCTAGAGATGATCACTATGGAAAATCCTGCAGACTTGAAGCAGTTCTATGTGGAATTTGAAGGAGAACAAGGTGAGGGAGGTGTTTCCAAATAATTTTTTCAGCTGGTCGTGGAGGAAATCTTCAATCCAGATATTGGTATGTTCACGTACGATGAACTTACAAAATTGTTTTGGTTTAATCCATCTTCCTTTCTTTTCTTTCTTTTTCTTTTTTTTTTTTTTGAGATGGAGTCTCGCTCTGTCACCCAGACTGGAGTGCAGTGGCATGATCTCTGCTCACTGCAAGCTCCACCTCCCGGGTTCACACAATTCTCCTGCCTCAGCCTCCTGTGTAGCTGGGACTACAGGTGTGCACCACCACACCCGGCTAATTTTTGTATTTTTAGTAGAGACAGGGTTTCACTGTGTTAACCAGGATGGTCTCGATCTCCTGACTTCGTGATCCATCTGCCTCGGCCTCCCAAAGTGCTGGGATTACAGGCGTGAGCCACCACACCCGGCTAATCCATCTTTTCAAACTGAGGGTTGGTTTACTCTGATTGGCATAGTACTGGGTCTGGCTATTTACAATAACTGTATACTGGGTGTACATTTTCCCATGGTTGTCTACAGGAAGGTAATGGGGAAAAAAGGAACTTTTTATCACTTGGGAGACTGTCACCCAGTTTTATATCAGAGTTTAAAAGATTTATTGGAGTATGAAGGGAATGTGGAAGATGACATGATGATCACTTTCCAGGTATCACAGACAGATCTTTTGGTAACCCAATGATGTATGCTCTAAAGGAAAATGGTGATAAAATTCCAATTACAAATGAAAACAGGAAGAAATTTGTCAATCTTTATTCTGACTACATTCTCAATCAGTAGAAAAACAGTTCAAGGCTTTTCGGAGAAGTTTTCATACGGTGTCCAATGAATCTCCCTTAAAGTACTTACTCAGACCAGAAGAAATTGAATTGCTTATATGTGGAAGCCAGAATCTAGATTTCCAAGCACTAGAAGAAACTACGGAATATGACGGTGGCTATACCAGGGACTCCGTTCTGATGAGGGAGTTCTGGGAAATCATTCATTTATGGATGAACAGAAAAGACTCTTCTTGCAGTTTACAGTGGGCACAGACAGAGCACCTGTGGGAGGACCAGGAAAATTAGTGATGATTCTAGCCAAAAATGGCCCAGACACAGAAAGGTTACCTACATCTCCTACTTGCTTTAATGTGCTTTTACTTCCAGAATATTCAGGCAAAGAAAAACTTAAGGAGAGATTGTTGAAGGCCATCACATATGTGAAGCATTTGGCATGCTGTAAAACAAAACAAAACACAAAAAAGGAAGAAAAAATTTTTTAAAAATTTAAAAATATAACAAGAGGGATAAATTTGTGGTGGTGATAGTGTCCCAGTACAAAAAGGCTGTAAGAAAACCACAGTAGTCACCTGTTGTCTGTGACTCCCTTCTTTACTGGGGACATGTGGGCCGGAACAGCAGATTTCAGCTACATATATGAACAAATCCTTTATTATTATAATTTTTTTTGAGTGAAAGTGTTACATATTGTTTCACTTGTATGTACAGAGAGGTTTTTCTGAGTTATTTAAGGGTTAAATCACTTTTGCTTGTGTTTATTACTGCTTGAGGTTGAGCCTTTTGAGTATTTAAAAAATACATACCAACAGAACCACTCTCCCAAGGAAAATATTGCCACCATTTGTAGACCATGTAACCTTCAAGTATGTGCTACTTTTTTGTCCCTGTATCTAACTCAAATCAGGAGCTGTATTTTTTTTTTTAATGATTTGCTTTTGAAACTTGAAGTCTTGGAAACTGTGATGCAATTACTGCTCTTCTAGACCCCAAAGAGTTTTCTGTGCAAAATCTTGAGAATCAATAAAGATGGAAGGGAGAAATTGGAAAAAAATTTCATACAATGCAATATAATGGAGTAAATTACTAATAGTGCCACATGCATGCATCTCAAAAACATGATGCTGAGTAGATGAAGCCAGACCCCAAATAGCACACCCTGCATGATTTCGTTTATATGAAATTCTGGCACACACAAAATTAATCTGTGATGATAGAAATCAGAAAAGTGTTTGCCTAGGAGTGGTAATTGATGGGGGGTTGGGAAGCATAAGAAAAATTTCTGGTGTGATAGAATATTCTATATCTTGATAAGACTATAGGTTACAAAAGTGTATACATTTGTTAAAACTAATCGAATTGTTCATACACTATATGTAAATTATACCTTAGTGAAAGAAAGGAGATAAAAGTCTATCCAGCGGGAGTGAGGAGGAGATTTGGAGAGAAAGTAGACATGGTTTGGATGCTAGTGTGTACTGAAGATTCCTCTTTCCCCAGCCTTGTTGACCACACTTTGTTCCTCTTGACCCAAGAATGTCCAACATGGCATTGGAGACTGTATAGGTAAGGTGTCCAGGTAATGAGCTGAGAGAGTCTCACAGAATCTAGATGATATGTTCGGCTGTGTTCCCACCCAAATCTCATCTTGAACTGTAGCCCCCATAGTCCTTATGGGTTGTGGGAGGGACGTGGTGGGAGGTAATTGAATCATGGGGGCTGGTTTTTTCCCATGATGTTCTCGTGATAGTGAATAAGTCTCATGAGATCTGATGGTTTTATAAAGGACAGTTCTTTTGCACACACTGTCTTGCCTGTTGCCATGTAAGATGTCCCTTTGCTCCTCCTTCGTCTTCAGCCATGATTGTGAGGCCTCCCCAGCCATGTGGAACTGTGAGTCCATTAAACCTCTTTTTCTTTATAAATTACCCAGTCTCTGGTATTTATTCATGGCAGTATGAAAATGGACTAATACACTAGATCTCACTGTGTATGAGGTAGAGCATAGAAAAGCCACTTAGATTTTCCCAATCCCTTCATTCTATGTCCTCTTTTCCTACTGGAGGTGGGTTGCAGCATTCTGGGACAGAGCTAGTGAACCTAAGGCAAACTCGATTGGGTTTGGAGGAAGTCAGTTGTGGATGCCAACTCCAGTTGCCTCTTACACCTGATGCCAGGACAGTGCTGCAAACCCACCCACCAGTAAAAACCATTCCCAGGGAGAAAGGAGCTGAGGAACAGAGGCTTGAATCGACTGAGTTTAATACTGAGTCGCTACATTTTAAAATGGTAGCAATTGAGTTTAACTTGAATGACAAGGTTAGGTGTTTCAGTCGTCAAAGAGAAATGTGTTCTCAAGAGCGAAGTTGATTTTAGTTAAAGTCTTCTCATCCTCAGTAGATGCTCAGAGCCGTTTATAAGAATCCTCCTCTCTCTTTTCCTGTCTCAAACATTAATAACTTAAGGCTATAATTGTGAGAGGAAATCCTACAGCACCTACCAGTGGGCATGTGAGCTCAGCTGAGGTGGCAGGGAAGAACTCCAGACATGAAATTGATAGAATTACAAAAATTAAAATGAAGTGACATTTAGAAATATGAAACTACCCATGAAAAATAATTTTTGCAATTATAGACCAAAATATGATTTTTTTCAGGGATGAATGGTATCTGGAAAAAAGCACTGACAGTTTAAAAATGAAAACTAAAAATTACTTTGTTAGCAACATTTTATAGATTAAAAAAAAAAGTAAACAAACATTTTTATTTGATACTCTGATAATTTCAATTATTTGCTTCGGTGGGCAATTCGTCTGGTAACTTTGAATGAATTTTTAATTTGAAGCCTGCACTTACTTATGGAAAAACAACCTTTCATGTAGGACTTTGTAAAGCTTCAGTTACTGATCTATATGAACAATTAAAATTATTTAGAGCATGTTAGCTAATGACATGGAAACAGAGAAATCTTAGCTGCTGAGCTAGAGGAGGGTCTCTTACTGTGACTGTTTTCTCAGTCCAATTCATGTATTCCTTTGAGTTTCTATAACTGAATCCATGTATTATTTTTCCAAATTGAACTAGTTTTTTTCTGATAATGTCTTATGAGTGTTTCAGTCACCTTTCAGGCAAAATGCAGTGAATCATAGTGTTTTAAGCACCCCAAGAACATGAATTTTCCAGAAGTGGAGAAGCTGTATTGTTCAGGGATGATATGGTTTGGCTGTGTCCCCACCCAAATCTCATTTTGATTTGTAGCTCCCATAATTCCCATGTGTTGTGGGAGGGACCTGGTGCGAGGTGATTGAATCATAGGGGCAGGTCTTTACAATGCTGTTCTTATGATAGTGAATAAGTGTCATGAGATCTGATGGCTTTATGAAGGGGAGTTTCCCTACACAATCCCTCTTTGCCTCCCACCATCCATGTAAGATGTGCTTTTGCTGCTCCTTGCCTTCCACCATGATTGTGAGGCCTCCCAAGCCATGTGGAACTGTGAGTCCATTAAACCTGTTTTTCTTTATAAATTATCCAGTCTCAGGTATGTCTTTATTAGCAGCGAGAGAATGAACTAATACAAGGGACATTTTGGCACTGACAACCCTCACCCTCTGGAGGAGGATGAGGCCTTGCTAGTGCTAATTTGGGTTCAAGAAGTAGGAGAGCTTGATATTTGTAAAAATTTTGTTAAAGGGTAGCACACAGATTTTAATGCATCTCATTTATTTTAATATAAATGCTTCTGAAATGATGATATATATAAGCCATGTGTATTAAAAGGGCAGTGGCTTGGCAGTTTTCCACCAAGATCTTACCTTGAGCCAAAAAAGTCAATGGTGACTACATGCCCTCCATGAAACATTTTGAGGGTGAAGTATATATTACATCTGTTTCTGCCCTGCATGGCCACTATGCTTTCAGTAGGGTTTGTAACCTTGCTGAAATAGAGTGGGAATATAATCTAATCTCACAGTGGGGTGTGAATTTGTGGTTACTCCCCATCAATATATATAGCCCAGCAGAAAAATCTGTAAAATTTTTGAAAAAATTTTATTTTTCCTTTGCAGAAAGAAGCATTATTAAGAATAGGTAGGTTCTATGCTAAATGTTCAACATAATCCAAGGATATTGGGTATCTCTGGAAGTAACTTGTCATTGTTTCATGGTTGGCTCAACTCCAGTAGTGCAAAGAGACTTTCAATTTAGTGGGAGAAATCCTTTTGAGGTCGAGAAGGAAGAACTGGTTTAAATATGACGATGAACTGAACTGTGTCCCTCCAAAATTTGTATGTTGAAGCCTTAACTTCCATTGTGATTGTATTTGAAGATCGGATTTTTAGGTGGCAAGGTTAGGTGAGGTCATAAGGGTGGGGCCTAAGCTGATAGAATTAGTGTCCTTATAAGAAGAGAGAGAGACCAGCTGGGCATGGTGGCTTATGCCTGTAATCCTAGCACTGTGGGAGGCTGAGGCAGGCAGATTGCCTGAGCTCAGGGGTTAAAGACCAACCTGGGCAACATGGTGAAACCGTATCTCTACTAAAATACAAAAAATTAGATGGGTATGGTGGTACACGCCTGTAATCCCACATACTCTGGAGTCTGAGGCAAGAGAATCGTTTGAATCCGGAGGCAGAGGTTGCAGTGAGCCGAGATTGTGCCACTGCACTCCAGCCTGGGTGACAGGCCGAGACTCTGTCTCAAGAAAAAAAAAAAAAAAAAGAGACAGAGCAAAGCAAAGCTCTCTCTTTCTCTGTCATATAAGAATATAGGGAGAAGGTGGCTGTGTACAAGCCAAGAGAAGAGGCCTCAGAATGAAACGTATCTTGCTGGCACCTTAATCTTGGACTTCTCAGCCTCTAGAATGGTGATAAATAAATTTCTGTTGTCTAAGCCACCCAGTCTGTGGCATTTTGTAATGGCAACCTAAGCAAACTAATACAATTATTGAGCACCAACTTAAGTATTTCTTGAGTCTCACAAGCTATATGTGCTTGCTGGGTTGTTAAACTTATTCAATCAGTTGTTTTACACACACACACACACACACACACACACACACACACACACACACACGATACCAGCGTTCACCTTTAGAAATGAGCATGGTGGTTAAACCATATCACAGGTGAAGCCAGTTCTGGGGTTCTATCAGAGTGGTTCTGCAGTCACTGGCCAGGTTACCTGATTTCATCCTCTAGTGACATCCCACAGTAAAGCCACATGGGCCTATATATTATTCAAATCCCTGACAGAGTAATCTGTTCTTCTGTAGTGATGGATTTCTTAACCTTGGGTTTACAGGTAGACTTCATGGTTTTATAAATTTCATGAAATTTTATGCCAAATATATTTATGTGCATTTTCAGAGGAGAGGATTTATAGTTTTAAACAGATTCTCTAGTAATTCCAGACTCTAAGGTTAAGACCCATGGCTTCAGACCAACGTGTGGTGGAGATCTTATCAATAGTGAAGAGTCCAGCTCCAGGTTGAAGTCCTAGGTATGATCTCTCAGGTCTGACCAAAGGCAATTGCAAGGCTTTTCCTGGCAGGTCTCATGGGAGAGAGTTGTCCTCCCCACATCGTAGTGTCTGGAGGAGGGAGGTGCAGTCAAGGATTCAAGTCCCTCCACACTTACTGCTCATACTTACAGATATTTGCATTCATAGCCAAGACATCTCTATTTGGGGTCCTCCTTATCTATAGCCCTGCTAGAGGCGGGGGCACTTTTCAGGTACATCCACCAAGATGTTCCTTATAGGGGGACCTTGACTAAGACTCTTCTCTCCATTGGGTACTCTGACCCAGTACTTTTTAACCCTAGTTCTTCCCCCTCCTTCCTTTTTCTGTTTGTCTCTTGCCTTCACTCTCGTGGTAAATGAATAAAGGCCTGGTTGTTTCTTTCAGTTTGGCTTGTTGTCCTGTTTGATCACCTCGGGATCTGGCAGCTCAACAGGAACCAAGGGATTTTAAGAGGTCTCTTCTCCTTGGAAAGGTAACACTAAAATAGTTATTTAAGGGAGATCTTTACAAAAGAATGTGAATTCTCAGAGACATGGTTAATTCCAAGGAGCCTCAAAATGACTCATGTTCTTAATAATTCAGCTGGATTCTTCTTTACTTGGCCGGTAATACGATTTTAGTTCTATTTGGCATTTGGAAACTGGTGAAGTACTCCATCAAATTCTGGCTTTTTCTTCCAAATGTTCCACCAGGGTCACCTGTGGCCTCTGGTGTTAGTCAGACTATCCAACTACAATTATAGCACAAAACCACTCATTAGAATGGATCCCAGGCTTACACTTACACAATAGGCTCAGAGAACAGCCACACCTGCCTTATGTTAGGAACCTCATCCATGCATTTGTGCACACACTCAGGCTTATATGCATTTATTTCACTCAATAATTTTTACTAATCTATCTGGCATTTTCCAATTCTCTTAGAACCAGGGCCTTACTACTCCTATGTAACCGAGTTGGACAGAAAGATGAGGGCAGGGCATTGGCATGTGTTGAGCAGTGACCTTTAAGAACTATGAAAAATGCTTTTATAAACCTTATCTCCTGTGATCCTTCCATGAGTGTCATTTCATAGAAGAGGATATGGATTCACAGGTTAAGTAACATGCCCAAGGGAGCAAGTGGTGGCTTTGGGATATCATTGCAAAATCTGTGTCCTTTACCCCCGCCCACAGCATTTCCCTGGATGGAGGTCTGCTCTGTCCAACTTACCATTGTCTATTGAAGTTATCCATGATGTAATAAGACTATTAATGTTTGTATTAGTCTGTTCAGGCTGCGATAAAAAAATGCTACAGACTGGGTGGCTTGAACAACAGAAATTTATTTTCTCACAGTTCAGGAGGCTGGAACTCCAAAATCAAGGCCAGTGGGATTGTTTTTTTCTAAGGCCTCTCTCCTTGCCTTGTAGCTGGGCCACCTCCTTGCTGTGAACTCGTGTGGTCTTCTCTCCATGTGTGCACATTCCTAGTGTTTCTCTGTGTGCCCAAATATCCTTTTTTTTTTTTTTTAAAGATGGAGTCTTGCTCTGTCGACCAGGCTGGAGTGCAGTGGCACGATCTCGGCTCACTGCAACCTCTGCCTCCCGGGTTCAAATGATTCTCCTGCCTCAGCGTCCCGAGTAGCTGGGACTACAGGCACACGCCACCATGCTGGGCTAATTTTTTTTTTTTTTTTTGTATTTTTTAGTAGAGACAGGGTTTCACTGTGTTAGCCAGGATGGTCTCGATCTCCTGACCTCGTGATCTGCCCTCCTCGGCCTCCCAAAGTGCTGGGATTACAGGCATGAGCCACCGCACCCGACCACCAAATATCCTTTTCTTATACAAACTCCACTTAGATTTTGTTAGGTCCCACCCTACCAACCTCTTTAACCTAATCATCTCTTTCCAGGCCATATCTCCAGATGCAATCACATTCTTGGGTTCTGGAGGTTAGGGCTTCAACATGTGAATTTGGGAAGTTAATAGTTCAGCCTATAACAATGTTCCTATGGCCAGAGTTGGGCTCTGGGCTGTGTACGACCCAGGATCATCCCGAGGGCACAGTGGGACTCAATGAAAATCAGAAATTCCCTCTTGTCTCCTCCCCTACAAGTCTTCCACACAGGGAAATTTTATTAGAACTGACAAACAGGCTGGGTGTGGTGGCTCAACCTGTAATCCCAGCACTTTGGGAGACTGAGGTGGCCAGATTGCTTGAGCCTAGGAGTTCGAGACCAGCCTGGGCAACAAGTCAAGACCCCGTCTCTACAAAAAATACAAAAATTAGTCAGACATGGAGGTGCGTGCCTTTTGTCCCAGCTATTTGAGGGCCTGAGGCAGAATTGCTTGAGCCTGGGAGGTTGAGCCTGTAGTGAGCCAAGATTGCGCCACTGCACTCTAGCCTGGGTGACAGAGCAAGACCTTGTCTCAAAGAAACAAAACAAAAATTGACAAGAGAAGGTATACTGTGAGAAAAAGAGTAAGTGGCAGCTGATGGAACCACTTCCTCTTGCCCCCCCATCCTTCCACTGCCTCTCTCAGATGCTTACTCATGGATCACTCCGGCACTCATTTAGCCCATTATGATTTATCAGGTCCCCTACTGTGGTGAGGCTGTGTGAGGGGCTGAGCACATACCAGCAGTCCCTGCTTTAAGGAGCCCCCGCTTCTGGTGGGAGAGCTGGAGGGTAAGAAATACACAAAGTACCCTCTGGGATAAGCACTGTGGGTAGTGGGTTCAGGACCTGTTTGAGGTCAGGTGGTTGGGTAAGCCTTCTTGAGGTGGTGACCTTCAGGCAGAGACTTGAACAGTGAGAAGCAGCAGACTCTTGAAAAGTCGATGGAAGTGTTTCCAGACAGAAAGAATCGCATGTGCAAAGTCTTTTGGGAAGAAAGGAATATTGGAGAAACAGAGAAGAGACCAGGGTGGCTAGAGATGAGTGAGGGAGAGAGATGAGAAAGGGAGAGCAGCCTAGGGTGAGGGTGGAGGATAAAGCGGGGGAGGATGCCTGGAGACTGTAGGCTGTGGCAAGAGGAACTCAAATTGAGAGCTACAACCTTTCTACAAAACCCATTCAAGAGCTGAGCCTCAGGCAGCGCTGAGGCTTTCTAAGGCAGATTAGACCTTGCTTGTGTAATAGGATTTGAGGGAAGTACTGAAGAACATCCTTATCCAGAAACTCGAGCTCTTACAAGTACAACCCTTAGTGTCTGTTGGTAGTGTGTGTCATTCTATCACTAAAGAATCCTCTTTCGAGTACCTTTGCTTTGTCTGGGAAGAGGCTACTGCTGAAGTAGATAACCCTGGCAGCATATCCCATGACACTTATAGCATCAATTAGTTTATCAGATCATTCTACCTTGATAACTAGAGAGGAGCAGCTTATTAGAGAATGAGGTAGGCTTTGGACTCTGCCTGTACTATTTCCAACTCTGAAATTTGCCCCCTGTTAACAACATCGCCCATCCTTTTCCTAGAGTATTGCTTGTATTATCTTTTCCCTGTCTCCCCACCCTCATCCAGCCGCACTTCCTTAGACTGCAGATCCTTCCACAATGTTCCAGTCTGTCTCCACTGCCTCCTGGTGTGATTTACCTCTGCACACAGACAGGACTCCTCCATGCCCTCATTTTTTGCCCCAAATTTCTCACCTTGGGAATTTCACTGCACCTATCACGCAGACTCTAGATTGTTGTCAATCACATCATCTGCTTTTTCTGTTGTGACTCTGTGGTTTCTGAGACTCACGGAAGAAAGAGATCTCATAACCTTAATGATTGGTCCTGAGATTCCTCTCACTGTTGCGCCGTTCCAGCTGCACCACTGTCCTTATAAATTTCAGCTCATTGTTTAACACGTATCTCATCTCTAGGCTTCTTGGCCATACGCAGAGAAGTAGTGGAGCTTTGGTGTCATAACCCTGGGTTCAAAACCTACTCTACTTCTTAGTCACAGCTGTGTGGTCTTGGTCAAGTTATTTAGCTTATCAGAACTTTAGCTTCCTCATCTAAACAGATTTACTAAAACATGTTTAATAAAACTTTTCATGGGCTGGGCACAGTGGCTCACCCCTGTAATCCCAGCACTGTGGTAGGCTGAAGCGGGTGGATTGCTTGAGGTCCGAAGTTTGAAACCAGCCTAGGCAACATGGTGAAACTCTGTGCTACTAAAAATACAAAAATTAGCCAGTGTGTTGGTGGGCACCCGTAATCTCAGCTACTCAGGAGGCTGAGGCAGGAGAATCTCTTGAACCTGGGAGGCAGAGGTTGCAGTGAGCCAAGGTCTCACACTGCACTCGAGCCTGGGTAACAGAGCGAGACCCTGTCTTAAAAAAAATAAATAAAACTTGTTCACCTGTATAAGTTTGAATTAGGTTGGTTGTACAATGCTTAGTATTGAGATGAGTCTGATAATAAAGGATCAAGAAATGTAGATTAATTCCCTCTTTTCTCTCCAGTGCTCAAAGAGCAGATGCTACATTCATATAAAATCCAGGTCCCAGGGCACATTATCACAGTCTCTGCAGAAGAAGCCAGGCCAAGCCCTGGCTGTGAATCCATTGGGATCACCAGTGCCAGAGGAGAAGGTCACGTGAGCTTCTTCCCTAATATGGTAACCGTGCTCTCTGAAATCACAGTAACTCATTTTGCAGCCTCATAAATTCAAGGAACACTGCTAGATTTGCCTCTTCCTTTGTCCAAAGCCAAAGTTCATGTTGTATTTAATCAGGACTAAAGTGGTATCAGGAATAAGCAACCTGCAAGATATATGTGTAATGACTAATAGATATATTTCAGTATAATTCTACTGTCTGGAGAGGAAAATAGCAACAGGACCATGACAGTCACCACAAAAGGAAAAGTAATTAATGGCATTGACTAGCAAATGATTCCAACGTAATCATTGTTCATGATGCACAGGGCAGAAACATTAACTTAAAGGATATTTCTCTATTTCTTCTGGGTAGATGTCAAACATAAAATACAATTAAAACAACGTAAGCATGATAGCCACATGGTTAGCTCTAAATTACTTTTGAATGCATGGAGAGACAAGATTGAAGAGAAAGCTTGAAAATAGTTTTCATTAAGCAAGTAATTATTTAGTACCTACTATATACCTTGAGTAAGTTCTGGGTTAGAGAATATAAAGATGCTGCTGGAAAAACCCTACTGAAGTTGCCAATGGGTGGCCTTGAGCTTGGTTGCTGCTGCCGTCAGAAGATGTTTGGGAAACAGGAAAGACCCATGGACACCTGGGAGACAGTGGTGAAAATTCTTTTTTTTTTTTTTTTTTTTTTTTTTTTTTGAGATGGAGTCTTGTTCTGTTGTCCAGGCTGGAGTGCAGTGGCGGGATCTCCACTCACTGCAACCTCTGCCACCCGGGTTCAAGCGATTCTCCTGCCTCAGCCTCCCGAGTAGCTGGGATTACAGGTGCATGCCACCATGCTGGCTAATTTTTGTATTTTTAGCAGAGACGGGGTTTCACCATGTTGGTCAGGCTGGTCTCGAATTCCTGACCTCAAGTGATCTGCCTGCCTCAGCCTCCCAAAGTGCTGGGATTACAGGTGTGAGCCACCATGCCCAGCCTGGTGAAAGGTTTTGAATTGGGTTTCAGACTAGAGGGTGATCTTTGTTTCTTAAAGGAACTAAGAAGGAAGCTCAAATATCCCTTACACCTGTGGCACAGTTTTAACAAACACAGTTTTATTTTTACTTATTATTTTTTTGAGACGGAGTCTCATTCTGTCACCCATGCTGGACGATCTTGGCTCACTGCAACCTCTGCCTCCTGGGTTCAAGTGATCCTTCTGCCTCAACCTCCCAAGTAGCTGGGACTACAGGCATACGCCACCATGCCCGGCTAATTAAAAAAAAATATTTTTAGTAGAGATGGGGTTTCACCATATTGATCAGGCTGCTCTTGAACTCCTGACATCGTGATCTGCCTGCTTCAGCATCCCAAAGTGCTGGGATTACAGGCGTGAGCTACCGTGCCTGGCCGACAAACACACTTTTAAGTAGCTTTGAATTTAAAGGGCGTATACAGAGTGATGCCTTTAGCATTTTAGCCTTATTAGAGCCAGATAAATGTATTAGTAGTTGATAAAGTACAGTGAAGGAAGAATATAATAATGGTGATGATAATGATGACAATGTGAACATAAAAAATTTCATTTCTTGAGGTCTTATCACATGCCAGACATTTGGCTACACACATTTCTGAGAACAGTTCATTCAATTCCTACAACACATTTTTAGTCTTGGACCCTCAGTCTCTTCAGCTGTAACTTCTCTTAACTTTGCAGGATGGCTAATTTCATGTGTCAGCTTGCCTGGGCTAAGGGATGCCCAGATAGCTGGGAAAATATTATTTCTGTGTTGACTGTGAGGGGTTTCAAGAAGAAGTTAACATTTGAATCCATCTGCTGAGTTACAGAATCGCCCTCACCAGTGTGGGCAGACATCACCCAATACTTTGAGTCTCTAAATAGAATGAAGAGGCAGAGGAAGGGCTAATTTGCTCTCTCTATTTGAGTTGGAACATCCACCTTCTTCTGTCTCAAGAACCAAGGACATCAGAGCTCCTGGTTCTTGTAGCTTTGGACTTAGCCTGGTATACCATTGGCTCCTCTGGTTCTCAGGCCTATGGACTTGGATTGAACTACACCACTGGCTTTCTTGCGTCTCCAAATTGCAGTGGCATATGATGGGGCTTTTTGGCTTCCAGAGTTGTATGAGATAATTTCCATATATGTCTCATATATATATGAGACAGAGAGAGGTTTATAAATATATGTATACACACACACATTCTATTTTCCTGTTTCTCTGGAAAACCCTGACTAATACATTTCATTAGACCTCTGTTTTCCCATCTGAAAAGTGAAGACAGTAATTTTTACCTCTAGAATTGTTGCAAAGATTACATGAGACAATGGACCCAAGGCCCATAGCACAGCATCTGTTAACTGAGTAAGCATTCACTAGAAATTGTATTTATGTTTGTGACTATTATAGGGAAATGTCTTTAGGCGTGTGTCTAAGGGCTGAATTCAGCTGTGTGTCTCACTCCTCCCTGAGGGCTGTGCCACGGTCAGGTGGCTTCCAATCTGTACTCAATTGTTACTGTACAGACTGTTTCTTTTTTAGTGGCAGTCCCTTAGGTCCCAAGGTGAATAGGCCGCTACTTAGAAGAATCTCATGTTTTGTGACCTCCCCCCGACATTTATTAACCCTATGAGAGTGGGTAATGCCCTGCTCTGGGCCTGAGGGAAGCCCATAAATGCTTTTAGAAGTCCCAGTATTATGACACCTTTCCAGCCTTCTCCTGCTTTCACTGTTCTCAACCCCTTGGCAACCCACATCCCAAAAGCAAGAGGAGGGAAATTTTCAGATGCATTTCTGTATTAGTGTTTTCTAGATAAACAGAACCAACAGGATGTATATATGTAGAAAGAGATTTATTACAAGAAATCGGTTCGTGCAATTATAGAGGCTGGGCAGTCTTAATATCTGCAGGGTGAGTGGGTAGGCTGGAGACCCAGGAGAGCTGATGGTGTGGTTCCAGTCTGAATCTGAAGGCCTGAGAACCAGGAGAGCCTCTGTTGTGGTACCAATCCAAAGGCTGGCAGGCCGAAGACTCAGGAAGAGCCTATGCATCAGTGTGAGTCTGAAGGCAGGAAAAAACCCATGTCAGTCAAAAGGCAGTCAGGCAGGAGAGATTCCCTCCTACTTGGGGGAGAGTTGGCTTTTTCCTTCTATTTAGACCTTCAGCTGATTTGATGAGGTCCACTGACACTAGGGAGGGCAATTGCTTTACTTAGTCCATTGGCTTAAATGTTAATCTCATCCAAAACACTTTCGCAGAAACACCAGGAAAAATACTTAACTGAATATCAGCTACCCCATGGCCCAGTCAGTTTGCTAGATAAAAGTAACCATCATACATAATTTTGGTTCCCATCAGTCTTGAAGCCCCCTTCCTCATCCTCCAGTAAACTGGCATTTTGTTCAAAGCTTCTAAGTTATTTAAAGTTTTACACAACAATGAGGGTGAGTTTTTAATCAAAGGGGTAGGAAAGGAAGAATAGGGTGAGGAGGGAATAGCAGAAGTAATTAAAAGTAATTGTCATAATTGCTTCTTGTTAAACCCAGCTAATTGGTAAAAAGTAACAAGGGAGGAGGCCATTATGCAAATATATGGCCACTCTGTTCAGCTCCAGTTGAAGATATCAGAGCAGAGAATGGGAACGTTTCTACTAGCTAGTTACATGATGATCTGTTCATTGTCCTTATCAGTAACCCTTCGCCTCTTGCAGCATCAGACTTCTGCAATCTTGCTGGTTTTTCCCAACCTGTCCAAATCCAATTCAGTATATTCAGAGACATTCCTTACCCTTAAGTTATACTATTTTCCTCTCTGTCTTCCAACTACTACCACCCTTTAATGCCCAGCTCAAATTCTGTCTTCCCCTTGATGCGTTCTGTGACTGTTTCAGTCCTTAGTCTTCCATTTTCTCTGTATTCTTTTCTTCTTGCCTTTTCTGTACACTGACAGCTGCCTATATGACCTGTGTTACTAGTGGCTGCTTTTCCCTGTTATTTCCCCATCAGGAGAGTAAAAAACCTTACAACAAAGCTCTGTTTCTTGTGTACCTTCTTTAGCACCAAGAACAGTCCCAGGAATAGAGTTGCTAATAGATACTTATGAATAATGAGTGACTCTAACATGTAAGCCAAATCCTATCGTTCCTCTGGGCAAAACTCTGTAATGACTCCTCATCTTACAAGAAAAGCTAAAGTTGTATAACAGACAACACAGGATAGTTTCATCGGATCCCTTGTCCCTTCTCTTCTTGTCTCCATAATTCTCCACCTTGTTCACTGGAGCATCACCTAAATTGTCTTCCATGAAAACCTCTCAAGTGTAGGGGTTTCCAAGTACTGTAAGGGCAAATACAAATAAAAATGAGAGGCTGGGCCTGTAATCCCAGCACTTTGGGGGGCCAAGGCGGGTGGATCACCTGAGGTCAGGAGTTCGGGACCAGCCTGGCCAACATGGTGAAACCGTGTCTACTAAAAATAGAAAAAATTAGCTGGGTGTGGTGGCAGATGCCTGTAATCCCAGCTACTCAGGAGGCTGAGGCAATAGAATCACCCGAACTTGGGAGGTGGAGATTGCAGTGAGCTGAGATCGTGCTGTTGCACTCAGCCTGGGCGACAAGAGCAAGACTCCATCTCAAAAAAAAAAAAAAAAAAAAGTGTCATTGTTTCTGTTGAAAATAAGGGAAGAGACCTCCTTTTTCTTAGAGCATTTGCTTTAGAAAACTTGTCATTGTAAATTCTCTGTCACTTTGGCAGGTGTCTTGATCCCAAACTACCTTCTATCATCAGGATATAAGAAGTTTATTTTTCCTTTGAATAAAGCCAATTGGGAAACACAGATGGCCACTGCAGTTACTCAGTGAATCTAGGATGAGCCATGTGTGACAAATCATGCTGCCAAGTCCTCTTATGGAGGCGTAGGTGTTGTTTATTTTGAGAACATGTATGTAACACTCTGTATCTGCTTGGCTGTATAAAAAGGTGAGACTTCTTTCTGTCTTCACAATTTCTTAGTGGGTCGCCTGTGATGTGTACCACGTTCTGGTTCAATGTTTATTCAATAATGAAATTGTTTTCTTCCTCTTCTTCCTTTGTGGGAAGTTTTCTGGGTTGGAGATATGTTGTTGTTAATTGTATTTCTCTAACACTGCCTGCCTGGATGTTTCTAGTTGTCCTTCATGCTACAGACTTCTATCTTGAGAAGGGGAAGGTGAGGACTTGTGTCTACAATTTCTTCCACTCTTTCTTTCATACTCCAGTGCATTATACAGAGTGGGTGCTACAGTCTGAATGCTTGTGTCTCCTCCAAATTCCTATGTTGGAATTCTAATCCCTGCGATGATTGTGTTAGGAGGTAGGGCTTTGGGAAGGTGATGAGGTAGTGAGGACATAGCCTGCATGAATGGCATTAGTGTCCTTATAAAAGGGAACCCAGAGAGCTAGCTTGCCTCTTCCACCATGAGAGAACACAGTGAGAAGGTGCCATCTATGAATGAGGGAGCAGACCTTCACCAGAGACCAAATCTACTGCCACCTTGATCTTAGACTTCCCAGACTCCAGAATTGTGAGAAATAGATTTCTATTGATATAAGCCATACATTTTATGGTTTTAAAAAATAGCAGCCTGAAACAGTAGGTTTTCTATTTCCTTTTTCTTCTTCGAAAGGATTTCACTATATTATATCCTTCTTCTTCCTGGTGGCATTAATCTCTACGCATTGTTTTTTTTTTAATAGCAGAAACTCTGTGATCTGTGTCTACTAGACACACATATATATATATTTAGTATGGGAACTGTTTAGTTTGGCTTCTCCCAGAAGTAGATCCTTAGACAAAGATTTTATTTGGGAGTAGTTTATTTGGGAGGGGGAGGGAACAGAGGTAGGGGAGTGGGAAAGTGAGAAATAGAGGGGAAGGTGGACAGCAAAGGGTGGGCCATTAAGACAGTTCCTGCAGTGGGTAACTGGCGCTTAATCTCCCGTGGAAACTGGAGGAATAGTGGAAAACATACATCAGAACTAGCCTATGGAGGGGCCAGGTAGCTGGGTCTTTATTAACTCCCAAGAGTCAGTGATTAAGGGCTGCTGGTGGGAGGGAGGGAGACATTCATTCCCTGGCACTTCCAAATGTTCTCACTTATGAGCAAAGCTGCTTCAGTGGTTCAGCCAAAAGCCAGCAGGCACAGCAATGTGGATTCCATCCGTGGGAGGTGTATTAGTCCATTCTTCGACTGTTATAAAGAACTACCAGGTCACGCCTGTAATCCCAGCACTTTGGGAGGCTGAGGTGGGCAGATCATGAGGTCAGGAGTTTGAGACCAGCCTGGCCAATATGGTGAAACACCACCTCTACTAAAAAAAATATACAAAAATTAGCCAGGCATGATGGTGCATGCCTGTAGTCCCAGCTACTTGGGAGGCTGAGGCAGGAGAATCACTTGAACCTGGGAGGAGGAGGTTGCAGTGAGCCAAGATCACAACACTGCACTCCAGTCTGGGTAACAGAGTGAGACAATATCTCAAAAGAAAAAAAAAAAACTATTAGAGACTAGGTAATTTTAGAAGGAAAGAGGTTTAATTGACTCACAGTTCTGCAGGCTATACAGGAAGCATGACTGGGAGGCCTCAGGAAGCTTACAGTCATGGCAGAAGGGTGAAGGGGGAAGCAAGCACCTTCTTCACATTGTGGCAGGACAGAGACTGAAGGGGGAGGTGCTACACATTTTTGTACAACCAGATCTTGTGAGAACTCACTATCACAAGAACAACAAGGGGGAAGTCCACCCCTATGATTCAGTCACCTCCCACCAGGCACTTCGTCCAACACATGGGGATTACAATTCAACATGAGATTTGGGTGGGGACACAGAGCCAAACTGTATCAGGAGGACTGCTGGCATTGAGGGTCTGAGCATACAGGCGGGGCCCGGGCAGCATCTGCAGCAGGAGCCTGGGATAGCATGTGCTCAACACCAGGATGTGCTGCCAGATCCCCTCCAAGAACTGACTTGTTCCCCAGGCACTGGGAGTATGGTGAGTACACAACCTGCAGCTGTCACCCCCTTCCAGGATTGGCTCAGCTGCTGAGCTGCTCACCCAAGCTCACACTTCTTCCCACATCTGATGACTGATAAGTATAGGAATATAAAGGCCTGGTCATCTGGCACAGCACTGAAGGGCCAGTCTAGCTGCGGAGGACTTGAGAGGTCAGCCCAAGCTCCCTTCCTTAGGGCGGATCCTAGGGCTCTCCTTACTAAACATCCCACACTCACAACTCCTTTCCCAAGTCGGTTTCCCAGAGAACCCCAGTGCTTTCATGTGGTCGCAGGGATTGCCAAGAATGAAAGCACATTGGCTTGATATTCTAGGACTAGTATCCCAGCTAAACAACGATAAAGGATCTACAAATCCTGGTTTCCACAGAGTAAGAGTAGGTCTTTATAAAGGCAATGATTATTTTTAATCATGATTATCTCCATTTTTTCCTCAGAAAAAAAATTATCTTCCAATCTGGGTTCTCTTCTTTGTACCCTGTCTGATTCTTTCATTAGATCTCTCTTCCTCACTTCTGATAGCTTATTTTTCTGTCTTTAAAGGCAGTTTTTCTCTCAATCACTCAGCCTTTATCAATGGATGTCTAAGGATATATTTACTTTTCTGTACTGTCTGCCAAAAGCTGGCTGCCTCCTTAAAGAAACGTTGGCCTGAGACTGCAGCTCTGGGTCTCGCTGGCCTGAATGCTCTGACTCTGTGGTCTTCTTTTTCCAGCTGCATTTGTTTTTCTGATGTGATGGAGGTTCTGTTTGCTGTGGCAGTAGGAGAGGTGTTTGGATTCCCTTGAGTGGGAAGAAGCACTTTCTCCTTGGTGTCCAGGCTGAAGACACACTCCCCTTGGTAGAACATCAGGGCTCCTTACTTGTGAAGCCATGAATCAGCCCTCTGGCAGAAGCAGCTCAAGAGTATTACCTTGGGGTCACATAGCATCCAGGATTTGGGCTATGCTTTTACATCCTAAAACTTAGTATGGCCCATAAATGGAGAAAAAAATAAAAGTGTGTATCAATGTTTTTATATAAACACAAAATTTCTGCTTATATACATTTAAAAATAGTCTCCTTACATCACTGACCATGTAGACATGTATATATGTGTATATATATGTGTATATGTGTATATATGTGTGTGTATGTATATATGTGTATGTATGTGTGCATATATAGTTAGCTCTGCAAGTATATGTAAGTATATATGTGTGTGTGTATACACACACACACACACACACACACACATATCTCGTTAGCTCTGTAAGTCAGCTCAGTTCGGAGGAATGATTTTACCACGAATATCAGATCAGTACTTTCTCAGGTATAATTTGTGCATATTACCAAAACTGCACTAGTGCTACTAAATATATTTTATAATTTATAATTGTTATGCTGAATAAGTGGAACTCAAAAGGACTTACATTTTTAGAAGATGACTTACATTTTTCCTCCCACAACTTCCATTAAGAATTATTTTGAAGGCTATTTTTTTCTCTCTTTTTTCAGTCACATTTCAGGTGCCATACTATTTCCTTTCTCTTTTAGATTAATAAAAACAAAACAAGCTCTCTGATTATTTTAGTCTCAAGAATGGTTTCAGTTCAAGATTGAAAATGTACAGCTCAGTGATAATCAAACTTCAAAAACTTTCAGAGACAAAGCTTTCAGACCCCTGCCAGCCTGTACCAGCCGTGGCTAAGCCCCAGTCATTAAATATGTTGGAGAGGCCAAGTTAGGAAGGAGAAATGACTTTTTTTTTCTTTCCTATAATCTCATATTAGAAGTGAAGGAAGTAGAAGTGATTTCTTTGGAAAAGGTTTTTCTAAGAACCTGGGCACCGTCTAGCTGACTGCCACAGAAAGTGTTTCTTATGCTTTCTACTGTACTGAAATATATTACTTTTAACAACTCTTGTGCAAGAAAGAGTTGGGCTTCACCTTTCCTCTGTAAACCTGTAAACTGGCAGTGGTAAGAGAGGCAGGGCAGACCTCTCCCTTAAGCATTGGTCTCAGCTCTAGGCTGCTCTGACTCTTCCGGTGTTAAAACGGGGAGTAGGGGAGAGACGCATGCCTCTGACAATCTGGCAAGAGGGTTCCCTGAATTGTGGATCTTTCGGAGCTGACTCCTGCACTCATGGGCCTCTTATCAGTGCTCTGGTATAACAGTCCCTCTAGTGGACTGCTCACATCCTCCCTCACTTTCTGTATCTCATGGGACCATCCAAATTGCTTTGGCTGAGGTTGCTTCACTCTCTTGACCAGGATCCCTTTGAAATCAACTCGGTGGTATTCCCACCCTAGATTCCTATCTGGTAGCCGGGAACCATGTATCTTTGAACAGTCACAGATGAGGGCACAGTTACTCTGAAACTCAGCCTTGGCTCATTGCCATGGACCGTTCAGCCCTGTCTCTCACCTGTAGTCACTTTCCCAGCCCTGAGTCAGCAGTCGGCTGTGTCTTCCAAATTCAAGGGATACAGTACACTTCCGTGGAAGCTGGCTAGAAAAGGTTATTGAAAAACATTTCCAAAGAAATCTCTTCCCCTTCCTAACGCTTGGCCTCTCCAGCCTATTTCATGACTGGAGATAGGAGCTTAGTGTAACCGGCTAATGGGTTCTTGCCTGCTGACTAGACAGAGCCGATTTACCAAGATGGGGGAATTGGAATAAAGAATTTAATTCTCACAGAGCCAGCTGTATGGGAGACTGGAGTTTTGTTATTACTCAAATCAGTCTCCCTGAAAATCTGAGGATCAGGGTTTTTAAGGATAATTTGGTGGGTAGGGGATCGGGAAGTGGGGAGTACTGAGTGGCTGGGTCAGGATGAAATCAGCGGGTTGAAGTGGGTTTTCTTGCTATCTTCTGTTTCTGGGTGGGATTGCAGAACTGGTTGAGCCAGATTACTTGTCTGGGTGGCATCCCTTGGTGCATCAGAAGGCAAAGTCTGCAAAATATTTCAAGTGCTGATCTTAGGTTTTACGACAGTGATGTTATTCCCAGGAGCAACTTAGGGAGGTTGAGAATCTTGCAGCTGGAGCCTCTGGTGGCATGACTCTGAAGCCATACTTTCTAATCTTTTTTTTTTTTTTTTGAGATGGAGTCTTGCTCTGTCACCCAGGCTGGAGTGCAGTGGTACAATCTTGGCTCACTGCAACCTCCGCCTCCTGGGTTCAAGCAATTCTCCTGTCTCAGCCTCCCAAGGTGCCCGCCACCATGCCCAGCTAATTTTTGTATTTTTAGTAGAGATGGGGTTTCACCATATAGGTCAGGCTGGTCTCAAACTCCTGACCTCAGGTGAGCCACCACACCTGGCTTCTAATCTTATAGTTCATTTGTTAGTCCTACAAAGGCAGACTGGTCCTCATGCAAGAAGGGGGTTCATCTCAGGAAAGGGCTGTTATCATCCTTGTTTTGAAGTTAAACTATAAACTAAATTCCTCCCAAAGTTAGTTTGGCCTACACCCAGGAATGAACAAGGACAGCTTAGAGGTTAGAAGCAAGAAGGAATCGGTTAGATCAGATCTCTTTCACTGTTATAATTTTCTCAGTTAAAATTATTGCAAAGGTGATTTCAATTAGTTGCAGACTGCGGATCTAGGTTTCTGTAGCTCCCTTTGCAAGTCCTTCTTAGGTAGATTACCACCTTTCTTGGGGATGTGAGAGCTGTTGTCACTGATGATACAGGTTCTCAGCTAAAACTGAGTCCCATTTTACATCTTGTTTTGCTTTAATATTTATCTCTTAGTGAATACATATACTTTTAACTCTAAGACAAGAAAGAGTTGGGCTTCAACTTTCCACTTCAAAACTTTTGAACCTATTTTTGTTCTCCCCTCTCAGTTTTACATCTCTTGAACAATCAATGCAACAGGCATCTCCATTGTAATCTCATTGAGAATAAGTGGATGTGACTTTCAGTGTCCACTTGCTAATTTTAGTCCTTTGAGTTCTGGCCCAAAGGAAAGGAACAGACCAATCAGCATATAGATCAAAAATCAAAATGAGAAAGCTCACCAACCGAGAAAGCAAAGGAGCATTTTCATTCTTCTGTTGTGATAATACAATATTTCTTGCTTTTGCCTTTGTTGTACAACATCTATAAAAATGTGATGATGAAAAAAAACAGGTGAAAGTGAATGATTTAGGTTCTAGTCTGGGTTTTGTCACTCACTGGGTGATCTGACCAATCTTCTCCAATTCTGTTTCATCATCTGTAAAGTAAGAGGGTTACACCAGTTCTGATATTATATTATTCTATCTGAAGTGATTATTAATAGTATATAGAATAGTCGTACTGCTTATGTGCTTGAAATTGGTTTTGATACCAATGGCTAAGTAGAAGTGATTCTGACCCTTATCATGAACACTTCAGTGGGCTTCATTCTTCAAAAAGAAAATGTCATATTTAAGTATTTTTAATTTTACATATTTCTGTAAATTGTAGTTTAATTAAGGTTTCCTTAGAGAGCAGAAGATGGAATCCCAGAATTTGGAAAACAGCTTTTTAAAACCTCTTTGCTGATTGTGTTAGGAATTTAGTAAGGCAGAGAGGGCTGCCTGCCTACCTGTGACTGTGGAGTCAGATGGGTAGATCCAGTACTCAGATGTTAATCTCTTTAGAAGATTATTTTTTAAAAAGAAGATTACAAAGATGAAGAATATGGTATCACTTTGCAAAAATCACACCCACGGCTCTTGCCCCTAGTGTTATTTCCTATATAAACATTGAATAATGAAAAAGTCTTGCAGTAAGAGCTAAGAGCTATCAAAAGTTTCATAAACAACATTGAGTTAAAAGGGTAGTAATGTGTAAGGAAACAAAATTTTTCCATTTGGGTTTTTCTCTCTCTCTTAAAAAAATAAATGTGATCCTTTTGTGCTATCAGCTACATTTTGTTGGATTTATACAGTAAGTGTACCTCTTCTATTACTTCACTAACTTAAATAACAAAGATGAAGGGGAAAAACTCATGGGATTGGGAAGGGCAGTTCTTATTTACAGCCATATCTCTAGCTCTGAGCATAGTGCCTGGGATGCATTAGTTGGGCATTAAATATTTGTGCAAGGAATACATTAAGAATTGGATACTGGGAAGGGGCTGTAATGAAAGAACAATTTTAGGTGACAAAATGGGAGCTGATTGCTGCTCTTATGTCTGATTATAGAGCTTTAACTATGATGGTCAAAGCAAGAGGGCTTTGAAGACAGCATAATCATCCTGTGGAATCCAAACTGCACAGAAATCGAATGAAAACATCTTTAATTAGTGTCAGGAATTGTCCTACAGTTTTAAGATGAGTGAGTTTTTTTTCATGCAATTGAATCTACGCCATGAGAAGTCTACCCCACTAATCACTGAGGATGTATAAAAGTCCCAGGGAAGCTGGTGATAGTTGTACTCAGGAAACTTGCCCTTGACCTCCAAACACATCTACAGTTGCTGAACCATGAGCTACTACAGAAGCTATTATGGAGGCCTGGGCTATGGCTATGGAGGCTTTGGTGGCTGGGGCTATGGCTATGGCTGCGGCTATGGCAGCTTCCGCAGGTTGGGCTATGGCTGTGGCTACGGAGGCTATGGATTCAGCTGTTGCCGACCATTATACTACGGAGGATATGGATTCTCTGCCTTCTACTGAAGAGTGAACTCATTCTTTGGATCACTAGAATCTGTCTATCATCCTGACTTAATTCTCCTTTCAGGTCTTTTTACCCCCTCTGTGAATTGCGCAGCCACTTTCTTGATAAACCAGACAAAGCAGCAAAGGGTGCCTTGTGAACTCTTCAAAGTCAAGACTCAATTCTGGCAACAAACACAACAGAATCAGTGGCAGCAGCAAGGGGAGCCCTTCCTGTAGAATGACCTAGAATCCCACCTTTCAAGCTGTGAATCCCTCTCTTCCCTTATTAATATATCAACATGGCACCAACTCTTCTTCTATTTCAATAAACTAATTTTAATAGTAGAGCAAATTTGGTTTAATTTTTTTTTCTGTTTTACTGTGGTAAGAACACTTAACATGAGATCTACCCTCCTAACAACTGTTTGAGTCAACCATACATTATTGTCGACTACAGGTACCATACTGTATAGCTGATCTCTAAGGTCCGTTCACCTTGCCTGACTTAAACTTCATGCCTCTTTGTCAGTAACTGCCTATTTCTCCCTTCACCCAGCCCTTGGTAACTGCCATTCTACTCTTGGATTCTACAAATTTCACTCTTTTGGATGCCTCATGTAAAGTGGAATCGGGCAGTATTTGTCTTTCTGTGGCTGGTATATCTCACTTGGTTTCATTTCTATTGATTCATTTCACAGAACCAGACCCAAGCTTCCAGGATCTGTGTGTGTGTTAATTCACCATTGTATATTCTGTGGTCATGACAATACCTGGCATGTATAAGGCAGTCAAGAATATTTGTGGATTAAGAAACTTGCTCATCAGTGTTATAATATAAAATCATTTTTAATCTGTCCAGTGGTTTGGGGATAATTTGGGGATAATGGTGTTCTTTTATAGCTCTCCACCCTCTTCTCACCCCATTTCCTCTTATACACACACATACTCACACACTCTGGTCAAATATCTCCCACCCTAGGTGGAGTTTATTTTTGCCCCAGCAGCTGACAAAAAACCTCAACAGTAGCACTCCATATGTACACCCTTACAGGGTCAGGCAGAATGCCTTGCATTTTGTCAAGAAGCATAAATGAAAAATTATTTGCTTTCAAGGCAAGCTACAGATATTTGCCACATAACTGGAAAATGTGCACGTCTGGACTTCACCATAAACAACCTAATGTCTATCAACAGTATAATGGAAAAATAAATTGCAGTATAGTCTTACAATGGAATATTACACAGCAATGACAATGGCCAAACTAGAGCTATAGGCAACAACCTGGCTGAACCTCACGATCATAATGTGGAGTGAAAGGACCCAGGCATAGTAGAATAAATACAGTATGAGCCCATTTATTTAAGTTTTTAGACAAGAAAAACGACATTACAGGGTTAGAAGTCAGGATAGTCGTTACCTTTGGGAAGACAGTATTCATGGGAGGACTTGAGGGGGACTTCTGAGGTGCTGGCAATTTTCCATGTTTTGATCTGGAAGTGGTTACATGGAGGTTCTTTCTAAGTTATTAAATTTATGTTGTGTGTATTTTTCAGCATGTTTGTTATATTTCAATTTAAAATGGTCTAAAAATTGATAATATTCCATGATTTCAAAAGTGCCTTCTAGGAGCAGATAATTCAGATAGTTCAAATTTTTTTGAGGACCTACTTTGTATTACATGCTGGCTACGTCATATGGAAATTTCAAATGAATAATACATCGCTTTTGGTGTCAAGAAACTCAAAATATAGCAGCCCATAATAGAGACATAGGTGGGGAAGGGAGGTCTTTGAGAAGGGAGTGGTGAGTTTCTATTCCAAAATTTAGGAGATTAGGAAAGTTTCTCCTAATGTGTCTAAGCCTCAACTTTAGGATATATACATGTTATTAGTATTGTTAGTCACAAATCTAATCGTATCTGAAAGAATAAGACCTAAAGAAAGTTAAACAGTAACCACAAAGAAAATCAAGTGAAAAACATGAATTAAGAAACTTCTTACCTATGGGTTTCTCTCTTTAGCTTACATAGGAAGTGCATTTTGCTCAGTGGACACGGAGTATATTTGCTGAGTGTGCTGCGGGTAATATGAGTAGGAGATGTGTATGATTAACAGAGAAAACAAATCTAGCTCAATACTGACAAAACTTCAAAGGGAATTTTGATGCCTAAAATTGTTCTGGATGATTTTGAAAATTATATAATAGGCTAAATTATTCTTTGGAATATTGTGAGAAAAATTTGTTATGCTGATAGGAAAGATGCAAATATATTAACAAAAATGGTGTTTGCCATCCTTTAATTAATTTATCTACTCTATTAAAATGGTTTGGATAAGTAAAGATATACAGTTACTAATATCCTTTGTGTTTCTCAAAGATATTTTAGTTAGGCAACAGTATTCATGATTTTATATAAAGCCTTCAGCATTTCAATAGTGTTGCCTGATGTGTTTGGGATAGCTGATCGGAGATTTAACAAAATTGATGTTGATATCAAACATTCCTCATACTAATGAATATGTCTGAAAAATGTATATGGAAAAACAATGACTTGAGAACTAGGAGTTACTCATGAGGGTGATAAACATAGTGATCAGCACAAATCTTGGCCAGGCAGTTGCTTTTATAACCCCATTGGCAGCTAGTATCTTCTATTTGACAAAAATAATGTACCACATATGAACCTCTCAGTAAATTCAACTTTCCCCAAATGCCTGCTGAGATTTATCTTGCACAGAATGGATTAAACTTTCAAGGCTTAGAAGAAAAATGTACATTCATCCCCAATTCACCAGCTAAATAGAATGCCAAGCTCACGTCTTAAAGGAAGCCTTTAAGAACGATTCGGATGACCCAGAGAGAGATGACATTCTCTACCCCCCATGATGCCAGGACTGGAGGCTTTAAAAACACCTGTTTGTGCTGGAACCTAATTGGCACTAATCCTATGTGGCAAAATAAGCTGGGGTCTGATAAGGTTCAGAACATTGGTTAGGAATAATTTTTCAGTGTTGCTTAAAATTAGTATTTTTTTATTTTTATTTTATTTTTTGAGACAGGTCTTACTCTGTCACCCAGGCTGGAGTGCAGTAGCATGATCTCGGCTCACTGCAACCTCTGCCTCCTGGGCTCAAGTGATTCTCATGCCTCAGCCTCCTGAGTAGCTGGGGAGCATGCACCTCCATGCCCGGCTAATTTTTGTATTTTTGGTAGAGACAGGGTTTCACCATGTTGCCTAAACTGGTCTTGAACCCCTGAGCTCAAGCAATTCACCTGCCTCAGCCTCCCAAAGTGCTGGGATTACAGGTGTGAGCCACTGCATCCAGCCAAAATTCATATTTTTTAAATTAAACTTTGGTGACTACTATCTGGGAGGTGCTTGGAAGTAGTAAAACAAAACAAAATCTCTGTGCATTTTGTAAATGTCCCTGATTTATTGGCTATTTTCTTATCTATTATTAGTTGACAGTAGATGATAAATATCTATAAATAAAGAAGTAAGCTTTTGCTAGTTCCTCTATAATGTCTAATTTGTGTTGTAGGTAATTTGAAACAGTTGAATCCCAATTGACTTCAGATCAGGAAATATTTGTGTTTATGATTTGGAATAATGTTTTGGTATTAGTCAGGATAATACAGACTATGCTGCAGTAACAAGTACACCCTCAAATCTCAGGCTTAATCCAGTAAAGTTATTTATGACTCTTGTCTAAGTCTTACTCAGTGAGTCACTTCTCCTTGGAGCTCTCCTATAGTGACTCAGGGATCTGGGCTGCTATGTCTTACAGCTCTGCTATCTCATTGTTCCAGCCACACTAAAGGGAGAGAAGAGAACATAGAGAAAACATAGCTGCCTTTGACTGCTTTGGATGAGATGAAACATATTAGTTCTGCTCCTTTTCCCATTAGCAAGTATTCAACCTTTTGTCTCTGTGTGCCCCGAAAAGGGAGAATTGGTGGTCTTTCCACAGTTACTTTTCTGGATTGTTTTGCATATCTTAGGGACCCCTTGCTCCATTTCTGTTTTAAATTTATTGTAGCTCAAACATGCATATGATGGAGATGTGGAAAGATCAGGGTAAATTTTCCACACTTGATAGAAAGTTTTTCTAGGCTGATACCTTTTTTGTCACTCTAAAACGGTACAAGCTGCCTTATTGGAACTCCAGGTCTTAAGTATCTAGATTCATATATCTATGTACTTTCATATCATTATATGTTACAGGTATTAAATCTACAAAATATTTGAATTTTAAATCTTATAAACATAACAAAGATGTCTATATTTTCAAAATCTTAGGTTTTAAAAATAAATCTAGAGAGAGAGCACTGAATCCCTCATTAAATGGATGAATTTCTTCAGGACTAACCTTGCCAAATGGTTTAGGGTACATGAGGGTAGGAACTAAAGCTTATCTGATAATTATTAATTTATTTTTTCAGTCTTCCTGTGGCATCTTCCTGTGTCTCATCAATTATGATAAAAGCATTCAAAGATGTATAATAGCTCAAAGTCTCTCTTTTCCTTACTCCCATTTCTGTCTATGTAACTCAGTTTGTGCCATCTTCTTTCTCCACCTGGCCTTAACCATCTGCACCAAGAAAAAAAAATCCCATTTACATAATAGCATTTTGGCAGATTAGGACTTTCACTGAAGTTTCAGGGTGGGAGGGGCACAGAGTGTGATGGAAAAATGATCAGGTAAGGCCATTTCCTCCACCATCTTGCCTTGGAGCCTATTCCAGCCTAGCTTTGCCCAAGCTCACACTCTCCATGTGTGACCCATTCATTATGTGAATCTTTAAGAAAGTGATTCTGTTTCTGGATCTCCTTGAGAAAAATCCCTTTCTGCTCTTTTCTTTAGGACCCCAGAAATTTTAGAAAACAGATTTTTTTCCATTTTGTCATATTTTATATCTTGTGTACGTCCTAATAAGCTTTCAGGTGATTTACAGTAAAACAAAGTATCACATTAAAACCATCAAGCATTAGAGACAAAGGACAAGAGGCAGGGCAACTATGCTAGATAACCTAGGCTAAGGGAAAACTGTAATTGAGTTAAGAAAAACCTAGCTCTGAGGTTCCTAGCTGCCGAAGTCATTAAGGAAACTAATTAATCTTCATTTTAGTTGATTGAAATGCTTGTTTTTTTTTTAGTTTGCCATGACTCTTCTTAATTTCGGCTGTGTTACCCAATGTTTGGCCCAGCTTTATTTCACTTATCTCTTTAATGTACATTGCTTCTCCGTTTTTGTTCATTGACCCAAGTCAGTTTGGGTAAATTCATTAACACAATCTCATTGGCCCAAGTCAATGAAAGAAACATTGACAAAACAGGGCCAAATACAGCTTTATAGTATGTTTTGGGGATGACTTTCAATGTTATTCATTCATTCATCCTTTCAAATATTTGCAAACACTGGCATGTCTTGGGCACTGTGCAAAGTATATGGGAAGTAGCAGTTGGTACCCTGCTCCTAAGTAGATTGTAATCTACAGAAAGCGAAGCTTGAGAAGTTCAGCAATTTAACCTGACTTTAAACAGAAACCCACTCAAATTACAGAGCTGGAATTTGAAAGCAAATCAGTCTTCACCAAAACCTATGTTACTGACTTATCCGCTACTTTCTTTGTGACAGGCAGAATTTCTACAGTGGCCTCCACAAAAATGCCCTGCCCTGATTCATGGGAACTGGGAATAGGATGAGATGACACTCTCATGATTGTGTTATGTTACATGGCACATGACCTTGCAATGATCTGGTTAGGTCTGATCTAATTACACGAGTTCTTTTTTTTTTTTTGAGACGGAGTCTTGCTCTGTTGCCCAGGCTAGAGTGCAGTGGTGTGATCTCGGCTCACTGCAAGCTCCACCTCCCAGGTTCACGCCATTCTCCTGCCTCAGCCTCCTGAGTAGCTGGGACTACAGGCACCTGCCACCGCACCCAGCTAATTTTTTTGTATTTTTAGTAGAGACGGGGTTTCACCGTGGTCTTGATCTCCTGACCTCGTGATCCACCCGCCTTGGCCTCCCAAAGTGCTGGGATTACAGGCATGAGCCACCGCGCCCGGCTCATCACATGAGTTCTTAAAAGCAGAATGTTTTCTCTACTGATAGCAGAAGTCAGAGATTCAAAGCATGGAGGAGATTCAACATACTGTTGCTAACTTTGACCATGGAGTGGACCCCATATGAAGGGATGCAGGCGCTGCTTAGAAGCAGAGAGATGCTCCCACCTAACAGCCAGCAAGTAAATGGGAACCACAGACCTACATCCACAAAGAGCTGAATTCTGTCAACAAACTGAACGAGTTTAGAATTAGATCCTTCTGCAGAACCTCCAGATAAAGGCCCAGACTGGCTGATGCCTTGACTTTGGTTTTATGAAATTCTAAGCAGAGAACCCAGCCAGGCTTACTGAATTTCTGACCTACAGAACTGTGAGATAATAAAATGTGGTGTTTTAAGTTGCTAAATTTTGGGTATTGTGTTTTGCACCAATAGAAATCTAATACATCCTCTCAGATTAAAAAGAAACCACTAATCCCCTCTCATTGGGCAATTCATGAATCAGAATAGCTGGATCTCTTATCTTCTACCCATTTCCCCCATATATTCCTAGGGTTATCATGAGAAAATTCCATGGAATCCAATCTCAGCTGTACTTCCAATTCGCCATTTGAATGACTCTTCACGCTCAGCCAGGTGTTCTGGTAACTGTTTCTCTTTGGGGAGCCAGGAATGGCCATTGACCAGTTGGGAAACCAAAGCTCAGAGGAAGCTTATGTGAGGTCATACAGAAAATTGGTGGCAGATCAGCTGGGCGTGGTGGCTCAACGCCTGTAATCCCAGCACTTTGGGAGTTCGAGGTGGGCGGATCACCAGGTCAGGAAGATGGAGACCATCCTGGATAACACGGTGAAACCCCGTCTCTACTAAACGTACAAAAAAAATTAGCGAGGTGTGGTGGTGGGCACCTGTAGTCCCAGCTACTCGTGAGGCTGAGGCAGGAGAATGGTGTGAACCTGGGAGGCGGAGCTTACAGTGAGTCTAGATCGTACCACTGCACTCCAGTCTGGGCAACAGAGCAAGACTCTGTCTCAAAAAAAAAAAAAAAAAAAAAAAAAAAAAAAAAAAGAAAGAAAATTGGTGGTAGATAGATATGGCTTGTTTAAATGTGTTTTATTTTAAAATTTCTTCTTTCCATTAGGAAGCAGAGGTCTACTCTTTTGAGCAAGATAATTCTGAAGGTGAATTTAACATCTGATGCAGTTGTAACACTTACGTAGGGAAATACTTTTCTACTCTCATTTTCAGGCATACTTTATTACCACAGCCTCTTGGGTTTTGCCAGCAAAACATCTTTTTGTGACCTCAATTATATGCTGTCGATTTGTTTAAGCCACGCTATTTCCACCTCAGTAGTGATCCAACTTGTTGGCATTGGATAGACCCTCACATTCATTGTTATGTGAATAGACACTTAAAACCATTTTGATGTAGTAAAAGAAAGTAAGTAAATTTAGGTTACTAAAGAAAACTCCTGCTGAAATCTTTGACCCTGAGCTCCAAAGAGCATAGTATAAATGCTGGGTAAACTATTTTTGTCCTCTGCTCTGTAAATGAGTTCCTTTCTTTCTTCCATTGAGTACTGTTCAGCACAGCTGCTATTTTTAGAGCCAAAAAAAAAATGGGAACTGAAAATAAAGAAATAAAACCTTGTCTGAAACACCTAAGCCTGTGAATCATGGCCTGCCTCCTGCATAGAGTGTGTGTAGCTGCTAAGTAATTTATGAATGAAGGAGTGTAGACCAGGGATGGCATCAACAAAAAGAACTAAGACTGATGGATTCTATTTCTATTTCCAAACTGATGATGAAATGACTTCAGATAAGTCACTTTAACTTATTTTGGGACCTCTACCTGTAAAATAGGAAGAAACTCCTTTTTTTCTTGACAATGATATAAAGACCTGCTTAGCTTCTCACCTTTGCAGACTTCTCGTTTAAGGCTTGATTCTCTGAAGCTCCTCCTTTAATATTCAACCCTGTACAACAGCAATGGGATCCATGCTTTTCCTTGGGACAAAGGAACTCAGGACAATAATTCAAATGATTCAGCCTTAGTGCTGGTTCACTTGGAGTGTTAGCCCTGGTTGGGTTCTGGCTTTGTTCTGTGTGATCTAGCCCTTTCCTATGACCTCATTCTAGTAACTGGATCCCCAGATTGTTTTATTACATCTGAGCCTCTCCTTTGGTTTTCGATCTGCTATGCCACTTCCTCTGAGACTAAAGCTCTGCAGCTGATCCTTTTTGTCCCTGCTGTCATATTTCAGCCAGAGTATCCAGTTTAGGTAAGGTTTCAACTCTTTGTCCATCTATGCCACCACTTTTTTTTTTTTTTTGAGATAGAGTCTCGCTCTGTCGCCCAGGCTGGAGTGCAGTGGCACAATCTTGGCTCACTGCAAGCTCCACCTCCCGGGTTCACACCATTCTCCTGCCTCAGCCTCCTGAGTAACTGGGACTACAGGCGCCCACCACCATGCCAGGCTAATGTTTTGTATTTTTTTTTTTTTTTTTAGTAGAGACAGAGTTTCACCGTGTTAGCCAGGATGGTCTTGATCTCCTGACCTCGTGATCCACCCACCTCAGCCTCCCAAAGTGCTGGGATTACAGGCGTGAGCCACCGCGCCCGGCCATATGCCACTACTTCTTGAAAGACAATCCTTGAAGACAATTCATTAAAAAATTTTAAATTCAATGTTGAGGAAACCCCCAAAATACTTGTAAAATATGCATAAAATATAAAGACTAATGATACAGTGAATATCTGGAGTATCTCACCTGGTTACCACCACTATCACTACCAAAAAAAAAAAAATTATTGTTACCATTGAAGTCCTTGTCCCATTCCCTTTCCTCTCTACTCAGAGGAAACCACCCTGGCTGAATTAACTTGTGTTTATCTCTCGCTCTCGCTCTCTTTTTTTTTTTTTTTTTTGAGACTGAGTCTAGCTCTGTTGCCCAGGCTGGAGTGCAGTGGTGCAATCTTGGGTCACTGCATGCTCCGCCTTCTGGGTTCACGCCATTCTCCTGCCTCAGCCTCTCGAGTAGCTGGGACTACAGGTGCCCGCCACCGCGTCTGGCTAATTTTTTGTATTTTTAGTAGAGACAGGGTTTCACCATGTTAGCCAGGATGGTCTTGATCTCCTGACCTTGTGATCTGCCCGCCCCGGCCTCCCAAAGTGCTGGGATTATAGGTGTGAGCCACCGCACCCAGCCTATCTCTCTCTTTTTGTAACTTTAGTTTTCCCAGACGGTATATCCCTAAGTAACATATTATTTAATGTTGTATATTTTTGAACTTTATATAGATAAATTATAGTGTATGTGTTATGATATTTCCTTTTTTAGTTCAACATTATGTCTCTGAGATACTCCATGTTTTTACATTTACCTGTAAATTATTAATTGTCACTTCTAGAAGGCAGTGTTTTCATTGCATGACTCTCACATAGTTTGTTACCTCTGCTATCCTTGATGAACATTTGGATTTTTGCTATTTTTATTATGAAAGGGACTGCTATGAATATGCACCTGTCTTCTAGAAGAAACACTTGCTGGTTGATACAGTCTTCAAAGATGCTTGTCTCAATTTATAATCTCACCAGAAGGATAATTCCATATCCTTGCCAACATTAGATTTTGTTAGGCTCTTTAACTTTTGTCAGTCTGGAAGTCATAATATAGTACCTAATTGTGGTTTGAATTTTTGTTTTCTTGGCGATTAACAAAACTAAGAATCTTACTTGTATTTTTTTGGTCCTTGGATTTTCTCTTCTCTGAAGAACTGTTTACATTTTTTGTTTCAGTTTCCTACCAGTCATTTGCTTTTTAAAATGATTTGCAGAAGTTCTTTGCTCAGTTACTATTCCTTTGCCAGTAACATCTAGGGCAAACATTTTTTTTCCCAGTTTGTGGGTTGTCTTTTTATATTTCATATCTTTTAGGACCAAAAATCCTTAATTTTAATTTAGCTAATTTATCTCTTTTAAAAAATGACTTGCATCTTTTGCATCTTAAGACAATTTTCCTGGCCCAGTGTGGTGGCTCCTGCCTGTAATCCCAGAACTTTGGAAGGCCAATGTGGGAGGATTGCTTGAGGTCAGGAGTGAGACCAGCTTCAGCAACATATTGAGACCCCATATCTACCAAAAAAAAAAAAAAAGACTTTTTTCGTTCTCCTAATATCACAAATATGTTGTCCTATATTTTGACTAAAAGTTGTATAGTTTTGCCTTTCATATTTATGTCTTTAATCTATCTGGAATCTGTTTCTGTGCAAGAGGTTAAAAAGGGCTTTGATTTAATTTTTTCCAAACCAATAACAATGTCTAAGTAATGTTTATTTAAAGTCTATTCTTTTCCCACTGGTGTGCAATGCCAGCTCTGACATAAATCAAGTTTCAAGTCTGTTTCATTGATCTGTTGCTTTTCCCTGTGATAATTCTACAGTGTCATGAATGTAAACATTTTGTAAGAATTCTTGATATCTGGTAAAGCAAGCTTCACTAACTTGTTGTCTTAAAATGTGTTGGTTGTCCTGGCTCTATGTTTTTCCATATATATGTTGGAAATTTCTTTTGACAAGTTAAATATACACACATACACACAAATTCATTGCAACGTAGACTGTAAATGCCTTTATCATGAATTTGCAGAGAACTGACTTGTTTTATATTGCTGCTTCTAATCCACAAACATGGTATATCTTGTATTTGAAGTCTTTTAATAATTAATATGTCTATCATAGTCTTATGCATATTTTGCTCAATTTATTGCTAGGAATACACACACATTTGCTATGATTAATCATGATATGGGATTTTAATTGTGTGCACTTGAATTGTATTTGCATATTCTCAGCACACTTCATCATTTTCATTCCATGCTATGATAAATCATTAATATTCTCATTTGTGAAGTCTAGATCAGGTCTATTTTCCTGTCTTCCCTCCCACTTTAATTGGATAGTCTTTATTTTTTCTTACTGGTTAATAGACATTACATTAAAAATGTTAAATTATCAATGTATGTTTTTGTCATATATAAAGATATAAATAAATATATTTACTCTCTATATAAATATCTTTTTCTACTAATGGCTTGCCATTTTACTTTTTATTTCTGAATGAACCATATATAAATATATATAATTTTGGCATATATAAAAACACACACATGCATGTAAACACATATATGATTTTTACATTGCTATTTGGAAGACTGGTCTGTAATTTTTCATTCTTATAATGCCCTTGCCAGTTTTTCATACAAAGTGATACTAGCTTTATAAAATGAACTGGGGAGCGTCTCTCCTTTTATTCTTAGAAACTTACCTTTTCAGGAATTAACTTACCTTTTCAGGAATTAACTTATTCCCAGAGGTGGCTAATCAAACTACGTGGAACTAATATTTTCTTTTTAGAAAGTTGTTTTTTACTTACTCATTTCAAAAAAAGTTAATAAGCATATTTATTGTTTTTTAGTTGTTCTCTAGGCCATTTTGTAAATTATATTTTTCAATGATCTGCTCATCTGTTTTCATATTTATTAGTACTGTTATCTTTTTCATATGCATAGTGTCTATAATTTTGGTTAATGTTCATTCCAATATTATTTATTTTATCTCTTTTTTTAGATTAAACTTGTTAGAGGGCTGTCAGTTTTATTATTCTTTCAAATAACCAAGTTCTCACATCACCATTCCTTTCTGTTATGTGTTTACTTTCCTCTATTATATCCCTTTAGCACTCTTTGGATATATAGATAAATTTTCAGCATATTGACTTTTCTATTACTATTCTATTATCATATTACTTTATAAATTTTACTCTACATACCACTTTACCTTTATATCACAAGTTTTATGGGGCATGTGCTATTTTTGTTATTTCAATTCTTAATATTTTATAATTTATCTTGTGATTTCTTCTTTGACCTATGAGTTATTAAATTTGTGCATTTAAATTCCCAAACATATGGGGGTTTTTCTATATGTTTTTGTCATTATAAGTAACAATTAAATTGACTTTTGGTTGAAAAGTGATCTATATGAGATCAATTATTTGACATGTTTAAAGACTTTAAGACGTGGTCACTTTTAAAATCTTTTTAAATATAAATATTCTTCATGTTCTTGAAAATAATGTATTTTGAAGATATAGTGCTCCATATATGCACATAAGATAATTTTTGGGTAGTGTTCAATCTGTATCCTTACCAATTTATTTTCTGTCTGATCTAGTGTCAGAAAAAGTATGTTAAAATATTGTGCTATAATGGTAGAAGTGCCTGTTTTTTTTCTGTACTTCTCTGAATTTTTGTTTTAAATATTTTGCAGCTATGTTATTTACTGCATTATTGTATCATAACACCTTTGACATTGATGCCTAAGAGAATTGAGTTTATATATATATACTAACTCAATGTATATAGATACATATATCTCAATATATATAACTCAATATATAGACAGAAAGAATTGAGTTTACATATATTAACTCAAATATATATATATATACACATATATACACATATATATACACACACACACATATATATATATTTGGCTAGATTAGGGTTAATTTTCAGTGAACAATCCTCAACTCTGCAAAAGATCTTTCCATTGTCTAGACATTTATATCAATGTACATTTGAGGTACACAAATAAAGCTTAAATAAGTGATATGTGTTAATTATTAGCTTTGTTCTTCGATGGTGGGAAGGGTTAGGTTTGCGCTTTTGTTGGATTCATTAAATAGGGTTACTATCATTTTTTAAAACATGTGATGCATTTGCTTGTTCATGACTCTGAGTCCATTTTGTCCTCAGAGGGGAAAAACATGATGCTGGGGACCATGAGTCAAGGATGAAAGAAGGAAAAGAGAAGGAACCGTGGAATAGGATCCAGTTGGTTTGTAGCAGGACAAGCCGCGGACAAAACCCCTCAGACACCGAGTTAAAGAAGGAAGCGGTTTATTTGGCGGGGAGCATTGGCAGGACTCCTGTCTCAATAGCTGAGCTCCCTGAGCGAGCAATTCCTGTCCCTTTTAAGGGCTCACAACTCTAAGGGGTTGTGCGTGAGAGGGTCGTGATCGATTGAGCAAGCAGGGGGGTACGTGCCTGGGGGCTGCATGCACCGGTAATTAGATCGGAACAAAACAGGACAGGGGTTTTCACAGTGCTTTTCTATACAATGTCTGTAATCTATAGATAACATAACCAATTAGGTCAGGGGTCGATCTTTAACTACCAGGTCCAGAGTGTGGTGCCGGGCTGTCTGCTTGTGGATTTCATTTCTGCCTTTTAGTTTTTACTTCTTTCTTTGGAGGCAGAAATTGGGCATAAGACAATATGAGGGGTGGTCTCCTCCCTTAGGTTAATGTCGTAACAGCCTCCTTTCCTTTGTAGCTTCTTGGTTCCTTAACGACGTAGGAGGAAGACAGGTTTTGAGAAAATTTCACTTTCAAGGGAAATACTATTGCTTCAGTTTCAACCATCATTCAAAAAATCCTTAAATAATATTCTACAGGATGTGGACATGAATAACATTAAGTGTTGGACACCTAGACCAGCATTTTTGAAATCTTACCTTGGTGGCACCATTTCATAAAGTCCAGGCTACCTCTAATCCTAAACATATTCAGAATGTGATAGCAATTACCCATAGTTTTGAAGATATGAAAAAACAATGCATTCTTAAACTGACAGAGCAAAGTTTCTTTGGAAGTGCTTTATCAGGAATGAAAATGATGAAGTGTGCTGAGAATATGCAAATACAATTCAAGTGCACACAATTAAAATCCCAAGATGTGTTTTATGATAAATCATTTCACTGCAGTAGCAAGAATTAGCAATAGGAATTCAAATTGATAATTATGATTATATGATTTTTAGAATAGCTAACAATTTTCCATTTTCATCTGCTCTTTGAAATAAAAAGAAGAGTATAATATCTTAAAACCAATCTATAAAAGGCAGATTGTATTTCAAATGTACAAGAAATAATTTTTTCTCCCTGGCAGTCTTCTGTACCTTGAGAAAACCACAAATAGAATTTTTCAAAAAGTCTGGTCCTATCTCCCATCCCCACCTCCCAACCTCAGGATAAACTCTCAAACTTGTTTCAGTTCCAAAAATATTTCCAATACAGGCCTTAAAGAATGAGAGTAGTTGCTCTATGCTCCCATTACAATGCAAATGTCCTATTGGAAGTTAAGCCACTTCTAACCAATCCCTTCGGTGAGCAAGCCCTGCACTGATGGAATCACCCTATGGTGAACGTGTGTGGAGGTCTGTGTAAGAGGAGGACTGTTACGATTTTTTTTTATTTAGGCATTTATCATCAGCTAGGCCATTTCTTGTCTGCTTTCTGTTGCCTGTTCAGCTTGAAGGAATAACTCAAGCTGAGCAGACAATCTTCCAATTCAGAAATCATGTTGATTGCACATGTGATGGCTTTGCAGGGGCTCAGGAGGGAGAGGCACATGTTAGGATTATCTTTCATCTGCTGGTCCAAGCTTCTTTTAATTTTTAATTTGTTTAGGGTTTAATGAATAGAAGAGAAGAAATGTGCATGTTTTCAAATGTAGGTTTCATTATTATTCAGATATAGTGAGGCAAATGGGTCAGTAGATGACTGCCATTGAAAAGATGACTTGTCATAGATTTCAAGCGGAGGGGAACTCTGGCATACATGCCATACCACGGGGAGTCAGGGCACACAGAGAAGCATCAGCATTGGCCAGGAGGCAGAGGGAGAGAGGGGAAAACATCGGCAAGACTCTTTACTGTGGTTTCCATGGGAAAGAGCGGGGAGGCAGGGTAAGCTGGCTTAGAATTGGTTCGTTTGAATAATTTCAGCAGTTTTTGAGGTGCAGAAGATGTCCTCACTTGTCTAGTACCTGGCTCTGGGGTGATTTGGGCAAAGAAATAATGGCCGAGAGTGTCAGAGCCCAATAAAAGAGGTGGTTGAGAGGCATGGGCTCTCTTGCCTCTCAAGAGATTGGTTGGTTTGAATATGGAAAGCATGCTTGCAAGAGAGTCCTTTACTATTTCTAGTCATTGGGGAAGTGGTGGTGGGGGTCTGTGGCAGGGGGTGACAGTGCTTTCAAGATTAGCAAGGCCCCAAGATGTCAAAACATTGGAAATACATGGTTAATATGGTGTTGTACTAAACAAGTGTCATCCTTCCCGTGGTTGCTTTGTAAGGCTTCGTACAATTGTCCAAGGTTGACTGGACCCAAGGTAGTCCCATGACCTGGACCAGGGAGACTGCATAGACTGTGTCTTGCTTCTGCGCCTCTCTCTGGGTAGTGGATTCTGCCAAAGGCTTTGCTTAAGTCTGCACTTTCCCTCTTTGCGTTTCATCTGTGAAATTTGGACAAGAGCTGTCCTGTCTATTGAGGATGAATTAGAAAACAGGCACAAAGAGGGATTTAAAGCAAAAGATACTGTACTTTGCAAGTGTAATTCATGATTACTTAATAGGGAAAAGAAGCAGGTACTTCAAAAGAAGCATAAACGGAAAATGAAAACAACATACTACCAACAATGAAATAAAATCGGTCTTTTTAGTTTCTGATTTAAAGCATACATAGTAGGCATGGGTTTCATTTAGCATTCCCAGACTCAGAATAATGGCTCTGTGTTGAGGCAATTCAGAGAATCTGGCAATCATGTAACTCTGTTGAGATGTTGGCCAATTCTATTGCAATCCTTAGTCAAATTTTTGCAGTGCAGTATCTGTGTGCTTTTGTCTGTATCTTTTCAAGTGAGAGTTGGGAAGTTCCCCTCATGCCCTTGAGCATTTCAGGTTCCCTCGAAACAGCTTCCACAACATTGTTTTCCTTTATGCCAGGTACAAAATCCTAGAGAGATCCTGATTATACGATTTGCCAATCCAATGTTAAAAAACAAGAAAAAAAAAAACAAGAAAAAAAAAAGCTTTCTCTTGGCTGGGGATCCTCCATGCAAGCTTGATTTATTTCCTTATGTGCCTGGTGTATAACTAGTTAGTAGCTGCCCAGTGTACCAGATTTTAAAATAGACGGTAGTGAGGCTTTCTGTAAGATTATTGCATTTCCTAAGAAGCAAATGTAAACAAGGCATAGAGATGATTGCATTTGTGTTTTGAGGACCTCAGCAAGCAGAAACAATTGAAATATACCATCAACAGGAAGGAAAGAGTGTGTGTGTTTATAAAGCAGGATTAGAAACGAGTTTCCTGAATAAAAGACAGGAAGCTGAGAACACTTTTATTCAAATGCCATCTCTGTTGAGAATATGCCTGTTTTTCCTATTTATTATTCAAAAAGTAGAATACACCATCTCGTTCTGTAAGAAGGTCACAGGCACCAGCCAACTGATGACACTGAAACTCTCAGAAGCTTCAAATTTCTCTAGAAATGCAAAATAGTGCTCTTCAGTGGAGATGGTAAAATCATGATGTTTGCCAATTCCCCAGCTTTAAGTGTACACTTTGCACTTTAATCCCAAGAACAATATTGCTGAGTGAAAGGTATTATTCTCAGTAAATAGAGAAACTTAAAATGTAAGAACCAATGATGAGGCCGGGTGCGGTGGCTCATGGCTGTTATCCCAGCACTTTGGGAGGCTGAGCTGGGAGGACTGCTTGAGGCCAGGAGTTCAAGAGCAGCCTGGGTACCATAGTGAGACCACCCTCTCTTACAAAAAAAAATTAAAAATTAGCTGGGCATTGTGGTGCTGCCTGTAGTCATGGCTATTTGGGAGGTTGAAGTGGGAGGATTGCTTGAGCCTAGGTGTTTGAGGCAGCAGTGAGCCACGATCCTGCCACTGCACCCCAGCCTGGGTGACAGAGTGAGACCCTGTGTCAAAACACAACAACAAAAACCAGTGATGAGATTTGCCTTACCCAAAGAAGAGCGAAAATCATGTGCAAAATGAAGATTAAAAACTTAATGCCCTCTTTGTGGAAACATTCAGCCGTTCCCATGCAGCAGACCTTAGACTCTGTGGCGTTCTTCACCACACGGCTGTCTGACATTGCTAATATCCCAATGTGTGCCTTATGGGTCATGTTCTTAGTCCCTGTTTTCATAAGACTTTGGAAATCTTGAATTAAGCAAATACTTGGTGGGGACAGTTCCCGGTTCCTTGGGACAATCCAGTTCCTACTTACTAGAGAGTCCACGGGAACTGATATAGGTGGTCCTGGGGTGGATGATGGCTTAGAGTGGGTGTTTCTGGGTTTAATAGCAGACCTGGTTCTCAGCATAGGCAGGGTATGTGGACCTTCCAGCAGTATTCTTTATCATCTCCTAGGACTTTGTCAGATCTGGATTCTCTGCTTCTCCAACCCTCATGTTCTCATTTGTGTTGAAGTGGCTCTTCATCCTCACTGGGACATCTGCTCCCACAGCTCTGGTCTCTTGTCTGAACTCTTCGCCCCAGTCTGCCTCCGTTGTCCCTCTACCCAGCCTGGATCCCGTGACTCCTTTGTGCAGTTTCCTCGCCAGCACCTTAGCATCCCTCACCACCCTTGGCCCTTCACTGTCCCCATTTGTCACATCCATGTCTGGATACTTCTTACTGAACCCTTTCTCATGCCATTTCTGGGTGACAGGACCTGGTAGAGGAAGCTGAGAAACAGTGCTGAGGGCTTGGGGGTAAGTTCAAGTTGTCTGGGTGCCCAGCTCCTTCTGCTGTTCAGCAATCCTCTGAATCAGCTGTCAATCCTCAGCTCTCTTCTCCCCACAGAAAACTCTCATCTCTTCATTTACCGAGATCATCAAGTCCATCTAATGAGAACTCCTCTCATTTTCTCTTATTTCATTTCTAAAGTTCTCTGAGTGTTAGGATATTTTTGAGATATTAACCTCTATCAACTTGTTTTCTTCCAACATTTCCTGCTTTTCCTTCCTGTCCATAGAAGCGGTAAATTGTCTCCATGTTCATTGTCTCAGTGGAGAGGTAGGACAGGATGGGTCTTAATGATTTTGGTTTCAAATACTCTGAGCTCTTAAGAAGAAGAGGGCAACTAAGGACGGACTCAATGGTGGGGAAAAACATGAAAGAAGAATTCTTGTCCCTGCCCCACTTCAGTCCTTCCCAAAACTAGAAGATTCCTCTTGGATGATGTGAGAACAGAGGATCTGCTCTTCGTAAATCCTAGCAAAAGTGCACCTGCTGCCTTGTCTAGCAGAATTGCGGAGAGAAATTGGACTCGTGGTGTATACCAGATGGGCTCTTAGTCTAGTAGAGATTATTGCACCCCTGGTGTGGCACAAAGGTGATAGTGAGAGTCCCTTGCCACTGGCATTATATGGAAACAGCAGAAAAGCCACCAGACTTGAAGTCACCATGAGCAGAAACAAACATGACTTGGCAGAAAACTTCACAGACCAATATTTCAACTCCCTTCTCCCCAGCCATGTTTCAGGATTCTGTAAGCACCCTGGAACATTGATAGAACTCTGGAGAAGAAAGCAGGGAGGCCAGAACCAACTAGGATAAAATTTCCACCAACCCAGGGGGATGGGGGCTTATAATAACAATTAGGTTGAGTTATAGAAAAATACAATATGTATTGCCTGCTTGAGTTAAAGACTGAGATTTAGACCCACTTCATCTGTGTCTTTAACCATCTTCATTCTTTCACATTAACAAGAAGTGTTTTATTGCCTTATGTTTCATTTCAATTTCAAGAATAGCATGCCATCGTCCTAAATCATTGTGCTAATATTTCCAACATCTACCAAGCCTTCGTTGCATATATTCCTTCTTGTATTAGGTCATTTAAAGTCTCAAGGGGGCACATATCTAACTCAGAGTACCTAAGACGAGAGTAAGTATGTTGGCTCATGGAAAGCAAGAAAGTGTGACATGGGAAAACCACTGGGCAGGCAGAATGTGGCTGTGCCTCAGAAGTAACTGTAACTAGGGTCTAGCTGCCCTTAGGATTCTTTCTCTTCATTTCTTCAATCTGCTTCTGTCTGAGAAATGGAATCATTATCTTTCTTTGCAGAGTGACTGGCTTAGCCCAGCAGGGAAGAAACACAACGTCTGAAAGCACCAAAGTTTTTCATCTTAAAATTTTTACTACACGGGAAGGACGGACTCATGCTTTCTCTCTGGTACCTCATTTAGAAATCCATATATTGGCTGGGCACAGTGGCTCACGTCTGTAATCCCAGCACTTTGGGAGGCCGAGGTGGGTGGATCACAAAGTCAGGAGATCGAGACCATCCTGGCCAACATAGTGAAACTCCATCTCTACTAAAAATACAAAAATTAGCTGGGCGTGGTGGTGCGTGCCTGTAATCCCAGCTACTCAGGAGGCTGAGGCAGGAGAATCACTTGAACCAGGGAGTCGGAGGTTGCAGTGAGCCAAGATTGTGCCACAGCACTCCAGCCTGGCGACAGAGCGAGACTCCGTCTCAGGGAAAAAAAAAAAAAAAAAAGAGAAATCCATATATTGCTCATGTCACCTTCAATGTTTGAGGTACAGGTAGAAGTAGTTTAAAGAACGAGTTGGGGATGATGTAGGACAGAAAAAACAATAGATGTCTATGACCTATCTTTAAGAGAGATAAGCTGCCTTTAGGTGTTGGCTGTCATTTCAGTGGCCTATAAACACATGCATGTTCAGTCACAGAAAGTAAATACAAAAGAATGAGTATATTATCTATACTGCTTCCCTTTCCTCACTGTTTTCTCTCTTCTCTATTTCTTGCAATCTAGTGTCTGCTTCAGTCACCCTGAAGAAATTCCCTTAAGGGTTGCTGTGAATGACGTCATACTTCTCAAATTCAACTGCTTCTTTTCTTCCCCCAATAGCTGATTTTGTTAATGGCCTATTTTTGTTATTATTTTTGTTAGTATTTGTTATTATTATTTTTATTATTATTATTTTTGTTATAATGGCTAAAACATTTTTTCCTAGCTCAGATTCCAACTGCCCGTCTTTATCTGGTTTTCTTCCTACCTCCCAGATAATGCTTTTTTGTTTTCTTTGCTAATTTTGCTTTCTCCTTTTGCTCCTTAATTGTAGGTAACCATCACATTTCTGACTTAATCCATTCTTCTCTACTCTCGGTCTCATGGTAGTTCAAAGACTTCGGTAGCTTTTTTATTTTCTAAAGCATAAAACCGAAGATATTGAAAGAATCAAAGAGCTAGTACAAAGTTAACATTCCATAAAAACAATGTGATGAATGATAATGAGAACAGCAAGAGTTGACAGTTATTGAGCACTGGCCATTGCTCTAAACACTTTACTTGAATTAAGCCCTTTGATCTTCACCCTATAAGATGAATACTATTTTTATTATTTCCATTTTAACAGGTGCGGGCAAGATACTGTGCAGAGCTTGAATGCTTGTCCCAAATCAAATAGTAGGAAAGGCAGTAGTAAGCAAACTTGGGTGGTCTCCTAAACATGTCTACAGCTTCCTTGCATCCTGTGTTTGCTCTGGGTGATGGTCCCCATACCCAACTCCATCATTCAACATTCTGCTCCGCCTTCAAGTTAGAAGTTTCCAGATTACCTCTCCCAAGTGACTTGTAAGATGAATTCCTTCCCTCTTTTGAACTTTCATGGTGTTTTATTTGTGCCTTTGTTATACATTTTTTGTTCTACTTTCCACTTATTTAAAATATGTCATCTTGCTTAATAGACTGTAAGTAACCATAGGCTTGTGTGTCCCCATCCTGCCCCACCATAGTACCTCTTACTGCCATCTTCCATCATGAATGCTCTATCAGTGTCCATTAAGTGAACAGATGAGTCATTTGTCAAACAACCAATATTTACTGAGAATTTTAAATAGACCTTTATAGAAAATCTCTATAGACCAGTCCTACTCAAAGTACAGTCCACAGACTGGTGTTTTTCCCAGAACCATTTGTTATGGTGAGATAGGAAGCTTATTCCAGAAAGGTAAATCAACATACAGATTCCTTCATCAAGAAAGTCCTTCTCAGAAAAAAACGTTGGCTCAACTAAACAGATCTATGTGTGTGGTTGAATTATATTTTGGTATAAGCTCCTGACCTCATCAGGGACCAGTAACAAATAGTTTGAGGCCCAGTACTTTCAGTAGCACCACTATAGGGGATTGCTGTGGTTTAAATGTATGCATCCCTCCAAAACTCGTATGTTGGAATGTAAACCCCAAGGTGATGATATTAAAAGGTAGGCCTTGAGAGGTGACTAGGTCGTGAAAGCTTCACCCTCATGAATGAGGTGTTAACCACCTCAAAAACCACTATAAAAGGGATGGAAGGAACTAGCTGCACCCCTTTTTGGCCTTCCATTTTCTGTCGTTTGAAGACACAGCATTCATCTCTTCTGCCAGGTGTGGATGTAGGAACAGGGTGCCATCTTGGAAGCAGAGAACAGCCCTCACCAGGCATGGAATCTGCTGGTGCCTTGATCTTGGATTTCTCAGCCTCCAGAACTGTAAGAGATGTATTTCTCTTTTTGTAAATTACTTAGTCTCATTTTGTTATAGCAGCAAAATCAAACTGAGGCTGATATATAAAACAGACATGGTATGATTTCTGCTCCCAAGAGCTTACATTTTAATTGAAGAAATATAATGTGAAATTTTAAAGCAAGAATAGCAACAACTAGATCACAAGAAGATAAACATGCAGGTCAGTAAAAAGAATAAAGGAATTAAAATGCCTCTTAACTGTTAGTCCAATTCTCTAAGTTTTGCAGATCAAGAAACAAAGGCTTGGACAGGCTATTTTAAGCAAGTCTTAATAAGGCAAAAACATTTTCATGGAAACAAAATGTTAGAAGTACATTTAAAAGTATGACTGGACGTTAACTGTGATTTGAACATTCACAACAGTTATAGGTGAGCATAGGTTCCACAAGGAAGTTTTCTGGTCTTTATTTGTAGATTTAATAAAATCCAAAAGTTTGTTTTGTTTGTTGGTTCATTTTGAGATGGAGTCTTGTTCTGTTGTCCAGGCTGGAGTGCAGTGATGCAATCTCGGCTCACTGCAACCTCCACCTGCTGGGTTAAGCAATTCTCCTGCCTCAGCCTCCCGAGTAGCTGGGATTACAGGTATATGCCACCATGCCTGGCTAATTTTTGTATTTTTAGTAGAGATGGGGTTTTGCCATGTTGGGTAGGCTGGTCTGGAACTCCTGGCCTCAAGTGATCCTCCTGCCTCAGGCTCCCAAAGTGCTAGAATTATAGGCATGAGCCACCACGCCTGACCCAAAAGTTTATATGATGAAATATAACATTAGCATATAAATAAAATATATTTCTGCAGTCTATACATCTTTGCCCTACTTAAAAATTCTAATTTGCCAGATGTGGTGGCTCACACCTTTAATCCCAACACTCTGGGAGGCAAAGGTGGGAAGATTGCTTGAGTCCAGGAGTTTGAAACCAGCCTGGGCAACATAGCAAGACCCCATCTCTACAAAAAATTAAAAAAAAACCTAGCCAAGTGTGGTGGTGTGTGCCTGTAGTTTCCGCTACTTGGGAAGTTGAGTAAGGAGGATTACTTGAGCCCAGGAGGTCGAGGCTGCAGTGAGTTATGATTGTACTACTGTACTTCAGGCTGGGTGACAGAGCAAGACCCTGTCTCTCGCTAAAAATAAAATAAAATAAAATAAAATAAAATTCTAATTTATCTTATTAAAAAAAGGATTGCAAATACTTAAGAAAGGCTTTCTGAGTGTCTATTTTCTTTGAAGGGCCTCTCAGTGTACATAGTTTGCAGCAAGGCTTTCAAATATTTATTTGTTGGTTACAAATGCAATTTTAAGTAGTCTGACAATCATTCATTTTCTGAAATATTATCAACAAGAGTAGACTTACTGAAGCAGCCATTAGTAGAACTGATTATAAATATCAGGTTGTATGTACCAGATTCCTTGAACTGTCACCTCTTAGAGACGTGAGTTAAATCAGCAGATTGCTGTGGAATTAGAAAAAGAAATGAAGACATCTTTAGGAACAAAATATATGATTTGACAGTATAAATGTATGCTGTTGCAGGCAAAGGAGAAAGAAAAATCTTTACTCCAAGACAAAGTGAACACTAGTGTGGTTCATGGGCCTCCTGACAAAATATCTGCTTGGGTGCACACAAGATGGGTCACAGCTGGCAAGAGATAGAGATACCAGCACAGGAGTATTCTAGCACACTCTTACAAATGTGTTAGAGAAAACACCCGATTTACAATTCTGCTCTCTATTAGCTCCATCCTTGTCCCTGAGCTACGGGAACACACACTAAAACTCACACATCAAAATGAAATCCCAAGGAAACCTAAGTAAAATGTAAACAAAAATATAACCCTTGAGAAAGACAGCAGGTCCAACAGTCACAGTAAGGAAAGTCTGTATAATTTTTTTCAAAAGCTGTTGCTTTGTTCAATCATACTTTGAAATATTCATTAAAAAAGTTTTTTTGATCCTTTAGGACTTCTTTGGAGGAAATCTATGCAAAGATAAACAGAACAGATGAAGAAGGTGGGAGAACCATGATGGAGAGGTTTACAAGCTGATTTGTTAAAATGATCTTTTTTGATTGGAGATGAACTGTGGATAAACGAACACTGTCTGTGAGGGACTTTTCTTTTTTTCTTTTTGCACTTTCTAATCCCCTCAGAGATAAGAGGACATCTAGAGGTCTTTCTCTTCAGATTCTAACGAGGCTAAGGCAGAGAACGATTGAAGAAGCTTATATAAGCATTACTCTTATTATGGATTGAATTCTGACTCCTCAAATTCGTATGTTAATGTTCTAACCCCCAATGTGACTGCATTTGCAAATAGGACTTTAATGAGAAAATTAATGTTAAATGAGGTCATAAGGTTGGGACCCTAACTCCATAGGACTGGTGTCCTTATAAGAAGTGAGAGGGATACAAGTGCACAGAGGAAAGGCCAGATGGGGACACAGCACACAGCAAGAAGGCAGCCACCTGCAAGCCAAGGAGAAAGGCCTTTGGAGAGATGAAACCTACTGATTGCTTGATCTTGGGCTTCTAGTATCCAGAACTGTGAGAAATACGTTTCTGTTAAGTCACCCTGCTTGGGGCACTTTGTTGTAGCAGCCCTAGCTGACTAAGATATTGCAATAGCTGTTCTATTCAACTTGTAGTCTGTGGACCAGTGCTGGTACTTGACCTGTTAGTAGATCACAGTAAGACAAGTACTAAAATTGAGAGTAAGACTTAAGAAACTTTAAAAAAAAAAAGCATTTTGACAATTACTTTATGTCTCTTGAATTGATAATATAATATTAAGAAAACTATTTTGTATGCTTTTAAAAATGTTCACTTTCCCAGTAATTCAATTTTCCCTCCCTCCCTCCCTCCTCCCTCCCTCCCTTCCTTCCTTCCTTCCTTCTTTTACAAAGTTTCGCTTCTGTTGCCCAGGCTGGAGTGCAGTGGCACTATCTCGGCTCACTGCAAACTCCACCTCCTGGGTTCAAACCATTCTGCTGCCTCAGCCTCCCAAGTAGCTGGGATTACAGGCATGCACCACCACACTGGGCTAATTTTGTATTTTTAGTAGAGATGGGGTTTCACCATGTTGGCCAGGCTGGTCTCGAACTCCTGACCTTAGGTGATCTGCCTGCCTTGGCTTCCCAAAATGCTGGGATTACAGGTGTGAACCACCATGCCTGGCCTCAGTTTTCTTGTATTTTATAAAAGTATAGCTCTGTGATGGACTGGAAAAAAAAATCTGCTCCTTCACCATAGGCTCTGATTTGGAAGGAAACTTGTTCCCCAATTCCCCTCTGTGTTCAGAATCTGAGACATAATTAAATACTGTGCTCTCTGTTCTGAACTGAAGTAGATACTAGAGACCAAAGACAGATTGACTTGCATCTTAGCTACTCAGATTTCCCTTGAGCAAGGGCTCAGAATTTGATGATCATATATCTTGTATTAAATTGTCTCTCTCTTCTGTTGAAAAAATGCCATGTGAGAATAAGAAGCTGATTAGTTTCTTCTTAGGTCAGATATTTTGAGGCTTTCCTTAGCTTCAAAGCAGCAACAAGCTGAACTCAATAGAAGAATTTTTTTACAGATTTGTTTCAAGCCACAAGAAAAGGGAAGCTCTAACAGAGTTTGGGTTTAGCTGCATATATCAAAACAATCCAAATAATAGTGGCTTAGTGTTTTATGATCCTTTCAAATGACAAAGAAGTTTTGGGATAATCAGACGATAGTTTGTGGAGCAGCTCAAGAATGTCCAGATCGATTTTTGAAATTCTTTAGCTTTTCTTTCATTTTCAGTTGTAATATGCCTGCTGCAGCTCCTGCCATCATAGCTGCACTTCAAGTCAGAAGAGGAAAGCAAAGAGGACAAGCCTAACTAACTGTGTGCCGACTGATTCTATTCCATTTGAAGGTGCTTCCTGGTAGCCACATGAAAAAATGCTGCTTAATTATTATTGGCTAGAACTGTGTCCCATAGCCATTTCTAACTACAGTTGATGCTGGATAATGAGGGGATGTTGTTTCTGTTTGGTTTTAGCTAGGCACATTGGTTCTGTTTGTAGAGAGGAAGGGGAGAGTAATGATTGAGAAGGAAGCTAGCACTCTCTGCCACAGATTAACACAGAGTGCATCTTCCAATTCAAGAAGTGAGCTGCTTGACTGGGTTGTAAAGAGAGAAATTCTCCTTACTTGACCACCTTACTGGATAGGCTGCTTGGGGATAAGAGAGGAGAGAGTCAATGGGTCCCATATGCACCTCTTCATAGAAATAAGATTACAGAAGGAAAAGAGTGTTTTGAAAGTTTCATGCTTCTCTGAAAGTGTTAGTGTGTTTCTTTTTCTCCTTATCTTTGGTTCTTAGCAGTTTTTGCCATAATATGCCTTGGTGTAGATTTCTTTGTGATTGTCTTGCATGTGGTTTGCAGAACTTCTTGAGTCTATGGCTGCCTTTCAGTATCAGAAAAGGCTCATTCATAATCTCTTCAAATATTTCTGTTCATTCTCTCTTCCTTTGCCTTCTGGGACTCCACTTACACATGCTTTAGGCCTTTTATCTTGTTCCGTAGAGCAATTCCACTCTTAAGTATTTCCTTTTTTCCCCTCTCATGCTTCAATAGTTATTTTTATAATGAGCAATATCAGTTCATTAATCATTTCTTCTGTTTATCTAATCTGGTGTTACCCCTGTTTCTTGAGTTATTAATTTCAGCTAATGAATTTTTTATTTCTAAATTTTATATATTGTTTCTTAGTATATTTCAATTCTCTGATAAAATTCCCCATCTTGCTATCTATATTCTTGAACACATCAATCACATTTAGTTTAAAGAGCTGTGGGTATCTTTCTGTTGTCCATTTTCTTTCCCCGTCTCTCTTTTTTTACAATCGCTTGGTTCTATTTCTTGGCATGCCTGGTGTTTTTTTGATGCCAGGAGGATGGCTTGAGCCCAGGGCAGAAGGATGGCTTGAGCCCAGGAGTTCAAGACCAGCCTGGGCAACATAAAGAGATGTGTCTCTGCAAAAAATTAGAAACATTAGTCGAGTGTGATGGCATGCACCTCAGTTACTTAGGAGGCTGAGGCAGGAAGATTGCTTGAGGCCAGGAAATCAAGGCTGCAGTGAGTTGTGGTTCACACCACTGCACTCCAGCCCAGCCTGGATGACAGAGCAACATCCTGTCTAAAAACAAACAACAAAAAAAGGAAAGCAACCAATAAAAATAACACAAATAAAAAGCAATACAGTATAACAACTACTTATATAGCATTTACATTGTATTAGGTATTATAAGTAACCTAGAGATGATTAAAGCATAAGAAAGGGATGTGCATAGATTACATTCAAATACTATGCCATTTTATATAAGGGACTCTTTTTTTTTTTTTTTTTGAGATGGAGTCTTGCTCTGTTGCCAGGCTGAAGTGCAGTGGTGCAATCTTGGCTCACTGCAACCTCCGCCTCTCGGGTTCAAGAGATTCTCCTGCCTCAGCTTCCTGAGTAACTGGGACTACAGGCTCATGCCACCACGCCCGGCTAATTTTTTGTATTTTTAGTAGAGACGGGATTTCACTGTGTTAGCCAGGATGGTCTCGATCTCCTGACCTCGTGTTCCCCAATCCCTCGGCCTCCCAAAGCCGAGGGATTACAGGTGTGAGCCACTGCCTCAGCCTGTAAGTGACTCTTAAGTCCCTTGCATCCACAGATTATCTGTATTGGGGTTGGGGGGAGGGGTGAGTCTTAGAACCAATCCCTATGGACACTGAGGGATAACTGTGTGTACTGACTCTTTTGTCTTTTCTGCCATGCCACTGAGAAATTGGCAAACACCAGGAGGAGAAATGTGGCAGAGAATGTTATGATCATATCAGTGCATTTTCTTTCTCTTTGGATCTTGATTCCTCAAATGTTGGCTACTTTGCTTTATCTGCTGTGGTTTGAAATAGCTACTTTAAATAGAAATTCAGCTTTTATAGTTTATTTAAGGGAAAGCTGCTTTGAAGCAAGCTATGCTCTCATAGCCAGAAGTTGAAATTTCACAGTTTTATTTAGCTTTTTCTGGGGTCAGTAGGCACTGGTCCTTGGAGTCACCCAACTGCAGAAAACATGGTTTTAAAGCACCCTAGAGTAGAAGCCCCTCTCATCACACTCAAGATGAGGATGGCAGCTCAGGGGGCTCAGCTAGAGGACATTACCAGCTCTCACCAAAGAAACCTTCATTCTAAATTGCCACTCCCTTTAGTCTTTATATTCCTGAAATAGATGAAGGGATTCAAGAATCCTGGAGCAGGTCTTCAATTCACAGTGTAAACTTTCTTTTCTGTCCCTCCCTCCCTCACTCTCTCCTTCCCTTCTTCCCTCCCTCCCTCCCTCCCTTCCTTCCTTCCTTCCTTCCTTCCTTCCTCTTTTATGAGACAGGGTCTTCCTCTGTCACCCAGGCTGGAGTGCAGTGGTGTGATCTTGGCTCACTGTAGTCTTGACCTCCTGGGCTCAAGCGATTCTCCCACTTCAGCCTCCTGAGTAGCGGCAACCACAGGTGTGTGCCACCGTGCTGGTGAAATAAATTTTTTTTTAAAGAGACTGGGGTCTTGCTATGTTGCCCAGGCTGGTCTTGAACTCATGGGCTCATCCAATCCTCTCACCTCAGCCTCCCAAAGTTCTGGGATTATAGGCATGAACCACTGCACCCAGCCTGTAAATTTTCTCGGTGGAGGTTTGAATTTTACAGTCATATGAGTATTTTCTGATTGGTGCCTAAGTTAATCCTGAGTCAGGAAAAGCCCCAGTCTATATCCTATTGCACAGCCAAACCAAATTTAACATGAAAACATCCACTTCTTCCTGGAAGTAAAATAAATGGGAGAACTAAAAACATTTGAAAAGTGGCCTTCCCTTTGGAAGTACAGGAACCCTTGGTCCCAGGATGTCAAACTCAGCCTGCTTTTTTGGGAATGGTGCTTCTGTGACATTATGGATTAAATAGTTATTTTTGTTTTCTTGAACTGCCTAGGATTCTTTCACTCATAATATTATCACTGTGAGAAAATGCTTCTCAATGAGGCCATTTTATAAATAATCTCTGGAACACAGCTCATGTGAAAGCTTTGGTTTTGGATTACCTTTGTTAAACCTGTTAATTCAGGAAGCTAAAGATTTAGAAAAGGGAATTAGATCCCTTTGGGGAAAACTGTGCATCTCCCGAATTTCTTTCCCTGATAACCACTCAAAGAAGGTATTCGAGAGCCTTGTGCTTTCTTGTGACGACAGCTCTGTACATAGTTTATAAAAGGAAAAGTACATTAAAAATCTGTTGCTGGGCGCGGTGGCTCACGCCTGTAATCCCAGCACTTTGGGAGGCTGAGGCGGGCAGATCACGAGGTCAGGAGATCGAGACCATCCTGGCTAACACAGTGAAACCCCGTCTCTACTAAAAATACAAAAAAAAAATTACCTGGGCGTGGTGGCAGGTGCCTGTAATCCCAGCTACTTGGGAGGCTGAGGCAGGAGAATGGTGTGAACTCAGGAGGCAGAGGTTGCAGTGAGCCGAGATCATGCCACTGCATTCCAGCCTGGGTGACAGAGCGAGACTCTGTCTCAAAAAAAAAAAAAAAAAAAAAAATCTGTTTCATGCAAGCTTCTGGAGCCTATACGAAGACACAAAAATTATGTTCTTGTAGAAGGAAAGGAAAACCAGTTTCAGAGCTGTGAGGGCCAATGGTTTTGAGCTTAGGTACATAAGTGATCTCGGCTGAAACCTGCAAGTGTGCTGGGAAGTGCCAGAGTTCTTGAGGCCTCTGATGTGACCGTCTGGGCATCACTTGAATTGTACTCACTTTAAAAAAGGTAATTTCTGCTGATGCCATTTGCTTGAGTCTAGTGGGAGATATTTTGGCCACGCCAGTTTGAAGAAAGATTATCTGCCACATGTCCTGGATGTGGCTGGACAGAGGTAAATTAGAGCAGGGCTAGAAATAGGCTTCTTGAATTCATTGTCTAAGGCTGCTGTCATGAAGTCGCACAGACTGGGTGGCCTAAGCTAAAGAAATTTATTCTCTCACAGTTCTGGAGGCCAGAAGTATGAGATCCAGGTGTCAGCAGGGCTGGTTCCTTCTGAGGCTGTGAGGAAGAGTCTGCTCCAGGTCTCTCTTCCAGCCTTTGGTGGTTTGCTGGCAAGTTTGGGCATTCCTTGACTTGTAGATGACTCACCCCAATCTCTGTTTTCATCTTCATATGGGGTTCTCCCTGTGTCTGTGTCCAGATTTCCTCTTTTTACAAGACACCAGTCATATTGGATTAGGGACCCATCCTACTACACCATGACTTCATCTTAACTGATTATATCTGTAATAACCCTATTCCCAAATAAGGTCACATTCTGAGCTACTGAGGGCTAGGTCTTCAATATATTAATTTTAGGTTGCAGGAGGTAGGACACAATTCAACCCATAACATTTCTGTTAACTTGAGATTCCCAGACACTCTTCCCCTAATTTCCAAGCACCATATCCATGAGAGTTAAGAATCTGATACATCACTTCACTGCAGGTAGCTATTATGATTGAATCAGGGTGAGCCATTAGCTATCAGACTTTGCTGGTAATAGGCAGGTTAATCTATTATGCTGAGAAACTGTCTCTGGGGTCACAGCTTCCTGGCATGGAGAACCTAACCCTGAAACCTTTTATTAGGCGCGTGCACAATTGTGTTGATTGATCTGTTTTTAGAAACTCACATTTTATAGCCATTCATTTTCAAATCTGATAATTAGGTTGATTAAACTTTGACAAGCATTAAAAAAAAGGAATATGGAGAAGAGAGCTGACAGTCCTAGGAGAGAAAAATAATGGGTCTTTAAAAAATAAAATTTGAAAATACAATGGGCATCTGGAGAGTACTTGTTAAAATACTTGTTAAAATAATTAGTGACAAAACTTTGAATCTCAAATTATCTCCAGATTTTTTCAGCTTGATTAACATGAATAAAAAGCCTTAAAATGATACATGGGGTTTTGGTTTTGACTGCTTTTTTTTTTCTTTTTTTTGAGTTTCAGTGCCTCTGAGTGCTGAACCACTTTCTAATCTCATCATTCTACTCCACTGGTTCTCAACTAGGGGCAGTTTTGTGCCCTCCTCTCCACTCTGGGGATATATGGCAATATCTTGAGACATTTTTGGTCTCAACTTGGAGGCAGGGGCAAAGCTATTGGCACCCGGGGGCAGAGGCCAGGTGATATGATTTGGCTGTGTCCTCACCCAAATCTCAAATTGTAGCTCCTATAATTCCCATGTGTTGTGGGAGGGCCCTGGTGGGAGGTAATTGAATCCTGGGGGTGGGTCTTTCCCATGCTGTTCTTGTGATAGTGAATAAGTCTCATGAGATCTGATGGTTTGATAAAGGGGAGTTCCCCTGCACACTCTCCCTTCTTGCCTGCCGCCATGTAAGATGTGACTTTGCTCCTCCTTCACCTTCCACCATGATTATGAGGCCTCCCCAGCCATGTGGAACCATGAGTCCATTAAACCTCTTTCCTTTATAAATTACTCAGTCTCAGGTATGTCTATAATTAGCAGTGTGAGAGCAGACTAATATACCAGGGATGCTGGTGAACTTCCTACACTGTATACAGCACAGCCCCTCACAACAAAAAATTATTAGCCTGAAATGTTAAGAGTGCCAAGATTGAGAAACGATTATCTTTTTCCATTTAGTTCTGCTGGGAAGTCTTGGTTCTGTTCTTTTTAATGTCACCTGACATTCACTCTGTGTGTGGAGAGTTAGCTAACACTATGGGGAGGTCAATCCAACATTTCAAGGGAGGTCCAAGGTCCTCCTCAAAGCTTTTGAAAATGGCTGCGAGCTCATGTTTTCCTAGACATTAAAAAAAGTCACATAATATAAAAAGGTCCTACAGGGACCTTTTATATTATGGGGCTTCTGCTTTTAGTAAGCCTACAGATTTTAATCCAATCTTCTTTCCTACTGTTATGCTATCTGCTCACTGCTAAAACATGTGGAATTTGACCTCCCAATCTTTATATTCTCCAATAGGCATTGGTGTAACAGATTTTGCTGCAGTTTTTTCTTTTTCTTTTTTTTGGAAGGGGGCATGCATTTATTTTTCATAGTCACAAAAGAGCAGACAAAAGGTCATCACAATTTCTTTAGTCATCCTACTTGCTGCTTGGTTATATTTTTTGGCACAACTCCCTTCTGTGGGTTTATAGGCCTCCAATCCTCAGATTCCCCAGTGAAATTCAATTCCTCTGTACTTGAAGGTGCACTGTAATTTAGTATTATGGGTTCAGCTTGATTCCAAATCTCCCTTTGCATAATTTGGAAGTCATTACTGAGCTACACTCTGCTGTTCCCTGTCCTCTCTAGGTCTTGCTTTAACTCACACACAGATCAGGTGAAGGGCTGATGTTCTGATTTATCCCTTTCATGCTCTGAGACCAGTCCCCAGAGGAGACAAAAGAAACACAGAGAATTCTGTTCCCACTCCAGTGATGATGCAGCCCCATTCCTCCAGACCCCTCTTAGTAGTTCTACTTGCCTTTCCCACCCTTTTCCTATTTTTTTCGTTGTCCACGAAGCTATTTGACCCTGCACCAGTCAGTCAATTTAGAATCATTGAAAGTGCAGCTTAAGGAAACCTTAGAAAACATTTATTTTAAGCTTCTCATTTCAGAACTAAGAAAACTGCTTAGGATTAACCCAAGGTTAATTAATAGTATCTGGACCAAGATCCAAGCGCCCATTGTCTGGTAGTATTATTCATGATTACTAGGAGAAAAACACCCAAATCTTAGTTCTCAGGGAAATCTTTTTATTACTCTGAGCCTCAGTCTCCTTGATAAAAAATGGGAAGAGTTGGATTAGATGATCTCTGGGTTTTTTTGTTTGTTTTTGCACTAGTAATAAAATAATTTTCACAAATTGCTTGGAGACCCTGAACATCCCCCAATTTAGACAAAAAAAAAAAACCCCTAAAATATTTTTGTTACATATTGAACATGTTTAACTTTTTTCACTCTTGTGACATTTTCACCTATGTGACATTTTTAGAGAGACATAAGAGTGTAATAATGGGTAAGTGCACAGACATTACACATAGAACATCAGGTATGAATACAGGCTTGGCTTCTTACAGGACAAGCTGTGTGATCTTGGGCAAGCTACTTAACCTCTCTGTGCCTTTGTTTCATAATCTTTAAAAGGCACTTGATAATCATAATACCTATCCTAAAGTAGTTTGGGGGATTAGATGTGTTCAGGAAAGCACTTCAACTGGTAACTGGCACGTGGTAAGTACCATGTAAGTGCTAGCACCTATTATTTCTGACACCTGCAATTAGTAGGATATAGATCATGAAATAAAATAATTTGGTTAGAATAGAAAGATTAGAGGGATACACTTTTCACCTTACATACACTTCTTTTCTTGCCAAAGAGCAACTGACTCAATATATAAGAGGCTCTCATGGTATTATTTTTAGACCGTTCGTGAGGAGAAATGTCTAACCTTATTCACACTTGAGATAACAAATTATTCACGTCATGAGAATTATCCATTACCGAGGGTGGGCTGAGAACCATCAAGGTTGTGCTATGTAAGCACTTTGGCTTGTGCTGTTGGGTGAGGATCTTTGGAATGTATTGCAGACAATTTATGTTTCTTGCAAAAATGCAGAGAAAAGCCAAATTCTTGCAAACCGGGGCTTCAGAGCATTGGTTTTTTGAATGTAATTTTTCTAATCCTTGCCATCCAAAGAGATGTGTTTTGCCCTGGAAACCCCAACTGTATTTAAGTTAAATTATTTTTAATTAGCCTCAAATTATTTTCCCGGGAGGTCGTAGACGTGAACATTCCTCCTCCCTTTCTCCATTATCTCATTCAGGAGCATCCAGTCAGAGCCATGGACCCAACTTTGGGCAAGAGTTTATCCCAAAGTCATTTGATCATAGACCAGTTGCCAAAGGAGATCGAAAGGTGGTAACAGCTTGGGGATGGTTCTGGAACAGAAGTCCCCCAGTGAGGGCCCTGCCTGATCCAACACCACGTGACTATTTCCATCAGATGAGATGACAGAGGGGCTTGCGTCTTCCCTTGCTCCCTCTGCATCTTGGAGTTGAGGACCATGAGGTGCCACTGTGGGGAGATGAATACCAGCCATCAGCAGCCTCCGCCTCTGCCAGCAAGTCAAGGGGTGAGCGAGCAGCCACTGAGAATCACAGGTGCAGAGTCACCAGGCAGGTGAGGAAGGCATGTTTCAGGAGCCCCTGTTGACAGTGAAGGACAGCCAAGTTACAAAGTGTCACCTGTTATGCCAAGACAATTTATACATAAATCAGTCTCCACCAGGGGTGAATATTAGGTGGAAAAATGCCAGGCTATGGAGTTTGCGCATTGTTGTGCCAGGTACGAATCTGTGGCTTGAAAGAAAAATCAAAGCAGGCAGAGGAATGTCGGAGCAAGAACAAGGATGCTCAGAGGGAGGTTGGGGCTTCTCATTCCTTTTGAAGGCTCTTTCTAATGTTCTCTTTGAGGTGGTAAATTCTAGAGCTCCTGTCTTTCTTTCAGAAGCCAATGGCTTAGTCTCAGTACATTCAGGTGTTTTCTCTGCTCCATGATGATTTAGTGGCTGCACATTCCAGACCCTTTTCCTCTCAATGCCCACATTCTTTCTACATTGGACCCTAAATTTGATCCAAGACTGTCATTTGTGATGGCATTAGGGGTCATTGCAGCTCTGGAGAAACTGCATCAATACCAGAGAGGTGAGCTGCTGGTTTCGTGTGATCCTTTGAAGCCAGCCTGGGGCAAGACATTTTTCTAAGCTTTAGCAACCATGAAAGTTTCTATGGATTTTCTAGGAAAAGGGGTCTTGAGAAGAAGCATCGGGAATTAGAATCTAATATACAAGAGGGCCGTGAAACGCAGTAAAAGCACTGGGGCTGCAGGCCGTGGAATCCTGAGACAGGAGAAGAGGAAGCCAAGCAGGGCCGGTCAGAAAGTTGATCTGAGGCTTTGCAGAGTCCCTGAGGAATAAAGTTGAAGGAGCCCAGACCTTTCTGGACCTTTGGATGCTCCGGCAGCTATGCAGATAGAAGGCGTGTTCTCTTCCCCGGGCCCCTTGGCTGACAGCCGTGATGAGAGCCGATTCCCTTCCTTCTGAGCAACAGGGCATCCAGTTCTCACTGCAGACCCCACCCTGCTTCATCCACATCTTGCTGTACTCCAGTTCCTGTACCTCTATGGAGCCCTTTTCAGTGTTCCAGGTTGTCAGACGCCTCTTTGAGGGCCCTGCCCCTGGTACCATGCCTCTATTAGAGCCTGGCTCACTGTGTCTGGCGAGGCTTCGCCCTGCTCCTCAGTGGGCTACTAGATGGTGGAACCTTGGGGAACCAGAACTGTGTCACAGTCTTCTCTCTGTCCATTCTCACACCTCATATGGAGCGTGGCATAAACTAGGCACCATTTGTTTATTAAGTAAAAACAAAATGCTGCCTCCTCATTTCCCATGAAAGTTGCAATCTAAACCAGCATAATTAGGAACAATGTGATTCACTTTAAAATTAGCATTTACTTTGAAAAACTCTATTATAATGGTTGTTTTTAAAGGGGCCGAGATGATAGACCAAAACCTTACCGAATCCCTGGCACTGTGTAAAGTGTTATATACACCTGTTATCTCACCGATTCCTGAATGTAACGTGTGGGAATTATTTGCACCATTTTATAAATCAAGAAACAGAAGTTCAAGAGATAGAGGTGGGATGCCGAAGTGAGTTATAAAGTTGAATTTCAAACTTAGGTTCAGCTGACTCAAAGCCGGAGGTTACCCTACACTGCCTGGTATAATGAAGAGTGTTTCACTTTTCTCTGCAGTGGGGCAGATTCTAATTTCGTATTCTTGTAAGAGCCATATATAACTTAGCATGCGTGCACAATATAGTTAAAAAGATAAATGCATCTACTGAAATTCATGTTTAAAATGCACAAAGCCAGGGTACCTTTGAAATACTTTCTAAATGAAGCTCATTGCCCACCCCCTGCAGTTTAAAAAAATTATTTATTTTTCACTAAGCCAAGTTAAAAGCAGAGGAAAAGGATTTTAGTAGCAGATCATCTCCCAGAGGGGAGTGATTTGTCTTCATTAGTATTCCAATTTTTAGTATGCAAATTGTATGTACTTTTTTCTCTCTTCTTTATATTCGTGGCAAATTATAATTCACTCTCACTGAGGGAATGGCATGGAAAATGAAAAGAACCTAATCTTTAACATTAGTCAGACTTTCTCTGATTTGGGCGGAAGTGTAGGGGCCCGCCTCAAGGCATGGGGTCAGCTGAAAGACCTTTCGAGGTTTTCTTCTAGTCCTAGGAGTCATTTAATTATTCTCTTTTTCTGATTAGTTTTTCCCATCACATTTTAATATTTATGAAATTGAGAAGCACCTTACTATTGATCGAATGTTTAAAATTTTGGTGAATTGTTATTTCCTCCCATTTTTTGTTGTGTCTCACAATTGATGGTATCTTCAAATTGAGTAAATCTAGGAATCCTTGTTGGGACGCTCAGGAGCTGTTCTGATACCCTTTAGCTCTCAACTTCTAAGAAATGGGGGGCTGGCATCAAGGCTACCCTGGTTAACATTTCCTTCTAAATTTCCTTCTGGTTGACCAATGTCACAACCTTCCAACATCCTTTAGTTCTTATCTATTAAACAACATTATAGCAGTAATCAGCTGTTCCTTATATCTTAGAATATTCTTCCTTTGCTTAATAAATAGGGTCAGTGTGATTCGGAATGTTTTCTCAGCTATTGATGCTGCGCATGGAGAAGGCTGAAAGTCCAAGAAGTAGCAGTGAGCAACACAAGATCCCCACAGCTCCCAAGAGAAAACAGGCAGACCCTGAGCACAGACATCTCCGCGTTAGTGCCAGGCTGACGCCTCCTGGTTGGCGTGGTGATGGGAGGGGGCTAGATCAGGAGACAGTCTTGGGATGTCACCATGGGATGAGGGTTTCTCTTATTCTCCTCTTTGTGATGTAAGCCTGGCTCAGGTTGTCACTTTAGAGCTACGGTAAGGATGGTCATCCCTGAGGTCCCTTTGAGGATCTTCATGACATCAACATGTCTTCCCTATTTCTGTGTGTGAAACTGATCTTTGTTTCCTCGTGTTACTTCAGGATCCCAATAGCCATGGGCTCTCGGTAACATCTTCATGATGCTGGCGTGTGATAGGTTTATTTATTCCTTTTCTTCCTGCTGTCACTACCCTTGCCTTCCCAGTGTTTATTTTGCATGCCTTAGCACAGACCCTGGCCAGCTGAGTTACTATTAGATGCAATAGGATCTATCTTTTATTGTATCTGGTGGGATAAACCCTCTACCTGGTCAACATCTCAGATTGCCAAGAATTTAAATAATACTTTATTTTTTGAGACAGAGTCTCTGTCGCCCAGGGTGGAGAGCAGTGGCACAATCTCGGCTCCCTGCAACTTCTACCTCCCAGGTTCAAGCGATTCACGTGCCTCAGCAAGTGAGTAGCTATCTGAGTAGCTGGGGTTAAAGGGATGTGCCACCACGCCCAGCTATTTTTTTTTTTTATTTTTAGTAGAGACAAGGTTTCTCCATGTTGCCCAGGCTAGTCTTGAACTCCTGGCCTCAGGTGATCTCCCAAAGAGTTGGGATTACAGGCGTGAGCCATGGTACCCTGCCAGTAATACTATTTATAATGCAGCTGCACACAGATTAACGGGATGCCGAAGGAGACATTTCCTATTGTCAGGGCTTTCAGCTAAAGTCCCAAAGCTGAGGATAATAAGCAGTAGGTGTTTCCATATCTTAAAGGGAATGCTAGGAGGTGGCAAATTCCTCTTCCAAATGCCTCACTAAAGAAGAGTGGATTGTTGTGCTACCCCCACACTCTATGTAAAGAGAAGACTAGATTTCATGACATTTCATTCAAGAAGAGCATTGGTAGAAAGGGGGATTCATGGAAAGAGTGGTTACTGATCTAGCAAGAGGTCTTAGGCAGTGAGGCTCTGTTCCCTCCTTATGCTGCCTGAGGGCCAGGGCTCCAGGTCGCCTTTTGGAGATAGGAGCATGCCAACAAGAGCGGAGACTGATTTAGTGACTGGAGGCCTGCTTAGCTGAAGAAATCCAAAGATCCGTCTCCGTGTGGTAGGGGGTGGTGAGAACCTTCTTGGGAGAATGTGACACATTTCCCGGAGTCTGTGCATGCACGTGAGTTTATGAGCTTGTACCTCTTGCTTGCTTTCATAACTGTGGAGAGGGAAGGCTGATAAGAGCAGTTTGTGATGTCAGGAAGTTGAGAGAAGGCAGCTGGGAGGGTGACACTCACACCTTTTGTCTGGTACAAATGTATGCATTCCTATGGACCAAATGAAATAATGGGCGATAACCTGGCAAAAGTGCCTTGAGGATACAATGGCCAAGAGGATATCCTGCGGTGGTCAGGGAATTACAGCAGTAACAGTTGTGTGGATGCACTGTTAGGGCAGGAACTGGAGACAGCAGAGCAGATCGCCCCTATAGGGGACCTACCAGGGTAAAGTTCCCTGCAGGCTTTTGAAAACTCTTCCATGCACCCCAAGAAAGAGCCAGTATGTGGACATCTCCCAGTGGGTAACTCACTAGCACCCGGGAGGAGGGACGTGTGCCTCTTCTTCTCTGATCTGGTTCCCACCTGCCTGGCTCTGGAGGAACAGGTGTCAGGACAGGGAGGGAGAAGAGAGAGTATGGCCCCCATTACACATCCCCACTCCAGGGCCAGGCTTGTGTTGTGACATGGACCTGAGGCTGAAGTTTAAGTTACATTAGTGAGTCATGTCTGCAGAAATCAATTTATAAGAAGGCCCTTCTTACCACTGCAACTGACCAATAAGCTCCTTTGCCGTCAAGAACTGGGAACAGGACTCAGACCAGGTACGTTGGAAGGAAGTGCTTGGAGAAAAATGAAACCTATTTCAAAAGAAGCTCATCAATGTCAGATGTTCAATAAGCTCATCACTTAGCTTGGGTCACGATGACATTTGGGACAAGCCATCAACAGGCGTTGCATGGCCTTCCTGAGCTACATCTACTGTTAAAGGATTTGAGGGCCTGGGTGTTAATTAAAGCCTCCTCATGTCTGCTCAGAAGACATTACTAATCCTTCTCAGAGCGAAGGATTATGAATTGTTATCAAAATAACCACAACTTGTATCTTATATTTAATTTACTATATTCAGGCACTTGTGCTAAAATCTTCACATGTTTTTATCCTCACAATTACCTAGGAAGTAGAGATTCATTATTCTCATTTAAAGATGAGAAATTGGGCCTGGTGTGGTGGCTCATGCTTGTAATCCCAGGACTTTGGGAGGCTGAGGTGGGCAGATTGCCTGAGGTCAGGAGTTTGAGACCAGCCTGGCCAAGACGGCAAAACCCCATCTCTGTGAAAAATTCAAAAATTGGCTGCGTGTGGTGGCACCGGCCTGTAGTCTCAGCTACTCGGGAGGCTGAGGCAGGAGGATTGCTTGAACCCAGGAGGTGGAGGTTGCAGTGAGCCAAGATCACGCCACTGCACTCCAGCCTGGGTGATAGAGCGAGACTCTGTCTAAAATAAAATAAAATAAAATAAAATACGATAAAATAAAAAAGGATGAAAAATCAGAGCTTAGAGAAGTCAGTTGCCTGAGGTCACACAGCAGGTAAGTGGCATAGCCAGCACTTGGATTTGGATAAGTTTGTTTTTCTCATGACATCTGGCCTCTCTGCCTTGGACAGGGTCAGTGGTCCTGGACCAGGAATGATTTTGCCTCACTCCTTGCCAATGTCAGGAGCTGTATCTGGGTGTACACAAACTGGGAAGGGAGGTGTGCTTCTAGCATCTAGTGAATGAAGGCCAGGGATGCTGCTTAACATCCTACAATGTACAAAAAACTTCCTCCAACAAAAGTCAGTAGTGCTGAGGCTGAGAACCCCTGGATTAGGCCCCCATCCCTTTATCAAAGGAATGCAGCAATATTCAGATCTTAAAAATACATTTTTATTTTAGAATAGTTTTAGTTTTTTTTTTTTTTTTTTGAGATGGTGTCTTACTCTTGTTGCCCAGTCTGGGGTGCAAAGGTGGGATCTCTGCTCACTGCAACCTCCGCTTCCCGGGTTCAAGCGATTCTCCTGTCTCAGCCTTCCGAGTAGCTGGAATTACAGGTACATGCCACCACGCCCGGCTAATTTTTTGTATTTCCAGTAGAGATGGGATTTTGCCATGTTGGCCAGGCTGGTCTCGAACTCCTGACCTCAGGTGATTCACCTGCCTCGGCCTCCCTAAGTGTTGGGTTTACAGGTGGAGCCACCGTGCCTGGCTCAGTTTTAGATTTAAAGAAAAGCTGCAAAGATAGGTAGTTCAGGGTGTTCTCATAGACCCAAGGCCTGGCTATCCTTATCTCACATTACTGTGGTTCACCTGTCACAGCTAATAAACCAACATCGATACATTGATATTAACTAAAGTCCACCCTTCTTTCACTTCCTAAATTTTTACTGAACCTCCTTTTTTCTTGTCCAGGATCCTGCATTTCGCTTTGTTGTCCCATCTCATTAGGCTCATTTAGACTGTGACATTTTTTCAGACTTTGGTTTTGGTGGCCTTGAGAAGCTTTGAGGAGTACTAGTCATGTATTTTGCAGATTTTTTTTTTCAATGAAGCTTTTTTCTGATGCTTTTTTCAGCGTTGGGAGGGGGTTATGTTGTTGTTTTTTTTTTTTTTGAAGGAAGACAACAGAAACAAATGCCATTCTCTTCACATCATGCTATTAACATGACTCTTTGCTGTTGACATAACATTGATCACCTGGCCTGGGTAGTGTTCGTTAGCTTTCTCCACTGTAGAGTTACTCTCTCCCCACCCCCTCTCACACTGTACTCTTTGGAAGGAAGTCACTATGTACAGCCCATGTTTAAGGAGTAGAGAATTTTGTTCCACATTCTTGAGTGGGGAGTAGCTCCATAAATTATTTAAAATTCTTTTGCGTGGGAGAGTTGTCTATCCTCTCTATTTATTTGCCTGTTTACTCAGCCATTTATTCAATCAATCATTCATTTATATCAGCATAGTGGTTTGAACGGTGGCTCCCAAAAAGATATGCCCACTACCTAATCCCTGCAACTTGTGAATGTGACCTTATTTGCAAAGAAGTCATCGCAGTTGTGACTAAGTTAAGAATTTCAAAACAAGATTATACTGGATTATCTAGGTGGGTCCTAAATCCAATGCCAAGCATCCTTATAAGACACAGAAGAGGAGGTTCACCCAGGAGAAGGCCGTGTGGAGATGGAGGCAGAGGTTGGAGTTATGCAGACACAAGACCAGGGACATCTGGAGCCACCAGAAGCTGGAGGAGACAAAGAATGGATTCTCCTCCTAGAGTCTCAGAGGGAGTGTAGCCCAGCCAACAGCTTAATTTCAGATTTTTATCCTTGAGAATTGTGAGAAAACAAATTTCTATTGTCTAAGTCACAGACTGTGTGTTAATTTGTTATGGCAGCCTTAGGAAAGTAATATAATGAGTATGAGTTTATGAATGCTTATTTTATATTTTGCATTATAATCTCATATAATGTTATTTATTTTATTGCTTAACTTCTTCCAGCTTTGGTCATTGGGAGCCCTTTCAGTTGGCAGCAGTGGTTGTTAACAGGCATCCCTGTCTCCCATCCTGGTGTGTGTTTCTGGCTTCTGCTTTGTAGAGCATTTTAATCCGCCCTATGCAAGCACCACCTCTGAGTCAAGTCCAGAGCCTCTGACTCAGTTTGCATGGAGCTAGGTCATCTCCAAATCCTGAACCAGAAAGTGACCTTTAGTGTTTTATTATTCTTTAATCATTCTGTTACCCATCAGCACACCTGGGAGTTTAACTACTACATTCCAGAAGGTTTGCCAGGAGAGGGAAGAATTAAGCAGGAATGCTGGCATCAAGGAGGTTTTTCTACGCCCTGAAATGTTTACATGTTTTAGCAACACACTTGCATACCATTAATGAGGAGGCAGAAGCAAAAATGTGCATTCAGACTGCTTCAAATTGGGCCTCCTTAACTGATATGTTTTCATGCAAAGGCAGAGTTAATGTTTTTTGTTGGCAAATTTGAAATTACAGATACTTTAGGTTAAATGTACATCCAAGTTAACCAAGGTGTCTTTAGCTACTGTAAATGAGAGCCAGCATTCTAGGTTCCCTGGGGAATTTCCTGGAAGATTTTGAGGATTAAGATTGAAGTTGCTCTCCAGATGTAATACGGATAAACAACATTTCTTGGGTAAATTTAGACTTTCTCTCTTTGTAAGCCAGAAGGGCCTTGGTATCCAGTTGCCACAGAGCTTGTAGAATTATTATCTTCATCGCCTTTGCAGTAGAATGATTTGAGAACTGAACGTGATAAAAAGAGTAGAGATAATTGTGAGAAATGATGAGGCTCCAAATCTCCCCCACCCCCGTTCCCCACTCCCTGCCCCAAGCTCATACCCCTTCAGGATTTCCTGTGTTCATAAATGCTCCTTATTGATCAGCCTTGAAGCTGGGCTGTCATTTTTATCCACTTTCCTCCTTCTCATCTCCCTTCCTTTTTCGGTTCCTCCTTCACTCTCCCCTACCCCATCCAAACTCCAAGTACAGCCCATTTTTCTTCCTTTCACCTCTGTATCTATTTAACTTTGCCTCTTACAGCCAGCACCCTAATGCAGACCCGCATAACCTTATTTCTGAAATACTGCAAGACTTTTAATCTAATTTCCTACTTTTCAACCCTCCTTTACATTTCTCTAAGTGCATTAATGCATAATCACATCTCCTAAACATAATCTTGTGTCTTGATATTCCCTAACTCATTATCCTTTAAGGTTTCCTCAATGCCTGAATAAGAAAGTCCACACTTTCCTGTAACTCTTACGTTCTCCCAGATCAAGCTTAGCATGCCTAACTGTAAATCCTATAATTCAAAAATGGCATGAAACTTCTCTGCTCACTGAAGTGATTATTGATGCGTAGATCTGCCAATTGTCATTTTCTTTCATTTTCCTTCTTCTTTTCCACTGTGTAATCCATTATTTCAATGCCACATCCTCTAGATGAGCTCTTCTCTTTTAAGGGTCTACAGGCTGTTCCTGCTTCAGGCAATGGCCTCCCTCATTAAACTCCTGTGTTCTTATTGGCTACTGCAATATTTTTCAAACTGAGGTCTGCAGAGACATACGATAGCCACGGTTCTCAAACTTTCAGCATTTCATCAAAACCACCTGGAGGGCTCGTTAAACAGCGATCACTGAGTCCATTGCCAGAATTTTTGATGCAGTAGGTCTGTAGCGTAGGGACGCATTCTCATTACTGATAAGATTCAGGTGTTGCTGGTCTGGTAACCACATTTCAAGAAAAAATGTAGTCCTATGACTTTAAGATTTTAGTGTCTATTGGAATCCCCTGGAGAGCTGATTCAAAGCTTAGATTCCAGGGCACTCATCCTCATAGTCTGATGAGGTAGGCGTGTGCTGGGCAGGCCCTTTATCAATCCCAGGTGGTTCTTATCTGTGGTTCTCAGCCCTGCCCCAGAAGTCTTGTTCAGCCAGGTGCAAGCACTCTCGTTTGGGAGAACAGTGGTAAGCCGTTAGGCTCTTACCCCCTAGCATCCTGCGCTGCTCATCTCTGTGCATTTGATTTATTGCTTCAATTAAAGCTTTAAGTTTATTAGAAAGAGTTTCTTTTGATTCTCAGTCTCTAGCACGGTTTTTCCCAAGGAGTAGATACCCAAGACAAATCTTCTGGATTTTACCCAGTTTGAAAAAGTAATTCCTGTCTATTTTGATGCACTGTGAAAGTAAGAGTCGAATTGTGAGTGGGGGTGGGAGGGCTTGATTGGGCTTTGTGAAAAGGCCTCAGGCTGTTTGAATTCCCAAGACGAGCTTCCAGTTTCCCTGATGTGGACGCGTTAAGGCCAAGCCTCATTTTTCTCTTTTGCTGGAGGTGAGAATTGAATATCCATATGCCTGTGGTTAAGTGGCATTCTGATTGCTGGGTTAAAACTAAGCCACTTTCCTACATACTTTCAGGTGGTTTCTTATGAGTGACAAACTTTTAAAAAGTGAAACCAAATGTCACTTTATTTTAGCCTTAAGAATAAAAAAGATTGAGGGCATAGAAAAAATGAGGAGGATGATTTTTTACTTCCATCTGGACTGATTGCTTAATGTTTCAGCAAGGGACAATGTATGCAGAATAAAGAGGTGTGCTGAGAAGGGGTGGGCAGGGATGCTAGAGGGCTACATATATTTGCCTGGTGGCTCTGTGTGCCTGGTACTAGGGACCTTGCAGTATGAGGTCCTCTGTATCTGGTCAGTACAGTTGAGACATACAGATATATAGATGTGCAGGTGTATAGATGTACAGTAAAGATGTATAGAAGTACATACATATGGTAGAGATGTGTAGATGTACAGATGTACAGTAGAGACATGCAGTTGTACAGACTTAACGATAGAGATGTGCAGATGTATAGATATACAGTAGAGATGTGCAGGTGTACAGATGTACAGTAGACATGTACAGATATATAGATTTATAGTAGAGATGTACAGATGTACAGACATACAATGGAGACATACGGATGTATAGATGTGCCATAGACATATACAGATGTATAGACATACAGTAGAGATATACAGATATACAGATGTTCAGTAGGGATGTACAGATGTATAGATGTATAGTAGAGATGTATAGATGTACAGACACACAGCAGAGATGTACAGATGTACAGTAAAGATGGGCAGATGTATAGATGTTCAATAGAGCTATACAGATGTACAGATGTTCAGTAGAGATGTACAGATGTATAGATGTATAGATGTACAGACAAGTAGAGATGTACAGATGTACAGTAACAATGGGCAGATGTGTAGATGTACAGTATAGATGTATAGATGTATAGACATACAGTAGAGATGTACAGATATATAGATGTAGCATGTATAGCTGTACAGACATATAGTAGAGACATGCAGATGTATAGATGTACAGTAGAGACAGATGTATAGACGTACAATAGAGATGTATAGATGTATGGATGTACAGTAGAGACATACGGATGTATAGATATACAGTAGGGATGTAAAGATATACAGATGTTCAATAAAGATGTACAGATATATCTCTGTTGCTTAAGAGGAAAGCTAGGGAAAGAGATTAGAAGTGATCACCTTCGCAAGAAAATCAGAATTTAAAAATCATATATTTAATTTAAAACTGATTGGCCTAAACTTACTTGATCACTATTAGCGTTTCCCTAGACAGTGTTCCCCAGAACACCATGTAGAAAATGTTTGTGTGTGTGTGTGTGTGTGTGTATATATATATATACACACATATATATACACACACACATATATATACACATATATATACACACACACATTTTATATATATATACACACACACACACACACACACACATACACAACTGAATCTGTGTTACAGTAATACAAATTGTGCCAGAATTTTCAGCAGCATATTTTACTTATTTTAAATGAATTATGGAGGTGTGAACATTCTCTGTTATAAAAGTACTATTCTAGAACGTGCTGATGTCCTGAAGAATATCAGAATGTTCTAAAGGTCAGATCCAAATTAGTTTTAAGAAATTTGATTTAATAAATATTTACTAATTTGACCAAGAAAATAGCTTTTATTTCTCCAAAGAACTGAATTTTATTTTAGGTGAATTCAAAATTTTAGAGTTAGAGAAAAGCTTAGAGTACAAACTAAGGTAGACAAATGAAGTGAGTTGTACAGTGGAAAACTCCCGATTGTTCAATGATAGGAAAAGTTGAAAAAAATAGTATACATGCACAAAGGAATATAATGTAAGTATTGAAAAGAAGGAGAATGATTGATAAGGTGACCTGGAAAAGTGTTCTTTATGCATTGGTGAGTAAAAAACAAGCAAGTTGCAATATAATATGTATAATATGATCTCAGTTTTGCCAAAAAGAAAAAACCCAAACAAACAAGCAAAACCCCCCAAAACAACCAACCGACCAACCAAAAGCTGTATGTAAATATACATGTTTTGGTATGTTTCCACAAGAAAAACATGAAAACATACTTCAAAATGCTGATATTGGTTATCTTGGAAGGGTGGAGTGGGATGAGGAGTGATTTCTTGGGTTTTTCTTTTAAATGTCTCTGTTGTTTGCTTGGGGGCACTGACTGTTTAATGGTTTTGTAGATAAATGGAAAATTCAATAGTATATTTTTTTAAAAAAGCTCTCAAAAGAGGAGGCCTGAAAGTGTTAGAAATACCTTGTTAGGAAAACTGCTCACCGTTTTTCCTTTCCTTTAAATGAGCTGTGGGTGAGCTTGTCAACTCTAAAGTAAATGGGGATCTCGGAAGGTCTTGAGCATACCTGCTTTGTCCTTAAGTACTAAGTGTTCTTCCCTGAGATGTTGTTTAAATGATTTTGTTTAAATGATCAACCGGCCTATGAAGTAGGAACTTGCAAGCAAAGGTGAACTTCACTTCTGCCTAAATTATTTCCAAAAAAATTGCATGAAGTTTTCAGAATATTAAGATTGGAAATGTCCAGTTAGAGGATCTTATAGTAGAGCAATTTGTGCAAAAAATTTACTAAATCGCATTATCATGTTAGTCCCAGAGGAAATCCAAAGATATACCCTAAAACACTGTCCATGGTCTCTAGGGTTTTAGCGTGGAGATGAAGAGACAGATTTAAGTACACATCAAAAATGGAGAATATTGGCCGGGCGCGGTGGCTCTCGCCTGTAATCTCAGGTGGGTGGATCACCTGAGGTCAGAAGTTCGAGACCAGCCTGGCCAACATGGTGAAACCCTGTCTCTACTGAAAATACAAAAATTAGCTGGGCATGGTGGCAGGTGCCTGTAATCCCAGCTATTTAGGAGGCTGAGGCAGGAGAATCCCTTGAACCTGGGAGGCAGAGGAGGTTGCAGTGAGCCGAGATCACGCCATTGCACTCCAGCCTGGGCAACAGAGCAAGACTCTGTCTCAAAAAGGAGAATATGATTAGACGATATACAATCTGTGTAGTGCCCACTTTCAGCAGTGTAGACATCCAAAAATGGAGAAATGAGTGAGGGCTGCAGATTTTGGACAAATGCTGCAATGAAAATTTTTGTACAACTAGAAAGTAATAAAATATAAAATAAAAATCCAAGTCTCTGCAAAAAGCTACAATTACTCCCAGGTAAATAATCCACACACACATAAAACTAGACTATAAAAGAATTAGAATTCCTCTTAAAATTGTTCAATGGACAGCATCTAACATCTGACATTCTCCTTGAAATCTTATTGATGTTAATTGGGATTATGAAGGTGGCTAGTGAGGGTGGCTGACTTTTTTGTATTATTTAAATATTTTCTCAGTTTCTGCTGCTTCTAGGGGCTCTGCTGCTTCTAGCGTAGATTTCCACTTTAGTAAATCTACAAGTGAGCTTGCTGCTCCAAATATTCTTTAAGGAAACGGAATGATTTTCCCTGGCAGTGTTTACATCTTCTGTGGAGCTCTCAGGAATGACCTCCTGAGCTCTGTGGGCTTGTCATCTTTACTGGGCAGCCTTCCAGCCAGGGCAGGTATTTGAAAAATTGTATGCTTAGGCCTTTGGACATTAGTGGTATCCCTGCTGAGGCTGCCTGTGTCTAAACTGCTTCCTGAATGCTGTGATTACCTAGAACACCATGATTATTGATGACAGGGACATACTTATAGTGTCCTCTCCATTTGCAAAGTGCTTTACAGTGGCATTCACTTATTATTTATTAGATGTTAATGTCTAATTATAGCATGCCTTTGCCAAGCCTTAGAAAGGTTGCCTGGTAGGCTTGGCTTCTGGGGTGGGATGCCCAGCCCCGCTCCCCCTGCTGGGTTGAATGCATGTGGTCTCATTCTGCTTCAGTCCTTCGGTCCAGCATACCAGCCTCTTATGTGTCTGCAACCCGAGGACAGGAGACTGGGGCAAAGCAGGCAGAACTTGCCCTGATCCTGGGCTGGATTCAGCCCTTCAGTATCAGGTCACCAACTCCTGCTGTGAGGATTGGGTACTTATGGCTTTTCTCTGCAGCAAGGACTGTGTCCTTCCCTTTGACCTGAAAAATGTATCCAGTTGCAATCACTAGGAAATAAATCTACCCAAAACGTACAAATAGTTTGAGTGTTCTTTCATAAGACAGCGGAGGTACTTACCACACTGCATTGTGCATTGAGTAGATAAATGTTTGTCTTTTCTAAAATGGGGGCCATTAAAAAAATTGCAGACAAAAATCACTCTTCTTGTTGTAGATCTATTGGCATTAGCTTTGAGGATTTATAACCCAACTGAGCACTTGAGTTAACAAAACATTCTTTGTCCAAAGAAATTTAGAAATGTAGTCTGAGTTTCTTTTTAATTATGAAAGAGAAGTAATTAAGAACTGGATGGCTTTAGATTTTGATAAACTCTGGGGCTGTGAGTGTCTCTCATGGGAGTGGGTTGACTGAACCAGGGACTTCCAGCCCAAGGCAAAAGTCAGTGTGTTGACATCACATAGCTGTGCTATTGATTAGCTTTCCACATTTGGGTGTTTACAAGCTGAACAGAAAATACTGCTGCTATGCATGTCTGCAGCTATCTCATTGTTGGTTAGGGATCCTTCAGTCCTAAGTCTCTTCTCTGTTGCTGTGGAGTTGAAGCTGAAGGTTCCCAACACTTCTCAACATGCACTTCATTGTTGGGATAAACATGGGCACTTCCTCCTTTCACTGGGATCTAACTGTCTTGCTGTTCTCCACTGTCTTCCTAAACTACCCCAATTGCCACAGCTCAATGGAACTGCAGTGCTCACATCATATTGCTGTGGAAGGCATGTGAGGAGCAGATGTTGACCTTAAATTGCCCCTCACTGGTTTCAATTCTAGAAGGACTAGAAAAGCATACAGAAGTGAAGTGTTATTTCTCCATAAGACTTACTGTAGAACATATATAGTAGGTATATAGTCCCTAGACTTATACTTCATCTAGTATTGTAGTTTATTTCCTTTTTTGTGTAATAGTGATAGCTGTGTTTATTTTGCAGTTCCTTGAGAAAGAGGAGTCAAATCCAAAAAGGACATTAGTTGAGACTCTGAAGACCATCCCTATTTTGGGAAAGCTCAAGATGGGTGGCAGCAGGACCCTGGTTCCCATTAAGGAGGCCTGAGTTTCCAGCTGCTCTGCTCCCATTGCAGCAAGGCAATGGACATTTGAATAAGGTAAGCCTGGCGTATTCCTACCTTGGATTTTGACTCGGGCCATGGGGCAAAGAAGCAGGGGGCATTCTAGAATTCCCTGTCCAGGGTTGGCAGTGGTGCTAGTAATAATGAGGCCACAGTAAGAATCTATGTAGGATCTTCTATTAGGATTTTGGCTGTGGTTCTGGCCTTCTTTTATTTTGTCCACTTTTCTGTGCTTGGTTGACTAGTCTTTGCCTGAATCCTGTCATCTACCCTATATCCTCCTGATAAATTGCATTTTGCCTTCAAGTAACCAGAGTTGGTTTCCTTTACAGGGAATCAAGAACCCTGCACAGCACTCCTGTTCTGGGGCCCAGGACATTGACTACAAAGGTTAGTAGAAACTATTTTGCCTAGTACCTCTTTTTAATAATAGAAGAAAGTTTTCTTTGAACTTGAGAATGAGACTTTGTGTCAGCTACTGGATATATTCCAAGTCAAGTGTCTGAAATACTCACAGCTTTAGCCACTGTGTTTCTATTATTCTAATGCTTTATGCTCTTAATGGCTAATTGTGCATTCTGTGTAAGTGCTGATGGTACCAACTTGCTCCAGATTCTTGTTTTGACTGGTTCTGCTAATACCTCTTTTACGTATTCCTGATGTAATTACTTGTGAATTCATGCTGTAATGAGAGAAATTCTATTAAGTATTCTTAGCTTTATGAGGGAAAACAATAACTTCTAATGGAGGTTATCCAAAGAATGCTTTTGCTATTACTTAGGAAATGGATTGTTTGGTTTGTCTCACTCCCAAATGTTCACCCAGATTCAGCAGTCAAAAGTTGTGTCTGTTGCTTTCGTAGGAATTTGCTTTCTTCTTCGTGTATATTTACAGGAGGGGTTATGTTTACTTGGCATTTGGGAAATGTTTTCACAGTGCTCATTTCATATAGCAGATTCTCATTTTGTGAATGAATATCATCTTGGTCCATGTGACACAAATCTCTGGATTGGTCTGTAGGGGCAGACAGTGTATCTGCTATCTTTCATTTGTGTATGTAGAATTCCTTATGTATGGCATAGTGATGTGTGCATGCAAATGCTTATGTAAGTTAATATGATCACATTAACATGTATTAAATACGCAGAATTATGTCAATAATTAACACAAAATGTATTAAATACCCAGAATTATGTCAATAATTAACACACAGTTGCAATATGTAACAACAAGCAAACTCTGAATATATAGAACGTTTATTCAGCAAGTATTTACAATGGCATCTTACTAGGTGCTAGGCAGTTTGAGGGGAGCTGGAGCTGGCATGCTTTCCACTCAAGGTATTATCGATTTAATTGGGGAAACTTACAGTTTCATTGGAAGCTTATACTCTAATAGCTTTTACGGGATTTTAGTCAACCCACAGATATAAGCTCCTTGTTGGCTTACGTGTTCCTGGCAAAACTTTGAAAGTAGGCATTTGGAGGCAATAAAACAAACATCTTTTAAAGGTTTTAGGTCCCTAGTACAAAAGTCTCTGATATCTCTGAATTGAAATTCTAAGGCTGACTTCTAAGCTATTTTCATAGTGACCCTAAATAGGGTAACAGTAAAGTTTTGAAATCTGAGACCTGAAAGGGAACAAAAATAGGAAATCAGGACATCTTGGACCTGGAATGCAGCCCAGATCATTTGGCTTTACCAGGAGCCCAGAAACTTTTTAGATCATTTGTATGTGAGAAATCACTGACTTGACTCCCATGGTCTTTTTTTTTTTTTTTTTTTTTCCCTTTCTACTTCCCCTCCCACCCCATTTTACTCTTCTAGAATCCCAAAAGATACCTGTTCTGGGCCTCAGTGGTTTTGGATTTTTAAATTTTTTAGGCCAGGCGTGGTGGCTCACGCCTGTAATCCCAGCACTTTGGGAGGCCGAGGCGGGTGAATCACGAGTTCAGCAGTTTGAGACCAGCCTGACCAATATGGTGAAACCTTGTCTGTACTAAAAATACAAAAATTAGCCAGGCATGGTGGCATACGCCTGTAATCCCAGCTACTCAGGAGGCTGAGGCAGGAGAATCGCTTGAACCTGGGAGGCAGAGGTTGCAGTGAGCCAAGACTGCACCAGTGCACTCCAGCCTGGGGCAACAGAGTGAGACTCCGTCTCAAAAAAAATTTTTTCTTTTTTAGTAGAAGGCAGAAATACCAGTGCTACTTGGGAGACATCCACCATTGTTCTAGGGAGTGAATTGGAGCCAGACTGCCTCTTCCCACTGATGTCACCTCCTTTTCCATGACCTTCTTCCTGATTGTGGAGCAGTTTTCCTTAAAGGGCCACAGAGTAAATATTCTAGGCCTTGTGTGCCGTATGCACACTCAATTGCAATTACTCTACTCTGCCATTGTAGTGTGAAAGTAGCCAGGGAGACACAAACAAAGGAGCATGGCTGGGTTCCAATAAAACTGTATTTATAGAAGCTCAATTTTGAATTTCATATAATTTTCATAGGTTATAAAATATTATTTTTTCTTTTGATCTTTTCCAACCATTTAAAAATTATTCTTAGCTCAAAGTGGTACAAAAACAGGTGGCAGCCTGGCTTGCATGAGGGTCCCTTAGTTTGTCTATCCCTATTGTAGAGAATCATTATGGAATGTTTCTTATCTGTACCCTGAGGAATCCTAGTTAGAACTGATGCTCCAAGAAAATCAGTGTAAAAGGAACATAATTGGCCGGGCACAGTGGCTCACACCTGTAATCCTAGCACTTTGGGAGGCCGAGGCGGGTGGATTACCTGAGGTCAGGAGTTCAAGACCAGCGTGGCCAACATGGTGAAACCTCATCTCTACTGAAAATACGAAAAATTAGCCGGGTGCAGTGGTGCCTGCCTGTAATCCCAACTACTCTGGAGGCTGAGGCAGGAGAATTGCTTGAACCTGGGAGGCAGAGGTTGCAGTGAGCTGAGATCACACCACTGCACTCCAGCCTGGGCTACAGAGCAAGACTTTGTCTAAAAAAAGAAAGAAAAGAAAAGAAAAGAAACATAATCACCTCAACACTAATTAGAATCCTAGAATTTTAGGAATTACTTTGCTCACATTCCTACATTTAGAGATGCTGGGGTGGTGGCCTAGAGGGAAATGACTGCTTCTTGTGACCTGGCTTCTCCTGATTCACAATTGTTAGTTTCTCTGTCCCATGCTCATGCAGATACCCAGGGCCCTGGACTATATTCCATATTTGTTTATTCATTAAAACAATTATTTTATTTATTTTCCTTTCTCCTCTCAGTTGGGATTCTCCTGGGGTGATGATCTGCTAGCATTTCCAGGGAGACAGATGCCTGCTTGCCTAGTGGCCTTGAACCTCAAGGAGGCTTCCCAGGGAGAATTTTGGATGAAGGCGTATATAAAGGGGTGAGGTAGCTGCTCAAACTCTTGAGTCACTGCTGTGTCATCTTTTATAGGTTGCCATCTCTAGTACAAGACGAATGTGAGGGTGTGTGAATGTATGTGTAGTGTATAAGAACAAAATCGGTGATACGTTTGCCTATAGCTTTATGAAGGGTGGATCAAAGTCAAGGAGTGAAGCCCATAGACTGAAAAGAAAAATGAAATTCGGATTCATCATGGCCCAGCTTTTAGCCACACATCAAAGATGTTTGGTCTGTTGGCTTGGCTTAAGAACACACTTAAGTTATTGTATAATTTATTTCCCAGAGTGAAGATTTTAAGTGTTGAGGGACTAGAGACACTGTGAGTGAGAAAACCAGTTTTCTTTTGGATATTCATCTGAAGGTAAATAATTCAAAGGTAAATTTAAATGTGTGGGATAAATAGTCTACCTCTCCCGAATACTCTTTCCTATCTCATTTTTGGTTGATAGTTCCAAGATGATGCCTCAACGACTCCCACATTCCAAAGTGGAAGACTGGGACTCCAGAGTCCCTGGAACTTGCAAAGGAGGGGCCAAAATCCTGTTTCGTGGCCCTTAGCTGACCTCCTACACAAGGCCATAAAAGAGGTTGGGGAGTCTGAGAGAAGAACCTGGAGTTTGGAGAGAGGATTGGTTTGGGAAAACTTGGGCTTTGAGTTTCATTTTTCACCCAAGCTCCAGACCTCTCTTGCACACTCCTCACCCCCTAACCTAAAAATGATTCACTTTTTTCAAGGTAAGAGAGGTGGCTTGAAGAGGTTTATTTGCACAGCTGGAGCTGTGAACCCTGCGGTGCATAACATATGCCTACAAAAAAACCTTCACAGGTGAGAGGCTGGCTGGACCAGCTGTGGCAGCTGAGGACAGGGCTGTGTTTGGGTCTGGTGTCCTCCGTCTGATGGTGAGTCAGACATTTCTGTCACCTGGGGGCCAGATGAAGGCCACATGTCAGGGCAGCAGCTTGGAGTTGTTTTAGATCCTGCCAGCAGGGCTTCCAGGAGGAGCAAGAAAATATCAACAGAGTGGGGTTGGAGGTGTGCCACTAGATGCCAGGACTGAAGGAGGAATTCTAAGCTATAAGCAAGAAGATACGTTTATACTCATCAAGAGAACTAGAGGTGAGGGATCCCCAGCTTGGAGATGTTGTCCAAAGAAGACAGAAAGCATCCCACAGCAGCATTGTCATTAAACACCAGCAAGAACCAAAGCTAGATCACAGAGATGCCCTTCAAGTGAGTTCTTTCCTGTCTCCTTACCTCTTCTCTCCTCTTTGGCTCTGGTCCTAGAGGAGTTAGAAGCCACAGCTTGGAGGGTGAGGTATTCAGGGCAGAGGCCCTTCCTCCTCTCACTTTGAAATAAAGTTTGGAGTTTGACTGTTACACAAGATGTTAGATTTAATTACTGAAATGAAACTACCCTTAGGAGTGCAAGTGAATAGAGAGCAGTTAGTAACCATAGAGTGAAGGGATGTCCTATGGGGGTTCATACAAGATTTTACCAGGAGCAAGACAAGATTTCATCCACAGGTAAAGAGAATCAGCAACACAAAATGGCCTTGACTAGCAGGGGGAGAAAATAATAAAGTTGGTTTCTGATTGTTCCTTGCCAGTATCACCTGTTTAATATCTGGGTTACACCTATAATTTGCAACAGCAAATTACAGGTATATAAAATCTCAGTTTCCTATAGTTTTCTTGTCAGTGTTACAGGATTAGACTCCTACAGGAACAGAAACTTTAAACCAGAGTCCTCTGTAAATTTTTCACAAATATTTTTTGCTTGTTTGTTTATTCTTTGATGATTTTAATTTTGATTTCCAAACTGAACAAATTCAGCCTAACAAAAGAAAATCACAGGCTAACTTTATTTACAGAAATAAATTTAAAAATTCGAAGGAAAATATTTGCCAATGAAACCTAGTGATGATCAAAAGGAATAACACATCAGGACTGAACAGTTATTTCAGAAATGAAAGCATGTTTCTATACTATGAAATATATTAGCATTTTTCAGTTTATTAAAGAAAAAGAGAAAAATTACATGATTATCTTGCCAGGTACAGAAAAAGCAATTTATAAAAATTCAACAGATATTCCTGGTAAAACTAGGAAGAAATAGCCTCTTAAATTTAGATAAAAGGTATCTGCCAAAAGAGCAAACATGTAATAGTGAAACACGGGGAGCACATTAATTAAAATCAAGAGCTCTATTATTACTCCTGATTGTACTGCAGATACCAGCCAATGAAACATGACAAGAGGGAAATAGTGTACAAACATTGAAATGGAAGTGATAAAACCACAATCATTTGTAGTTGGTATGATTTTCTACCTAGAAAATCAAAGACAAACCAAAAAGCTTTTAGAACTAATATGATAATTCATTGATTTGCCTGAATGTAAGACCAAACACTGAGATCACAAATTTACTGATGTCTAAGAGTAGCTCATAAAAATAGATGTTATTCATAATAATAAAAATACCAAAATGCCTAAGAATAAGTGCAGAACCTCAGAAACACTGAAATGCCTAAGGATAAACCTCAGAGCCTAAGAAACATACAAGGAAAATTAGAACACTCTATTGAAAAACATAAAAGAAATGATGAATAATACACAGTATTTCTGGATGGGAAGGCAGAAGTGTAAACTGGTAATTTCTTCCCAAGTTAATTTATAAATTCAATGTAATTCCAATAAATTTTTTTTTTTTAGATTTTTCTTCAAGTAAAAATATGCTTTGGGTTGGGCACGGTGGCTCATGCCTGTAATCCCAGCACTTTGGGAGGCTGAGGCGGGCGGATCACGAGGTCAGGAGATCGAGATCATCCTGGCTAACACGGTGAAACCCCATCTCTACCAAAAATACAAAAAATTAGCTGGGCATGGTGGCGGGCGCCTGTAGTCCCAGCTACTCAGGAAGCTGAGGCAGGAGAATGGCGTGAACCCGGGAGGCGGAGCTTGGCAGTGAGCCACGATTGTGCCACTGCACTCCAACCTGGGCGACAGAGCGAGACTCCGTCTCACAAAAAAAAGGAAAGAAAGAAAAGAGAGGGAACTTTCCACAGCAGTGTGGTTTTTTGTGGTTTTGGCACGGAAATAGAAAAATAATGGGATAGAATTGAGAATCCACAGAATCATGTGTCTTTTGTAATTAAACATTTATAAATGGACTGTTTCATACATGATGCATGGACGATAACGTTTGAAAAAATTATTCTATACCTTATGCCATATACAAAAATAAATTCCATATGGTTTAAAGACATAAACTGAAAAAAACACCCTATAAATATAAGAAGAACATGCAGGACATTTTAATAACCTTTGAGTGGGGAAGATTTTCCTAATTAAGACACAGAACGCAGATACCATAAAGATATACAGTTTAAAATTTTAAACTTGCCCATAAGCAAAGTTAAAATATAGGTAGTATAATGAGACAAACAATATAAATAATAAACAAAAGATTAATTTCTATAATATATAAGGCATTCTCTAGTCAATAAAACAAATTACCCAATAGAAAAATGGACAATGATAAGGAAAAATCTATTCACAGTCCATGGGAATGTGAAAAATTAGTAAGCTAACTTAACCAAAAAATGCAAATTAAAATAACAAAAAATGAGCATTTTTCATTCATTGGGCTAACAAAAATAATATTTATGGTAGAGATGGTGTGGAAAAGTGAACATTTGTTACATGTTATTGATGGGAATGTAAAGTAGCAAATAATGCTTGAAGGGATTTGGCAGTTTTCACCTGAATTTAAAATACTAATTTCCTTTAACCTAGGTTTTCTGTCTCACAGAACATTTACATATATGCACAAAGAAAAACATATAACATTATTTATTTGTCAGATTAAATAAATTAGAAATAACTTATATATCCATCACTAGAAATTGGTAATATAAGGATTCTATGAAACCAATAAAAAGAATCAATTAGATCTATATGTCCTGAAACGAAAGGAACTCCAAGATGTAGCATTAAGTTAAAAAGTTGCAAGTTTCAGAGTTTCAGAATAATATGTGTAGTATAAATTAATGTTTGTAAGAGTAAAAAGATACCTAAATCTATATCTGTACCTATAAATCTGTATTTATTCACATGAATGCATAAAGAAAGTTCTGGAAGGATACTCTGGTTGCCTAAGGGAGTGGTCTTATTTTAAGAGGATGAAGTGGGTAATTTTGTCTCTTATATCTAATTCTTCAAAATTTGAATTTTTAAAAAGAGCATGATTTTTGTATTACTTTTGTAATTTTAAATGTTGTTACTCTACTTTCCCTTGTATACACTGGACAAGAAAAGTCCTGGGCTTTCAATAACTCCCACTCTTCCTGCAAGGGAAGTGGTGTTTTTAGCTGCCCTAATGGGTTTGCATATGCCTGGGGCTCACCTCCCTAGGGGCTCACATTCAACCGCTAGTCCTGCTAAATAGAGCTGCAAACACAGCTGGATGAATCTGAATCATAAGCTCATAGTAAAGGAGAGAATTAGAAAGTGATGTAATAATCTAGAATTTAGAACTATTGTATAGAATACAGAGTTGTGGAGAATTAGAAATAAATGGTTTGATCCAATGTTAGAAACTATTATCTATGGAAAGACCCAATAACTACAAGAATTGTGAATAAAGCAAGAATCTTAGAAACTCAGAGTTACATAGAAATGCAGAGCCATCTCTTTGGATGTTTTCATTTCACAGACAAAGAAAAGGAGCTGATGGACTTTTGGTGACTTTCCACAGGACTCCTGAATCCTAGTGCTCATTAACTGTAATATCCCCAGAGCTGTTGTTGTTGCATGAACTTATAAGGGAAATCATATTATTAGGAAAAGTAATTCTATTAAAATAATAAAAAATGAAATTGCTTAAGCAAGAAAAAAACTACAGACATGAACAGAACTTTCCATTTTATTCTTCTTCAACTTGGCCTCACCAAAGTATAAGAAAAGATTTCATCGGTGATGAGGAAAGTTGAAGACAATAGTAGGAAGGCCATGACAATGAAAAAAATTCTAAATATGAATATTTCCATAATAAAGTGCCATAAAATAACTGTGGGAGAAGACTAAGTATGAGATTATGGCTATTGAGAAAAGAAAGAACTGATTCTACCCAGAAAAAATTAGAAGAATCCCAGAGACAAATGAGAAAGTGGGCAGGCTAGGTAAACTTATCTCATAGCTAATGTTTGATTTTTCAGGTCAAAATTTGACTTTAATATGCAATGCATTAAAAAATGAAAGAAAAGAAAGTGGTAAAGCTGGCTGTGCAGGGGATTGGAATGAAGCCCTATACATTTTCAGCTGCTGTACAAAAGTTTCATCATAAAACTGAGCATCTATGCTGTGAATGTGGAATATTTTTAGTTATTATGAATAATCAAATCTCATAGTATATATACAATTTAGTTTAGCATATACTTTTAATGGACTTCATCACCATACCTTTCCTAGAACGCTTCAGAAGGAACAATCCTAAGTACTTGAGTTTTATCTTGTGATTTTCCTGAATCTGAATTTTTCCTTTTAGGATTCATCTGCACCTCCCTTCATTCACAGAAAGTGAATATTTCTAAAGTTTAGAAACATTCTAAAGTTTGCAATGCTCACACCAATCACCAAGAAAATAATGAGCTGGCCACTTTTCCTGTAAGGGCCGGATAGTAAATGTTTTCAGCTTTGTGAGCCATGAGGTCTCACAACTACTCAGTCTGCCTCGTAGCACAAAAGCAGCCTCAGACACCATGTAAACGAATAAGCTTGTTGGGTTTCCAGTTATCTTTTATTATGGAATCTTACATTTCATATAATTTTCAGATATGCCATATTCTTCTTCTTTTAGTTTTTTCTTCTCAATCATTTAAAAATGTAAAAGCCACTCTTAGATCGCTTGTTGTACAAAAAGATAGTGGGCTGGATTTGGCCTACTGGCAGCAGTTTGCTAAGCCCTGACCTAAAATCTTAGAAAGAAGGCAGGGAAAAAATGAGTGTGTGTTTAACATGAAAATGCTTTAATTTTTTTTTCTTTGAATGATCAAGAGGGAGATTGTTTGCATTGCTATAATGATAGCAGTCAATATTGTATTTCTATAGCACTTTCTTTGTGCCTGCTACTTTTCAAAGTACCTTTACCTTGACTGACTCCCTTAATTCTCACAGTAAACCAATGAGGTAAAAGAACCATGATTACCATGCCCATTTTACAGATAAGGAAACTGAAGCACAGAAACTCTAAATAATGTGCCCCAAATTCTTAGTGTTAGTAAAAATAGTAAGGCTGAGATGAGAACTCGGGCAGCCTAGTTCCAGCGCGTGCACACACAACTGTCATGCTAGTTTCCAACTTAATTTAGTCACACACCTGATGAAGCCCGCTGTGTGTCTTTCTGTTTGTATATTCTTCACAAGGTCTAAGTAATTTAGTAGGCTGTTTTCATTGAGAAATCTGTCTGTGAAATAGTATTGGAAGTGAGAGGGATGGGAAAATGCTAAACAACGTTTTTTTCAAGTCAATACATATTTTTAGAAAATTCTTGAATAACCTAATTTTAGCAAGCAAATTGAAAATCACAGGAAGTCTTCTAAAACATTTCAAAAATGAAAATGAAAGGAGTTTTATTTGCTTGATTAATTGACACTGGAGTTAGGAAAGACTTTAGGACTTTGTGTGTGTATTATTTGAATGAAAAATTAAAAATGCTATTGAAGTGGGGTTCACTGGGGGATGATGTCATTATGGCTGTCCTTGGAGAACCCAGCAGGCCCCCAAGCAGTAGAGTGTTTCACTTTCAGTTTAACTTGGAAGTCACTAAGTAATCAAACAAAGACTACAGGCCATAAGGAGAAAATTGGTTATCAAAGATTTCAAGTCTGAAGAATTTCTCAAATAAATCACCAATTGTTTCAAGTTTTTGAAACAAGCTGTGTCTTTTGCGTATGAGTGTATACTTGTTGGTGGGGGGGTAACTCATTCATTTATGTGAGGAAGACAAGATATACTCTATAAAAGCTGGGTGGTTTTACTGAATTCTATCCGTACCTCTTTTGAGTTGATTAATATTTGGCAAAAATCCATTCCTTCTCCAGCATCTAATTACTTCACTAAAAATGATGATAATATTACCAAACTCACAGACTGGTTGGAAAGATTACATGAGATAATGTATGTGCATTGGAAATTGTGAAAGGACGATACGTATATTAATCTCTTTTAATAAAGCCAGTGGAAAAGACAAATCTAGCTGTACCTCTCTGTTTAAATGTAAAAGAATTCTATTACTGCCTGCATCAGCAAATTCAGATAAGACGTTCACTATTTATATTTTCAGCAAGAGCTGGAAAGCAACTAATAGCGTAACTGCTATCAAAGATGGTTTCAGAGATCTGTGAAATTGGGTATATTAGTTTTAATTTAAACTGAGGCATGCAGTGTCAGCATCACCTCAGAAATGTCTTAGGGGATAGATTTTATTAAAATATTTGTTTTACATTCTTTCTAATGAGAAGCATTTTCCCAGCTTTGATCTAAACTTTTATTTTTTAAGATAAAAACTCATCTGTTCAAGTGAAAAATGTGTGTGGTGATATCTCTAGGAGGAGAGGCATGCTATTTGATAAAAATCTCAATACTTTTGGTAGTCCTTAGCCAGGTTTAACTTCAAAAATAAATTGAAATTTTATCCTTCAGCTTCGTGGCCTTTAAAATTGCCAATATTATTATTTTCAAGGTTAACCTTTATTTTTACTAGTCTACTCTGTTATTCTCTGAAATTAAATTATTGGCTTTCTTTAAAATTACCTTATTTTTAATGGGATAAAATTGTCCTTATTTGCAGTTTCAAGATGGATGGAGTAGGCTGGGTATGGTGGCTCACGCCTGTAATCTTAGCACTTTGGGAGGCTGAGGCGGGTGGATTGCCTGAGCTCAAGAGTTTGAGACCAGCCTGTATAACACGGTAAAACCCCGTCTCTACTAAAATACAAAAAATTAGCCAGGCTTGGCGGCGTGTGCCTGTAATCCCAGCTACTCTGGAGGCTGAGACAGGAGAATCACTTGAACCTGGGAGGTGGAGGTTGCAGTGAGCCAAGATCGCATCATTGTACTCCAGCCTGGGTGACAGAGTGAGACTCCATCTCAAAAAAAAAAAAAAAAAAACAGATACATGGGGTAGACATGTGTCTTAGTCTGTTTTCTGTTATTATCACTGAATACCTGAGACTTGATAATTTATAAATAAATAATTTTATTTCTTACAGTTCTGGAGGCTGGGAAGTCCAAAGTCTAGGGGCAACATCTTGTGAGGACTTTCTTGCTGTTGGGGACTCTCTATAGAATCCTGAGGTGGTGCCGGGAATTGATGGCAAGGAGGCACATGAGTGATGGCCTAACTGGTTTTTATAACAGACCCACTTTTATGATAGCAAACCTCGTCCCTTGATAATAATCCATTAATCAATTAATCCATTAATCCATAAGCGTAGTCATCCATTCATGAAGGCAAAGCCCTCATGACCGTGTCACCTTTTAAAGGGCCCACTTGTTAAGTCTGTTACATTGAGGATTAAGTTTCAACTTGAGTGTTGGAGGGGACAAACATTCAAACCACAGCAGTGAGAGTTTTGGGCTGTGTGTTACTTGGAAGTAAAGCTCTTTGGGGGCAAGGTCATGCTGTGTTAGATGTAAACACACACACACAGCAAAAGAGAAATGCCATCGAGGAGCGTCTTTGCTGCAAACCCTCAAATGGGGTTGTTCTTGCTTGCTTTGGAGACAAAATATGAACATTTATCAGTTATTCCAAAGATGACCAAACAGTCACTGCAAATGGTTGTGGAAGAATCACATAGAATTTCATGTATAACTTTTGAGAACAAACTAAGTGGTCCTTGGAGTAACCTGGTATGAGGATGATTTGAGTAAGAAACAGCTCTTGAAGACAGGCAAAAAATCTCATTTTAATGAATTTGAGGGAGTTGGAAATAGCTTTGTTACATTCCAATTATATGTAATTGGAAATGTATGCATTTTCAATATATACAGAGCACAGAGGTGGTGTTATTTACTTGATTTAGTTTAAATCAGGCATTTCATTTCTATGTCCTGGTTTTGCTATTTTTTAAAAAACAGCACTTCTTTTATCATCTTCCTTTTATTCTGTATCATGTTGAGGTACTTGCCTTGGAGATATTCCATCCCTGACCCCTAGTTCTGGTAATTTCCTCTCTCTCATTCCTTTCCAACCTTCTTTACTCTTCTGAGATGCTAATATAACAATCCTATAACAGTAGAAAGCACAATTCTGAACCATAGCGGTGTTTTCATTAAGCAGTTTGGCTGCTGTGTGGACAGGGACTTGTGAACACATCTGTTCTACAGGATTTTTCATTTAATAGAATTTTCTGAAACCACATTGGCAAAGCACCATTATTATAAGCCATCCCCAAGGATATGGAAATAATTTTGCTAAACAGAACTCTAAGTTAAAATGCTATTTATAATTAGGAGATTATACTTGCATTTATTAGCTGTCCCCTCCTCCTGTATATGAAGATCACCTCTGAGCTAGTGTTATTTAGATGTGGATTTTGAGCTTTGTCCTCACCTAGTTATGGGGCTGGGCCTCGTGGAGTCTGTTTCTTCTGAGTCATTTGACACATAATGGCAAGGCTGTTGGCCTTGGTTAGGAAGAAATTTGTGGAAGAACAAACATTATTTCTGGCCCTACTGAAACTGTATCTGTTAATCTCATTTAATAAGATTATGATAAACTGAGATTGCAAAAGGCAAGAGCATGAATGATATCAGCTCAGTATTTTTTTCCATCAGTTTATTTTCATTTATTTTTGAGATGGAATCTCACTCTGTCACCCAGGCTGGAGTGTAGTGGCGTGATCTCAGCTCACTGCAGCCTCTGCCTCCTATGTTCCAGTGGTTCTCCTGCCTCAGCCTCCCAAGTAGCTGGGATTACAGGAGCCTACCACCATGCCTGGCTGATTTTTTTTGTATTTTTAGTAGAGATGAGGTTTCACCATGTTGGCCAGGCTGGTCTTGAAGTCCTAACTTCAAGTGTGATCAGCCTGCTCGGCCTCCCCAAGTTTGGGATTACAGGCATGAGCCACTGCGCCCAGCCTCAACTAGTTTATTTGATTGGAGGGGTTAGTGTTATTACTACCTTGAATCATATCTCTTGTTTCTTCTCCAAACTCTTGTAAAGTGTATCTTAAACTGAGGGCACAGCAAAGCTGTGTCTCTGACCCTTGCTTTCAGGTGAGTGACATGAAATGGGGACTGTAGTATTTTATGTCTGCCTGTAACTAGCTTCAGAAAGTTTTCTCATGAGAAGAAACCCGGCTGCAGGTGAACAGTCCCTGAAGTTTTTAGGATGGATTTGAGGCATGTTCTCATGTTGGGGCAGTTCTATCTCCCCCTCCCTTCCAGGGGACATTTGGCAATGTCTGCAGACAATTCTGGTTGCTAGAACTTGGGGGTGGTGGTACACCCTGTGGGTCAAGGTCAGGGATGCTGCCAAACACCCTATGACCCACAGGACAACCCTCCACAACAAATAATAATTTGACCCAAAATGTAAGTAGAGCTGAGGTTGAGAAACCATGAGATTTAGATAAGAAGCTTGTTTGAACCTTAGTCCGAAGGCTGAATAATTATGCCAGTCCACTCTACGGACTTTAATGCAGCTGTTCAAGAATGACCCATAGATCTATATTTGTGGAGCTGTTCGTGATGTATTAAGTGAATAAAAGCAACTCTCCGGTGATAATAATAATAATAATAAACAAATATTATTTATAGCCAACCTTCATTGAGAACCTACTGTTGGTCAGGCATTGCACTAAGTGCTGTAGTTGTATCATCCAATGTCATTCTTCCAACTGTATGAAGTAAGCATTATTACTGGTCCCATTTTATAAATGAGGACACTGTGCATGGAAAAGTTAAAGTTGCCTAAAATCACATAGGTGGTAAGGTCTCAGTATTTCTTTTTTTTTTTTTTTTCCTGAGACGGAGTCTTGCTCTGTCGCCCAGGCTGCAGTGCAGTGGTGCGATCTAGGCTCACTGTAACCTCTGCCTCTCAGGTTCAAGCAGGTTTCCTGCCTCAGCCTCCTGAGTTGCCGTGATTATAGGCGCACGCCACCACACCTGGCTAATTTTTGTATTTTTAGTAGAGATGGGGTTTCACCATGTTGGCCAGGCTGGTCTTGAACTCCTGACCTCGTGATCCACCCACCTTGGCCTCCCAAAGTGCTAGGATTACATGCGTGAGCCATCATGCCCGGCCAGGTCTGAGTTTCTATACCTTGTCAGTATGCACGGAAACCATGATGTGATACTGGAGATTTTATAAAAAGCTATTGTCTCCCCCCAGCCCTTCTCTGACATCAGTTCCACTTCCTGGAGAAAACTCCTTTGATTTTTTTTTTTTTTGGTCGTTCTATGTCTTAACTCCACAACTCAAAAAATTACTTGATTAAAAAAAATTAAGTCCCATTTATTGACTTCCCATTATGACAAAGGTTTAACTCACACTACTGTGATACCCTCTGATCACCTCCTTTCCCTCCTTTTGTTGTTTTTTGTATTTTTTTAAAATTTCTGTTGATCATCATTGTAACTTTAAATAATAAGGTAGTAAGCCATTTTTTCCTTCCATACATTTTTATCACAATTTCCCTTTTTATACATTCTCTATCTTAATACCTCTGACTTTCTTCCTCCTTGTTCCTTCCTCTCTTCTCACTGTTGCCAGAATCTTTAACATTTATGTGGTTCTGCAGACATCGGCAAGTCTTCTGAGGCTGTCCAGGAGTTGATGTGGAGAGTTGAAACCTGCTAGCTGTTGTTTACATAGCTGTGGCAATGGGTTATTGTTGGATCATGTAGGGGCCTAGGATTACATTTCCTTTACTCCAGGCCCAATGTCTCCAGCCTTTAGCTCAGGAGGACAATGAGGGTATAAGTATCAGTGGATTCTGTTTTTCTGAATAAAGACCATTAGCGAATTGCCTGTTTCTAGCCCGTTTCTTACTCCTGTTCACTCTGTGCCTAACATCTCTCCTGGATTTGAAATAACCCTTCTCCAGCCACCTCTCTAGTTGCTACATGGACCTAGTGGTTTTGAAAATTCTATCAGAATATGTAACTCTACTGAATTTTATTTCTCTTTGTGAATATTTTGTTTTATGTGTTGACATTTTACTGCCTATTTTAATGGATAACAAAGAGCATATAAGACAGTCTAGACTGTAGCCTCCCAGAAGGGAGTTTGGATGTATTTTTTCCCTTTGATTTATGAGCCTAGCGTGGTCCCTTAGCACTTTGGAGAATCAGTTCCTGAGGGTCCCTTTGACCTTTGAAGACAGCCTCTGAGGAGAGCTGGCACCACACTTCTAAGATTGCTGCTCTTGGCAACCATTAAATTAAAAGCATATTCCCTTAAGATAGTAACAACACTCTTCAGAACGTTCCCAGGTGAAGGAACATTTGGCTGTACATGAGAAGCCTGTGAAGTAGAAGCTTTGAGCCCACTGGGCATCAATTTCATATTGAACCAGTCTCGAGTTAACCTATGTCATAGGCTGAGAAGTGGAGGAAGTCACACCAAAAGAAGACTCCTTGGTCATCCTATCGCAAGTTTCACTCTCCAAAATAGACAACGGGTCTGGAAATTTCTGTAAGGCTCTGGGGAAGGAGGCGTAGGAGGTGTGAGCGCTCATCTGTGCTGAAGAGGATGGCTGTAGTGGTGGGAGAGGGTTTAGATGGGCTGAGGAGAGGTCTCTATCCCTGCTCCTCCACCCCTACGTCTCAGTAATCCCCTGTAATGATGCATGGGTTCTGTAATGCCTTGCAGACATGTTTCCGGCTCCCTGCCTATTTTTGAGTTAAACTCGTGAAAGGATGACCTGAGGGGTATCCTCTTAGTGTGGTTTCATCCACTTCTCAGTCCTTGCCATGGGTTAGAGACTGGTTCAGTGTCAGATTGATACACAGTGAACTCCTGTGCACAATTCTCCTGACATCAGCCACCCTTGAATAAACTTGAGTGAATGAATTTGTTTTGTATCCTGAAAAAATTTTGAAAAGTTTTCTAGTATATAGGAATGATTTCCTCCTTACACTGGGGAAACTGACTATGGCTCTCTCAAAACAGATCTTTAGAATAAAGTGGTGGTTTGCCTGATTTATTTATCTTGATAACAAATAGAAAACGGTCCACTCTGCTTCCTGCCCCACCAAAAAAAGAGAAACAAAAAAACAAACAAAAATAAAACACGATAGGATGGGTGCAGTGGTTCACACCTGTAATCCCAGCACTTTTTGAGGTCGAGGTGGGGGATTATGAGGTCAGGAGTTTGAGACCAGCTTGGCCAACATGGTGAAACCCTGTCTCTACTAAAAATACAAAAATTAGCTGGGCATGGTGGCGTGCACATGTAATCCCGGCTACTCGGGAGGCTGAGGCAGGAGAATTGCTTGAACCGGGAGGTGAAGGTTGCAGTGAGCTGAGATTGTGCCACTGCACTGCAGTCTGGGCAACACGGTGAGATCCTGTTTCAGGAAAAAAAAAGAAAAAAAATCAAACACAATAAAACAGAGAAACTTGAAAATAGAACATGTGTGATGTGCTTTGACCATGCAGAGTTTGTGTCTTTTGTGAAGAAATCTGTGAGTCCTAGGGCAGCGGGGGAGGGGTTCTTTCTGACCTCAGGGACGAGAGCCAGCTGCCATCTTGGGGGAGCTGGGAACCTTCCAGAAAGACTGACAAATATGCAGCTAAGGACAGTTTTGTTACACTGCACAATCTGACTCTGTGCTGAGTTATTGCTTAAAATGTGCACCTGGAACATCCTCCCATCCATGGAATTTTCCAGAGTGATACTCATGTACCAAACAATCTCATTTTACTTTCCTATCCCCATATTCTCTTTTCTGAAGTTGTGACCATTCAGGGGTGTTTTGAAACACCCTCTCCAGTCACTAAAAATCCTCCAGTGATAGGAGGAGTGGGGGAAAAATGCAAAAAGCTCCTAACTTTTTAATCTTAGATTTTTAACACCATCTGATTAAAAGACGCTTGACTTTTAAAAGCCATTTCTCCCATGTTTAAGGTTTGAAGTCTTTTTCTTAGGCTCCTGGGAAAGGAATTTCAATAGCAGAGCAGAGCAAAGAGACACCCTAATCTCAGTGAACACGTGAAGGACAACTTACGGGCTTACACTGAAATTGACTCCTTCTGATTCCACTTCTTCGTAAGATGTAGCATGTCCCAAAGCAATAATTTCCTGACATGGCTGCACGCTGGAATGACGTGACATTTACAAAAGAAAAAGAAACCCACATACACACACAAACACACATAAACCCACCAGAGTTGCACACCTACTGAATCAGAATCTCCAGCATGTGGGCCCAGGAATCTGCATACATTACAAACTCTCCAAATGATTCTGAGGTAGACCACCTGTGCAGGTTATTGCAGATCTTAATACATGCATCCCTGCTGACAACTTCTTTATAAGCCTTCTCATATCTGGATACAATTTGATGAGCTTTTGAATTTTATTTACTTTAATCATTGGGACTGGCCCATAATTTTCAGTGCAAAATGACAATGCAGGCTCCTTGTTCAAAACATTATTAAGAATTTTGGCCAGGCACGGTGGCTCACGCCTGTAATCCCAGCACTTTGGGAGGCCCAGGTGGGTGGATCACAAGGTCAGGAGTTTGAGACCAGCCCCACCAACATGGTGAAACCCTGTCTCTACTAAAAATACAAAAATTAGCTGGGCGTGGTGGCATGCACCTGTAATCCCAGCTACTCAGGAGGTTGAGGCAGGAGAATTGCTTGAACCTGGGAGGCAAAGGTTGCAGTGAGCCAAGATCGTGCCACTGCATTCTAGCCTGGGCAGGCAACAGAGCAAGACTCCATCTCAAAAAAAAAAAAAAAAGAATTTCAAGATGGAGACAGTAAAGCATTAAACCAAGTCCAGGGCCTGATGTTTCTGCACAGGCTGCATGCCTGTCTATGAAACCAGCCCTGCTAATCGTCTATTAGCTGGTAATGAGAGACACAAAATTTAGGATAAACAACATTTCCAAATCTCAATTAGTAGGGAATCTGGAAGGTGAAGACTATATATCTATGGGCTATTTCTTGGAAGATAGGTCCCTGAGTGACAGAGAAAAGTATTTGGCCAAATCAGGCTGCCGTGCAGAGCTAGGCAGGTCTGTTTTGCAAAGCTCTAGAGGACATCAGGCTATGTGATGTCACCCTCCTGTGTGTGCAGTGCGCTACCTGCACAACCACGTGTAGCACAGCTAGGTAAAGATAAATGCTGCTTGGAAACCTGGAAGACATGGCTGGAAAAAAATGCATGCATATCTCTGGTCAAGATTCAGATGTATTGATTATTTAAGTAACAAGTCCTGCCAGGCACAGTGACATGCACCTATAGTACAAGCTACTTGAGAGTCTGAGATAGCGGGATCATTTGAGCCCAGGAATTGGAGTTTAGCCTGGACAATGTGGCAAGGCCCCATCTCTAAAAAAAAAAAATAACAAAACAACAACGAACAAAAAACTAAACAACAAAGTCTTATTTATTTACCTCTGTAGTAGATAATTAACTAAGACGTTGTGTAAAATGACTAATTCCCCTTCTAACTTGCTCTTTTAAGTCTGACCAGATGTTTAACAGAAGCCAAAAGTTATAGGAGTAGGGAGATTGAGATGGAGACAAGAGCGCCGATTTTCAAAGTAACTTTTTGAAATCCTAAGAATGCTCAGCACTGTGCTTGAGGTCTTTTGGAAAAGGTTTCTTCACTAATAATACCAATTAACATTTGTATGATAGTTTCAGAAGTTTTTTCTAATACAGCAGCTCATTGAAATTTATCTGGATATGGTTTTGTCCTTATCTCCTTTCGATAGATGAATAATTGAGGCTCAGAGGGGTTAAGTGATGCCTTGAGGGGCTCTGTGCAAGCAGTTAGTAGAGTTGGGACAGGACCTGGGACCATCTGATGCCAGATTCCACTACTTTACTTTTTAGAGATTCTAGGTTTCTCCTCAGCAGGGGCACAGTTATCACATCCATCTTCAAATATCAGATCAATTGTAAGAAACTGGACAGGACCTGAGGATAAAAATTTCTTGCATGAAAAGAGTTTAGATTCTGCTCAGAATGAAGATCTTAATTCTTGACAACTATGTTCTTCTATATTTATAATCCTCCTGGAAAAATCTTCTCAGATTATACACAAATGTAGTTTACTCAATGTCATCACCAGTTTGAGCTGCTGTAACAAAATACCATAGACTCACGTGGCTTGAACCAACAGACTCTATTTCTCATAGTTCTGGGGGCTGGAAAGTCCAAGATCAAGGTGCTGACAGATTTGGTGTCTCGGGAGGGCTCTCTTTCTGGCTTGCAGATGGCCACCTTCTTGACATGTGCTTGCATGGCCTTTCCTCAGTGTATGTACTTTGTCTTCCTCTTTTTATAAGGGAACTAATCTCATCATGAGAGCCCTATCTTCATGACCTCATCTAAGAGTAATTGTCTTCCGAAGACCTCACCTCCAGAGGCCATCACATTTGAGGTTAGGACTTCACATATGAATTTTGGGAGGACACAAATATTCAGCTCATAACACTAAATTTACAAAAAAGTGATTCCTTTAATTCAAAAATTGCCTCACCTATATCATTTTTGCTTACATTTACGGAGTGATAATTCTCTGCCAGATATATTTCTTAAGTACTTAATGTACACAATCACTCTCCATGACAATGCTATGAAGTAATTATTATTATCATCCCCATTTTGCTGGTGAGGGCATTGAGGCATTGCTCAAAATTACACATCTAGTAAGGGGTTGAACCAGGATTGGTACTCAGGCTATGGACTCTAGAGTTTGCTCTTAAACTCTGCCTGTTAGTCAAATCTTCCTTTTCCTTCCTCCCTCCCTCCCTCCCTCCCTCCCTCCCTCCCTCCATTCCTTCCTTCTTTCCTTCCTTTCTTTCCTTCTTTCTCTCTCTCTTTCCTTTTTTCAGGACTTTGTTGCCCAGGCTGGAGGGCAGTGGCAGGATCTTGGCTCACTGTAACCTCCCTCTTCTTTGCTCAAGTGACCCTCCCACCTCAGCCTCCCAGGTAGCTGGGACTATAGGCATGCACCACCATGCCTGGCTAATTTTTGTATTTTTTTTTTGTTTTTTTTTTGTAGAGATGGGGTTTTGCCATGTTGCCCAGACTGGTCTCAAACTTCTAGGCTCAAATGATCTGTCTGCTTCAGCCTCCCAAAGTGCTGGGATTACAGGTGTGAGCCACTGCGCCTGGCCAGATGATTATTTCTTTACATCAATTTGCCAACTTGTTTTTCAATAAAGCAACCTGGTCTTTCTAACTACCATTTTGTTACTGACAGGTGCTATTTTGCTGAATTTCTCTCCTCTCTATTGTGGTATTTGGAAGTTTGGGAGCTGAAATTTTAAGAATCCTTGGCCAGCTGGGTTTTGGTTTAGTTTCTACTAATGGGGTGGGAGGGGATTTATTCATGATTTGGAAGGTGTAGACCAAAACCAAAATTCTAAGCCCTCCAACTGACTGAAAGGACCCCTTATCTCAGGCAAGAAGATAGCCATGAAACCTGAAAATCTAGTTCAGGCCATGATGGGAATGGTGGGTCAGACATGCTTCATTATTCTCTCCATCCTTTGGAATTTAGGCACAACTGACCAGCATTAACATTAAACCAGATATTTTAAGAGTGACAAAACAGTCTGTTTGTAGCAATAAAGTACCATATTCCAGCCTGATTCTAGGATAGCATCACATTAAGAGATAGCAGGCCCTGAAAGAAATGGAAGTATTTTACCCCAAAATACATTTTTTGATCTATTTTGAAATGTCCCTGCAAAACTGTCTCTTGTGGGAAAAATCTACATTCTGTAGAGAATCCCCTTCCCTTTCCAGGTATTTTCCTGATCCTGGAGAGATCTAACTAAGAGTCTAATGCCTTTTAAGGTTTGATAAAGGACATTTATCATCTATTCTCTCTGAAGCCTGCTATTTGGAGGCTTCATCTACGTAGCAAAACCTTGGCTTCCACCCCCAACTCCCACCTTATTCTAACCCCAAGCATTTCTTTCTGCTGACTTTAACTCTTTAGGCAAAACTTTACTCTTTCAGCCAATTGCCAATTAGGAAATCTTTGCATCCACTTATGACCTGGAAGCCTCCCCCTGCCCACTTCGAGATGGCCTACTTTTCCAGGCTGAATCAATGTAAAACTTACATGTATTGATTTATGTCTTTGCCTGTAACTTCTGTCTCCTCAAAATGTATAAAATCAAGCTGGAACCCAACCACTTTAGGCACATGTTCTCAGGACCTCCTGAGGCTATGTCATGTGTCATGGGCCTCATATTTGGCTCAGAATAAATTTGTTCAAATATTTTACAGAGTTTGGCTTTTTCATCAACAAAGGAGAAAGGGAAGCATGGTCTGTGATTATACAACATGTGGAAGGTCATCTACTATGGACTAAATGTTTGTGTACGCCCTACATTCATATTTTGAAACTGTAATCCTCAATGCGATGGGGCTTTTGGAAGGTAATTAAGGTGGAGCCCTTATGATAAGATTAGAGCCTTTATAAAAAGAGACAAGAGAAAGCTTGCTTCCTTTCGACCTGCATGCAGGAGAGACCATGGGAGGACATAACCATGAAGGGGGCCCTCATCAAGAGCCTGACCATGCTGGCACCTTTGTCTCAGACTTCCAGCCTCCAGAACTATGAAAAAATCCATGTTTAAGTCATCCAGTCTTTGCTAACTGACTATAGCAGCCTGGACTTACTAGGACACCAACCCTTGCAAGATCCTTTAGGTATTCTCTTGCGTATCACCACCCTGGGGATCCACACATCAGTGGTCGTCAGTAGTGTTTTTCCAATTCCAGGTCTAGAGAATAGTAGCAATTTCTTGATTCTCTGAAAATGAATGGCATACTTGAGAGCTAGCAACAGTGTGGGCTGAGCTTGACTCTTCCACCTCTTTCAGAGATTTGTAATCATTTAACTGTGTATTAAATCACTTCCTATTTGGAATTTCCTAGAAGAGTTTCTGTGTTTTTGGCCAAAACACTAAATGATACAATTATACTTTGTTTTGTTCTTTTCTCTTGAAAAATAGACAATGTAATGACAAAGTAAAATATTTTGTGTCAATCTTTGCTTTCTCATTAGCTTTTGTAGATAGAAGTCATGTATGAACCAAGCTTTCAGTATAGAAGTTTTAAAGCATATATACTAATCTATTTTAGCATCATAGTTGATAAGGACAAGTTTTAATTTTAAAGGGCAGAAAGTGGTGATTCTCAACTTTGGCTGTTGATTTAGAATCATCTCAGTAACTTTTGAAAATTATCTGTGCTTGGGTCTCACTATTGTAAATCAGAATTTCTTCTGGCTTAACCCTCATTCTTTTAAATTTAAAATTTAAATAATTTGGAATAGCTGTTGGGTTCGTTGAATGTATGCACCCCTGCCACTTTATGTCCCATCTCAATCCCAGTGTGACTGTGCTGGTCTATACAATCACACAGCAGCAGAGTATGGAAATCATCTGGATGTCCATGCACTTCATTTCTGGAACTTGCTAAAGTAGCAATTCTCAAACTTGCATGTGCATACATATCACCTGGAAATCTGATTAAAATTCAGATTCTGATGAAGTAGAACTGGGATAGGCATTGAGATTCTACATTTCCTGGGTGATTCCAATGCCGTTGGAATCCATGGAAAACTTCTAGCCAATTTTTGCTTTTCTAGTCCAAGTGTTTTCTCTTTTTCATCAACCCTATCCTTCCTCCTCTCAGTTTGACTCCACATGTTAACTTCTATTCTCCATCTAGTCTGTTTTATTAGTCCATCTGTTTCAACTTATGATCTCAACAAATATTTTCATAACACACAAATTCTAGTGTAGTCCTCTGGTTCTGTGTAGCTCACCAGGCATAGCCATCACCTCACTGCATGGACACTTTGGACACTGTATAACTCCCCCTGCAGACCTGCCTCCCATCAAAGTTCTCTGGCAGTGGAGAGGGATTGTTTAGTCACAGCAAATGGGGATACAGATGCACTTCTTCATGCTAGAGATATTTCTGTACCTTCGTATCTACATCAATGTTATTGACCCTGGATGCACATTTAAAATTATCTGGGAAACTGAAAAAAAAATCACACCGTATTCCATAAATATGTACAATTCTTATGGGTCAAGTAAAAATAATAATAAAAGCTAAAAGCTAAAAATAAAGCCTTATATCCAGGAGCTACCACTAGAGATTCTGAAACAACCAGTCTAAGATGAGACTTGGGCATTGGTATTCTGACAATTGAATATCCACTTTATTGTGCACTCAGGGTTGAGAATCAATGATCCATACAAAAGCTTAAGAAGCTACTGAATATTTTGGTGTACTGAGAATGCATCAATGAGCTATTGCTGTGTAACAGACAGTCACAAAATTCCACAGGAATAAGCGTCTATTGTCCACTTTTGCACCTCAGGAGTGGCTGGGGAGCTCTGATGATCCCAATATGGTTGGCTGGGTTTGGCTTCCAGCCATGAGTTTAGTTTATCTTGGATTCACGTGACTCTCACTTTTTGGGGACAAGCAGGGTATTCATGACAATGGTAGAACTGCAAGGGAAGAGAGTAGAAACATTTGATGTCTCCTAAGGCCTAGGCTTGGTACTGTTAGTCTTTCCCTTCTGCCCATGTTCCACTGGCCAAAGTCAGTCATGTGGCCAAGCCCAGCATCACTGGGCTCTGCAATCTGACAGTACCTTTAAGCTACTTTTAAGATTGTTCCTTGGCCAGACCTCTCATGGTGGATGTTTTGAGCAGACTTATAATTGAGAATTACTATTTCATGCTGCATGAGTCTCCCAGACTTAACAAGACTGCAAGAAGATAATTACTGTTTCCTTCATTTAGTGAAATTGATAATTTAAAAATTATCTCCCAAATCATTAGCTTTCTATAACCATGTAATCACCCTCCTTTTTAAAAAAAACCACTTTTGTTAGCTCTCTGTTGTGCAAAGCCCTATTGAATCCTGAAGCAAAGGGAAAAATTAGTAATATGAATCCTACTTCATAATATTTTGTTAGTCATTAACTTTTTCTATTCATTGCTATATTTTCAAGTATTGAATTAAATTGTTATGTATTGATCCCTGAGATTTCTGGTCTCCCCTTAGTTCTAGTTCTGCTCTTTATGAATGTGTGGCTAGGTGTGTTTGTGGCCTCCAAGGATCTGTCCTTGTTCCCAAGGATGCTGCTGGGTGTGCCCAGGAGCTTTCTTTTCTACTTCAGCTCTTTCCATAAACTGCCTTTTTAGAACAAAACTCAGAAGTCTGCATTTGCTGAATAAATATGCTTATGTGACACAGCCTCCATTGCTGTGTTGGGATGGGCCAGGACACCCTGCTTCATCTGCTACCAGGCTGACCTCCAGAAGTTCTGGTGGGAAGCCCGCCCCTACCTCCCAGCAGTCTCTGATCTCAGGATCTGGGGAACTCAGCAGTCAGCCGAAAGATTCTTCATCCATTCCTCCACAGGGCACCAGGGCATATGGTAGGTACAAATTAAACACAGTAGCAACCTAGATATCTAATTATTCCCTAAGGCAGATATGTAACTCAAGCATACTGATAACTCTGGGTTATAAACTTAAACCTTTTACTATTAATTTTGTAAAATGTACAGAGAGAAAAATGTACCATTTTAGTAACCTTAGAAAGGTGACTTTTGGATACATAGAGCCACGTGGGATAATGACACAGCATAGATTTTGGAGTCAGAAAGACAAGAGTACGTATCTTGGATTAACTAGGTGGCATATGTGTGACCGAGAACATTTCTTAACCTCTCTGTGTCTCAATTTAATAAGGATAATGGCCTTTGTCTTTGAGGTGGAGGAACATGTACATAGCTCATGGCATATAATAGAGCTTAAAAGAAATAATAGTTAGATACCCGAGATTTTGACCTGGAAAATATGTTGACTTCAGGTTCAGAGCTCTCTAACAGCATAACTCTTTAGATAGAAGACCTTTAAATTGTATTTTACCTTCACTTTGCTGCTTACATAGAATAGACTGGGCCTGCATCATCTTTTCCTGATACACCAAGGCCATTAGTAGGCACAGCTGTTTTCTAGGCTCTGCTGAAATGCAGAATGCCTCAGGACTTATTGATTCGTGAAGGGCAGCTCGTCCTTGTATGCCTCACTTGATGTGTCAGTGTGCTTATCTGCATTTTATGCTCTTTGGTCTTCTCCCTAGCTGTCACAAGTTTGCTGTCACTTGTCCTTGCTCTTGCTTGCCGCCTTTTACTTGCTAGTCCTGACTTGTGGTAGCCTTATAAACCAGATGTTAGCTTAATAAAACTGTGGGCACTAAAAGTATTAATAGGCTGTAAGGACCAAGGGAATCCCTATGCATACTGCATGCATTTTGTGGCATCTTTCTTACAAAAGGATTGCTTCTTGGTGGCAACCTAAACAGACAAAGTTGCCAGGTGTCTGGATTTCGATGGTGAGGTGCCATTATAAGAGTTCACATTGCTTTGAATGGATGGAAAGGCTTAAATCTTTTCTCAACTAGGATCATGGCTGTATCCTGAGAGCCAGGACTTTGTTTTGTGTGACTTGATCGCCTTCACAATGCCCAGCATATTCCATATTCCTAATAGTTGCTAAATAGTTCACGGCATTAAATTAGATTTAATGTAATTTGCTTGTCTAGAAGAAAGTAAATGTCTCCAAATCATATTAACAGAGGGTCAAAAACAAAACATAAATTATTGAAGAGGACTTACTTTTCCCTTTGAAAAACTATAAATGTAATTTAAGAGAAACTCTGTGGAATGTTGTTTGAGGGTGTAGGGATGCCACCTCTTAACCATCGTGCTGTTAGTCTGTGAGTGACTGTATCCATTGGTGTGGAACTGCCCTCAGCACAGCAAATTTCAAATGAGAGAAACATGTAGACAGAAAGAGAAACAAATATCCTGGCCTTAAATTATTCCTGGTATGTGTAGGTTAGGGTATATAAAAGTGAAATGAACTAGCTTGGAATTCAGGTGAAATTCTACTGCTGAGTATCCATCTAGAGAAACTCTTACTCCTAAAAAGGATACCTCCTTGTAATGTTCCCCAATGGGAGCCTAAGTGTGGATCAATGTTGGAATGGATAAATCATGGTATATTCATGCAGTGGAATGCTATATAGTTGTAAAAATTAACAACTACATACAACATGTTCAACTCATATACAATATGACTAACTTTAAAAATAAAACATTGGAAAATCAGAGGATAGTGTGTGTCACTGGCTTGCAGTTAGGTAAAGATAACAGACAGTCAAACTGAACAATACGCTGTTTGCAGTTGTACTCAATGGATAAAAACTATATTGAGAAGCACAGGGATTGTATTGGCCAGGGTAGCCTATGCTCTGCTGTGGTCACCAACAATCCCAAAACTTCAGTGGCTTGAAGTCATGGTTTTGTTTCTTTAGGATTTGAGCTGCGGAGCAGCTACCATCCAGAGCATGGCCAGAGGCAGACAGAAAAAGAGGATGTGGCAAAGCTCACATTGATTTTTGAAAGCTTCAACCCAGTCGCTTCTGACCACGTTTCTTTTGCCAAAAAAGTGACATAACCAAGCGTAGTATCAGTGTGTGGGCAAGTGCAGTTCTACCAAGTGGCCAGAAGGAGAGAGCCAGAACAATCACGAACAAATCTAATGACCACCAAGGGAATGATGTACATAAAAATCAGGATACCTTTAAGGGGCTGGAAAGGGAATGCAATTTGGGAGAGACATAGGAGGGTTTCTGAGGGATGTTAATTCTCTCTTTATCTGGGTGGTGAGTTTACAGGTTTGAGTATTCTTTAAACTGTCCATGTATGTTTTCTTATACACCTTGTTTGTATGCTGTATTTTAAAATAAAATATAAAATAACTTTTTAGGACATACAGGTCATATATATGATAATGTAGTTAGAGAAAATACTTAGCAGGATTTTAGAGATATTGTCAACTCTGGAGAGATGGAGGAGAGATTGGGAGAGATGAAAAGGAAAATTTCACATCTGTTTTATATCCTTCTGATTAAATTTCTTTCTTATAATGTATGTTGTTTGCTTACTCAATGAAAGATTAATTTTAAAAATTATTTTAAAAAACCAAGATACAGAATAAAAAAATAACCATGGGGCTCGGTGTGAAACAGGTTTTTTTGTTCCCCAACTCCAGATTGAGACTGGCATTGGGAGATGAGGGAAGAAGGCATTGAAAGGGCATCTCAAATGGAGCCAGGAGCAGACAGCCCTCAAAGTGGGAATCAGACAAAGGACCACCAGCCACAATATCAGAAAGAGGCCTGCATGTGATTTGGCACCAGCCACCCTAGAGTGTGGAACTCGGAGGGACCATCACTAGGGGTCATTGTCCAGCAGCTGAGATACTCACAGGCCACAGGGAACAGAGGGTGAAGGATTTGGTCAATTTGTGTGGGGATAAGGGTCTGATCCTCCTCCTGCCATGGTTTGACTGAGCTGAACAAACCGGAAACTTCTCTAGGAACCGGGCTATACTATACATGTAATTAAAAGTTAATTATCTTAAAAAAAAGCATTAAATCTATCTTTGATCTTGGTGGTTGTATAAATCTGCTTTGGAGAGCCCTTCATTTGGACATTGAAATCTCAACCTCAAATGTGGAGAATGTGACATGAGAATTATTTTTTGAGGATGCATAAGGTTTATTTCAGAGAAATGGGGTATTCTAATCAAGAAAGCATAGAGACATAGGTATGCATAATGGGGATGGCAAATTTAGTTTGGATGACGTGGGGGGCTGGAAGGGAAGTAGAAAAATAAGATGACTTGGGTCTATGTCTTAGTTTCTTGTGACTGCTGTGACAACTTACTGCACGCTGGATGGTTTATTTTCTGACAGTTCTAGAGGCCAGAAGTTCAACCTCAGTTTCCTTGGGCTGAAGTCAAGGTGTAGGCAGGGCTGTGTTCTCTCTGGAGGCTCTAGGGAAGGTTTAGTTTCTTGCCTCTTCCAGCTTCTGGTGCTCACCAGAGTTCCTTGACTTGTGCCCACATTACTCCAATCTCTGCCTCTCTCATCATACTGCCTTCTCCTCTGTGTGTGCATAATTGCCCTCTGCATCTTTCTTGTAAGGGCACCCCCTCTCTTTTTTTTTTGAGCCAGAGTTTCGCTCTTGTTGGCCAGGCTGGAGTGCAATGGCGCCATCTTGGCTCACTGCAACCTCTGCCTCCCGGGTTCAAGCGATTCTCCTGCTTCAGCCTCCCAAGTAGCTGGAATTACAGGCATGCGCCACCAGGCCCAGCTAATTTTGTGTTTTTAGTAGAGACAGGGTTTCACCATGTTGGTCAGGCTGGTCTTGAACTCCCGACCTCAGGTGATCCACCCACCTCGGCCTCCTAAAATGCTGGGATTATAGGCATGAGCCACCGTGCCCTGCCATAAGGACACTTTTGATTGCATTTAAAGCCCACCTGCATAATCCAGGACAACTTTCCCAATAATCACATCTGCAAGATCTTTTTTTTCTTTATAAAGTAACATTTATAGGTTCCCGGTATTGGGACCTGGTATCTTTGGGTGGGCCATTATAAAGCCAACTAGAATCTGAATCATAAAAGTTAGTCCTTGAAGTTTCTGTGTGTAAAGTGAGAATTTGGGCAGTGCAAGGACTTATGGATACAATTATCTGGTAAATAAGTCCTGCTGCCTTCAGCCTGGACAGGTGTTTCTTTTTGGTTTATGGTTCCTGCCTTGTGTCTTTGGGCAACAACAGGTATGTGGCCCTTAGATATTGTTATCCCTTTATGTCACTCCGTGCCCGAGAAAATGTTCTGATTTGATAGCTCCTGGTACTATGATTATTTCTTTTGAATACAGGGTGGGAGACATTTGTATTTGACTACTTTGGGTGCCACCTGGTGTGTACATTAAAATGAAAGGGCAAAAATCTTCTCTGAGTTCAGTTTCCTGCTAAGTGAACATCAAGCATATTCATTCAGAATTATAATTGCCTTCATTGACAGAACCACATGAGGTTGGTGCAAAATTGCTAGGGAGATCCTGATGCACATATTCTATTTATTTCTGTCCCAAGTGGAATCAGTAATGAAAATCACAAATAAAAATAGGAAGCAATTTTACTGGATGTATTAGCGTGAAAACATAGTTCAGTGTTGCCGAAGAGAATAGGAACAACTCTTTGTAAGTAGGAGCAAGTGATATATTTCTCATTGTGATCAATTTTTGATTCAGTAAAAAGTTGCTGCTGCTTCTTTGATTATTTCTGATGCTTCTATCTTTATCTTTTATGGAAATAATTTTATTCATCTCCCATTTGAAAGTCTCCTTTAAACATTTAGAATAGTATTTTTGGCAGGTTTTATTCTTTCTTTCTTTTTTTTTTTGTGATGTTAGTAAGGCAGAAACGGAAACAGCTCTTGTTTCCAGCATTTTCTTGGCTACACTGGACAAAAATGTATTACTTTTTTTTTTTTTTTTTTTTTTGAGATGGACTCTTGCTCTGTTGCCCAGGCTGGAGTGCAGTGGTGCGAGATCTTGACTCACCACAACCTCCGCCTCCTGAGTTCAAGCGGTTCTCCTGCCTCAGCCTCCTGAGTAGCTGGGACTACAGGTGCGCGCTGCCATGCCTGGCTAATTTTTGTGTTTCTAGTAGAGACGGAGTTTCACTATGTTGGCCAGGCTGGTCTCAAACTCCTGACCTCGTGATCCGCCTGCCTTAGTCTCCCAAAGTCCTGGGATTACAGGCGTGAGCCACCGTGCCCGGCCAAAAATATATTACTTTTGAACTTTCAGGGTCTTTCAAAGGGCAAGTCAAAAATTCCAGACCAGACATTTCAAGTTAATACCGCCAGTGTTACTCTCATATAGCCTATGAGTGAGTGAGTGAAGATAAGACCCTGTTTGTTGCCATGTGGATAGAAGCCAGTGAAACAGAATGAACAGCTCTTATGAAATTACTAAGATGAGGAGGATGTTGCACAGAGCAGAAATATAAAATTTTAAAGGCTTTTGATATTGAGGGGGAAATAATTTTATAAATCAACATTGAAAAGGAATAAATTTTTATAGCGTTATCCTGTTTACAAGTTTCTTTCACATACAGTTTTTTATTTGAGTCCTCCTGCAGTTCTGTGAAGCAAGGTAGGTATTACTGTCTCCATCTTACAGATGAAAAAATTGAGAGCTAGAGAGGCTGTGATATGATCAATGTCAGTTGGCTCCTAAGAGGCAGAGCTGGGACCAGAACCCAGTGTTCCACCATTCTGTGGTAGTTGATTAAGTCTGTTTCAAAGGCTGAGTGCTTGTGTACACTTGCACAAACACACACACACACACACACACACTCTCTCACCCCTTCCATTGACTTTGTTGTTTCATCCCTGGGTTGGAACAGACAACCTACCCTAGTAAGAATAGCATTCTGTAGCAGGAAAATGATCCTTGTTCTTAATCCGAAGAGATATTGGGGCAACATTGAATCAAAGGATAAAGAAAATAAATACTTTGTTTCCCTAGCTCAACACTCTTTCTCAAGAATGATTTAAAAGAGCACTTTCATTGGAATCGCTTGGGATGCCAATTAAAAATCTGGATTTTTTTCCTTCTCATTACTGACCTGTGAAGTAGATGATGCTTAGGCATGCTAATATTTGAGTATTATTATCTTCAACTATCTTGCTTTCTGGTGTGTGTGTGTGTGTGTGTGTGTGTGTGTGTGTGTGTGTGTGTGTGTGTATGTATTTCTTCTTATTCCTTCCTCCTCCCATCTGAAACACCAAATAATGTTGCTATAGCCACAAATAATTGCAGACTTATTTGGCTGAAGGAGTCCAGCCCATAGCAACCCTATCTCATTGCTTACTAGTGGTGGGGAGAAGAATTATACTGAATGGCTGGAGTCTGTTCTAAAAAACCTGCCGGGGTTTGCTGGGTTAGGCCCTAGAGATCCAAGTAGCAGCACAATGGCAGAACACCAGCTTCTGTGTCCCCTTCTTGGCCCTGCTCCATTGGAAGGGTCAAGGTTGGATTTAGCTGACTGGGCAGCAGGAGCAGGTAAAAGGGAGTGCTCAGGGAGACTGTGCTAGTTATTTGAGGCTGAGATCTGACGGTGAGTCCTATCATAGGCCTATTGTAACCAGTGTTCTTTCAGTTAAAAGGAAAAAAAGATAAATTTCCTTTTGTTTATTTGACTTATGTTTGGGATTTTTTTTTTTTTTGACAGAGTCTCACTCTGCCACCCAGGCTGGAGTGCAGTGGCACGATCTCAGCTCACTACAACCTTCGCCTCCCAGGTTCAAGCTATACTCCTGCCTCAACCTCCCAAGTAGCTGGGATTATAGTCGTACACCACCACGCCTGGCTAATTTTTGCATTTTTAATAGAGATGGGGTTTCATTGTGTTGGCCAAGCTGGTCTTGAACTCCTGACCTCAAGCAATCTGCCGGCTTTGGCCTCCAAAAGTGCTGGGATTACAGGCATGAGTCACTGCGCCCAGCCATGCTTGGGATTATTAATTTTGCTTTTGGAAATCCTGCTACTGCTTATACCTCATTCCCCTCCCCACCTCCTGCCTACATTCTTCCCTGGTAACCAAACAGTATTTTGTACATTTTCCACTCTTTATCTGTCTTGGGAAGCACACTTTAGAATCGGCCACTAAGAATGAGCAATGCTTGGTCTAAGCCAGCCAAGGAGGAGCTGTACCCCTTGCCAATGATAGGTCCAGGTCAAGTCATGTGATATGATTCTGGCCAATGCCATACAAAGGGAAATCTGCTGGGGGAATTCTGAAAAATGTTTTCCTCGTTCTTAAAAATAGATGGACATGAGGAAACAGTTATTTTCTGCTGCTGGTATTTTCGTTTCTGCATGTGATGCTTGGAACTATGGCAGACATCTTGGGGCAATAAAGGGAACTAACCTGAGGAGACCATGCTAAGATTGGCTGAGAGGAACCACAGAAGGAACATTGGGTCCCTGGTGAACTCACTGGGCTGCCTAATTGACTAGCCCTGCAACTTCTTCATCTTAGTACCTCTTGTTATATGAGATAATAAATCCTCTTGAGTTACTGAGCTTGTGCATATATGTGCACGTGTGTGCCTGCTTGTTCGTGTTTACTTGCAGCTAAAAGCTTCCTAAGGGATACATGCATAAAAAAGAAAAGCAATTCTGACCCATGATCTGGATGGGGAGGGAAATGGCGAATACACGTATTTGAACTTACTGGGCACTGAGCAGAAATTCAAGGAGGAAGCTTGTGCTTTAGAATAGTGTATTAGTTCATTCTCGCATTGCAATAAAGAAATATCTGAGACTGGGTAATTTATAAAGAAAAGAGGATTAATTGGTTCATGGTTCCACAGGCAGCATCTGCTTGGCTTCCAGGGAGGCCTCAGGAAACTTACAGTCATGGTGGAAGGTGAAGAGGGAGCCCGGTCTCCTACATGGTGGAGCAGGAGCAAGAGAGAAAAGAAGGAGGTGCCACACACTTTTAAACAGCCAGATTTCATGAGAACTCACTATTACCAGAAGAGCACCAAGGTGGAAGTCGGCCCTCATGATCCAATCACCTCCCACCAAGCACCACTTCCAACATTGGGGATTACAATTCAACGTGAAATTTGGGCGGGGACACAGACCCAAACCATATCAGATGGAAATTCTAGAACAGTGTTTCCCACATTTAATATGTATTCAGATCACCTGGGGATCTTGTTAAAGTACAGATTTGATTGAGAAATTCTGGTCTGGGACCCCAAATTCCAGGAAATGACACTGCTGCTAGTCCACACACAACAATTCCAGGCATTAGAGGCTGAACACTAATCGGACTCAATTTTCCTATACCAGCGTGGCTTTTGGGTCAAGCATCAAACTTGGAAACAATCTCTGTGTTGGAAAAAGTACACTTTTATAAAAAGTTTGAGATTGAGGTCTCTAAGGTAAAATCCTGTAGAAATGCTACTTAGCTCATAGAATAAAAACCTAAAAAGTCTCATTTTGATTTCACACCACCTTACATCTGTGACAGAGACAAACTTCTCACCTCCAGACAGGAGAAAGATTTTAAAAAGTGATATTCTTTTTTTTATGTAACATAGATTGCAATAGGAAATGGGTGAGCACACACTAGCAATTGACTGTAAATGTTTAGACAGCCATAGGAAACCTAAGATAATGGATGTTTCAACTCCAAGAAAGTATGCTGTCATTTAAACTCAGAGATAATTCCACCAGCAGTTCCCAGGAGCAGTGCCTGTTTCCAGTAGTGGTAAAGAAATGACAGAGTCATCCCATACGAAATTTGACTTATCTCATAAAAAGTTATCAGAGTGCTGGACTGGTCAAGGGTGAAGACTGCTCTCAGGAAAAGTTAAACTTATTTGCACATCTGAATACTGAAAGTGTGACATTAGTCTCAGGGACAGTGTGATTCAACTAAATTACACCTCTTCATTTATTCATTAATTCATTGAATAGATATTGAGAACATACTATGTGCTAGAACAGTGTTTCACAAATTTAATATGTATACCTATGTGCTAGGTATGATGTTAGGTATAAGAGAACTAGACATTAAAAAAAAAGGTCTCTACTCCTGAGGAATTTAAATACAAACTGTATTAGTCCACTCTCACACTGCTATAAAAAACTGCCCAAGACTAGGTAATTTAGAAAGGAAAGAGATTTAATTGACTCACAATTCCACATGGCTGAGGAGGCCTCAGGAAACTTAGAATCATGTCAGAAGGCAAAGGGGAAGCAAGGCACCTTCTTCACAAGACAGCAGGTAGGAGAAGTGCCGAGTCAATGGGGAAGAGCCCCTTATAAAACCATCAGATCTCGTGAGAACATAGTATCATGAGAACAGCGTGAGGGAAACCACCCCATGAGTCAATTACCTCCACTTGGTCTCTCCATTGACACGTGGGGATTATGGGGATTACAAGTCAAGATGAGACTTGGGTGGGGAAACAAAGCCTAACCATGTCACAAACCAATAGTAGTAAAGGATGGAGTCATATATATAAGTCGTAGTGGAGGAAGAATTTAAGGTTGCCCTGTGGCAGCAGGAAGCATTTCTCAGGAAAGCAATGATTGAACTATGACTTGAAAATGAGTAGGACATGGCCAGAAAGCTGTAGTGGGAGTAGGGTTGAAGGAATTCATTGTTGAAAGACTGAAAATAGTGTGTAAAGGCATATAGGCATGTAAGAAGCTGTGTCCAGGCAATAGAACAAGGAAAGGAGAAATTTACATGAAATTTATGCAAATATACAATGTGTATTATTTCTATAGTTCCTATAATTTGGTGTCTAGGGAATCTTAAAACTTCATTGAGAACCAGAAGATTGGCACATGAAATGTTCTTGAATGTATTCTATGGTCAAAGACTAAACTCTCTTCTGGGCAGATGGGAACAGTAAACTGTGGGATTGGGTCCATATAAGGCAATGAGAATAGGTAGACCTGTGGGCTTCTGGAGGGTACCTGCCTCAGCTAAAGACATTCAATGGGAAAACAAACTCTGACTTCCCTTCCATACCTCACATCTGTGGCAGGATTTTTCCCATGGACCGCTCATGTTTTTGGATCTTCTATTGGCTTCATGTTATTTTAAAGAAGGATACTCTGAAATAAATCACTAATAAATCACTATTAATCTGTTAACTTTTTCAGGCTAGGAGCATTAAGGGGAAGTCGAACAGAATTGGGAGGCCTATTTTGGACTCAGTTGTTCATTCGGATTCTAGAGATAAAAGTTGAGGGATAAGAAATGTTAAAACTACATTGGAATCAGCAGATAGTATCGTGATTGTGACTGGCTTCCCTGGACTTTAGGCTAATATTATCCTCTACTTTCTTTTAAATAAATCATAATAACCAGACTCTAATAAACAGAATCACTTGGTAATATTACAAATTGCTCTTTTGGGTCTCAGAGTGTTGCATCATTTCCCCAGGCAGTGTGCAGCTATCATGACTCTGGGTGTCTCTCTGACTGCTCTGCTGCTGCTAGTCGTGGAGAAGGGACTAAAGTGCCAAGTAAGGCAAATGTCCAACTGTAACCAATCCAGATGTTTCTGTCCCTCACTTCCATTTCTGTTCTGTCTATAAATCTTCCACTACAAGGCTGTGCTGGAGTCCTGTGAGCCTACTCTGGCTTCGGAGGCTGCCTGATTCATGAATTGTTTTTGGCTCAATAAAACTTTTTTAAATTAAAAAAAGAAAAGAAAAGAAAAGGAAATCCCAGGTGTTGGAAACAAAGCCAGAACTTATCACCAGAGTGGAAAGCATGTGAGCTGATGTGGCTGCTTGGGCTGGGGCTGTCAGGCTTGGAGTTAGGGCTTGGACTTAACATCTGTGAGGTGAAAGGGGATGAGGTCTGGGCCCCATAAGAGATAGATCCTGGAACCTACACACCATCTTTAAGTTGGGATCCTGGAAGAGGTGGCACCCATCTGTGGATTAGAAAATAACAGAACAGGGAGAACCCCAAATATTTGTTCCCTTTCTTGCTAGGTTCTTAGTGGGAATTTAAAACTGTAGGTGTCCGTATCACATAGTTTTGGGGTTTGAATTTTACAAGTGCGGTAGTCTGAGACTCTGAAGAAAAGAAACTCATATGCAAATTAGTCTGATACCAGTGATATTCATTAAGCTGCTTGAAGAAGCAGATACAAATTGAGGCATAAGGGATTTTTCACAGAAAAATAAACCCTTAATAATTACTAATCAAAATGACCAAATGATGATATGAGCCAAAATTAGTGAGACAGGGAATCATAAACAGTGAGATCAGGATGCTGGATTCTAGAATATTAGACTTTGAGATAATATACCTACAATGAGGATATAAAGAGAATATACACTAAATATGTTTAAAATTATTAAGACATGATGGAACTGAAACCCAAGGACTAGGATTGGGAGTGGTGGTGGATAATGCAATATAGGAAAAAAGAGATTTAAAGAAGAATCAAGTAAAATTTCCAATTCCAACACTAAAGAAATGTATTCTCATTACAAAGAAAGCTCAATGAACTTTAGAATTAGTTTTGCCAATTAAAAATAGAATATTGGTATTTTATTGGGAATTGTGTTGGAATTTATAAATTAAATTATGGAATAATAAGCAACAAGAACAGCTATGAAAAAATAGTCTGAAAATTGCAAGCAAAACAAGGACACAGTACTACTGGATTGATGTTAAAACATCATAAAGGTGTAGTGGTTATTGGCACTTGAATAGAAAGTCCAGAAATAGATCTAAGTCTATACAATAATTTAGTAAATGATACAGTTCAAATTTCAGAAGGGAAAAAATGAAGCCATTTAGAAAGAAATAACTGTGTGTTTGGATTCATAACTCACACCTTATCTCAGGATGAATTCTGGATTGATCTAAAAGCTAAATGGTAAAAGAAAACAGCATTAAATCTTATCTGCTGTAACAGAGGACATACAATTTGTTTTAAAAGAAAACAGTAAGTTATTTTCCTGTTAAAATAAAAATCTTGGAGTCAATGGTTTAGAGTGGTGATTAGCTCTGCTCCCCATGGTCTGTCAAAGATACAATTTCCTTCCCTCTTACTGTATCACATGTGCTAGGAAAATGTCCCCTGCTGCAGGAGTGAAGCTAGTTTGCAGGCACATTGTGTTCCTACTCTGAGGAAGCCATCCCTAGAAGTTACATATATTTGCTTACATTTCACTGATAGTTACTTAACCATGTGGTTTCACATAGATGCAAGGGATATTGGGAAATAAGGTCTTGAGCTGCGTCATCATTTGCTCAACTTCAATTCTTGATGGTAAAAATGCAAAACAGATTTTGGTGGACATCCAGCAGTCTCTGCCACCCTGTTCTTTGATATTTTAATAATTTCACCATGTAGAAGGCCCTGTTAGATATGTTACAAAATATGTAGGCAATAAAAATTATTAATTAAATTTAACCACATAAAAATACAAAAATTATTGCCTGGCAAAACCTTTATGAGCAAAGTCAAACACGTGATAATCTTAGAATCTTGGAATATCTACAACTCATTTGTCAGACAATGGACGAATTCCACAATTGTGATATTTATGTATATAAAACATATATATATATATATATATATATATATATATATATATATATATATATATATATATTTCATTCACAGCTTCTGGCTCATACTCCCGCAGCTCTTGTATTTTCTCCCCAAAGCAGGTCATGGAAAAAAATGTAAATATACTCTAATCTTTTGTCTTTGAACTGCCCTTAAAGAAATTCTCTGACCTACCTGGTCTGATTTTAGGTCATAAACCCCCATTTTAGAAGGGGTCCTGCCCCACACTCTGGAGGAAGAAAAACTGCACAGAGAAGCCAAGAGGAATCTGAACAGACACGCCCTGCTGGGTTTCCTTACTCAGTCTATTAGTATTAGATCATACTCTTTTGGTCAAGTCACATTTCTACATGGTTGTCAATCATGCCTATCCCATGAAGTCTCCATAGAAGGCCCAGGAGCACAGGATTCAAAGAGCTTCCTGATAGCTGAACATGTGGAAGTTCCTTGGGGGTGCCATGCCCTTTCCCCCATACCTCACTGTATACATCTTTTTATCTGTATCCTTTGTAATATTTTTTACAATAGACTGGTAAAGGTAAGTAAGTGTTTCTCTGAGTTCTGTAAGCCACTCTAGCAAATTGACTGGCCTCAAGGAGAAGGTAGTGGGATCCCAGATGTATAGGCAGCCAGTCAGAAGTGCAGGTAAAAACAATCTGGGGCTTGCAATTGGCATCTGAAGGTGGGGCCTCAACCTCGACCTGTGGGATCTGCTGCTATCTCCAGGTAGATAGCATCAGAATTGAGTCGGATTGCAGGACACCCCGCTTGTGTCCCATGGCAAATTCATTGCTTGCTTGCTGGTAAGGTGGAGCTCCCACACTCTGGGTCACAGAAATTGTCTATGTTGATTGTTATGGTGTGAGAGCAAAGGAAAGACAGTTTGTGCTTTTCCACTCAGGCCTATATATAAAGAAGCCTAAAATCAAAATAAAAATGTTATGCTTATATTTTCTTCTAAGAATGTTATAGTTTTAGTTCTTACAGTTAGGTCTTTGATCAATTTTGAGTTAATCTCTGTGTATGGTGTGAGGTAGGAATTTGACTTTACTCTTTTTTGCATGTAGATACTCATTTGTCACAGCATCAGTGTTAAGGCTGTTGTTTCTCTAATTGAATTTTTTGATATCTTTGTCAAAAGTCAGTTGACTATAAATGTAAGAATTTATTCCTGTACTCTCATTTTATCAAATTAATCTGTATGTCTATCCTTATGTAGGTACCATACAGTCTTGATCATAGTAGCTTTGTAGTAAGTTTTGAAATTAAGAAGTGTGTGTTATGCAGCTTTTCTTTTCTTTTTCAAGATTATTTTGGCTATTCTGGGTCCCATGCATTTCTATATGAATTTTAGAATCACCTTGTCAGTTTTTGCAAAAAAAGGCAGCCGAGAGCTTTATAGGCAATTGCGTAGAATCAATAAAGGAAGTATTGTCATCTTCATAATAATTAGTTTTTAGATCCACAAACAGTCTTTCCTTTTATTGAGGTCTTAATTCTTTTCAGCAATATTTTATATTTTCAGTGTATAAGTCTTACACTTATTTTGTTAAATTTGTTCCTAAGTATTTTCTTATTTTCGATTCTATTATAAAGATTTTTAAAAAATTCATTCTTAAATTATTCATTCAGTATTAAAAAATATAATTGATTTTTGTATCTTCTACCCTGAAAGCTTGCTGCAGTCATTTATTAGCTCTAATAGTTTCTTTGGGATTCCTCAGGATTTTCTACATAGAAGACAATGTAATCTGCACATAAAGACAGTTTTACTTCTTCCTCTTCAATCTGAATGACATTTATTTCTTTTTCTTGCCTAATTGCCCTACTAGAACTTCCAGTACAATACTGGATAGAATGGTGACAGCAGATATTCTTGCCTTATTTCTGATCTTTGGTTGGGGGGACTATTAGTCTTTATCTATTAAGTGTGATGTCAGTTGTGAATTTTTTATCAGGTGAGAGATTAGCTTCTATTCCTTGTTTGTTGAATGTTTTTATCATCCATGTTGTTAGATTTTGTAAAATGCTTTTTCTCCATCACTGAGGTAATCATGTTCTTATTGTTCTTTATTAATATGATGTATTACATTGGTTGATTTTTGCATGTTGAACCAATCTTGCCTTTCTGGGATAAATTCCACTTGGCTATGGCATGCTATCCTTTCAATATGTTGCTGGCTCCAGTTTGCTGGTATTTTGTTGAGGACTTTTACATCTATATCCATAAAGGATGTTGGTTGATCCATTGTTTTCTTGTGATGTCTTTGCTTGGTTTTGTATCCTGCAACTTCAGTGAATTCATTTATCAGTTTCTAAGAGATTTTTGGTTGAGTCTTGAGGTTTTTCTAACTATAAGATCATGTCATCGCCGGGCATGGTGGCTCATGCCTGTAATCCCAGCACTTTGGGAGGCTGAGGAGGGTGGATCACTTGAGGTCAGGAGTTCGAGACCAGCCTGGCCAACATGGTGAAACCCTGTCTCTACTAAAAATAAAAAAATTAGCTGGGCATGGTGGCATGCACCTGTAGTCCCAGCTACTCAGGAGGCTGAGGCAGGAGAATCACTTGAACCTGGGAGGCAGAGGTTGCAGTGAGCCAAGATTGTGCCACTGCACCCCAGCCTGGGAGACAGAGCAAGACTCCGTCTCAAAAAAAAAAAAAAAAAAAAAAAAAAAAAAAGAAAGAAAGAAAGAATAAAATCCTGTCATTTGCAGCAACATGGGTGGAGCTGGAGTTCATTAAGTGAAATAAACTAGGCACAGATAGACAAATATTGCATGTTCTCATTCATATATGGGAGCTAAAATAGTGGATTTCAGTAGGGCATGGTGGCTCATGCTTGTAATCCCAGCACTTTGGGAGGCCGAGGCGGGCGGATCACTTGAGGTCTGGAGTTCAAGACCAGCCTGGCCAATATGGTGAAACCCCATTTCTACTAAAATTACAAAAAAAAAAAACGCCAGCCAGGTGTGGTGATGCACACCTGTAATCCCAGCCACTCAGTATGCTGAGGCAGGAGAATCACTTGAACCCAGGAGGTGGAGGTTGCAGTGAGCTGAGATCGTGCCACTGCACTCCAGCCTGGGTGACAGATTGAGACTCTGTTCCCCTCCACTGCCCCACCACCCCACAGAAAAATAGTGGATTTCATGGAAGTAGAGGATAGAATGGTGGTTCCCAAGGCTGGGAAAAGTAGGGGGAAGGGAGTAGTAAAGAAAAGTTGGTTAATGGTTAGAAAAATAGTTAGGTGGAAGGAATAAATTCTAGTGTTTGATAGAACAATAGGGTTGCTATAGTTAACATTAACTCATTGTGTATTTCAAAATAGCTAGAAGAGAATTGGAATTTTTCAACACAAAGAACTGACAAGTGCTTGAGGTAATGGATATCCCGATTACCCTGATTTGATCTTTATATATTGTATACATGTATCAAAATATCACATATATCCCCAAAATATGTACAATTATTATGTATCAACAAAAAAGTGAGAAAATGTTGTAGAATGTTTGATTGCATGGGTATTTATAATTTTAATGGTTACTTCATTGTTGGATGATTAAGCTGTTTCACCTTTTTTGTCCTTTTATGAATGCCTTGTGACAAGTACCTTTACTCACGCTATTATTAGGCCCATAAATTATTTGATATTATAGAAAATCTGGTGCCTTCTGGGCCACTGAAGATTATTGGGTTATCTGGCATTACATAAAATGAATTATGTTTTTGATTCTCATAATCTCTCGTTTTAATTTTTTATCGTCTCCCTTGATGTCCAGTTGTCCATTGTTCACTCAAATTTTACCTCTTCAATTCCATTTTTTAAATGTTTCTAATCAGCTATAAAATGGGAAACTTGGGAACTGATTGTTTTATACTTGCTTATGAAGAAAAAGTAGGTACAGAGTAAGTGCCTTGTAGGAAAAAATACTCAAGTTTTATTAAATACAATTATTGGCTCAGCTCAGACAATTTTTTAAACTAAGCCTCAGGTTTTTTTTTGGCTGATGTTCTTGTTACTACACTAAATTAAAAAATAAATCTAACAATAATAAGAAATGGTTTCAGATGAGGTATGCTGCAGCTAACAAAACAGATCAACTGAGATTTGTGAGTGAGGGTAAATATCTTATTTTCATGATGGGTGAAGTGGTGTGAGTTCAGGAGGGTTTAGGAAGAAGGGAGGTGTTAGAATTTACGGATTCGAGAAAATGAAATGATCTGCTCTGTTGCACTCTGGCACAGCTCACTCCCTAGACACATAAACTGCCACCCAACTGAACATGTGGTTGAATTGCCATTTTATCGAGGACTCAACATGTGTTCCCTGACACATAGGCTTCTAGCTGATCTATTTGGAACATAATGTGTTATCAGCCATGACTGCTAATGCTAACAGCTGAATACTGACACTCTGGAGCTGGCTTCCACTGCCTAGGTGATTATCCTAGCAGTTCGTAAGGGAAAGTACAAATGTACAAATCATTATACATGACTTTGAACTTGCTTACAAAAACTCCAGAGGGGGTATTTTTGAAGTAGATTTAGCCGAATGTAGAGCACAGACTTGCCAAATGTAATTTTAAGAATAGGATGCCAGGGGATTCTCAAATGGCTAATGGTACGCAGAACACAGTGAGCTTTCCATGAAAAACCAGGACCCATCTTTTAGAAGAGGAATGGAAAGTAGGTTGGGAGTGGCTGAGAGTTCAAATGGAGACTGTCTTTGTCCTCAACAGGCCCTGTGTTTGCCAACTACTGTTTTTTTTTCCCCCAGATCTCCCCAAGTTTATTGGGTGGAAATGATACAAGACACGTGATAGAATTATTGAATGAAAATAATATGATAAAATGTTATGTGATATGAGATGATAAACGGGAATAGCTTACTACACGTCAAATACACATGCACACACACACACGTGTGCATACACATACACACACACACACAAACTAGGAGATTTGAGCTTTAGTTCTGGCCATTGTAATCAGTAGCTCCTGATCTCAAGGTGTTTAACTTTTCTGTACTTCATCTATGAGGTCAGTTGGGATGGACAATCTATAGCAGTTTAGTTCTGATAGATTAGAAGCTGTGTGTAGGTGAAGTTGCTATAACAAAAAGATGTTATTGGACTTGCTTTAAAAATTATGAAAATGCCAGCCTGGGCAATATAATGAGACCCTGTCTCTATAAAAAGTAAAATAAATAAAAATTAGCTGGTCATAGTGGCACACACCTGTAGTCCCAGCTACTTGGGAGGCTGAGGTGGGAGGATTGCTTGAGCTGAGAGGTCAAGCCTACAGTGAGCCATGACTGTACCACTGCACTCCAGCCTGGGCTAACAGATCAAGACATTGTTTCAAAAAAACAAACCAAAAATTATAAAAAAGTTTTGATTTCTTTAGGATACTATTTGACAAAATTTCACAGTAGACTACTCGCTAGGGTGACAGATTGCCAGTTCAACAAGACTCAATGAACAGATATTATATTCATGCTTTTCTTTCTTGCTCTTATATAATCATATTCACTGTTATCTTAGTATACACAAATTTACAATCCATATTTGTAATAAATTCCTGTTCACCATTTACATTTACATTATCCAGAATTCTTCCATTCATATTACTTTTTAAATATCTGCTTTGTACTTCAAGAAGACTACTTTGAGCCAATGATTCATATTCATTAATTGGGAGAAAAATGTGACCTAATGGTAACAATAAAAATGAAAATTTGTCCTAAAATAAAACACAAGAATAGAAGCATCATAGCTGAGATAAACCGTGCCCTGTTAACTAAATCTGATCTGAGGCAAAGTGGCCAGCCTAGTACTTGCAGTGTATACAGAATCTTCAAGAAAGTAAGAAAGATCAACTAAGAAATTAATGAGAAACTTGAGGAAATCATAACTAAATTTACATTTAAAATTTGTAAAACATATTTGAATGAAATGGCCTCACTGCCTTTTTTTCCTCCTACATCTTCCTTCTATCCACCAGCAGGCTGCTTGATAGACTCTAGTCTTCACTCAATACCTTCAGAGAAATAAGAAACCACAGGAAGATGCTGCTAAGGTCAATGATCAGGTTCCTCAGCACTCACCCCTTCAACTAGAGGGTCCCAAATCTGGCTGTATATCAGACCCTCTTGGGACCTTTTAAAACTATGAATTCCTGGGCCTTCCCTCTACCTACTTAGTTTGAATCTTGGGGTGGTTGAGTCTAGAAATCTGTATTTTTCTAGCAGCTGGAGAGCTAGCCTATCTCCTGCCTGCATGTCTACCTTTGGAAGACATCAGCCTAAAACTTTCTGCAAAGACGAGCATATACATTATTTCTGAAATCTGTAGAAACGATATTACAGATTCCTCTGATGCATTTGGTGGCATGATTTCAATCTTAATAACTCCTATAGTTTGGAGGTTCTCTTTCAGATCTAATCCAAGCCTTTCCTATTCAGATTAAATTCATTTTGTTTTAGGGATTGAAAAACAACTGATACTATTCAGGCATTATTTGCATTTTGGAGCCTGGCGAGCATAATTATTTCTTTAGTCCATGTACTTAGTTCAATTTCCTTTTTTGTCCACCATCTTTTTTTTTATTTTGAGAGAGGGTCTTGCTCTGTTGCCCAGGCTAGAGTGCAGTGGCACAATCATGGCTCAATGCAGTCTTGACCTCCTGGGCTCAAGTGATCCTCCTACCTCAGCCTCCTGGGTTGCTAGGACCACAGGTGCATACTACCACACCTGGCCAATTTGAAAAATTTTTTGTAGAGATGGGGTCTCATTTTGTTGCCCAGGCTACATCATCTCTTTTTTCCTAACTTTTAAATTCTTTTACAGCATTCTTCTCCAGCTAGAGAGAAAACAAGAGGAGTAGAACAAACAAAAGACCAGGATTCACAAAACCTTCCATGTCCGAGTTACTAACCAACTGATTGGAGGCCCCCACTCATTCACTTATTCATTCATTCTTCTAAGAACAGATTTATTAGTTAGCTAATGCTGAAAGACAACAACCATGGAAATCTCAATGGTAAAAATGCTTATTTGGCTTACATATTTATGTTGACTGACTGAAGCCAGCTGGCCTCAATCAGCTCTGCTGATCTCAGTTGGTTTTGCTAACATGTCTGTGGGTTCGTTCAGGGTTGGCTATGCATACGGGGTCCCACTAGGGTGGCTGTGTAATATGCATCTCTTGTCTTCCTGCAGTATGTGGTGTGCTGACCTGGACATATTCTTCCCCTTGGCATGGCAGAAGGACAAGAGATCAAGTGGAAATGTACAAGACCTGTAAAGGCTTGGAATTAGCAGCACCTCACTTCTACCTTGACCAAAGAAGGTCACATGGCCCACCCAAAGCCAAGGGTGGGGAAATAGAGTCGAATAAAGGAAGGGGTGAATATTTCCGAAAATAACCTAATTTACCACAAGTGTCTAATATATTTTGGGCTCATCTTTTTATATTTTGAACCCCTATTTTTCTCTTTTGTAAAATTGAGATGATAACATTTGCTTTTGGAATTACATAGTTTTGTTCTAAGCCTTGAAAGTCATGATGTTAAAGAGCTTAGTCAGCTTTTATTGTGAGTCTTTGGGTCGTGCAGCCCTGATTTCCACTAGAGACTGCTGGAGAGCATGGAGAGAGGCTAGAAGTCAGTTTATGGGAGTGTGTGAGCATACCCTGACCCCTGAAGAGAGAAAACAGAGGAAAATGAGGTACAGTAGGTACGTTACTCACATAGAGAAGTGAAGACACTTTAATCCACGTTTCTCCGTCTTCTTCCTTAAGAAAAAGAAGTGGAGTAATGGATCAATAGGTGTTAATTGTACCCTACTAGGTATGAAGCTTTGAAGTAGTCACCCTCTGTTCAAGAAAGTTGCTCATCTCTTTGAAGACATGAGGCTATGTAAGATCAGGCTATAGAATGTAAGCAGACTGGGTATTCTGAGAAGGGCAAAACGAGTGTGGGCTTCGTGGTTTTGGAGGGCTTCATGGATGATGTAGGATTTAAGCCAAGCCTTAAAAGTCGGGTATGATTCAGAAGTGGTCAAAGAAATAGAAGGCCATTGTTGTTAACAAAATGAGAGCAAAATCCAGAAGTAATGACTACTAAGGCACTTCAGGAGGCTGATTGTGCTGCTAAGTGTAGATTCATTGATTCACTTATTTATTCAGTACGAACGTTTTTCATGTCTACTACGTGCCAGACTTACTGCTAGGGCTGCTATGGTTGATAGGACTCTTGATCTCATGGAACTTACAGTGAGTCATGAATCAGAAACTCATTAAAGAAACACACACCCATCCACACTACACACACCCCTCCCCCCCCACACCCTTATATGCACTCTACTTGCACCTTGAAATTATATATATACACATACATATATAAATATATACACACATATGAACGTATATGTGTGTAGATATGTATTTATGTGTATATATAAGTTTGTGTGTATATATACATATATAAAATGGTATAATGGTAAATATAACATATATATATATTTATACAATTTTGAGGTACCAGGAGAGCATGTGATTAGAACAATTGACCTAGTCAGGGAGATCATACAGGTGTTCTCTAAGAAATTGCCACTGGAACTGAGGACTTAGGGGATAAGCAAGCCTCACTTAAGCAAAAAGGTTTGGTGGGTTGGATGGGGAGAAAGTCTTTTGGGTAGAAGGTGGTATTTGTAAGTGGCCTAGAAATGTGGTTGAAACGGAGAGTTGAGGGGGGAGCCACAAGTATGAGACCAGGCGGGTGAGTAAAGGAGAATTGGCAGGGCATAGATGGCTGCTCTAAGGCCTTTGGTGTGAATCCTCATAAGATGAATTTTCCAAACTGTATGCTTAGGTGCCTGGAGGTGCCACAATGAACCTACAGGGCTGCCCTGAGATATTTTAAATGTTTGAGGGAAACGGCAACATCTCTTGGACACCCCATGAGCTACTACTATTAAGTTATTTGGACCCAAGTAATACATCGGTAGGGTAGTAGGTTTTTTTGTTTGTTTGTTTGTTTTTACTTGAGAGTGCCATGAAAAATGACCAAAACACAAAATCGCTGTGACTGAGAAAGTTTGGGATCCTTCATCCCAAGGATAATATGAAGTCATGGCCATTTCTTGAAGAGGTACATATTCAAAAGATGACTCCAGCAACAATGCGGGCAGGTGATTAGTGGGAGGTGGTAGGCAGAGTAGATGTGGTAGTACAGTAGACCATGAGAAATGAGGAAGGATGAGGCTGGCCTGGCAAGTCCTGAATGCCAGGTAGAGAGAGGGTAACCACAATGCTGCCTCCTACAGTTCAGCAGAAGCTCTGGTCATTATTAGACTTGTGCAGGGCAAGCACCTCTACCAATCAGCCTAATGCCTTTATTTTTTGTTTTAGTGAGAAAGACTTTCATGGACATTTTTTCTCCCAGATATAGTTTGAAGTTAGGTCTAATTTACCTGCAATATGAATGCAGGAATTACTGATTAAGCAGGTTTCTTTACTTAATGCCCTCTCCTCTCTCCTCTCCTCTCGTTTTTACTTTCTTTTTTCTTTCTTTCCTTTTTTTTTTTTTTCCCATGGAAGGGGTTTGGAACCAGACAATCTGTATTGAAATCCCTGCTGTACTGCTTACAAACCCTATCACACTGAGATGTTATTCTCTTTTCCTGGCCTCAGTTTCTTCGTCATGCACCTCATAGGGCTGTCAGCGAAGTTTAAATGACTACTACGTGTTTCATGTCTACTTGCACCTTGAAATTATATATATACACATACATATACATATATAAATATATACACACATATGAACGTATATGTGTGTAGATATGTGTTTATGTGTATATATACGTTTGTGTATATATATGTATATAAAATGGTATAATGGTAAATATAACATATATATATATATATATATATATATATATATATATATATATATATATATACAATTTTGAGGTACCAGGAGAGCATGTGATTGGAACAATTGACCTAGTCAGGGAGGTCATACAGGTGTTCTCTAAGAAATTGCCACTGGAACTGAGGACTTAGGGGATAAGACACCCGAGGGGCTGAGAGCAGACTCTGTACATTGTTGGGGTTTTATGGACATTAGCTCTCATCATTGTTATTATCAATGCTTACCTCCTTAAATTACCAGGTGGATATCATACCATATAAAACCTTGTTCATAAGTGAGAATAGGTGTATGTAACAAGGTAGGGATATATGTTATGAGTTTAGATCTGTAGGCTGGGATGCCTTCACTCTGAGTCAGGTCTTGGATGTACTGATTCTTCCACGGGTCTGTTGTGCCCACATGCTGCACTGTGGCAGAGATGACATGAAGACTCCAGGTTTGCCGGGTGTGGTGGCTCACTCCAGTAATCCCAGCACTTTGGAGGCCGAGGCAGGTGGATCGTTTGAGGTCAGGAATTTGAGACCAGCCTGACCAACATGGTGAAACCCCATCTCTACTAAAAATACAAAAAATTACCCGGGCATGGTGGCGCATGCCTGTAGTCCCAGCTACTTGGGAGGCTGAGGCAGGAGAATCGCTTGAACTCTGAAGGTGGAGGTTGCAGTGAGCCGAGATCATGCCACTGCACTCCAGCCTGGGTGACAGAGGGAGACTCCGTCTCAAATAAAAAAAAAAAATGAAAAGAAAAAGACTCCAGGTTCATTGCAGTGTGGGTTACAGGTCTGGGAATTTTAATTTGGGCAGCCAGTTTGCTCAGCTTTGTAAGTATGATTCCATGAAAAATAATGTTTGTTGTTGGTTATTTGGGACACATGTACTTTTGCTCTGCTTTTGATCTGTGAGATGATGAAGGATGCTGTACATTGTTTATGTGGCTAAATTAAATAATCATGATGAATGGAAAAAAAATCAGGCACCTCACGTTTCCTGTAAATGTGATTGGGGATTGGTTAATTTTAATTGTACCTGAGCATCTTAATCTTCATCAGTTCTCTCCCCTGTCCTCTTCAAATAAAAAAATAAAAAACAATTTCTGAAAGGAAAGGAATAGTAAATACATTTTAAGAAGAAATCCTGACTAGATGTGGTGGTTCACGCCTGTAATCCCAGCACTTTGGGAGGCCAAGGTGCGTGGATCACTTGGGTTCAGGAGTTTGAGAGCAGCCTGGCCAACATGGTGAAACCCCATCTCTACTAAAAATACAAAAATTAGCCGGGTGTGGTTGTGGGTGCCTGTAATCCCAGCTACTTGGGAGGCTGAGGCAGGAAGATTGCCTGAACCCAGGAGGCAGAGGTTGCAGTGAGCTGAAATCATGCCACTGCACTCCAGCCTGGGCGACAGAGTGAGACTCTGTCTCAAAAAAAAAAAAAAAAAAAAAAGAAAAGGAAAAAGAAATCCTTACAGTCATTCTTAATATTTAGATACAAAAGGGGTGTGAGATAAGGCAGTGTCTCAATATATTCCAGTTACAAGTGGTAAGTTGAAGACTTACTACATTGTTTGTTCCTTGTTTGTGTACTTGTGACCAAGATTAAATAGTTTAAGAGTCAGCGAATGCCAAGGGTGATACTTTGCGAGGGATGGCCTGCTGAGAAAGTGCTACAGGGCTTCTCTTTACATCACTGCATCTCTTTTTAGCATTTGCTACCTGCTTTGCCGCTGTATATTTTTCCTGTGGAAACAAACTAACAACAAACAAACCCAGGCCCTTAGAATGATAAATAAGATTATGTAATCATTGATATCACAGAAAGAGAAATGATTTGAAAAATGCCAAAGAAACAAATGGGCTTGGACATATTGTAATCACTATGGACTAAAGAGAATCATGTTTTTAGAATAATGGTTCTTAACCCTGGGCACACATATGAGAACCATCTAGGAGCTCTTGCTAGTCCTGGGACCATGTCCCAGTGCAATGAAATCAGATTCTCTGATGTTCAGGTGTGGGGATGAGCAAGAGGAGGACCAGGACGTCAGAGTTATGTTAAAAGCTTCCTGGGTCATTTGAGTGTAACCAGCATTGAGTGCCCCTGCTATACAGAATCTTTATGGAAGTAATGAATACATGGTAATAGAGCAGTGAGGATCCTGTAGGAGCCATCATTAGACATCCTGAAGTCTAAAATCCTTGTTTGGTGGATCATTAGCTAAATAACTTTGGAAAATTGCCCAACATCTGTTAGCCTCAATTTCCTCATCCATAAAATTATAATAATTGGCATCGTAATGCCAGCTGCGAAAAGTCTTCCTGGGAATTTCACAAGTAACCAGGAAAGTCTCTGTTCTCACCCTCATTCTCACTACAAAGCAGGACTCTTATTTTCAGTGTCTTGTTGGCAACACTCAAAAGCAAATCTAAAGACACACAGCATTAACAAGAAAAAAGATGTTGCTGACAATGTCATGGGTTAAGAAGACATGCTTTCATTGCACCTCATGCATCAAAACTCAGTACTAACTCCCATTGACCTTTCTCTGGCTCACAGCTGCCCTACTTGCTTGGGCATCTCTCCTTGAGGAGATTCCAGTTTTTTCCAAAGTCTCCCAGATATCTGCTTCCTGCTCCTCTCCCCACACTTTATGTACACAGCTTTGTGGTTTGTGAACCTAGAAAAGAGTAAAATAGGAGTACAGGCTGAGAAAGTGAAATGCTCGGACATTCTCTCCTTCTGTTCTTTAGGGATAGGGGGAAAGAGTGGTGGGGAGGACACACATGTTCCCTCCAGGGCATGGTTTCTCAACAGTGGCACTGTTGCTATTTTGGGCAGATAATGCCTTGTTTTGTGGGGGCTTTCCTGTGTATTTGTATTGGTTTTCTATTGCTACATAGCAAATTACCTCAAACTTAATGATTTAAATTCACATACATCCATTATCTCTCAGTTTCCGTGGGTCAGAAGTCCAATTGCTGCCTCGCTGGGCGCCCTGCTTAGGGAGTTACAAGGCTGAAATTGAGGTGTTGCTTGGGCAATTCTCATCTGAGGTTTGGGATTCTCTTTCAAGCTTACTCAGATTGTTGGCAGAGTTCAGTTCCTTATGGTTATAAAATGGGAGTCTCTATTTTCTTGCTGACTTATTGGATAAGAGTCACTCTCAGCTCTTAGAGGCCACCTGCAGTTCCTGCCACGAGGCCCCCTGAATTAAAAATTCCCAAGAACCCCCGCATGGGTTATTTGCTTCTGCAAGGCCAGCAGGAGCTTGTTTACTACTGCTTCTTGTCTCTTTTAAGGTTCACCTGATTAGGTGAGGTCCACACAGAATAGTCTCATTTTGCTTACCTCAAAGTCAACTGATTAGGGATCTTAATTGCATCTGCCAAGTTCCATTGGCCATAGGAAGTAACATAAACATAAGAGCAATATCTCATCATTTTCATAGGTCCTGTCCATATGCAGGAAGAGAGGGTTATGCAAGGCATGGCTACCAGGGGAAGGAATCTTGGATGCTGCCAACCACAATCTACTAGGGTGTTTAACATCATCCCTGGCCTCTGCTCATTAGATGCCAGTAGCAACCTCCCCCCAAGTTATGACAACCCAAGGTGCCCGCCCAGACATTGTCAAGGGTCTCCTGGGAAACAACATCATCCTAGGTTGGGAACTTCAGGTCTTTGGCCTTTTAGATAAGCAAAGGACTTTAAAAACTCTAAAATGAAACCATCTCAAAGGTTTCTTCTTTACCAACATGGGATAGACTAGCAAAGTGAATTTTATGCTTCAGATCAAGGTTAGGATTGAGTTTTGCTTTCCGGAATCATTCATGGCATGAACAGGACTCAAAATTTCTTGTAGGCCTTCACTGGGGACTTAGAACCATTCAACTTGTTGGGGTGGGATGATGTGATGCTACAAGCAAGGCCAGACACTGTGTGGAGGGCGTGGCACTGACAAGGGATTCCAGACCCAAGACTCCAAGGAATTGCAAAGACCACAGATCTCAGGGTAGTCAGGCAGACAGAAAGTTCCAGAAGGGACTGGACAAAGGAGGAACAAAAGTTTTTGTTACACCAACCACCAAATCCAGCCATCAGTGCCATCACTAGGAGCATGACCAGGTAGGCAGGGGACATTGGCCCAGAGATCATTGGAGCCAGAAGATAATATGGATCTGGGATGCTTCCATCCCATTGCCAAAAAATTGCATGGGCCACCCCCCACTAGGAGAGGAGTGCTGAGAGAGACTAAGCACTGCAACTAAAGAGGCTGAGAAGGCCAAACAACAATAAATCAGCTTTAGTAAGAATTTGACTTTGAGTAGACTACACTAAAAAGAGATTATTTCAACCTGCAAAGATAAGAATATTGACTAATTGTTCTGATGCACACAAACGTGTGTACATGATACACACACACACACCATTTAGCAAGGTAGAAATTGGCAAAAAATATAGAACATTTAGTAAAGAAATGATGATTTTCTCTGAATATTTATGTGCACTGTAAGTAAACTGTAACCTTGTGACAGTGTTACTGGATTTTTGGGGTGTCATTTTTCTGGCTGGAAACCTCTGTGGCCATGGTGCCTTTGCCCAAATTCTTGTTCTGCATCTAGGAAGAATGAGGTACACAGACAAGTGGAAGGTGAGCAACATGAAGAGCTTTATTGAGTATTGGAACGGCTCAGAAGAGACCTGCAGTGGGTATCTCTTCCCTGTAGGCAGATTGTCCCATTGAGAGTTCAGCTCTCAGCAGAGAGGAGGCCCTGGAGTGGGTGGCTTGTCTCTCGAGGCAGGTCATTGCATCGTCTCTGCAGCTGACAGCAGAGAGGAGGCCTGGAGTGGATGGCTCCTCTCTGCCATTGGTCATCCCGACATCTGCTGCTGGCAGCAGAGAGGGGCACTGGAGAGGGTAGCTTCTCTCTGCAGCTTGACATCTCTCCATCCTCTGCTCTGTGCTGGCTGAGCATGGGGCTTTTATGGGCCTCAGAGTGGTGGAAGTGAGTGCCAGTTGGTCCATGGGCAGTTATAGGCAGGTAGGAAAAGGCACCACAAGTCCCCACTCTGGTCTGTGGGACTAGAAGCCTGAGCCCCAGCCTTCAGGCCCTCCCTGGCCTGAAGGTGGGGCCTCACTGGGGACCCACCCCTTCCCACCCAAGAGCCTGTGTGCATCCTCCTACCCATGGCATCCAGGCTGCTGGAGCCAAGGGGCTGCTGCAGGCCAGTTCTGAGCTGCTCTCGAGCCCCATCTTGGCCTCCCTCCATTGGTGCCCAAAGTCCAGAGGGGCTGAGGTGGCATGGGACCAGCATGTCAGCACTTCCCTGAGCCTGCACATACCCAGCTGGGCTGCAACAGTGCCCCAACTCTGCTTCAAGATCGGAGCAGGTGCTGGGAGTGGGGAGAGGCCAGGCAGCGGGAACAGACACCCCCGAGTCTGCGGTTATGGAGGGGGCCCTCCTGCCCCAAGAGGACTGGGAGGCCTAGGCCCACAGCCGTGAGCTGGGTGGCTACAGTTGCTCCTGGGGAGCTCCAACCCTGCCAATGGGTTGGGGAAGGGTGGGTTGAGGCTCCTGCCTGTCCCCAGCTCTGCAGAGTACACAGCCCTGGCCATGCCCCTTTTCTGCATCTCCCTGAAGTGGCAGTGGTTGAGGTGGGGGTGGCATGGTGGTCCAAGCCAACCTTGCACAAATGAACTTGAGGCTCCTGGGACTGGTCCTGGAAGTCCTGGCTGTGCCTTTGGCCGGGTGCTCATGGGCTCCTGCGACACGACAAGGAGTGAGGTTGAGCCTGCAGAGGAGGCTCTGGGCCTGGGAGTGGGTCTTGCTAGGCTGTTCGAGGGTGGGGGTAGCACAATCAGCTGCCTTGGGGACATGGGGCACAGGGGACGCACTGCAGCCACTGCTACTCCCACAGCCGCTTCTGCTGCCCTGTTTGCCTCCTTGCAGCTGGGGCAGGGCTCCAGCCCCTTGCCTGGCTGGGCTGGCGACTGAGGCAGGGGTGACATTGCCGCAAGTTCCTCCTACACCCTGGTGCTCAGGGGTGCCCCCCCCCCCCAATCCAGCTCACAATCCTGCTGGGGGTAGCCTCTGGGAGCAGCTTGCGGGCCCCAGCCTGGCTGTGGGAGTGCCAGGCTCTGCAGTCACCCTGACGTGGGGTGGATCCTATGGACACGGCCTCAGGCAGCCCCGCATTGAGCCTCCTGCTGAGGCACAGGACCCTGGTACCGTGGGCAGGGTGGGCGCAGCAGCTGCTTGGCTGGCTGGGTCTGGGAAATGGGTGCCACTCCTGCTTCCTGTCCCAGGCCCCTGAAGTGTGGCCACCACTCCATGTTCTGGGCCCAGTCCCTGTGCTCCATGTGCAAGGGCAGCACTACCCTGGGCCCATCTTCACCTTGGGACCCCTCCATGCCTGACTATGCCATTCCCTTGCTGGAGGGTGGCCTGGCCCTGTCTGGCCCCACTGCAGCAGCTCCCAGGTGGCAAGCCCCAGACACCGTTTGCCTCAGCGTCAGCACCTGAGGACCGGTGGCCAGGGCCCACACCCCACCGCAGCAGGTGCCATGGCAGCAGCCGCTTTGAATGGCCTGCTGCTGCCATCAACAGAGCAATAGGGATTGTTAGAAGAAAAATCCTGTGTAATAAATAATAGAGAAGACACACTTACTGAGATCTGACACAATTGCTCATGTTAGTCAGGAACCCTTTCAGTCAAAAATAACCAAAACACAACTACCGATGGCTTAAATTAGAGGTTCTCAAAGTTTAGCTTGCATCAGCATCACCTGGAGGACTTGTTAAAGAACAGGTTGCTGGGCCTCACCCCCAGGGTTTTTCATTTAGTCTAGGGTGGTGCCCAAGGATTTGCATTTCTGACAAGTTCCATGGCCATGCTGCTGCTTGTCTAGGTGTCTCACTTTGAGCACCACTGGCTTAAATCACAAGGCATTCATTAACTAATGAACCAGAAGTCTGGAGACAGGAGGTTCTCAGCTCTGTTGATCAGCCCAGTGGTATGTCAAGGGTCCACGTTTTATCTATCCGTTGGCTCCACCAGGATTAAAGTGATAGCTTTTCATCTTGTGCATATTTCTCTTTTTAAAATTTTAATCGACACATGATTGCACATATTTATGAGGTACAATGTTATGTTTCAATACATGTTACATTGTGTAATGATCAAATCAAGGTAATTAGCATACCTTTCACCTCAAACATTTCTCATTTCTTTGCGGTGAGTGTATTAGTCCTTTTTTTATGCTGCTGATAAAGTCATACTGAGACTGGGCAATTTACTAAAGAAAGGGGTTTAATCGGACTTACAGTTCCATGTGGCTGTGGAGGCCTCACAATCATGGCAGAAGGTGAAAGGCTCTGCCTACATGGCGGCAGCAAGAGAAAATGAGGAAGAAGCAAAAGCGGAAACTCCTGATAAACCCATCAGCTCTCATGAGACTTACTCACTATCATGAGAATGGCTCGGGGAAGATTCAATTACTTCCCCCTGGGTTTCTCCCAAAACGTGGGAATTCTGGGAGATACAATTCAAGTTGAGATTTTGGTGGGGACACAGCCAACCCATATCAGTGAAAATATTCAAAATTACCTCTCTGGCTATTTTGAAATATACATTATTGTTAACTTTACTCATTCTACTGTGCAGTAGAAACCAGCATTTACTCCTCCTAACTGTAACTTTGTACCTGTTGACCAACCTCTCCGTATCCCCTCCTCCCTCCTACTTTCGCAGGTCTCTGGTAACCGCTGTTCTACTCTCTCCTTGGATGAAGTAAGCTTTTTGATATTCCACATGTGAGTGAGATCATGAGGTATTTGTCTTTCTGGACCTGGCTTATTTCACTTACTATAATGTCCTCCAGGTTCATTAAAGTTGTCACATGTCAGGATTTCATTCTTTTTAATGGCTGGATAGTATTCCATTGTGTATGTACACTACATTTTCTTTATCCATTCACCATTGTTGGACACTTAGGTTAAACCCTATCTTGGCTATTGTGAATGGTGCTGTTATAAACACGAGAGTGCAGATATGTCTCTGATACATGGATTTCCTTTCCTCTGGGTATATACCAAGTAGTGGGGCTGCTGGATCATACAGTATTTGTATTTTTAATTTTTGAAAAACTCCATACTGTTTTCTACAATGACTATGCTAATTTACATTTCTCCAATAGTTTATAAGGGATCCTTTTTTTCTATTTTTTCCCCAACACTTGTTATCTTTTGTCCTTTGATAATAGCCATTTCAACTGGGGTGAGATGATACCCCATTGTGGTTTGATTTGCATTTATCTGCTGATTAGTGATGTTGAGCATTTTTCATATACCTGTTGGCCATTTGTATGTCTTCTTTTGAGAACTGTTGATTTCAGTCTTTTGCCCATTTAAAACTCAGATTATTTGTGTTTTGCTATTGAGTTGTTTGAGTTCCTTATATATTCTGGTTATTGATTCCCTGTCATGTAGTTTCTCCCTGCGAATATTTTCTCCCATTCTGTAGGTTGCCTCTACACTTTGTTGATTGTTTTCTTTGCGGTACAGAAACTTTTTATCCTAATGTAATCTTATTTGTCTATTTTTGCTTTTGATGACTGTGCTTTTGAGGTCCTACCCCAAAAAAATCTTTGCCTAGACCAATGTCTTGTAGCATTTCCCCAATGCTTTCTTCCAGTAGTTTCATATTATAGTTTACAGCCTTACACTTAAGTATTTAGTTCATTTTGGGTTGATTTTTGTATGTGGTGAGAGATAGAGGTCTGGGTTCTTTCTTCTGTATATGGATATCCAGCTTACCCCGCACCATTTATTCAAGAGGCAATTCTTTTCCCAATGTATCTTCTTGGCAGCTTTGTAAAAAATGTATTGGCTGTAAATTCATGGATTTATTTTTGGGTTCTCCCTTCTGTTCCATTGACGTATATGTCTGTTTTTATGCTACTATCGTGCTGTTTTGCTTACTATAACTTTGTAGTATAAAGTCAGGTAGTGTGATGCCTCCAGCTCTATTCTTTTTGCTCAGCATTGCTTTAGGGTCTTTTGTGGTTTTATATAAGTTTTAGAATTATTCTTTTTATTTCTGTGAAGAATGTCATTGGTATTTTCATAGGGATTACATTGAATCTGTAGATCACTTTGGGTAGTATGGACATTTTAATGACATTAATTCTTCAAATTCTTGAACATGAGATATGCTTCTGTTGAGATTCTTGTACCCGAGTCTCCTGAGTAGCTGGGATTACAGGTGCACACCACCACACCAGTTTATTTTTGTATTTTTAGTAAAGACGGGGTTTCACTATGTTGCCCAGGCTAGTCTCAAACTCCTGAGTGCAAGCCATCTGCCCATCTTGGCCTCCCAGGGTTCTGGGATTACAGGCATAAACCACCGTGCCTGGCCCCTCTTCAAATTCTTTCAACAATTTTTTTTTTTAACTTTTTTTTTTTTTTTTTTTTTCTGTAGAGATCTTTCACCTCTTTGTTTACATTTATCCCTAGGGATTTTTTTGTTGGGGGTAGCTATTGTAAAAAAGAATTGCTTTCTTGATTGCTTTTTAAGGTGGATCATTGTTAGTGTAGAGAAATGCTACTGATTTTTGTAGGTGATTTTGTATCCTGCAAGTTTACTAAGTTGACATATCAGTTCTAAAAGATTTTTGTGGAATCCTTAAGTTTTCTCTATGTAAAAATCATGTTATCTACAACTAGGATAATTTGACTTCTTCTTTTCCAATTTAAATGCCCTTTATTTCTTTCTTCTGCCCACTTGCTCTGGCTAGAACCTCCAGAACTATGTTGAATAAAACTCGTAAAAGTGGGTATCTTTCTCTTATTCCTGATCCTAGTGGAAAGGCTTTCAATTTTTCACTATTTAGTATGATACTAGTGGTGGGTTCATCTCTTATGAGGGGGGCTTCAAAAAGTTCATGCAAAATAAGTATTATGATAAATTATTCATGGATTTCAATTTTTTGGCACCTAAATAAACTCACACTAACTTATAACATATTTGAACACAATCTAGTTTGAGGCACTAAGAAAGATAAGCTATCAATTTTAAAAGAACCCCTATTAGAGCAACATGAGTTTTGCTAAACATCAGATTTATAATAAAGCTTAGAAGGGTGGTAAAATCACTGACGCTTTATGAAAAATTTATAGGGACAATGTCCCAAAGAAATCAGCAGTTTACAAATGGATAACTTACTTTAAGAAGGGATGAGACAATGTTGAAGACGAAGCCTGAAGCGGCAGACCAGCCACATCAATTTTTGGGAAAATAATTCATCTTGTTTATGCCCTGGATGAAAAGGACTGACGGTTAACAGCAGAAACAATAGCCAACATCACAGACATCTCAATTCATTTAATTTACACAATTCTGGCTGAAACATTGAAGTTGATCACACTTTCCACTTGATGAGAGCACAACTGTTGTGCCCAGATCAGCTGCAGACAGAACAGATCTTTCTTTCTTTTTTTTATTATTATTATACTTTAAGTTTTAGGGTACATGTGCACAATGTGCAGGTTAGTTACATATGTATACATGTGCCATGCTGGTGCGCTGCACCCACTAACTTGTCATCTAGCATTAGGTATATCTCCCAATGCTATCCCTCCCCCCTCCCCCCATCCCACAACAGGCCCCAGAGTGTGATGTTCCCCTTCCTGTGTCCATGTGTTCTCATTGTTCAATTCCCACCTATGAGTGAGAATATGCTGTGTTTGGTTTTTTGTTCTTGCGATAGTTTACTGAGAATGATGATTTCTGATTTCATCCATGTCCCTACAAAGGACATGAACTCATCATTTTTTATGGCGCATAGTATTCCGTGGTGTATATGTGCCACATTTTCTTAATCCAGTCTATCATTGTTGGACATTTGGGTTGGTTCCAGGTCTTTGCTATTGTGAATAGTGCCGCAATAAACATACGTGTGCATGTGTCTTTATAGCAGCATGATTTATAGTCCTTTGGGTATATACCCAGTAATGGGATGGCTGGGTCAAATGGTATTTCTAGTTCTAGATCCCTGAGGAATCGCCACACTGACTTCCACAATGGTTGAACTAGTTTACAGTCCCACCAACAGTGTAAAAGTGTTCCTATTTCTCCACATCCTCTCCAGCACCTGTTGTTTCCTGACTTTTTAATGATTGCCATTCTAACTGGGAGAAAATTTTCACAACCTACTCATCTGACAAAGGGCTAATATCCAGAATCTACAATGAACTCAAAGAAATTTACAAGAAAAAAACAACCCCATCAAAAAGTGGGCAAAGGACATGAACAGACACTTCTCAAAAGAAGACATTTATGCAGCCAAAAAACACATGAAAAAATGCTCATCATCACTGGCCATCAGAGAAATGCAAAGCAAAACCACAATGAGATACCATCTCAGAACAGATCTTTCAGTGGAAATTTTAAACGAGTAAGATCAAGATCCTGAAGGATTTCTTCAAAAAATTACAGCAGGAGATAGGGCATGGTTTACCCATATGATCCAAAGCATAATCAAAGCCATGGCTATCAAGAGGTGGAAGTGGTCCACTCAAAGCTAAAGCAGACTGATCAAGTGCAAAGGTCATGGCAACAATTCTGAGGGATGCTCAATGCATTTTTCTTATTGATGTTCTCAAGGGCAAAATAATAATATCTGCTTATTGTGAGAGTGTTTTTAAAACTTGGCCAAAGCTTTAGCAGAAGAACACCTGGGAAAGCTTCACCAGCAAGACGTTCTCCACCATGACAATGCACCTGCTCATTCCTCTCATCAAACAGGGGCATCCACCTTACAGTCCTGACTTGGTTTCTTCTGACTTCTTTCTATTTTCTAATTTTAAAAAACTTTAAAGGGAACCCAGTTTCTTCAGTTAATAATATAAAAAAAGGCTGCATTGACATGGTTAAATTCCCAAGACCCTCAGTTGTTTAGGAATCGATTAAATGCCTAGTATCATACAAAAGTATCTTGAACTTGGAGATTAGGTTGAGAAATTACATAAATATATATGTATATATGGATATATATGGATATATATATGTATATATGGATATATATGGATATATGTATATATGGATATATATGTATATATATCTGTATATGTATATATGGAGATATATATATATATCCATATGTGGATATATGGATATATATGGATATACATCTATATATGGATATATGGATATTTATGGATATATGTATATATCTATATATGGATATATGAATATATATGTATATAGGTATATATATGTATATATTTGTATATCTATGTATATATGGATATGTATGTGTGTGTGTATATATATGGATATATATATTTATATGGAATACTACCAATTCTAATTTTTATATTTTTAGTAGAGAAGGCGTTTGCCATGTTGGCCAGGTTTATCTTGAAATCCTGACCTGGGGTGATCCACAGCCTTGGCCTCCCAAAGTGCTGCAATTACAGGCATGAGCCACTGTGCCTGGCTGCTACTATTACATATTATAGTCTATATTTCCCTTTAAATCTAATAATGTTTGCTTTTTATATTTGGGTGCTCCAGTGTTGGGTTCATATATATTTATGATTGTTATATCCTTCTGCTGAATAGATCTTTCAGCTGAAATGACAGTCTTTGTTTCTTTTTCCAGTTTCTGAGTTAGTCTACTTATTTCATAGATGTATAGCTACTTTGGGGTTTTTTTGGTTTCCATTTGTGTGGAATATCTTTTTCTATCACTTCACTTTCAGTCTTTGTGCATCCTTATAGGTAAAATGAGTTTCACATAGGCAGTATATAGTAGGGTCTTAAAAAAAAAACTATTCCATTACTCTCTCCTCTTTTTTTTTTCAACTTTTATTTTAAGTTCAGGGGTACATGTGCAGAATGTACAGGTTTGTTAATAGGTAAATGTGTGCCATGGTGGTTTACTGCACAGATCATCCTGTCACCCAGGTATTAAACCCAGCATTCATTAGCTAATCTTCTTGATGCTCTCCCTCCTTCCCCCCGAACAGGTGCCCAGTGTGTGTTGTTCCTCCCCACGTGTCCATGTGTTCTCATAAATTAACTCCCATTTGCAAGTGAGAACATGTGGTGGTCGGTTTTCTGTTCCTGCATTAGTTTGCTGAGGATAATGGCTTCCATCTCCATCCATGTCCCTGCAAAGGACATGCTCTCATCTTATGGCTGCATAGTATTCCATCGTGTGTATGTACCACATTTTCTTTATCCAGTCTATCATTGATGGGCATTTAGGTTGATTCCATGACTTTGCTATAGTGCTGCAATGAACATATGCATGCATGTATCTTTATAATAGAATGATTTATATTCCTTTGGGTATGTACCCAATAATGGGATTGCTTGGTCAAATGGTATTTCTGTTTCTAGGTCTTTGAGAAATTGCCACAATGGTTGAACTAATTTACACTCCTACCAACAGTGTAAAAGTGTTCTTTTTTCTCCACAACCTCACCAACATCTGTTGTTTTTTTGACTTTTTACTAGTAGCCATTCTGATTGGCATGAGATGGTATTTCATTGTGGTTTTGATTTGCATTTCTCTAATGATCAGTGATGTTGAGCTTTTTTTTCATATGTTTGTTGGCTGCATGTACATCCTCTTTTGAGAAGTGTCTGTTCATGTCCTTTGCCTACTTTTTAATGAGGTTGTTTTTTTCCTGTAAATTTAAGCTCCTTGAGATTCTGGATATTAGACCTTTGTCAAATGGATAGACTGCAAGAATTTTGACCCATTCTCTAGGTTTTCTGTTCACTCTGATGATTGTTTCTTTTGCTGTGCATTTTAATTGGAGAATTTAATCCATTTACATTCAAGTTTATTAAATGGACTTGTTCCTGCCATTTTGTTAACTGTTTTCTGATTGTTTTGTAGATTATTTGCTTCTTTCTTTCTTATTGCTTATATTTCTGATTTGGTGGTTTTCTCTACTGATAAGCTTTGATTCCTTTCTCCTTCTGTCTCTTGCATCTGCTATATTTTTTTTCTCTGTGGTTACCATGGGGCTAACATAAGGAATCTTGTAGTTATACTATTTTAAGCTGATAACAACTTAACTTTGGTTGCATATATACACTAGATTTTTATCCTCCACCTACAATTTATATTTTTGTTGCCTTAATTTACATGTTTTCGTATTGTGGGTTCCCTAACAACTTATTGTAGCTATAGTTACTTTTGGCCATTTTGGCTTTCAACCTTCATACTAGATATTTGAAACATTTTCATACCATCGCTACAGTACACTGATAGTAATGACTTTCCTTTTGTTTCCTGTTGAAACACTTCCTTAAGCATTTTTTGTAAGGCTTGTCTAGTGGTGATAAATTCTTCCACATTTTGCTTGTTTGGGAAAGACTTTATTTCTCCTTCATTTCTGAAGGATAGTTTTGCAGGGTATGGTATTTTTGATTGGTAGTTTTTATGTCTTTTAGCATTTTGACTATATCATCCCATTCTCTCCTGGCCTGCAAGGTTTCTGCTGAGAAATCTGCTCAGTCTAGTGGGAACTGTCTCATATGTAACTTAACACTTTTCTCTTTCTGCTTTTATAATTCTCTGACTTTGACTTTTGATTTGATTACGATGTGCCTCAGAGAGGATATTTTTGGGTGAAATCTATTTGAGAACTTCTGAACTTCCTAGATCTGAACTTCCCATATCTTTCCCAAGACTTGGAAAGTGTTCAGCTATATTTTGTTAAATAAGTTTTCTATAACTTTCTCCATCTCTTATCCTTCTGAACCCTCATAATGCAAACATTTGTTCACTTAACGTTGGCCTGTAAGTATCATGGGCTTTCTTCATTCTTTTTAATTCTTCTTTTTTTAAATCTGACTGGGTTATTTAAAAAAAAAACCTGTCATTAGGTTCAGAAATGCTTACTTCTGCTTGATCTAGTTTGTTGAAACCCTCAGTTGTATATTAAATTTCATTTATTGAATTTATTAGCTCTGAGATTCTACTTGGTTCTTTTTTTAAAAAAATCCATCTCTTTGTTGATTTTCTCATTCATATCATGAATTGTTCTAATTTTATTGAATTGTCTACCTATAGTCTCTTGTATCTCACTAAATTTCCTTAGGATTATTGTTTTGAATTCCATTTCAGGCATTTTGGAAATTTCCTTTTCTTTGGGGGCCAGTTATTCGAGAATTATTGAGTTCCTTTTGTGGTGTCAAGAACATTCACCTTTTCCAATTTTATGGAGTAGCTTTCATAGGGAAAGACTTCTCTTGCAGATGAGTTCTTGGGTGGTGGTTGGGTATTGTGCGTGGTTTTTGTTTTTTTAATGATGCAGTTATGTAGTAAATGTGAAGTCTTTTTCAGCAATAATCAACATTAGCAATGCCTGTGAGTGCCTCAGTGGCCTAGACTGCAGGAGTTTGTGGGTTTGTGGTGGTGGTGGCATGGCTTTATTGGGGGAAGAAGGCCAGCTGGTGCTGAAGTCAAGGGGTGTGTGCACTGGGTCTGCTGGTTTGGGAGTGACCTCACCAGGGGAAAGGCATCAGGTTGTTTCTCAAGCTAAGGGGCATTTGTGGTGGCCTTGCTGGGGTTGGGACACTGGGCTGGTTCCTAAGCTGAAGGGATGAACTCAGTGGGTCCACTGGCTTAGGGGTAGCCTTCCTGGGGGTGCGGCATTGGATTGGTTCCCATACCAAGAGAGTGTATACTGTGGGTGCACTGACTTGGGCTTTGCTTCTCTGCATGCAGGACTGCTTGTTACTTGAGGGCAGGGGAGCAGTGATCTTTTGCACTGGGGTCGCAATTGTTCCATTTGGTGAAATGATGGTAGAGATGCAGTGCTTACTCTAGCAGATAGCAGTGGCTACAGTTTCAAGATGGTGCTGTGCCTTAGAAGCTTGGGTTGTGGGTGTTGGGAAAGGCATAACATGGGATTCTTCTCTGAAGCAGTGAGGCCATATGAACTTGAGGCATCTCCCTAGACAGGGCTCAGGGTCTGTGAGCACTGTGAGACTCTCCAGTAGCAAAGACTGCAGGTATCCATGGTGGTAATGAAGGCTGTTCAGGATCCCCTCCTTATCTTTTTTCCTGTAAAAAAAAAAATGCACGTTTTGGCTCCAAACCAGTCTCAACTGGGGAGAAGATGTGATGGAAGCAGCATGCTTCGTTCTCTTCTCTATGCTGACATCCTGAGTTTTCATTATGCTCCACAGGGCTCCCTCTACTCCCTGGTATTCCAGCACTCTCTTTTAGATGCTCTAGTCTATATCTAGTTGTTTATTTGTTATTTTGGTCCTTTTTATGTTGAGGGGAAACTAGTGTTAGGCACCTCTAGTCAGCCATCTTGCTGATCATGCATTTCTCTTGATGGTTACCACTGTCGCCGCTGTGCTGCTCATCACATCCCCACACTGCATTTAAAGGAAGAAGGATGAGGAAGAGAAAGGAAAAAAGGGCATTACTATTTTTCAGACTAGTTCCCTGGATACATTTATAATTGGAGATGACTGATGAGACAATTTGGGGACTGGCAAATTATTACGGATTGGACACATATCCTTGGCAGAAAGGGTAACCTTGAGTTATTAGTTGGTTCATGGTCACACTACTTCTACTGAAGGTACATTTGTGTCTTTTGCTATTGTCTTGGATTTATAAAATATTGATATTCTTGAAGTAGATTACTTTTTCAATTGAGCTAACTCTGTCAGTGGCAGCCTGTAAGTTGGAGTCTTTGCATCTTTTTTAGTATATCTTTGAGAACATCCTTGAAATGCTGTTTCTGTCCTTATCTTGGACAAACATTGATTGAATTGGGAAAATAAAACCTCTTTCAGAAAACCTCTTCATACATGCATTAAATTTTATCACATGACACATCTTAATATTTCAGGTTTTTAAATCAGAAATAGTTTTTGGTTTTGCTTCTGATTTTCCTTATCAAAACATTGTAAACATTTAAAAAATCTGATCAAAACAAACTAAGTGTGAAATTATAAATCTTATTTCTATATTTTTGGAATTTCATATAAAATGCTTTCATTGAGTAAACCATGTTGTAGGGTGGAATGCTATGCTTGAGAGGGAAGGAAATATAACGTTTCTAGATTCTATCATGTTATTAAAAGACAAATTGAAAAGTGCCTTTAAGATCTTGATTAATTCACAGGCTTCTGTTCAAAAACTTCAAGTGGTAAATATGCCTGTGGGTTGGGTGTTTTGCTTTTTGCTTTGGGTTATTGCCAGCTGGAAAAAAAATGCTGCTCTAGCAGTTTGCAGCCAAACTGGAAGCACAGGATCAGTGGAATCTCTTAGAAAAGTATTCTTTTGAAATTCTTGTGGTCAATGTATGCTGAAACTGAGAAAGGACAGATACATCTGGCTGGAACTGGCGTGTATTTCATTGCTGGTGGTGTGCTATCATTGGTTTAGTTGACTGTAGCTGCGAGTCAAGTACGTTGTATTCCTTAGGTGTTCCCATGGGAGCCCTAAGGGGTCAGCATTGTCTGGAGGCCTCCAAGGCAGGGACTGTGCTTAATTCCATGAAGATTTCTGTGCTAACATCAACTTTGCTAGTAGCTTTTCTTTAAAAGATCTACAGTGCTTCCTATGTTCACAGAAAAATGGCTGCTCCTGAAGATGGAATGGGAACTTGGTTTCTCATGTTTTGTTAAAGATTTTTTTACTCTGATTCTGTTTCTCAGCCACTGAGATGCAAACTCAAAGACAAATTATGTTTTTTCTTGATGAAATTTGGTTTCATTAACTCATGTGTACCTCTGAAAAGTGGTTAAATACATTGGATATAGACCAAAACTATTAAGAAGAGGACAAATAACCCCAAGCTTACAAACTGGTGGAGAAACTATGAGTGGCTCATGAAAATAAGTTAGGAAGGGAAGTGGGGAGAGTTCCCTGAGGGAATTCTTGGGAATTCAGGAGAAAGGAGCCTAACGTAGTGTTCCTTTCAAAGTATATTTTATGTTGTTAGAATCACGGAGGTGTTTATGAAAACCGAAGCAAAACAAAATAAAACAGAAAGAAACCCATAAAAGGTCTCTGGCCCCAATTAAGATTTATGGGATCAAAATGTAGGGGCTAGAGTGAGGAGGTGGTGTGGGCTGAATTGTGTCTTCTCAAAATTCATACGTTGAAGGCCTTACAGTACCTGACAATGTGACTGTTTGGAGATAGGGCTTTTAAAGAGGTGAGTAAGTTAAAATGAGACCTTTAGGGTGGGCCCTAATCCAATATGGTTGGTGTCCTAAGAAGAGGAGATCAGGAACACGGATGCATAGAAAGATCTCGTGAAGGAAGAGGAAGAAGACAGCCATTTATAAGCCATGGAGAGAAGCCTCAGAAGAAATCAAACCTGCAGATACTTTGATCTTGGACATATAGCCTCTGGAACTGTGAGAAAGTTAATTTCTGTTGTTTAAGACACCCAGTATATGGTACTTCATTATGGAAGCCCTCATACGGTAACAGGTGGAATATGGATTTTTGAGACATCCCACAGGTGATTTTTATGCACATTAAAATTAAATAATTGATATTTTAAGGTTGGAAAAATAAATTTGAGTTGAGCTCCACTTGTTTTTAAAATTTTCTTGAGCAGTTGGTTAAAGTGATCATCAAGAGGAATAAAAAGTTGAAGAGAAAATGCAAGTCTACAAATTCTTATTGAGTATGTGCAACCCAGTGCACAATGCAGGACTGGGCCTTGGTGAGTTTCATTTGGTCTTCAGTACAAATAAGAACCAGGAATTATGCAGATGCCAGGCTCTGGTACTATAATGAGGTGTTCAGCTTCCAGGGACTGAGCATTCTTGCCATCCTCCTTACTCAACTAGGTACATTGAATGTTGCCATCCTTGTCTGCAAAAATAAACAAACAGTGGTGTTCTTAGAGGGAGATGTACTCGTTCACATCACACAGCACTAGGGTCTGGTTCAGGATGGGACAAGCAAGGTGCCCAGGGCACAAAATTTAAGGAGGCAAGGTCATGCAAGTTTGGAATCTGCACTGGCATGATCTGGAGTTAGGAGCTCAGGGCATAGAATTTAAGGAGGCACTGACTTTCAGGGTTCTACAAGGGCAGCGTCAACATTTGCATGATCTTGCCTCCTTAAATTTTGTGCCCTAGTCACCTGTTTGTCTCATCCTAGTCCTGACCTTGGTGCTGTGAGATGTGGACTAGTACATTTCCCTCTAAGGACACACCACTTGTTTGTTTTTGCAGACAAAAAAGGCAACGTTCAATGCATCTGGTTGAGTCTAGGAAGGTGGCAGGAACATGCAGTCCCTGGAAGCAGAGCACCCTCAGTGTTGTGTCAGGGCCTGGTATCTGATTAATTCCTGGTTCCAGTGTGTATTGAAGCCAAGCAAAACTTAGTCTGCTTGTTAACTGCAGTCAAGAGAGGGTTTGGGGACAGATGGGGATAGTCCCCCACCTTTTCTATGTCCTTTGTTTAAAGTGCACACCTGGCATCTTGCCTGGTACATTCAAGGGAGTACATACAAAAACTGGTGATTGTTTTTGTTGAGTTTCTTGTTGGCAGGGGTTTGTTTCTCCTGCAGGTAGAGGTTTAGTCTAAGGATTATCTGGTCCAAGGACCAACTCCAAGGAGTCTTTCAAGCTCCTCTCATCGATTCTCTCAACATCAGATCCAACAGTAAATGATCACAGGGACTTTAAGGATTATTAAGCTGAAGACTTCATTTTACAGATGAAAAAACTGAGAGGAACAGAAGGGAATTAACTATTCAAGATACCAGAGCAACATACTAGAAAAGCAGAGACTAACAATTAAGTCTGGTAACATGGGTCAGTGTTCTTTCTCCTATACTAGTGTGATTCAGGCCATGCAGACAGCAGGGTGGATTCTTAAGGAATCTGTTTGTCATCTTCACCTGCTAAGGTCTATGCAGGAGGACATACTCAGTGTTTCCCTGACAGGTCCCATGTCCACATATCTTCTCTTGGGAGGCACTTTTGAGATACAGTTGAACAAAATTGCTTTTTCCCCCAACTGTTACCAAATGGGCGACATCCTTTCAAGAATAAACAAAAGTTTTTTTTTTCAGTTAAAAAGTTGTCTTTTGCTCAGTATTGCCCTATGGCAGGGGTTTCAAGGAGTCTACAAGCCTGCTGAAATTGTATGTACAGTTTTGTGTGTTTTATGGGTTAGAATTCTTTATTTCTTCGTCCTCATTTTGTTTTTTTTTTTTCCTCTTCACTGGTATCTGGCGGGAAGAGTCTTCAACATGATAACACTTCAAAATAACACTTCAGTGATGAGAGGCAATTAACAGAGTCAAAATAGAAGTTTGTCTTGTAGATGCTTTACTCTGAAGAAAGGGAGGCTCACTTCCACACTCCCAGCATGGGGACTCGAGTAAGAACCCCTGGACTTGGAATGAGGTGCAAGCAGCTGCTTGAGCTTCAGCCACCAAGGGCAGCGGGGGATGGTGCAAGGGGAGCCATGGAGTAGAAAAGGAAGAGAAAAATTTGACGAGGGGAGAAGGGCTTCCTGGTGCCCATCCTAAGTGGCCTGGGCATTGACTGATTGAAAGGCAATCAGATGAGATGAGAAGTATAAAGAAACATTTACAACATTTTCTAAAAGCTTAATATGTTTGTCACAAGCTTTGAGTAAGACCGAGTTATTTCTTACCAGGAAAACAATATATTATAGTGGTTTAGGGGTGTGGACATCCAGGCCAGACTTCTTGGGTTTAAGTTCAGCTCTGTTAGTCACTAGAGAGGTAACTTTGGGTGATGTATCTAATATCTGTGTAACTTTGATTCTTTATCTGTTAAATGGTAACAATTATAGTACCCCGACCTCCTTTCATTGTTATGAGGCTTAAATTAGTCAAAACACTGCCTGCAACATAGTACACTAACACATATTAACTATTAAATTGCAAGGGACAATGACACAGATGCATTGGTCCTGGAGAGAATGGTCATTAGTTCTATAATAATACACAGTCTTGTCAAGTGCAGTGATGTCCTTAGGGTTTGAACCTTGAGTTTATCAGTTAGATCATATCATTTTGTGCTTCAGTAAAGAAGCTTAGTTTGGTGTGTTTAAACATTATTGTTCTGTCTAGCAAAAAGCATGTATTAATTGTATTAATCAAATGCATTGCTCTGTTTTTATAACCTTGATTCTCCTAAAAGAGGAAGATCAGTTGGCAAATTTCAGCACTTATTTCTAAGATTGTGGAAGCGTTATTTCTCAGCCAAGTTCTGGCAGCACCACTGCAGCCACTTAATTCTCTGGGGTGATTGCTCTTCATCCTGCTTCTCACCAGCATAGTGTGTTGTGGGCAGCTGTCACAGTAGCTTTTTAATCCTCCAAGAGCTTCCTCAACCCTCTTCTCTCCCACCTCCCAATCACCAACTGGGAATGCAGTTATTAAATTTGCCCTTTGGAAAACTTCAGGGGTCAGGAAATTTAACCTACTCTTTCCCTGTTTGTTCAGGTATGGAATCCAAATTGTTAGGTTATAGAATGCTGGAGCATTTCGTCAGACCACCTGCTCCTTAAATGTCAAGACTACCAGCAGTGTTTGCAATTCTACACAATGGATATTCTTTAGTAATGCCAAAACAAATTTCAGAGCATCATGTATTTAGTAACAGGTAAGAAGGTTAAAAGACTAAGAACCATGAAAGTAAATATTTGGCTCTTTATGTAGTAATAATATCACAATCCTCTTTTCTTCCTATTAGTGTTTTCAAGCTAAATTGTGTTGTTAATGCTGATAAAATTGAAACCGTAATGTTTCTTTCTGTGTTTATTTTAATTTCGAGAGACAATAAATTTACTGTTTTGTATTTTGTTTTTATATAATGTTTCTACTAATTTTCCCCAGTTGGTTTAGGCATAGAGAGAGTCAAGATATTTCTGGAATGTGGGTAAACACATGTTTTTTCCAATTCTGCCTCTAATTTACTAATACAATTTGTGTAATGAATAAGTTCTTATGCTATTTTGTGCCTCATTTATTTGATCTAGTGAAAACATTCACATTTTATTTTGTGATCTCTGGATATCATACGTGTTGCTGGAAGAGGAGAATACCTGGGGACAGAAACAGGGCATGCGTCCAGTCTGCCATCCATTTGCAAGGATGCTTTTGTTTTGTCTTTCAAAAGTGAGTTTCAGTTTCCAACTGCATAGTCTTTGGGGGCAAGCTATTGGTGGGAAAGTTTTTAGTCAGAGCTTTTTCCAAGAGCTCTCATGAGAATGAAATTTAACATAATACCCTAGGGAAAATGGAAATTTGAAATGATTACAGAAAGATGGGTCGAAGGAATTGGAAGTGCCCTCCATTTTCCAGCTGAGAGCATTCTGAGAGGCTACACCTGGCCAGTGCCCTAAGAAAGCTAATTTAGATACAGCCGTGAGAATGATGTTAACACTCAATGTGAAGGAGGATGTAACTGGGTGTCAACACAATATGATTCTTCAGGGAAAATAGTCACCTGACTCTCCCTAAACATTAAAGAATGTTAATTTTCAAATCTAATTGACTTAAATTCTGGTCCAAGACTTGTCCACAGAGGAAAGTGACCAACCATCCTGGTGTGTTTGTAACTGCTTTAAGCATTGAAAGGCACATGTCTAGAGAAACTCCAGTCCTGAGTGAGTTTGGAGAGTTAGTTGGTCATCCTCTCTGAGGCCATTCGGTCTATTTTACTTCATTTTATAGAAGTAAGTAGAGGGGAAAGGTGATCCAAAAGTTGCCCTTAGTTTTCCTTCCATGGTCTTATCCTGCACTGTCTATTTTATAAAGGAAATACCAGTTTATATGTTTTACAAAATCTCTTTCAAATTCTGTTGTTAGAAATGTGGGAGGGAGCTTTACTATGAATTATATCTACTCCATTGGTTGTTGGATAGTTGGGACTATCTCTTTATATTTCACACCTGTCATTTTACTTAAAGTTCTATTGTGCCTACAATGTTACTGACTTTTCACTTGCATGCCTTTATTGATTTTTCACGCCAGCATTTGACTTTAGGTTGGTGATACCAGACTAGTGACACTTGTCAAGTAGTGAAGATTGTGACCTCCATCAGTGAGGAAACATTTCAGAAAATCTGACTTACAAGGGCTTAAACAATGAGGAAGTTTATTTGCTCAGCTATGAAGTGTCATTGGGTAGGGCAGACTTAGGTTGGTTGACCCTGTGATTCAATGTCACTGAACATTGTCTCTTTGCCTGTCCTCTACAGGCAGGCATTTGAAGAATTGGCATCTGCTGTAGTTTGAATGTGTCCCCCAAAGCTATGTGCTGGAAACTTAATCCCATTGCAAGAGTGTTGAGATGTGGGACCTTTAAGAGGCTCTGCCTTCATGAGTTGTTTAGTGCTGTTATGGTGGGGATAGATAATTATCAATGGAATGGGTTCCTGATAAAAGGATGGGCTTGGCCCCCTTCCTCTTTCTCAGACATGTATGCTTTCTTGCTGTTTCACCTTGTGCCATGAGATGACATAGCACAAAGGCTATCACCAGATGCAACCCTTGACCTTAGACTTCCCTGCTTCCCTAACTGTAAAAAATGAATCTCTGTTTCTTATAAATTACTTGATCTTAGGCATTCTGTTATAGCAGCCCCAAACGAACTGAGACAGCATCTTTCTAAGCTTTATTCCCTCTCTTGATGAGGTAATGGTAACTAAGTGCCAAATTATTTATTTCTTGGGGGGTAGGGAGGCAGAATACAGAGAGAAATCTTCTCTTTGGTTAGATGAGGTCAGCTTAGGCCATGCATCTAGCCGCGATCTGAAAATCGATTCTGGGAGAATATGTGTACCCTTTGACCTAGGCCATTTCACTGTCTCAAGGGATTGAATTACCACAATGGGTTTAAACCATTGTTTCCCAGGTTTGAGGGAGCATCAGACCCATCTGCAGGGCTTTTTGAAACATGGTCCACTGGACTTCACTTTCAGAGTCTCAGTAAGTCTGGGGTGGGGCCAGTTCATGATTTGCATTTCTAACCACTTTCAGCTAATGCTAATACTGCTAGTTCAGGACCATGGCATTTTGAGAATGATTGATTTAAAATACTTAAATTCTACCTCTGAAGTTGATTTTAATTCCTCTCACAACTTTGAGGCAACAAAACAAGGAGGTTTGGAATGGACTTTGGACTGTCACCATGTCCCCACTACAACCTTTTCAGCTATTTTTCTTCTACCATCTCCTGCTTCCCAGCAACTTTTCTGTCCTGATCCTGAATCCTGGACCTACAGAGTCCTGTTGACATCTTTTCACTGGATCACCACCTTCTTACTACACTAGCCTTCTCTGAGAGTGTTCTATGCTTCAAAGTGGTCCTCCCCTCTTTCATCCCTGGCCCCTCTCCGATATAAAATTTCTCTTTCCTTTGCAGATCTCAGCTATGTAATAGATTGTTATGTGACTAAGCGATATGATTGTCCCTCTCAAGATTTTATAAGAATGTTAAGTTTCTACTTATGCACCTGTATAAGGGAGCTATTAGATCAAGTTATCCTTCCAGATATCTTTGGCCATTCCTGGCCAGTCCATTCTCTTTACTTCCAGTGAAGCAGAATAATGGTATCCCAAATGTAGAAAGTGAAAGACTCTTCTTAGAGCAACATTTTAGACTCAAAACCAGAATTACTAGATTGAATCACTCATTTCTAGACTTCTGGATTGTAAGCCTAAAATAAAACCACCCCGAAGGCAAGCTGGGGAACCCAACGTATCTGCTCCACCCTCAGACTTCTGAGACACATACTGCTAAATTGTCATCTAGTAATTTACTTAATTTAAGCTTTTTCTTTGGGAGAGAAATCCATTTTGAGTATTTACTAAAACATGCGCTGTGCGGTGCAAGCAGTGCTCTAAATCTTACTGATTTCATCTTTATAGGACATAGTTTAAATGATGACAAGTTCCAATAGTTTATTTGCCCAGAAGGCCTTCAAAATAAGAATTTTGAAAGAATGCAGAAAACAAACTTTTATATCCTTCTCATGTTTTCTAATATAAAATTCATATGCTTTGCTACTCCAAACCTAGTTTAAAATAAACAATCTTGAGAATAGATGAAAATTTTGATGAATAGTGGAATTCTTTCAAATGGAAACCTCTTACATGTGATTTTTCCTTGCCATTTAGAAATAAACCATAGTATTTATGTTGAATCAATCAATACTTTATTTACTGAAGCTTTAGTATGTAGATCCTAAAATTGTATTAGTTGCTGCAGGGGAAATAAAAAGGGTACAATATGTATCTTAAACTCAGTTGTTCCAAACTCAAATATAAACTCACAGTTTCCTTATTAAACACTCATTTTCTAGCTTTTGTAGGGATGGAATACAGCCCCTAAATATGGCTCTGTTTTTATTCAGTTATTCAGCAATCTTTTTATTAAGAGTCTTCTATTACCAGGCACTCCAAGGATTGAATGTTAAGCTATATACTATAAGTGAAATGAAAATTTTCTTTTTTCTTTCTTTCTTTTCTTTTTTTCTTTTTTTTTTTTTTTTTTTGCTGTGGCGTGAACTTGGCTCACTGCAGCCTCCGCCTCCCAGGTTCAAGCAATTCTCCTGCCTCAGCCTCCCCAGTAGCTGGAACTACAGATGCTCCCCACCAAGCCCAGCCAATGTTTGTATTTTTAGTAGAGATGGGATTTCACCGTGTTGGCCAGGATAGTCTTAATTTCCTGACCTTGTAATCTGCCCACCTTGGCCTCCCAAAGTGCTGGGATTACAGGCGTGAACACCCACGCCTGGCCGAAAGTTTTTTTTAAAGAAATGTTTAAATTTTGAGCCTTCTGTATTTCTTAGGTATTAATAAAATGTTCCAAATGGCTTATTAGTTACACTAACATTATTTTACTGGAAGTAGTCCATCCTTTCTCCACTATTGAGACTGATCCTTTAATTATTTCCTAAATTGCCATATAAATGCAAAATTACCTGATATCTGTTTCCTGATTCTATTCTTTTTTTTTTTTTTTTTTTTGAGGCGGCATTTCGCTCTTGTTGCCCAGGCTGGAGTGCAGTGGTGTGATCTTGGCTCACTGCAACCTCCGCCTCCTGGGTTCAAGTGATTCTCCTGCCTCAGCCTCCCGAGTACCTGGGATTACAGGCATGTGCCACCACGCCTGGCTAATTTTTGTGTTTTTAGTAGAGACGGTTTCTCCATGTTGGTCAGGCTGGTCTTGAACTCCCGACCTCAGGTGATCTGCCCACCTCCGCCTCCCAAAGATGGGATTACAGGCATAAGCCACCGCACCAGGCCTTCCCGATTCTATTCTATTGTTTTGACTTTACTGTTTTATGCCTTGCTGCTTTCATGACTTTTTCTCTTTTAAGCCGGAATTTTGATTAGGATTGCATTAAATTTGCAAATAAATTGGGAGAGAATTAATATCTTTAACTTTTTATTTATTTTTTAAATGCACAGGTGTAAAGTGAATGGCCTTTAGTGCTATAAGTTATGTAAAATTATTACACTTCACATTAAATTTATTAATATGCTTTTTATAAATGTTTTCTCATTGCGTATTTTTGGCTTATGAGAAAACACTTGATTTTGGTATTTTTACTTATGAACAATCATCGTACTAAAGTATCACATTTGTAATCATTTCTCGATGTAATCTCTACCTTTTCCAGACAAATAATTATCTTTTCTGAAAATAAGAGTTTTGCCTTCAAGATTACAACATTTTTGTCTTTTGACATTTCCCTTCTGTACTATTGAAACCATTCAGCTGGGTACCAGTTTCCCTAACATTAGGCAATACTATTCTTTTGGGGGAGGGGTGACCCTCTTTTTTCCAATTAGCCCAATCATTGGGTTGAGCTTGCCACAATGAGGAAAACTGAGCCATCATATGGGCTTTCAGCTCTGTAATACCTCATGTGTATATCACCCAGTCTCCAGCTCTGAGAGTTTCTCTGTTGCTGCCATTCTTTAAAGGCAAACAAATACCAAGTATTCACCTTTGCTTTTATTGACCATTTTAACCTGTGATATGGTTTGGCTCTGTGTCCCCACCCAAATCTCATCTCAAATTGTAATTCCCCTAATCCCCATATGTCAATGGAGAGACCTGGTGAGAGATGATTGGATCATGGGGGGCCAGTTTCCGCCAGGATGTTCTCGTGATTGTGAGTGAGTTCTCACGAAATCTGATGATTTTATCAGTGGCAGTTTCCCCTGCTGTCTGCTCTTTCCTGCCACCTTCTGAAGAAGGTCCTTGTTTCCCCTTCTTCTGCCATGACTGTAAGTTTGCTGAAACCTCCCCATCCATGGGGAACTGTGAGTCAATTAAACCTCTTTCCTTTATAAATTACCCAGTCTCAGGTATTTCTTTATAGCAGTATGAGAACAGACTGAGACAACCTGCAGTTGTTTCTCCTTCAGAGTATGTACCTTTCGCTGCTTTCTGCTCCACACTGAGACCGCGTCGTGATGAGGAATGAGGGTCCGAACCAACAGCGAGGCATGATAAACTTTGCAGTGTGGTTGGCCTTTCTCCATTGTCTCCATTCCTTCTTTTACTGTGAGGAAGTTCCTTTACTATTTCTTGTAGCAATGAACTTCCTGAGCTTTTATTGGTCTGAAAACATCTTTATTTCACTTTCATTTTTTGAATAATTTGTTGCTGGCTATAGTAAGAAATTATTCCATTATCTCCCATTTTTCTTTTTCTTCTGATGAGAAGTTAGTAATTATTGTCAATGTAGTTTCTGTGAACAGAATGAGTCTTTTTATCTGAATGCTTTGAAGACGGACTCTTAAGTCTGGCTATACAGCTGTTTGAACTATAATGTGTCTACTTTTAAATTTTATTTTAAAAATTATCTTTAATGTTTGCTGCATTCTTGGATTTGTGAGTTGATGACTTTAAATTTTAGAAAATTCTCAGCCATGATCTCTTTAAAGTTTCTTCCTCCATTTTCTTTCTTCTCTGCTCTGTAACTCCAATTGCATATAAATTAGACAATTTCATGTTTTCCCTTCATGTCTGTGATTTTCTGTTTGTGTGCTTTGATTTGTTTCTATTCCTTTTTTCTCTCATGCTTCAATTTGGAAAACTAATTCTATTGTCTTATTTTTCAGTACACTGTCCCGTTCTCTTGCTCTGTCTAGTCTTCCGTTAAGTCCACCTAATAATAATACTTTAGTTCTTTTTTATGCTGAAAGGCCTCATTGTTCCTCTAAGTAATAGAGTTAAATATAATGTAAGTTAATAAAATTAATATGGTGTTTTTAAAGTTAGTTCAACATTTGGGTCATCTTTGGGTCTCCTTCTAGTGACTATTTTTGTCTTAATTATGGGTCATATTTTCTTACTTCTTTACCTGTATTATAATATTTTATTATATACTAGACCTTGTATATGAAACAGCAGTAGAAACAAAATTAGATATTCATGAACTCAGAAAAGGCTTGCCTTTCCATTTTTTTTTAAAGGCAGCTAGAGTGAGGAATTAAAGTATCCAATCAAACCAGAAGCTGGGTTCAGTAATGGGTTGGTTGACTCTAGGCAGTCTCAATTAACTTCTGGTGTTAATATCTTTAAGCAGAATTTTGAAATTGAATTACCCAGAACTAAAGATATCTCTTCCCTTCCCTCTTTCTCCCCTTTCCCTTCCTGATCCTAGGGTCCTAGTGCTGTCATTTATTCCGCTAAAGTTATGTGGGAAAGAATTGTGAAGCGAGGAAGACCAATATTTGTTTGGGAGTCCTCTAGATTGAAGTCAGCCATGCCAGCCTCCCTGTGGCTGTTAAGGTGATTTTCTTTTTTTCTATTGTAGAACACTTCTTCTGCTTAGTGCAGAGTCATTCTGACTGCTGTGCTCTCACTTTAGGGTTGGTAGAGGCCACCAGTCTTGGCTAATTCAGGAAGGACTCATTTCTTTAGGAATTTAGTTTATTTAGCATTCTTTAGTCTGCTGTTCTCTGATGGCTTTAAAGAGTATAATAGTTTCTCTTGATGGAGAGTTTTGTTATGAAGAATAGAAGACTCTGTGTATTTCAAAGTGGTAGCTTTTTACTGCTCCCTGCCAGGAGCATGAGGGGATTTTTCTCCAGTCTTCACTGTGAGAACCTAGCAGAGCTTCTGGAGGTAAAATTCACAAAAACAGAGGGGACCCCTTATGCCTGAGCCTCCCATGAAGTTTTTAACTCTCAGACTTGTCCACACTGAGCCTCCAGAAATTCATCAATGAGAGTTTGGGTTTTTCTATCTGCCCAGAGTTTCTGCTTATAGGTTTCTGCTCCAGTAAGTTGTGACTCTTGGTTTCCACCTGTCTGTCTTTCCAATTTGGGGGGTTATGATTCGCCCTGTCACCTCATTTCCCCGATGAACCTAAGAAGCATTGTTGCTTTTTCAGCTTGTTCAGCTTTTTACTTCTTGTTAGAGTGGATTTTGTGACTTCCCAGCTTCTGGAAATGAGAAAGATGAAATTTTTGAGGAAAGTTATTGATTAGAGTAGAGGTTGCATCATGGGAAATAATGGCTAGGTAGAGTGGAAACAGATTACAAATGACCTTGAAAATTCAGCAGAGAAGTTTGGAGTCTGTACAGAAGGTAACAGGAGACACTCTAGATTCTTAATATTTGGAGTGATGTGAGAATGTTGTGTTTTAGGAGGAGGAATATGAAAACATTATTCAGAATATATTTCTAATGGAGGTGACGGTGAAGGGCGGGTGTGGGGATAGGAAGGTGGGTGACAAGAACACAAGCACATATCCAGGCAGGATGGGCACCACCTGGAGTCCCAAGTTCTCTGGAGGCTGAGGTGGGAGGATCACTTGAGCCTAGGAGTTCAAAGCCAGCCTGAGCAACATAGCAAGAATCTGTCACTAAAAAGAAAAAAAGAAAAGAAGACACACACAGCACCTCTCTCTCCCAAACTGTTCTCTTCCCATTTAACTAATTTATATCAAATGAAGGCACTTTTTCATCTTTCAATCAAGAAAACCTGGGATCGCTGGGCACGGTGGCTCAAGCCTGAAATCCCAGCACTTTGGGAGGCTGAGGCAGGTTGATCGCCAGGTCAGGAGATCGAGACCATCCTGGCTAACACGGTGAAACCCCTTCTCTACTAAAAATACAAAAATTAGCCGGGCATGGTGGCAAGCGCCTGTAGTCCCAGCTACTAAGGAGGCTGAGGCAGGAGAATGGCACGAACCCAGGAGGCAGAGCTTGCAGTGAGCCGAGATTGCGCCACTGCACTCCAGCCTGGGGGACAGAGTGAGACTCCGTCTCAAAAAAGAAAAAGAAAACCTGGGATCATGTTCAATTCTCTCTTCTCTATTTCCTAAATCCAGGAAGTCACCAACTAGCTTAATGTGGCTCTTTTTGGCACGTATGCCTTCTTCTGCTCCTTTTCTGTGTTTGTTTCTGTCCCTGCCCAGTGGCCTGGACCCTTCAAAATAGTTTAGTTGTGATGAAACATTGGCTTGGAAGGGAGGTAACAGACATGCTTAGAGAGAGGTGGTGACTGACTATCTAAATGAAGATGTCTTCTAGGAAGTTTAAAATATGAGATGTGAGCATAAACGATATTTTAGGACTAAAGATGAAGATGTAGAAATCATCCATGTAACTGTAGCTGTAGGAGTAGATCCACTTATTGAAGGGATATATTTAGAAGGGTTATTTATCCTGAGATACACCTATATAAAAGAACATGTATAAAAATAAACATAGTCCTGTAAAATAAGTGAGGAAGGAATATAGAGTATATGTAGAAATATATAGAGCAATAAGAAAATTTTAAAAATCAGAAATGTATAATGTGATGAAAATGAAAAATTTCAAGTAAGAAATTAAGCAACAGAATTGAGTGCCTCAGAGAGTTAAAGGAGAATGAGAATTCAGAAAAAAAAGCCTGGATTTTGAAACCAATGAGTTATTATTCTCCAGGAATGATGAGGTAGTTAATCTGAGTTAAACCTCCTGTTGAGAACAATTAGAAAATCTGGACAAAATGTCAAAGAAAAAAAGAGTTTATCTGCTTGAAGTTATTAGAGAAGCAATTGGGTTGACTCACTCAGAGAAGTGAGACTGGCATTGAGGGGTATTTTTTACTTAGAGGTAGCTACCAAAATCTGGAAAAGAAAATTGAGAAGCCAAGATAACTGGGAAGAAATTTTGGAAGTTTTTTGTGGCTTGGGAGAAAAAAATTGAGGTACCTTCTGTTGGAACATTGTAAAACTCCCTATTTTAAGTTGAGAACCCAAAAGGTTATGCTCTGGGAGTTGGGGTAAATTTGAATTAGAAGAGTCCTTGCAAGGACTGAAGCCACACTTTGAATTATTTTAATTCCTGAAATTGAATTCAAGGCAAGTCCAGATTATTTGTTACCTTGGACATCTACTAGAAAAAGAAAAGATTTTTTTTTTCCTGGAAGAAGATAACACAGGATTCCTATTATTTCTACAACTTGTATAATTATTTCTCCAATTTTCGAACTAATAATGTCTGGTATTCAACAGAAAATAAGCAGGTGACAAAACAACATAGATCAAAATCCAAAATTAATGACCAAAGAAAAACCTACAGGAGCTTCAAATAATGATATTATCAAATCTAAATTTTAAAATAGCTATGCTTAATATGCTCCAGAAAATAAAATAAAACGTTGAAAAATTTGGCAAGAAAGTAGTAACTGTAAAAATGAACCACATGTAAATCTACAACTGCAAAATACAAAGTGAAATATGGAGAGTTAAAATTAGGAAACAGAGAAGAGAGTGAAAACAACATTGAAAAAAATGAGTTGGATCCCCTGGAGCATAAAAGAGAGATAATGGGCTGGAAGCAATATATGATGAGATTGAATCTGAGAATTCTCTAAAGTTAGCAAAAACCATAAAGTCACATATTCAATCATCCCTACAGATCCTGAGCAAGAGAATAACAAACAAACAAACCTGAGCTTGTCGTATTAAAACATCTGAAAGCCAAAAACAAAGAAAAATAATAAAAGCATTCAGACATTCAGAGGAGAAAAAGCCAAACTACTTTCAAAGGGACAACTATTAGTGACAAGCTGACTGCAGAATTGAAACAATGAAAGCTAGCTGGTAATAAAATGTTATCTTCAGAGTTCTCAGAGTGCTCATAGTAAATAACTTGCTACTGTGAATTTTGTATCCAGGGAAAATAACATCCAAAAATAGATAAACAGCATTTTTAGATAAGTAAAACCTGGCAGAATTCATCACCTGTAATCTATGCCAAAGACAGAGAAAGATTATTCAGGCTCAGAATGTGAGATACAGGAAGAAATAAAGAACAATAAAAATGAGAAACAGATGAAGAAATGTAAATGTTTAATGACTATGTAAAACATAAAAGTAGAACCTTATGAGAAAATATGACAATATTATATAAATGGGAGGGGAATTAATGAAATTAAAAATGTTTCAATTTTTTACCTTCCTCTGGAAGAGCCAAAAAGTCCCATGTAACGTTAGATTTTGATAACTGAAGGATGAATAATGTAATTTTTAGGGAAATAAGTGAAGAATAGTAAGGTCAGATATTAGCACTAAGCTAATAGTGATAAAAAGTGGAATAATAAGAATATTTTATCTAAAAGGATAAAGAAAAAAAAGAACAGGTTAGATAAATAGAAGGGACTGAGTATGACAGTAGATGCAAATTGAAATATGTCACTAATTATATTAATTGTCAATGAACTAAGCTGTCCAATTAGAACACAAAGTTTGTCAAATGGGATAAAACGTTAACAATTTATAGCTTATAAATGACATGCCTCAAAAATATAAGGTTAAAAGGAAAACAGATGAGAAAAGATATACCATGCAAACCCTACCAAAGGAAAGTTTGTATATATATTTACATACCAGGCAACATACATTTTAGGACAAAAAATAAATAAAATACAGATGAAGTGTTGGAAATAATAAAATATTCAATTCACAAGAAGATAAAAATTCCATGTTTGCATATACCTAATAACATAGACTTATATAAAGCAAAAATTATCAGAAGTGGAAAAATTCCTAATCATAGCGAAACATTTAAAAGCGCCTCTCTCAAAAAATGCATGGGCAACCAGACAGAAATATCAGTAAGAAAATAGAATTAAAAAACATGAGTAACTACCACCTAATTAAATACATGAGAACTGTACTCAACAACTGTAAAATGAACTTTGTTTTCAAGCAGACATGGAATATTGACATAAATTGACCACATGCAAGACCATAAAGCAAGTTCCCTGAAATTTCTAGGGGTTGAAATCATATGGAAAATGTCACTGAGTGAAGACCAATTAAACTACAAATCAGTAACAAAAAGTTAACCAGAATGGAATCAACCTAAGTGTCCATTATGGATGAATGAATAAGAATATGTAGTGTATATACAAAATGAAATATATTCAGCCATAAGAAGAAGGGAATTGTCATTTGTGACAACATGGATAAACCTGGAGGAGATTTTGCTAAGTGAAATAAGCCAGGCACAGAAGACAAATACTGCATGATCTCACTTATATGTGAAATATAACAAAGTTAATCTCATAGAAGTAGAGAATAGAGTGATGGTTACCAAAGGCTGGAGGTGGGGATTGGAGAATGAAATGTTGGCCAAAAGGTACAGTTTCAATTAGAAGGAATGTGTTTTTGAGATCTATTGCACAGCAAGGTAACTATAGTTCATAATGATGTAACATATATTGCAAAATTGTTAAGAGAGCAGATTTTAAATGTCTGTGCCACAAAAACAATATGAGGTGAAGGAAATGTTATTTAGCTTTATTTAATCATTTGATAATGTATACAGAAATTAAAACATCACATTGTACCTCATAAATATAGACAAATATTATTTGTCAATTATAAAAATGTTAACCAGAAAATCCCCACTTTTGGAAATGAATGACTGATGGGCCAAAAAAGACACCATAAGGGAAAATAATTTAAATCAATGATAATAAAAATACTACATATCAAAATGTGGGATGCAGTTAAAGATGTGTTTAAAGAATAATTTAATAATTCTTTAAATTATACTTTAAAGAATATTTTAAGAATAATTTAGAGAACCCAATAATAAGAAAACCTAATTTAAAATGTACAAAAAATTTGGGCAGATACTTCACAAATTAAAGTATCTAACGAGCCAATAATCATATGAAAATATTTAATATCATTAGTTTTCAGAGAAATGCAGAATAAAACCCCAAATGAGATATCACATGTTATTAGGTTGGCTGACATTAAAAAGACTGACCATACCAAGTGTTGGTGAGGATGCATGACAATAGTGTTAGTGGGAATGCAAAACTTGTACAAATACTTTGGAAAACAATATAGCAATGTCTTATAAAGTTAAACATACACCTGCACCTAACATACAACTCAGTAATCCCATTACTAGTTATTAATTCAAGAGAAATGGGACATAGGTGCATATAATATATTGTACAACAATATTCATACCAGTATTGTTCATAGATGCCAAAAAGTGTAAACAACTCAAATGGCCATCAATTGGCAAATGATTAAAAAAATTGTGGTATTTCTATATTGTGGAATACTATTCAGAAGTAAAAAGCAGTAAAATATTAATGCATGCAACAATGCACTGGATTTTGGAAACAGTGAATCTCAAAAATAGTGAAATAATTCCAACACCACAGACTACATAATCTGTTATTTCATTTACCTAAAACTCAAAGAAAGGCAAAACGGTAATGATAGAAAGCAAATTAATATTTCCCTGAAGCCACTCATCAGAGGTGGTGATTGACAGCCATAGGGCATGACGAAACATTTTAGGGATTAGGATGGATTTATTGTGTATCTTGATTATGGTGATGGTTACATGACTGTATGCACTTACCAAACTTCATCAAATTGTATATGTAGAATCAATGAGGTTTATTTTACATAAGTTATAACTCAATGAAAAGTAAAATGATCGCAGAAAAGCAAGGTTAGTTAACTATTTGAAAATAAGTATAGCATAAAGAAACATTAAGAGGGAAAAATCATTTGGTCCTCCCAATAGATGCAGAAAAAGTATATAAAACTTAACATCTGTTTATAATAATACATTGAACACATAGCATAGGAAAAATATAAGGGAATTTCATTAACCAGGTCAATAATATCTATAATAAGACTTCAGCAAACATTATATTTAGTGGTGAAATTTTGAGACATTAGTGTTTGAAATAAGAATGCCCGATATTTGTCACTTCTAGTCATCATTTTATTGGAGTCTGTGCAAAAAGGCAAATATAAGAAACAAAATTCTTTAGAATTAGAAAGAAAGGAATAAAGCTATCGTATCACAGATCCTATGATCACGTGTGGACAAAATTAGGAACAAAAGCACAAGTAAATTGGTAGAAGTAGTAAGCAAAATTAGCATATTTTCTGAGCATAAGGTCTGTATATAAAATCAAAAGTATTTCTGTGTGTCAGCAACAAATAGACAATAAAATTTAAAAATGCTATGTATAATAACATAAAATATGACACCTAAGAATAAATCTAGTGAAAGATGTGTACAGTCTCTACACAGAAAACTATAAAATATTATTGAGAGAAATAAAAGAAATGGATGGCTATACCATGTTATAGATTGGATGACTCAATATTATAAAGATATTAATTTCCCTACAAGTTTATATATATATATATATGTTTGCATGTATATATATCTATACATGCAAAGAGCCAAGGATAGCCAACACACTCTTGAAGTAAAAGAAGTTGAGAGATTTATGCTATAAAGATGTCAAAGCTGGCACGCTGGCTCGCGCCTGTAATCCCAGCACTTTAGGAGGCTGAGGCGGGCAGATCACGAGGTCAGGAGATCGAGACCATCCTGCCTAACACGGTGAAATCCCATCTCTACTAAAAATACAAAAAATTAGCCAGGTGTGGTGGTGGGCGCCTGTAGTCCCAGCTACTCGAGAGGCTGAGGCAGGAGAATGGCGTGAACCCGGGAGGCACAGCTTGCAATGAGCCAAGATCGTGCTTCTGCACTCCAGCCTGGGCGACAGAGTGAGACCCTGTCTCAAAAAAAAAAAAAAAAAAAAAAAAGATGTCAAGACCTACTATAAAGCTGTACTGTAATTAAGACAATGTGATATTGGCACAAGGAAAACTAGATCAAAGGATATAATAGATGTTCTAGAAACAGAACAATTTATTTCTGTTAAAGGTGGTGCTGCAGGACAGTGGGCAAAAGGAATCTTTTCAATACATGGTTCTGGGGCAATTGGACATCCTCAGGAGGAAAATTTAGGCTTTACCTCTACTTCACATAGTACACAAAAAATCAATTCCCTAGATTCTCTATTACAATGTGAAAAGCAGAAGCATAAAAACTTGTGAAAGAAAAGCTAGGAGAATATATGTATAAACTCCAGTTGAAGAAAGATTTCATAAACACGACCCTCAAACACATTAAATGTAAAGGAAATGTCAATAGACAGGACGGTGTCAAGATTAAGGTATTTTATTAAGAAAGTAAAAAAGGTAAACCACCAAGCAGCAGGAGACATTTGCATGACAAGTAACTGACAAAGAGCTAGTGTCCATATCATATAAAGGAACACCACAAGTCAATAAGAAAACGGTAGTTTAATAGAAAAACAGGCAAGAGAGTTGAACAGGTATTTCACAAAAGATTCCTTTAAGTAGCCACAGACACGGAAAAGTGTTGTGCTAATCAGAAAATTACAAACTAAAGCCACTAGGAGGTACAATGTGTATCCCTAAATTGCTAAAATTACAATGACTGACAACACCAAATGTTGAACTGGAAATGAAACTTTCCCAAACTGATAGGGGAAGTAGAAATATGTAAGATTGCTAATTACCTATTAGTGTTAATACATATGTACTGTATGGTCTTGAAATTTGACTTTTAGTTACCCAACAGACATGTGTGTGCAAGTGCAGCAAGAGACTATATAAGAATGTTCATAGCAACATTATTATAGCCAAATATTGGAAATGATCTAAATGTTAATCAGTAGTAATATAGATAAATTGTGCAATAGTCATACAATACGAACGCTGTATAACAATGCAAATGAATGAACTGATGCATGCAATGGCATGGATAAATCTCACCATCAGAATATTGAAGAAATAAGCTAGACACACAATTCCATAATAAGCCAGACAGAATTCCGTAATAAGGGAGGCACATGAATCCATTCATAAAAAGATGAAAAGCAGGAAAAACAAAACACAGTGTTAGGCATAAGGATAGAGATGGTCTTCGAGGAGGAGAGAGAGATTAGACAACGTTCTTTTTTTTTGTCCTGAGAGATAGTTGATATTTTACAAATATGTTGTGATAATTTATTAGTGTTTTTGTTTTATGTGATTTTCTGTTTATGTGTTATTGTAATCGCGCAGTGAGTTCACCTTGCCCGCTGCCTAGTTAGAGCCGATTTATCAAGACAGGGGAATTGCGTTGGAAAGAGTAATTTGCACAGAGCCGGCTGTGCTGGAGACTGGAGTTTTATTATTACTCAAATCAGTCTCCCCAAGCATTTGGGGATCAGAGTTTTTAAAGATATTTTGGCGGGTAGGGGCTTGGGAAGTGGGGAGTGTGGATTGGTCAGGTTGGAGATGGAATCCTACGGGGTTGAAGTGAGTTTTTCTTGCTGTTTTCTCTTCCTGGGTGGGATCGCAGAACTGGTCGAGCCAGATTACCCGTCTGGGTGGTGTCAGTTGATCCAGCCAATGCAGGGTCTGCAGAATATCTGAGGCACTGATTTTACATTTTGAGCAATTTGCACTGATTTTACATTTTGAGCAATTTGCACTGATTTTACATTTTGAGCAATTTGGGGAGGTTCAGACTCTTGGAACCAGAGGCTGCATGACCCCTAAACCATAATTTCTAATCTTGCAGCTCATTTGTTATTTCTGCAAATGCAGACTGGTCCCCAGGCAAGAAGGGCGATATTTTGGGAAAGGGCTGTTATCAATTTTGTTTCAGAGTCAACCCATGAACTGAATTCCTTCCCAAAGTTAGTTTAAAGGTTAGAAGCAAGATGGAGTCGGTTAAGTCTGATCTCTTTCACTGTCGTAATTTCCTCAGTTATAACTTTTGCAAAGGCGGTTTCATTACCATTTACAATAAAATAAGGTAAAATGTAAAGCAGTCATTGGTGACCTTCAGGAGAATAATTTCAGCAATGTTACTGAGGCTGGAGAAAGTTAAGGTAGGGAAAGGCTGGGCAGAATGTAAAATAACAGTTTCAGATCACTTTGAGGGGTGTTCAGCAATGGGAGCAGAGGATAGAAAAAAATTTGCTATTGTATTATTGTGGTGTATTTTAGCTATTAGTAAAATCTTCTTTATTCAAGAGTGAGAAGACATAAATTTGCTTTTTTATTTCCTGACACCTTTCATAAAATTCCATCAATGAAGTTTCATTATCTTTTCTTTGAATGCCTATTCAAACTGCACTAATATTAGATTTAGGAAGAAATAAACCTTTCTCTTATTAAGAGCTTCTTTCATAATTTTGTTCATTCCATATGACAACTAGGACTGAAAATTGAGGCAAGTCTGGGGATGTCGCTCAGCTCTACAAATGAAAGATATTTGTAGAATCTTTCCATTTTCCCTTTTAGGATTGCTGAGAAGGCTTTATGTTGGCATGGCATAGAATTATCTGTGGATAAGGAGACTTTGCTGTATTCTATGGTCTCTGAAAGTGCCTCAGCCCAACCAGCTGTCTGAAACAACCCACGTGCTGATTATAAGGGAAATTGGATAAAAGGTGCCTACTGCTGTTAGGACTCTTACCACACTGTACCGTGTGATCTGCTTCATATTTTAGTCTCAAAAAAAAAAAGAGTTAAAATCGTTAGTGCAGCAGTTTTTTAGAGAAATTCTTTCTTATCCTAGAGATAGAAACAAAGTGGATCACGAAAGAGGAAAGAAACTTCACAGATAACCAGCCAAAAAAGAATTGAGTTGGAATGGGGTGTGATTCTGCTGCCTTGGTAGAGAATTGTTTTATTCAAAGTCCTTTGGGTTGGAAGGACTATCATTAACATGACTTTGATCAGAGTCAGGAAAAACTACGAGATATGCAAAATCCAATCAGTTTTCATTGAACAAGCTGTAAAAGTTATGAACCTATCAACCAAAATTTCTTCTGATGAAATATCCAAATCAGCTGATTAGATTAAGTTTACAAAACATAGACTGTGCCAATGATCGAAAAGGTTATTACTGAATTTATTACAAAAGCATGAATGTTAAGAACTTAATTTATTCCATCATTTCCTACTATGGAAACATTTATACCATTACAAGCAATTTGGGTTTCCTATCTCAGCATGTTGAAGTGCGAAATATACTCCAAATTTTAACTCAAAAATTTATTGAACCAGAGATATTTGAATCATATTCAGCTGTTTGGAGAAAAAGTTTGATCTCAAACAAATCCATGCAACAACTAAGAAAGCATAGCCAGTCAATCTGCTTCAAACTAGAGACAGAATTTGCTTTTAAAGCACCCAGTGCAGATCTAACCATGAAAATCTTTAATACAGATATTTTAAATGTGTGGGTGATACATTTCTAATGATGATTTTGAGGAAATATATCTGTGATTTTCAATTTATTTTTGTATATTATTGTTTGGAATACTCATGACCCTGCACTTTCAAAGGGTTGATTTTATTTTCAGGGAACCTCATTTTGTTACTTACCCTTAACTTGCCTGCCTTAATGCCCAATAAAGATTTTACTCCAACCTTTCTCCAGAACTTGCTGCTTTGTTAGAAAATAATCTTGAATTCCATCAGATGAGAACAAAGGTGGATTTACCACGGTTGCATGTGTTACTGGGATATGAACTAATTTTGTTTATCTATTAGTAATTAAATTTTATCTATTGCTAATCATAATTATTCAGTGGCTTAATTGCCACTGTTTTGGAGCTAGTTGACTAGATATCTTCATTTGGGTGGGTAGTTTAAGATTTTGACGTCCTAACCCAGGGATTAGGTTTGTTATTAAGTAACCAGCGTAGTCAGCATTGCCATGGCTCAAATGGGAGACAAAGTGGCATTAAAGGTGTGCAGTAGATTGATTGCATAGCAGCTCCCATTCTACACCCCTCCCTGCACCACTCCCTTTGCCTTGTAATTCTTCAGTGCCCTTTGGGCTGGGTATTCCATCTCATCCCTTGACTTTAGATTGAGCACATGACTTGCATTGTACAATGGCATGTTAGAAAATGTAACCCAAGAAGAAGGCGGAACAAGCATTGCATGCTTTTGATGAGTCTCTTGCAGCTTTGTGATTTCCATGAGAACATGCCTGGCTTGCTTGCTGTAAGATGAGGCACATGGAGCAGAGCTGAGTTGTCCCAGACACCCCAGCTGAGGCCGTCCTAGATCAGCTAACAACCAGCTACCCCCGGACTTGAGACTGAGCCAGCTGAGGCCAGAAGTACTGCTCAATCGAACTCAGCCTAGACCAACAACCCACAGACCTCTGGGTAAATTAAATGCTTATATTTTTTTACACCACTGGTTTTGGGGTGCTTTGTTATGTAGCATTATGGTAGATAACGGGTACAACATGATTTCATCAACATCTAGTTTTATGGCTAAATTGCCGATGTAGCACTTTACAAATTCATACATTTTGCTGATCAGATTGTCAGAGCTGGTCAGGAGGACCTTCAAGATAGTTGAATCGCTTGGAAGTACAGGAATATGAGACAGAGGAGTTTATGTTATAACAAATATCTTTGACCAAACTTTACTCAGGCTCCTGAAGCTTCTCCTAAGCTTGTCCTTGCATTTCCTTGTAAAATCCAGTTTTAGCCAAGAACTCCGCTAAGTCAGCTTAGCAAAAACCCTCCACCTTTGATACCTAATTAGGCTTCTCTTTCTCTACCATCCCCCAGATGATGTCTGATCACCCTTGTCCCTCTTCAGCAAGAATCCTTGTAGGTCAGTTTAGCCAGAATTCCTCTTATCTCTGATGGTTCCTCTTAATAATTTTCCATCCACCGACCCCCACACTGCTCCTTGGCTGTAAATCCCCACTTGCCCATGCTGTATTCAAAGCTGAGTCCAATCTCTCTCTTCCGGTGCAAAATCCCACCGCAGTGACCGCTATGCCCAATGTGATGATCCTGAATAAAGACTTCCTATTCTGCTTTAACAAGTGCCTTTGAAGAGTTTTTTTTCTTTAACAGTTGTTCGTTTTTTTCTGCAGCTGAATCCTGAATTCGGGGGACAGTGGGCCTAGGGTCAGGCTGTAGCTTGGTGGCAGCAGTGGTCTCTCTTTTGCTATAGACAAACTTCTCATTCTGGGGCATGTAGACATTATTCTTTCTTTGTGTCTCACATGCTCTATTCTTCGTCAACTTGTCACTTAATGGGAATAAAAAAACACCAGGAAATATTTCTCACCCCCAGGAAACATGTGAAATGTGTCCATCATATTTTTCTAGTTATTAAATAATTATTTCAACTTGTTCAGCAGATCATGGGGAAACTCAGACTATATATATTTTAAGATTTCTGACTTTAGGAAAGATGTTTAATTTCATTTTGATGTTTTTACAGTGTAATATGAAACTGTGCTAATCTATTTCTATAACTGGATTCTCATTTATAATAATACCAATCTTAATATTATTTTTTTCCTAGATTAGCACTGTAAAGCTCCATGTAGTTATCTGAGTTGAAGTTATCAGGGAGGCAAGAAAAGCAAAAGCTTAAAATAACCTCAAGAAATAGTATTTGGGTAATTCTGCTCACAAATCATCTTATTTTACAAGATTTGGGAGAGCTTCGTTGCTCCCTGATGCAAGCTGACCATTTTGCAGTTTGAAGTTTTGAGGTGACTCACCTGAAAATTGAGTTAAAAGCAGCCTGAATAAGATGGCTCACCAAAATGACAGGTGTATTATTTGAGGCTTGCCAAGAGTGAAATACTTCAAGCTTCTCTCCTTCCTTTCTCTCACTACTTTTTTCATTTTTTTCCGTCAGGACTGACCCACTTGGAAAATTCTGGAATTTCTAGCTCATTTCTTGGTTTAAAAATATTTATATTATGACTTCCAGACAACAAAGACTGTGATAATTTGTATAACATAACACTTCTACCTTGGGTCCTCATAGAAACAACTGAAGAAATATATAAATATCAAGAAGCAAACATGATCACTGGAAATTATGGGAAAGTACAGTTAAAAAGCTGGGGATATTAGTTAGTTTCTTTATACTTAATGTAGATTTTTCCAAAACAAAGGATATGGGGCTGAGACTTTTAGAAAGTCCCACTGGTGATGAATTAGGAGGGATGAGTCTGACAGCTGTGTGTACCCTGGAGAAGGTGACTTGGGTTCACTCAACTCCTTGTTCATGGATGTGGATCAAGAGTATATGAAAGTGCTTGCATTAGGAGATATGAGAGTTCATATAGGATTCACATTAAGCAAAAAGCTGCCAGGGAGGCAAGATGTCTTGTAGACACCTTTGATTTTTTCCATTTGATGTGCTAAGCAGTAGCCTGGCGAAGCAGATTGCTTAAGATTTGCCACGAACCTGGGCAGTACGACAAGCCACAGAGAGAAAAAGGCTGACAGCTGATCCTCAGCAGAGTGGATCACCAGATAGAGTTGCTTCTCCATTTCCTCAGTCTCTGAAACAGCCGCGTACCCATGTAATTTAGAGCAACTAAGCTTTCTGCCAAAGGTCTGAAAAGGAAATTTTAAGGAAAAATACACGGTGGATGAGAGGGGTCCAAAGAGTCTGAGCCATCCTCATTAAATATGGATGGATCACACCAGAAGGCCTCAATACGATACTGAAGAAAATGTTCTCAAGCTTAAAAGGAAGAAGATGCAGATGTTGTATTTCTAAAATATTTTCCACAAGAAAGAGAACAAATGTAAAATGATCTCTTCGTGCTTTCAATAAAACTCTAGAAAATATGAAGCAGAAGCATGGGGAAAAGAAAAACAGGAAACAGATTAAAAAGGGATCCAGCTGAGGGAGACAGAGAGAGCAAGCAAGCGAAAATTCAGTGAGTTGGATGAGGCAGGAAAAGATAAAGGAAACTAAAATGTAATCGCTGATTTAAAATTTGCATGAGAAAGACTAAAATCTGTATGAGGAGGCTTAAAATGGAAAAGTTTTTCTATGATGTAATGAATCATAATGTGGAAAACAACTTTGAGAAGCTTTCCAGAATTCAGATGAAGGGGATAAAGAATGAAATTGATGAGAGAGAAGATAATATGGTTCATGAATCCTGGAGATGTAACAGAAGGAACGTGTTGTTTCAGAATTGTCTTCCGAACATTAACTGCAAGAAGAAATGAAGCACGACTTTCAGGATTTTGAGAACAAATATGTTTGGCTTTAAAATTTTTTTGTTTAATAGTTAATTGGGTTTTTATTCACATGGAATGCAACTGAAGTACATTTTCAGATAATAATTGGCTAAAAAAGTAGACTGCTAATAACGTTCTCTTCTTAAGCTACTGGAAATTAAAAAGAAAACCTCAAAATGACTAATGGTCAATAGTGAAAAAAATAATTAAATGAGTCTTATGATTGTAGTTGTAAAGTCAGCTAAGTAGGCCATAAATAGTTATTGAAAAGTGATACAAATTTAAAAAATAGAAATTGGGTTTTACTAACAAAATAACAAGTGAGGAATTGGAGGCATGATGTAAAATTATGAATGCCTTCAGGTTACATGGAGGAGAAGAAATTGATGGTATATTTTCTGACATTAACCTCTTTAAATTACAAAGATGTGTGAGATTATTTCATTGTGAGATGCAGTGTTCCATATAGAATCTTGCACACGATGAATGCGTAGGATTTGGTGCTTTAATCATCAAGCTAACACCAGTGTAACCACCGCTCAGGGGCAGAAGGAGTCTGACACCAGCCTACCCCAGCAGCCTGCTTTGTTCCTCTCTGATTCTAAATTCATTCCTTCCCCTTAGCCATGAATATCATCCTAACTTTTTTGATCTTGAAATAAAATCATTTTGCCACCTGAACAATATGGTTTACTTTTGCCTGCTTTCGAACATTATGTAAGCAGAATAAAATTCTGTATGTATGTATTATTTTGTATGTTGCTTTTTTTTGTTCAACAGTTTGGGTCATTCATGTTGTTGATCTAGCCTAGTTTATTTAATTTTATTACTTTATAGGATTTCATTATCTATTCATATAATTTATTTATCCCTTCTAATGTTGGTGAACTTTTGGAATATTTGCAATTCTTGGCTTTTATGAGAAGTATGTCTTAAAATATTTTACAAGGTGATGACATATAGAATTGAATAAAGATGTATGATTGAAAAAAATAAATGAAAATATTATTAACACATCAAAATAATGGTAAAAAAGTAAGAAATCTTAAAATAGGACTTACAAAATGGGCTGACAAAAGCAAACCCAAACATGAAATAAATATGAACACATCTTTTTTTTTTGAGATGGAGTCTGGCTCTGTCCTCCAGGCTGGAGTGCAGTGGTGCGATCTCTGCTTACTGCAACCACCGCCTTCTGGGTTCAAGCAATTCTCGTACCTCAGCCTCCCTAGAAGCTGGGATTACAGGTGTGTGCCACCAAGCCTGGCTAATTTTTGTAGTTTTAGTAGAGATCGGGTTTCACCATGTAGACCAGGCTGGTCTTAAACTCCTGACCTCAGGTGATCTGCCCACCTCACCTTGGCCTTCCAAAGTGCTGGGATTACAGGCATGAGCCACTGCACCCGGCCCTGAGCACATTACTTCTTATTAAAACCTAAATATTAGGACTGGATCAGAAACGATATCTGAATGTGAGCTATTTATTATGAGTACTCATAAAATAAAACAGTGCAGAAAGGTCAAGAGTAAAAGGGTAAGAAAAACTACATTAAGGTTCACACCTGTAATCCCAGCACTTTGGGAGGCCAAGGTGGGTGGATCACCTGAGGTCAGGAGTTCAAGACCAGGCTGACCAACATGGTGAAACCTTGCCTCTACTAAAATTGCAAAAATTAGCTGGGCATGGTGGTGCATGCCTGTAATCTCAGCTACTTGGGAGGCTGAGGCAGGAGAATCACCTGAACCCAGAAGGTGGAGGTTGCAGTGAGCAGAGATCACGCCATTGCACTCCAGCCTGGGTAACAAGAGCAAAACTCTGTCTCAAAAACAAAAATAAAAACACTACATTAAGAAAATCAAACAAAACATCTGGAGTTACAGTAATAATATTAAACAATTAGGCTTCAAGGTAAAAGTATGAAACAGAACAAAAATGGTTTGTGATTAAAAAAAGACGAGTGTAATAACATTCTGTAATCCAAACTAAAAAAAGATCAAATTGTATAAAAAACACAAATTCAAGAACAAGTCAAGAAACTAAAAAAATACACGTCCTTTTTTCAGTATATAACAGAAGAAATAGGAAATAATGCTAAGATATATCTAAATAATATAATAAATTCAGATGACATAATAGATTTAAAGCTATATTTTCTATAACAGAAATATATTTAGTATATAAATAAAAATTTGGTAAATAACATGATATAGTTTACAAAAGAGAAAGGGAAAATAACACAGACGGCAGAAATTAATGAAATTAGAAAAACTAAAAATAAAATATCTGCATAAAAAGGGAATGAAATGACAGCTATTGAGATTAAAAATTACGAGCAAATACTTAAACCCTTTTCTAAAATTTAAAATCTCAAGAATGAATGAATAGGAGGGAATATGAATATAAAAATGATTCAATGAGAAGGAAAAAATAAAAAATCGGAGCATCTGAACAAAATATCAAACTAGACATTAAAATATTTTTCAAAAATTACTTTCTGAAAATGCTTTGGGCCCAGAACACTGAACTAGTAAGCTCTGTTACTTTGTTAAGCACAGGTAAAGAATATAGATCAGTGTTATACTGTATACACTCTTTTATGACATATAGATAGCTGGTATTATTTTACAAACTATTATTACCCCAATCTGGTCATGAAAGTAGAAAAAAAATCCATAACACCAATCTCATTTATAAATTTCATCTCAACATTCTAAATAAAGTTATAGCAAGTTAAATTCCAGAAAAGTTATAGTTACATGTCAAAAAAAAATTTCTTACCAAACGAGTAGAAGAAGTAGATGAACCTTTTGGTATGGTGAAGGTCTGTTTAAGCCTAAGTAACATAGGAAGAAATTATTTAAAAAATCTATAGTTTATAACTGTATGTCAACAATACAGTGATCCGAATTAAAAGGCAAGAGTAGTAGAAGAAAAAAATATTGTAATCCCTGTGAAAGAGCTTGTATGTTTAATATGTAAAGGTTTGTTACAAATGAGTAAGAAAAATAAGTGCCTGAACAGAAAATTGGGCATAGCCATAAGTGGACAATTCACTAAAAAAGTAATAAATAAATAACACGATATAACAATAAATAAATAACAGCTTCTCTCATCATCAAAGTACTACAAATTAAAACACTGGCTCGGTATCTAGCTATGATTAGTTCATTGCAACTTTGTGGAAGTCCGAAGGCATTTGAAGACTCTAATGTATTCATAGGGCACTTAGTATTCTCAGCCTACACCCTAACATAGGGTTGAATTCCTATTTCCAGGAATTGTTTTGGATATCTATCTGATGCATGCTCCTTTTGTCAACATTTGAGTTGACCAAATGTGAAAATTAGGCCCTTTCCAACACACACATACAAACCTCACTAGTATGAATCATCCATACTGATGAAGGGGAGGTGGGGGAGGGAACATGTAACAACAGCTTGGACAACTTCACAGTGGAAAACAGATATTACTGTTCTTGAAATTCCTTTTCAACACTACCTTTGGAGGAAGTTTTGTTAAGCACAGATAAAGAGCATAGATCAGCGTTATGCTCTTCTATGACATGCAGATAGCTGACATAATTTCCGTGAGATCTCTAAGCCTTAAAATATGAGATTGGCTCATTATCTCCTCCTCCATCTGTGCTCTCTGTCCCTCTCCTATTTCTTGACACTTTCCTCTTTTCTCCCCAGCAATTCCAATTGTACCAGTGGTTCAGCGAGCGAGCTGCCTCTTTGTTGCCTTGGCTTCTGCTGACAATAGTGCTCTGAGAGCCTCATCCTCTATTCCGAAGAACTGACCAAAGTTCCTAAATAAGGCAGTTTGGAATGATTCTTTCATTAAGAAGAATCAGCTGCTGACTTTTGGGATAATAATGGTTCTACCGTGATATTAAGACACAATATAAGTCTTCAAAATTTTTTTTGCACTTGCTCTGGGCTGCTTTAGGCTCCCTCCCAATGGGTTCTACCAGTATTTCCTAAGGATATTTGTTTGCTCTCTACTGTCATTAGAATTACTTTAGACAAGTTTGGAACCCACCCATTCCCCACTCCCCTCCACCTGCGTGAAGTATTACCCACCACTTCAGGCATCCTCTTTCAGAACTGTGGGTCCTAAAGCATAGGCAGACCACCTTTATCCCTGCCACCATGGTGAGGAATGATAGCGTAGTGAGTTGATCTTGGCCATAGCTATAAAGGTTATGAAGAAATGAAATACATTTTAACTGTAGCTAGTACAAAATTTGGGGATTCATGTTAAAATCTTGAGCCCTATTCATGATCTAAAAGTATAAAGCTGTAATTGTTAACTATTACAGGTTGTTTGGATTCTATATTTTATTAATTGCATGCACTAAGAAGTTATATATGGTTAGGAATCTATGACAACTTTAAACAAATTGAAATTCTTATTTGGGAAAAATTGGGCCCCTACAAAGCCCTGTCTTAAATGAAAGAAAAAGGGGAGTGGAAGAACCATTATGTATCGAATGTCTACATGTCCCAGACATTACTTTATTAGGCCTCCCACAAAGTCTATGTAGGCCCCATTATTGTTTCCATTTATAGTTAGCAAAAAGGGGATTAGCAGTCTTATTGCTTTTCCCAAGGTTCTAGATGGCTAAGTGGTGGTGAGGCAGGACAGACAACCCCCAAACTGGGGCTTAGCTCAGGAGAGTTCTTGGCTTCTCCCAGGAAAGCAAGGGTGAGCCAGTGATGTTAAACAGCAACTTTTACTGAAGTGGCAAGTACCTCTGTACAAAAGCACAGGTACTGCTCCTTGTGGAGCAGGGCTACCTTATAGGCAGCATGCCCAGGGTAGCAGCTCAGAAGCAGCTGTGCACTCATATTTATACCCACTTTTAATTACATGCAAATAAGGAGTGGTTTATGCAGAAATTTCTAGGAAAATGGTGGTAACTGCTGACTGGTTGGGTCGTTGCCATAGAAAGGAGTGGTAACATCTGGGCGTTGCCATGACAATGGTAAACTGACATGATGTGCTGGTAGGTGTGTCTTATAATGAGATGCTTCCATGCTGGACCTGTTTTAGCTAGTCCTCAATTTGTTCTGGTGACCAAGCCCCACCTCTGATGTCCAAGCCTTGCTTTCAGAGTCGAACCCCAACTCTTAGCTCAGTTGAGCACACTTTTCATCTGTAATCTTCACAGTAAACTCTGAGATACCCTATACAGCCAATGTTTTTCATTTGCCTCATTTAAATTATGCAAATTATCTGGATAATTGGGTTTTCTGTAATAGAAATCTGGCAAGGCTGTTGTGAAACTTGAAATTTTAAGAATTTCTCCAGAAGAAGTCCCTTGGTTGCCCTAAGTCTATTGGCCATCCTTGGTTTAATTTTTTTTTTAATCATTGTGGTAATCACTTTTTTAAAAAACCATTCTTTTCTTCTTTTCATTCTTTATGTATTGCTAATTTCTAGTCCCATTATTTATATTATAGCCAAGACATTGGCATTCACCTTTGTATCACTGCAGCTATGGCACTCTCTTAATTGGAAGAGGGTGAATGTTAATCTTTTAAATTATTATTATGATATTTTCAGTGCCAAGAGTGCCCAAGAGGCTTTTAATACAGAAATACAACAAATGATAATAGGAGAAAATTTACTCCTTCCCTGTGCGGTTGTAATTTAAAGGTGAAAATAAGTACAATGCAGCTAAATGTGATTATTAATATCAAATATTATAACTTTACAAGCTATGAATACAGTTGTCTCCCCTTTTTCATGGTTTCCCTTTCTGTGGTTTTAGTTACCCTCAGGACAGTACAAGATATTTTGAGAGAGAGAGAGAGAGACATTCATATAACTTTTATTACAGTATATTGTTATAATGGTTCTATTTTATTATTGTTGTTGTTAATCACATACTATGCCTAATTTATAAATTAAACTTTATCATAAGTGTGTATATACAGGAAAAAACAGTATATGTAGGATCACTATCCATGATTTCAGACATCCACTGGGGATCTTGGAAGCTATCCCTTAGAATAAGGAGGTGGGGACTACTCAATGCCTTAGGAGCCTTCTCTTATGCTATTCGTAGAAAATTTAAAGTGCAGCATAGATGTCTCGCCATCACTTTGTACAATTTACAATTTAATTTTTTAGTGTCCTGTAGTAAGAAAAAACCTAATAAGGTTAACTCTTAACTTATCCCTAATACATGAAAATTATTGCTATAACTTTAAGAAGAGTTAGGTCAAAACCAGATTTGGGTAAGTGGCTGAAGACTGGGAAGATATTTCATTTATATTTCTCTTGGGCTCGATTCCAATGGGTAACTTGAAAGCAGAGAAACTCTCTTATTGCCAGATCTCAGAGCCAAGTATGTACCTCACATCTCCCTCAGTTTTACCTTTACCTGCATTTATCTGTGAATGACGTCTCTGGTTCCTAGAAAAAAAAAAGCAACTTGAATCAGCAATTGCCTGCCTTAGATTTGGAAATTCTATATAACATCATGCTGCTTTAATATCTTTTGGAAGCTTAGAATATTAATCTTTTCTGACTTTAAAATAATTGGGATGAAAACTGTTTGTAATGCTCAATGACAGTTTGCTTTCTTGTAGTGCCTTTTATGTGTGAATCACAAAGCCTTTTGCAAACCATAACTCAGTTCTTGCAGCTCCCTGGTGAGGCAGATCCCATTATCCCTGTTTTACAGATGATCATGAAATAGACCCATGGAGTCTCAATGAGGAGCCTCAGGTCATGCAATGAGTCAATGGGAAAGTTGGGGAAGGAACTTGTAGAACTTTTGACGTACTCCTTTAATTTGACGCCTTAAGAAGGATAAGGAATTCATAAATGAGGAAGATAAATGAAGAGCCATTGGAAGAGCTGTTTTGTAACAAGCAATAATTGTTCTGATAAATTTTAAATTTTGCCTTAGCTTTTAAGTTTGTATATAAATGAAGGTTTGTGGGACTACTGCTAGGATACTGTTTTATGGCTTCTAATATGTAATATATATAACTAAAGAGGAAGATATTTAAAATATGCAATAGTAGAAAGTGCAGTGGGATATGCAAGAAGTAATTTCAATGGACACAATGTACTATTTGGGTATGCAATAATGTGCAAACTTAAATGCTAAATTCAAAGGTCAATATACCAAATTATTTGCCATGATGAGTTGCCAGAAAAAAAATACACTGCAATTTTAGATGCATGTAAGCTAAGGCTCAATTTTTAAAATTTATCAGAACAACTATTGCTCATTACAAAACAGCTTTTCTGATGGCTCTCCGTTTATCTTCATTTATGCATTCCTCATTCTTCTTAAGGCATCAAATTCAAGGGGCATGTCAGAAAACCAGAAGCCACTTTTCATAGAGGTCATTTAGTCAGTTCAACCTCTGTTATACTGAAATCATTCAACTTAAAAGAGAATTCTATTTGCTAAAAGTACTTGGAGAAGGAGGATTTCATTAGATAATATGAGAAAATGGTCTTTTAGTGAAATGTGTACCTCTTATCTGTAGCAGATAAAATGGTTTGGTCATTGAGAGAGATGAGTCAGCTGTCCAGACTGAAGCTGGTGTCTACATTTTAATTGGAGGTGTGCAGTGACAACAGGATCAGGGTCTGTTCCTTCAATTGGCTGCTGAGGCTTTTAATTTTGTCAGTTCACCCAGGGTTAGCAGGTTCTGGAGGACTAAGTGAAGCTAGCCAAATTTTAAAGAGACCGATGTACAAGCCGGGGTGCAACTGTAACTCACATTGAAATCGGATTGGCATACTTATGCTAAGTACTGAGGGTGTTTTATTTCTAGTAGGTAAGGACAATTGAAAAACCAAGTTAATATCAGAATTCTATTGAAAAGTCTATTTCAAGGATTGGATGATCTGAATGGCGTGTCTGTCGTGTCTGAAAAAGATAAATTTGCCTAGTGAAGAGTAAGAGCATTTGTGGGGCCGATTGGATGCCCTGCAGCCCTCTACCTGTAGGCAAAGATAACATTACCCTTTATGTGTTTTCATTAGTTGGACAACAGGTTCTCTAACAAAAATTGTGCTTCTGCGTGGGTGTTGAGGTGTGGAAAACAATCTGGTTTGCAAACAATCCATTTGGAAGTCATCTCTTCAAAAGTTGATTATTTCGAATATGCCCACCACATTTCATTCACTTTATTGCTTTCTTTTTATATTGATTCTTATTAATTTTTATTACCATGCTTGTCTTCTGAATTACTACTCAAAATTCTGGGGATTACCATTACCCTTATATAATATATAATATAATTCTTCATACTGTAAATTAGTCATTCCTTTTAGTTCTTCCTAGTTATTTTTTAGTTTTCTTTCTTGAGCTTAATATTTTTTTACATTAGATATTTTTGTAGGAACCAAAAGTTACTGTGGAATTTATACTATGTCTTTCTTGGGAAGGAAAGAAGAGTTGGTGGCTGCGTTGATATAAGTAGGGAAAAAAGGATACTGAAGTTAAGAAGTGATGTGAAAGATGAGATTGGTTATCAGTCTCAGTTGATTAGTTTCCTGAAGGGTCGTTTTATCAACCTTTAGTTCTTTTGCCTTTTAGCTAAAGCAACTGCTGGCTTCAGGTTCACTTCATAGTTCAGTATCGATGATAACCGTGATCAGAAAAGCAAGGACTGAGCAATGCTTTACGATCAGTCTAAGATGACTGACCCTTTTCCTGGGCTGTGACCTTCTTTACCTGTGGCTCAGGAGCATGCAGGGAAAGACACATTGTCTTAAAACACAAAAGATGTTTGCATCCAGTTTGATCTTCACCCTAAATAATGGGAATTCAGTATCAGTCAGAGACGTCCTGAGGAAACCACCTTAGAATATACAATGGATACAGAAAATGGAAGGCTGAGTTGGGAACAATTCAGTGTTCTCAGCATTGCTACTGGTATTTTATTTTTCCGTTGTTAATTCCATCTTCATGGTCTTCAATCCACCACTAACTGCAAAACAATTTCATTTATGATATAAGACTATAAGACTGTGTCATCTTCAAAAAGCTGACCCGTCAAGACTGGTGAAGTTCCCATAGTCTGCAGTAGAGTCCCCAAGAGCTTCCATGTGCCTGACCTCTTCATCTGATATGGAAAACCCTGAATACACATGTTCTCCACAGGCTGTGGAGCTGCCAAGTGTTTAATTAAGAAATCAAGCCAGAATAAATGAAGACTCTGGAGTGGCTGAAGCTCCTTGAAAGCACCGAGGGTGCTGGTCATTAGCCTGATTCACTGCATCAAGCACATGGGCCTTAGGATGTTGAAGGCATCCATTGGTCTCTCTAATTCCTGTAAGAATCCGCATCACAGTGTTCCTTGATAAAGAGCTGTCTCTCTACTCTGAACATTTCCAATGATGTGAGACATAAAATTTCAATTTTTATGAGCATCACCTAAGCCCATCTCAGGGATTCCCAGTCCTGGTGTGCTGGCAATTTGGAGAATGATAGTAGTTTATTTTCATGGCCAAAACAATATTTTCAGCCTCTTGTCCTCTTCCAGAACTTTCCCACTTCCCATCAAGAAGTAGAGTCCATTTTACCTCCCCTTGGTATCTGGATGGGCTTTTGGGATGCCTTGTTATCTAGGGTATAGCAAAATTGATGTTCAATGACTTCCTAGGTCAGAAAAAGTGATATATTAATATATACTTATATATAAATATATATTTATATATTGATTATAAAGATATTCTATTAATATATAGATTATATATAAATATATTAACACAATACTACATGTTAATTATATTAATATATTTATATATCATATAAGCATATGATATATATTTATCATATATATGATATATATGTATCTTATATATGATATATATCATATACTTACATATTTATCATATAAGCATATATTAATATATTAATATATACCCTCTTGAGGTTCTCACTCTTGGAACCAGCCTCAGTGTTGGAGAAATCCTGGCCCATAAAGAGGCCATACATAGGTATTCCCACAGTGGCAAGTGTCAGCTGCCATAAATGTGAAGAAATGAAACTTCAGACAATCGCAGGCTCCCCATCCATCTGGAGCAGAGAGGAACTGCCCTGCTGCACTTTGTGTAAATTCCCAAGCCACAGAAGCCATGGACATCATAAATGGCTGTTTTATGCTACTAAGTTTTGGGGTGATTTGTTACAAAGTAATTGATAAACAGAAGAGGGAGCAGGGTACTTGGAGTGTGTGTGTGTGTGTGTGTGTGTGCGCGCGAATGTTGTGAATGGGGATTGTTAAATGATCATATTCTCTAAAATAAAGTGAATTTTGAAAAATTAAAAAACTAAACTACTTATTCAGTATCTATGAAACCATTGTATTAAATCATTTAAATATTTATTAAACACACTGCTGTGATTTTTATCTTGATAATTTTTGTCATTATTTTCATATCTTCACCATTGCAAATATTATTTTAGTTTAACTTTTATATTATATTAACTTTTATGTTTATTTATAGTAACTCACTTTAAAAAAACTTGCTTAAGCTTCATTTTATGTAATATCCTCAAAATTATGGCTTGGATAACCTAGCCCTATTTTATTAATACATTTAAAAATAAATGGATGACTAATTAAAACTATAAAGGAGTTGTCCATTTACTACCTAAAATTTTCTCCCATTTCACAGTAGGTGCATGTCTTACTTTGTTAAAAAGCATCTTTTCGTTTTGGAAAACAACAGTGACACGAAACTGACAATAATATTTGCCAAACTTTTGATGTTTTGGATGTTACTCTTAGGGACTGGCCTATGTTAAGGAACCAGCATAGTAGATCCACATTACTAGGAATACATGTGACAATCTACCAAGAATCTAGCTGCACTTCAAGACTTTTGTAGTTACTGATTTGGCCATTGCAGAAATGGCTTTAAACACCCAAATGTCACTTGCTGGATGCTCAGCTTGTGTACAAGTTTTTCTTGGGATTGCATGGACAGAGGCATGCATGTACCCTTAGGGGCCTAAGCTGGGAATTAGAAGGCCTGGTTATTATTTCTAATTCTTTCAAATAGCAAATATTTGGAATCTGGGTGTCTCAACCCAAGTTCCCTGAAAAGCAAAGCTTGAGACAGTTTTGGTGTTTTATTCCAGGGATTGCAGTGCAAGGGTAGTGAAATAGAAGAGTAGGGAAAGCAACCACAAGAAAGTGTTATCAAGTCAGCCACCATTGCAAGCAACTTGTGCGTGATCCCATGGGACTTCCTGAAGTGAGTTTCAGTACTGTATTAGTCCGTTTTCAGGCTGCTGATAAATACATACCTGAGATGGAGCAATTTATAAAGAAAAAAATGTTTAATGGACTCACAGTTCCACGTGGCTGTGGAGGCCTCACAATCATGGTGGAAGGCAAAAGCACATCTTACATGGCGGCAGACAAGAGAGAATGAGAACCAAGCAAAAGGGGTTTCCCTTTGTAAAACCATCAGATATTGTGAGACTTATTCACTACCATGAGAACAGTATAGGGGAAGCCGCCTCCATGATTCAATTATCTCCTATTGGGTGTCTCCCACAACACATGGGAATTACAGGAGCTACAATTGAAGATGAGATTTGGGTGGAGACATGACAAAACCATATCAAGTATTATCTACCTGGAGGACAAAAGTGGGGAGTTTTCATCCTTTGGTTTGCATTCTCTGTTGCCTACACTTGACCCCACTTCTGGGTGGTACATATGTGAGTGCAGAGAAAATTAACATGGACTTTCCTTGCCATGGCATCAGAGAAGACCTAGCAGGAAGCAAGGAGCACGTGAGTTGCCTCAAAGTGAAGGAAGCACTTTGGGACTGCACCATCATGAAACTGGCTTAAGTGTGTGCAAAGAGGCTACAGTAAGAAATGAAGTGAGACAGTTTCGAAGTAGTGCACAAGAATGTTCGATGTGCTTGGCAAAGATGCTCCCTGTTTCGGACTTGGCTTCTCATCAATCAGATAAGAGAATTGTATGAGAAGAATTTAAAATGCAGCACTGGAAGTCTAATTACCAACCTGAGATAGTGCTGGCCTAATGTTACACTCCTAATCCCCCAGACAGGCAGATCAGACCAAGAAGAACTATGTTGAAAGGGCATAAGCACAGGTCAATTAAGTCATGTTAAGAGAAGACCTATCCACTTTACCTGTCTCCTACATAGATTCCAGTATCCTTACCCCACAGAGTACCTAGTAGGCCCTGAACAATTCTGGATCAGGGAAGGATGATACATCTTGGGAGACTCGGTGCCTTCTCTCTTAGGCCCTGTACATAAACATTACTCATGTCTGGTTACAAATGGGTCTCCCTCTCTTTATTTGGAAGGCCAGGACTGGAGCCCATGCCAACGACACATGGGCTTTGCCACATGGGAGTTAGTTGTGCTGAAAAACACTTGGGATTCTACTCACCTTTCTTGACAGCACCCTGATTTTGATCTCCATTGAAGACACACATGAAAAACCACATGAATCTGAAAACAGGCATCAACAGAGAGAATGGTTCAATTTAGAATTTTTCAACCTTGACACTGTCCTCTGAGGGTTTATTTTTACACAAGTCATGTAGCTGGTGATTGCTATTTTCGGGTTCAAAAAGCAGCAACTATTTTGCTGGTCTTTGCTTGTTTCTTTCACCTTCTGCTTTCTGCCCTAGAGTTCCTTCCAGCCCAAATTATTCAACCCTTCTTATGATTGATGCTTTTTGAAAAGAGATTGGAAAATGAATTTCAGTTCCATTTTGTGGTGCAAATCACTGAGCCTCCAGGGCTTTATAATGTCTTGGTTAATAAAGATTCTGGAGATTCAACCCAGAGGTCCGTGGGAAGTTGGAAAGAAAGCAGAACAACTCAGCCAAGATGTATTTAATTTTTAAAACAACCATTAAGTTCTACACTTAAGCTTCTGAATTTCCTTTTTATATTTCTTAAGAGACAATGAATAGCTTCAATTTGAGAGGGTGATCATTCTGAAAAAGTGCAGAATGACAGCATTTCATTTCATATATATTAATTTTTCCACAAGTTCACTATTCCTCCATTCGATGAGGCTAAGTGGTTTTCTCTGAACTGGCGTTGGTCAACATTATTATCAAATTTGTGATGAAAAATATCCTTTCTGCCTATCAAACCTCCAGCCTCCCTCACATGCTTAGCTCATTTTACTCTCAAATGCTTGGCCTTGTAAATGATTGCTGTGATTCAGTTTTGAGTGAAAGAATTGCTCATTTCCAGCCTGTGATAATTATTGTATAAGGCTTAGATTGTTCTATACAAATGAGAGCAAATTATCCATCAGTGATGAAGATAATGGGTAGTAGTTCCTCGATCTCTCCTCATCTGCTCCTATTACCCATCCCCTCACTTCACGCTCTGCAGACATGAGAATAATAATCTTCACAAGACTTTTTGCTGAGTTGAAGTTTGAGGTTGTGCCTAACTACATAGTGACAGCAATTGGCCGTGTAATTTTTTCTTACATTCCAAGGAAAGGATGATTTATTAATTTCATTGAACAACATTGTCAAATTAAAATTGTGTAGAGTTTCATCAAGCTTATGTGACTGTCAGTACATGTTTCTTTACTTTTGCAACATACAGTGAATGCAGATAAAGAGTCAAAGTGCTTGCATGTGACAATAAAATGCATGAGAGTATCAAGTAGCTTGCCTACCTCTGTGTGGCATGGTGTATTTTCAGAGAATAGCAGAGAAGTGTATCGATTTTTCACGTTGGCAAGACCTTTATGAGAAATGTTATTCACAAACTCTGAAATCATTTTAATATAAGACTTCAGAAATAATCTGCTTGTAGTCACAATGTAAGCTGAAGTTTCTTTTAATAATTAATCTAAGGGATCTACTCAACATTTTCCCTCTATTTAGCACCTGAAAAATGGCAGACTCTGGAAAATGGATAAGACTGAAAAATCAATTCACTTATCTGCTACGCTCTGAAAATTTGTTGTGTGCACAGCTATTATACATAATTATAATTTCAAACTATAGCTTCAAGCTATTAATGTTTCTCTATTCTTTTTTGCTTTGTTTGTAGTGACCTTGTGTCTTATTCTAAGGATTAAAAATTGTTAAATTGGATACAGAATGAACAAAACATACGAAGTAGGACAGCAGTGCTTGTGACTTACTATTTTATTTATTTCCATTGTTAATCAATTGATGAACCTAGAAGAGAAATGATTATATCCTTTATAATGTCATCAATGAAGTATTGATTGATTGATTAAAAATAACAAATTCTTGTTCACACTTGAAGGAAGGCATCTCATCACATTTAAATATCCTCAGTGTGAGTTGGTAGTTCAGAGACTCTGTTTTAGTTGAATCTCAACTTAGTCAAATATAAACTGCATGACCTTGGCGAGCCACCCAGGGTCCCTGAACTTCAGCTCCAGTATGTGACATGATACCTACTCCACAGAGTTGTTGTAAGAACTCAGTGAGATGAGTTGTACAAACCTTTATTTTTTTAAATTTTATTTATTTTTTTGAGACGGAGTCTCTCTCTGTCACCCAGCCTGGAGTGCAGTGGCTCGATCTTGGCTCACTGCAAGCTCCGCCCCCGGGTTCATGCCATTCTTCTGCCTTAGCCTCCCGAGTAGCTGGGACTACAGGCGCCCACCACCTCGCCTGGCTAATTTTTTGTATTTTTAGTAGAGACGGGGTTTCACCATGTTAGCCAGGATGATCTCGATCTCCTGACCTCGTGATCTGCCTGCCTTTGCCTCCCAAAGTGCTAGGATTACAGGCGTGAGCCACCGTGCCCGGCTGAGTTGTACAAACCTTTAACTCAATGCCTGGAAGAGAGTTGTGTGCTTAAAAGACACTCATTTTCTTTTTTCCTGAAGTGATGGAAGATATTTTCTAGGATCCTTTTATCTGTAATTTCCAGCTTTCAATGGGAGAGACACATCAAGACAAGGTAATAACTTATACAATTGTCTGTCATTCCAGGAATGTGGCAGTAGGCACTGAAACGTTCTCCTTTGTAACTCTACTACTCACTTCAGATTTTGGGAATTGCCACAGTTAAGTACTCTTCCATAGTAGCCTGTGAACCTGTGGCTGGGAGAAGCCTGTAAACTAGTAATCCATTTTACAACATGCAAGCCAGGCCCTAGGGCCAAGGACTCAGGCCTTCAAACACCAACTAAGATACCCTCTGTGGTGGGAAGAGCATAGCCACAACATTGTGGAAAGTAGTCATCTCATTAATTTCACCCCGTTCCTGGGAACACATGGTGAGTCACTGAGGGAGGGTCAGGACATTGAGGTCTGATATCTGGGAATCATGCTATTGCTCACAGCACCCTCTTCTTTGGGTGTGTCGTTAGTTTCCAATTAGGGATTTCTGATGAGTCCTGACATAACGCTGTTTGCTTTGTGGATATTTAAAACATAGCTTACCTGTAGCCCTCAAATACATGGAAATCCATTTTATTCCCTTACGCTCCCTCATGTAAGCTAGTTTAAAAATGAGTCAGATGCTACAGCTGTTTTGGGACAGAAATACCACTGACCACTTGAAGCGATGTTGAAGTTGCTTATTTTGCCAGAGTTGAGGCAGTTTATTCATCTATGTTCAGGTGGACCCAAACGAGCCATCATTCTGGTGTTTAAAATTCATTATATTGTAGTGAGATGAAATAAAATAGAGTGATATCCCTATAGCTTCCCCAAGCATAAAAAGAATAATTAAATATAGCACACTCTTCACACATCTCTTCATTACCAAACATTGATTAAGTGCCTGCTTCCCCCAGCTCTGCCTCCCCCTTATCCCTGATGGAGACAATGACCTTGAAGAGCCTTTAGTTTGTCCATAATTAAAATGCATTCTATCTATATGTGTGAAAATAAATATCTTTTGAACATATTGAACAAATTGGGAGAAAGACACTGTACCCTTTCAAATTAACATTATGATAATTTTAAAAATTAACTAAGCCTTTTCCACTGGCATATTAATGAGACCCAGGAGTCACTATTATCCACTGTTATTAAATTAAACATTTTAGGAATAAAGCTCATCCAATTTACTTAGAAAAGGTCTTGGCTACAAATACAGTTGCACTTAGTTAGCTTCTAATTTGCTTTGTTGGTTGAACATAAAGGGTGGGTCCCACTGCCCTCTAGCCTTCCCACGGGCATCTTGTTTGAGTCAGTTGATTAATTTTGAGAGCCAGCTCAGACTTTGGATACAAGTCTCTGTGCCCTTTGTTCCTGTCAAGTGTTGTCACTGTTGTCTTGAAACATATTCAAGGAGGCACCTTCCCAATGAGGAGCTCCGTTAGGTGTGGTAGAGTGACTGATTAAGTTATGTTTAAAAGATATTAAGTCCAGTGACAAATGAAACAGGGCATGGGCTTGTAATTGGTCCTGGTAGGGAGGGAGAGAGTGTGTGATGGTAGGATGGTGGCATCTTTGGTAGGATGAGTGTCAGGTCAACACTCATCATAAGCAAGATGAATGAGGGACAACGTGTGGGCTGGGATGACCAATAGCTTTGAAGCTGCCAACCAGCCTTCTTAATCAGACTAAGTACAGTACAGAAGACTTGTGATTTAGTTACCAAACTACTAAACTTTCTTTATGAGGGTGAAGGCTTCTTAAGAGACAATTAATGTGTAGATTCACAAGATGTTCTAAGGCAAACTGGTCTGAGCCAAAGAAGCCACGGAGACCAGGGAGAGAGCCCCACCCACCAGCAAGGATATATAAAAGCTCAGGAGTCTGGAGTGACATTCACAACTCAGGAGGTAACTTCAGCAAGCTACCTGCAGCCCTCTGTCTGACATCATGTCCTTCAACTGCTCCACAAGAAATTGCTCTTCCAGGCCCATTGGAGGACGCTGCATTGTTCCAGTGGCCCAAGTTACCACGACTTCCACCACTGATGCTGACTGCCTGGGCGGCATCTGTTTGCCCAGTTCCTTCCAGACTGGCTCTTGGCTCCTGGACCACTGTCAAGAGACCTGCTGTGAGCCCACTGCTTGCCAGCCAACCTGTTACCGGCGAACTTCATGTGTCTCCAACCCTTGCCAGGTGACTTGCTCTCGACAAACTACCTGTATTTCCAACCCCTGCTCAACTACCTACAGCCGGCCGCTCACCTTTGTCTCTAGTGGATGTCAGCCCCTGGGAGGCATCTCCAGTGTCTGCCAACCAGTGGGCGGCATCTCTACTGTCTGCCAACCAGTGGGAGGAGTCTCTACTGTCTGCCAGCCAGCCTGTGGGGTCTCCAGGACGTATCAGCAGTCCTGCGTGTCCAGCTGCCGAAGAACCTGCTAAGTGTGTAGGAGCCAGTGAGCGAATCAAGACTCCACGACCTGCCAGCTGTTTCCAGGATCTTCCAGCATGCTGCTTGTCCCTGAATAGCTCTTCATAGCTGACCCTTCTTGTGACCGCCTGACTGCTGGCTACTATCCATGCACACGCTGTCTTTAGCACTCTAAAATTTTTCTGGCCAGCCCTAAGCTTGTTTTAAGGGTTGCTCACTGGTGCTGTGTATGCCTCTGGATGTGTCCAGAAGCTTTACCATCCACACCCCAGTCTCTGATGCTTTTGACATGTTTTCACCTTGCTGCTGTATCTCCTGGCCTCTGCTTTTGTGTCTCACAAAAACAGAGCTTGTCTCACCATGTATTTCTCAATAAACCTGCATTAGTTGGCATTGCAAATGTATGTCTCAGCAGAATTCTTTTTTAAACATTTCAACTTTTAATTTAGTTTTTGCGGGGTACATGTGCAGGTTTGCTACAGGGGTATACTGTGTGATGCTGAGGTTTGGGGTATGATTGAACCCATCTGTCAGGTATTGAACATAGTACCCAATAGGTAGTTTTCCAACCCTTTTCCTCTTCCTCACTCCCCGCTCTTCCAGTTGCCAGTGTCTATTGTTTTTATCTTTATGTCCACGTGTACCTAATGTTTAGCTCCTACTTATTAGTGAGAACAGGTGGTATTTAGTTTTCTCAACAGAGCTCCTTGTTTGCAAGAGTCTTTGCTGATCAGGGTCTGATTTTTTTTTTCCTGAGCCTAGAATATGGGCTTAATCATTATGCCCTGTGACCAAACCAAGGATTATCTTATATTTTACTTGTTCAGAGAGAGTCTTCAGCTGTGCGGTGAAGTAAGGGCTATGATTTTTCTTTTCTTTTCTTTCTTTCTTTTTCTTTTTCTTTTTTTTCTTTTTTTTGAGATGGAGTCTCACTCTGTCGCCCAGGCTGGAGTGCAGTGGCACGATCTTGGCTCACTGTAAACTCTGCCTACTGGGTTCAAGTGATTCTCCTGCCTCAGCCTCCAGAGTAGCTGGGATTACAGACGTTCACCACTACGCCCGGCTAATTTTTGTAGTTTTAGTAGAGACAGGTTTCACCACGTTGGCCAGGCTGGTTTTGAACTCCTGAGCTCAGGTGATCTGCCGCCTCGGCCTCCTAAAGTGCTGGGATTACAGGCCAGGGCTATGAGATTTCTAGGAGTAACTTGTCTTCTACGTCTCCTTCCATTTCTAGGGGCACATGGAATAACTTACATTTAGGAAAAAGAAAAGTTACCCAGAAAACCAGGTATTTCAGAAAGATGTGCAGGGAAGGGAGCAGTGGGATCACTGAGAAGTGCTGAGTCTTATTTAGTTAGAGGATCACAGTAGAAACCTTTGGAAAAGATTCCTCCATGATCAATCGGGATGGAAGGAGAAGGAGAAAGAAAGAGAAGGCACTTTTCAGGCCCTGAAATTAATCACATCAAAAGAGTGGCTCTAGCTTTATACCCACCTCACTCATGGTAGTGGATTAGTAGAATCTGCCAACGAGGGATACCAATTGACTGTTCGAGTCAGAGCCCTGAGAAAATTAAAGCTCTGTGTTTTAGTAAATCTGGGCAGGAGAGACTTAAAAAGAAGCTTAAAAACCTGTTGGCTTATATTAATACTTAGTCATACTTCTTGCTCGTTCTTCCCTGGAACTCGTGTACTAAATAAATCAAACCATCTGGATAGGTGGAGGTTGACATGCTAAGTCCTTTTGCCATTTTTTTTTTTTTTAAGGAAGTGAAGACTGGCTACCAACTGGTTTGCTTTTGCCCTTCTCATTTGTTCTGTCCAGAAAAACATCTTGATTTTCTTTTCAGAGTTGCTCAAGGAGATACAAAAGCAGATGATTTTTACACAAAATGGAGACATATGAGGTACACATGCCATCAACAATGGGTGTCTTTTTTCATAACAGAAATGCTGGTGTCTTGTGGAGAATTTGATCTCACTCTGTGTTGTCAGTGCAAAATGGATTTCTTATTTCTCTGATGGTTTTTCAGAGGTGAAATATATAGATTATTTCCATATAGATGCAATATTTTTAATTTTTCCCATTGATGGCTCTACTCTTAGGATTCCCCTAATTGGATTATGTTAGTATGCATGGCTCATGGTAATATCTCAACAAAGCAAGACATGGTTTTTAGTCTATATTAGTTTCATGCCCTCTCTTTTTAAAATAAGCACTCTGGCTTTTGGAAATGCTCTGATTTATTTTAAAATAGAAATCACTAGGGGAACTCTACATTGCCCTTTCAAAACTGTTATTACATGATTCTCATTTGTTGTTTATTTTAGTCACTTCACATATAATTTGGAAAATTCCCACTTTTTAAGAAGATGACAGATTAATTTTTTTTAACTTTCAGCTTTCTAGATTTCAATAAAAAATATAAAGACAGAGGTACCTTCTTTATCTTTTTATTTAGATGGTTACTTGGCTCTAATAGATAACATTTCTATATTAATAATATATAAGAACATAGCCTTTATGGTTAGATATGAGCAAGCTTTTGCCTGGGCTATTTATTGTGACAATGTGAACATTTAAGGCTGTGGTAGCTGTCTTGCAAAGCTATTTTCTTGCCTTCATTTCTGTTTTGGGAATCATCTTCTTTGCTATTAGAGCTATTCTATTTGTACTTGAACTTTGGAAGTTCTCTCCATTCTTTGCCTTATTACATAATAAATTGTAAAGTTTCAAAGTTTGTTTTTGAGAACAGTCCTTTAAAAGACAGGGCAGTGATGATTTCTTTCTCTTCATTTACAGCCTAGAAATGCAATTTGTATCCAATATCTCATAGCTCCAGGGAAGGAGCGTAACTTTTCCTGGTTCTGCCACTTGGATGCAGGTTTGTCGACGTTTCTGAGCCTTAGTTAGCTCATTTGTGTGTGAACCGGAGATAATGGTAGCATCTTACACCTTTGTTTTCAGGAGTAAATTGAGATAATACACATGTAACCCAAGTATCAGCTGAGCCATCCTGTCATTTAACATTGAAACAAAAATAGCTCTCTTATCTCCTTTTGCTGTTTGGTGGAAGTCTTGGCTGCTCCCAACATCTCCGAGGAATCTGAGAGTAGACAGGTTGGGGAAAGATGTCTAACTTTTTTCTTACCTTCTTGGGCTCTGAGCTTCTACTTGAGAAGAATTAGTTCATTTCATGAATTTTCTTCCTATGTTATGGTTGGCTTCTGTTTAGACTACCGTGATTCAGATATTTACACTTCCTTTCCATGATTTTCACTAAGATCCACTTACACAAGGCATTTGTGTTTCTAACACTTTATAGAAAGTTTGAGGACACAGAGAACATTTATACTCTAGTGATGATAACAACTTAAATCTAATTAAAATTTTTTTTATCATGGTAAAATATATATGTAGCATAAAAGTTGTCATTTTAAGTATTTTCAAGTGTACAATTCAGTGGCATTAAGTAAATTCACAATATCATGTCACTATTTCCAGAACTTTTCTCCATTCCAGACTGAAATCTCTTGGCCATTGTCTTCGGGACATTATCTCAATGTCCCAGCTCAAAATCAAATTTCTCCCTCTTTTTCTCCCTTCATTTCCTCCCTCCCTTCTTCCCTTCCTGCCACCTTCCCTCACCATCTCCTTTTGCTCTTTTCCCTCTTCATCTCCTTTCCTCCCTCTCTCCCTTCTGACTTTCTGTCAACAAACATTAGAATACCTCTAATGTTCCTGTTATCCCAGCACTTTGGGAGGCCAAGGCAGGTGGATCACGAAATCAGGAGATCGAGACCATCCTGGCCAACATAGTGAAACCCCGTCTCTACTAAAAATACAAAAAAATTAGCCAGGCGTGGTGGTGCTTGCCTGTAGTCCCAGCTACTCGAGAGGTTGAGGCGGGAGAATTGCTTGAACCTGGAGGCGGAGGTTGTAGTGAGCCGAGATTGCGCCACTGCACTCCAGCCTGGCGACAGAGCGAGAGTCTGTCTCAAAAAAAAAAATAAATAAATAAAATAAAATAAATAAATAAATAAATAAAGAATACCTCTAATGTTTCAACTTTCTATGCGAGGTGCTGGTTATGCAGTGGAAAACAAAGCCATTACTATTCCTGCTCTCCTGAAGCTCATAGTTGGGTTGTGAAGGACAAACTCACTGATTCTTCAATATCTTCTCCTATATGCTTTGCTCCCCTTAGGGCTTCACATTTTACTTCCAAATGCCTTACTTTTCTCCTCCAATGCATATAAAGGCTTACCAAGATGCTACATCATGCAAGTTATCAGTGAAGGATGGATGGATATTCTATCCTTTTACTTATATGTTGCTTGCTTATAATGAAACTATGTTGAAAGCTGAAAGTATAACCTACCTTTGGAATATCTGACTTTAAATCTGAGAGATCTAAAGCTTGTAAGACTCAAAGGAAGGTATTGAGATTTGGTCAAATAGCAGGAATGAATACTCGACACATTGGGACACAGGCCGGAACAGTCCCTTTAAAGCTATCCATGTAGATAGATAAAGGTGGGCTCTGATCTTCGACTTTAACCTTGTTAAAGACCTAGGCTTGGTCTTTTTAGATTTTCTGAAAACTCCTACCTGTGCTTACGAGTTTGTAAATGGCTTCCTATTTGAAAGACTTTGTGTTTGCCTTTATAAGTCTGAAAGCTTTACTTATTAGGATCTCTCGCTGCAATCTCTTTTGTAAACTGTGCTTTCCTATGTTTAACTGCCTGATGGGCATGTTCAGAGAGATGCCTAGAGTAATACTCAAAGACATTTTCTTTTTTTTTTTTTTTTTGAGATGGAGTCTCACTCTGTTGCCCAGGCTGGAGTGCAGTGGCGTGATCTTGGCTCACTGCAACCTCCGCCACCTGGGTTCAAGCAATTCTCCCCCCTCAGCCTCCCAAGTAGCTGAGATTACAGGCACCCGCCACCACACCCAGCTAATTTTTCTTGTGAGTATATTTTTAGTAGAGACAGGTTTTCACCATGTTGGCCAGGCTGGTCTCGAACTGACCTCAGGTGATCTGCCCACCTTAGCCTCCCAAAGTGCTGGGATTACAAGCATGAGCCACTGTGCCTGGCTAATATTCAAAGAAATTTTCAAAACTCAAATTGTTATAATATAATCTATTATATTAATTAGACATGATTTGTATGAAACAATTATGATTGGGAACCAGTACCTATTAGCACAAGTAAAAAGCTATTATAAGCAAATATGATTGCTTTGTGTAAGTTGTTCTGTGCCCTATTATTAAAACAGATGATACGATAAGAATATGTAATAATTATGTTAATGATAGTTGCTGGTTCCTGTAAGAAAGACAGGTGATTACTCTTTTTATTTTTATTTTTAGGACAGAGTCTTATTCTGTAACCCAGGCTGGAGTGCAGTGGTGCGATTATGGCTCACTGTAGCCTCAACCTCCCAGGCTAAAGCGACCCTCCCAGACAGGTGATTACTCTTAATCCAGAACTGGATGTGGTCTAGGGTAGAATTTGTTTAGTGATATATAGATTTCTCAGCTATATACTTACCACCAAAACAAGTTATTAAAATTTCTTCATGAGAAAGACTTTACAGTTTTGGGCCTGAAACTCTAGCCCCTAAACCACCTTTCTCTTTATTGAAAACACTTTTAAAATGACTATGCAAATATTCTTTGGAACACATCAATTGCAATGGCAGAGAAGATTTTCACAAAAATCAAATATTCTTTTGCTAAAAACTCTCATCATACTAATTTTTGCCTCTTGGTTAATGGTGCTGCCATCTTCTATGTCACCTATAATTGAAATCTTGTTATTAGTTTTTCTCCTCTTTTCCCCTAACTTGACATATTTAATTAAACACCAAGAGCTATTGTTCCTTCTTAGTAGCCATAACAATTCTTTTGGTGATTTTCTTAGCATTTCCTCCGCCTCTAGCTATGGTGGGCAGCCATTGCCTTATACTGGGGTCCATAATAAGCCCCTAACTGATCCCAGTGTTCCTCTTTTCTGCCTCATCCTCTCTGCATATCCCTAGCAGAACTATCTGGATTAGTTTGCTGGGGCTGCCATAACAAAGTGCTACAAACTGGGTGGCCTAAACAACAGATTCAATAGTCTGTTCATCTTTCTTTTTCCATGGTAAATGATAAAATATGGAAATAAAGTTCACTGGAAAATGAAGTGAATTTACCCCCAAAGCTTACTCCATGAACAAAAGTTATAGTTATAAATCCTGGGATTAAGGGTTGCATTCCTTTTCAAATTGATTTGATTAAAACGAGGAAAGAATTTAATCTTTTCGTTAGCTGTTGCCAAGATAATAATTCATTGACTCTTCCCTTATCTCTGTATATGATTCTGGAAAGAGCTTGAAAAATATTTCTCTTTCAAGAAAAGCCTGCAAATGATCTGCAAAGCATATGTAGTATTCTTGTAGAAATCAGAAACTTTAGAAGAGGGAAAACATTGTTTTAGAAAAGTCACAGGACTTGGAATGAGAGGTCTGGTATTGAATTCAGTTCTAGCATATTGACAGTAAGTTCAGTTGTTTGATCTCTCAGTCACTGTCTCCTCCTGTGTAAATGAGGATAGTAATGCTAACTTCAAGTATTAGCTAAGGTTGAGGCTCACTGTTATAAAAGACAGACTGTGTAAATTTCCGGGATGAAAGGAACATGCACTTTGGATTCTAAGCATTGCTACCATGAGAGAGAGAGAGTGAGTTTATGCACTGCGCCATTACTTCTATTCCTATGAACTTAATTCATGAGAAATAGTCATAAATGTGCATAATTAATTATAATGAGATATTTTATTATATGCTTCTTCTTATATCAAAAATTAGAAAACACATAAGTATCTTGCCAGTAGTAGAGTGGTTAAATAAATCATGGCAATGTCTATACAAATGTAGCCATTAAAACAATACTAAGGATCTGGAAATATTCTTGTCATGCAATTACATAAGACAATATGCCACATTGTTACAATTTTGTAAATGTAGGTATATAATAAAATGAATACACAAAGTTGTTAACAACAACAACAAAAAGATAAACTGTGTAGTCCTAGTGGCTTCACCCAATGGGAATTTATTTCCTGCTCATTTCAAGCCTTCAATGGGTATTCCAGTTAGTGGGTAGCTCTTCTTCAATATGATTTGAAGACATAGGCACTTTCTGTCTTGTGCCTCTTGTAGCTTCAACTCATGGCTTCCAATGTGGCTGCAGAAGGTCAAAGAGCAGGGGGACTACACATAGGAAATTTCTGTGAGGTGCCTTGGAAGTGACCCCTACGACTTCTGCTCACATTTCATTGGCAAGTTTCCATTCTTATGTCTACTCTTGAAAGGAGTCTGGTTCATATGGTCTTGATGTGGGCAAAGGAAGAAGAGAAAATGGGTTTGGTGAAGAGTTAGTTTGTGTCTACCATCCCTTATAATGTGACTGTGAGAATGAAAGAGTGTGAAATTAAAGTCTGACTCACAGTAGGCACTCTAAAAGTGTTGGCTAAATCTGAACTAGATTTCTATTTTCATCTGCCCACCAAAGGAGCCCTGTTTTAGGAAACAAGAATTCACAGGAAGGGTTTCATTTGGGCACTAATCTAATAAATTCAGGGATTGCGTACAGCAGTTAAGGATCCATCTTTCTAGGAGGCATTATTTTTTAAATCCCAGGGAACATACTTCCAGTCTAAAATTGAGACTTTAGCAATTAGTGCTTATTTAAAAGGAGCTAATTCTGGTAATGTCTACAATAATTGGAAATAATTTAGATATTTCTCTCTTGAAATAAAATAGGAATTGACCAGAAAATAGCTCCATAAATGAAACTAAGGAACTTAATTTTTCTATTTCTTTTTATTATGCATAAACCACATGTATCATCTTACATTATCTAGTTCTGTCCCTTATTCTCATTGTGTAACAATAGTTTTTGTAAGATGTTAGTGCTGGACGACACCTTAGAACTAATTTAATACAACTCCCTCATTTAATGGATGAGGAAGTAGGGAGGGAGTGATTTTGTTGTCCAATAAAAAATGACAGGCTGGGCGCGGTGGCTCATTCCTGTAATCCCAGCACTTTGGGAGGCCGAGGCGGGCAGATCACGAGGTCAGGAGTTTGAGACCAGCCTGGCCAATATGGTGAAATGCTGTCTCTACTAAAAATACAAAAATTAGCTAGGTGTGGTGGTGGGTGCCTGTAGTTCCAGCTACTCAGGAGGCTGAGGCAGGAGAATCGCTTGAACCCGGGAGGTGGAGGTGGCAGTGAGTTGAGATCGTGCTACTGCACTCTAGCTGGGCAACAGAGCAAGATGCCATCTCAAAAAAAAAAAAAAAGACAGTGATAGAACCAATAAGTGACTTCTGGTTGAGGGATTTTTACTATAAATATGAAGGCAACACTATTCAGATTTTGTGGCTGAATAGTGTTGCCTTCATATTTATAGTAAAAATACATTTCCGAATGAGTTACTATGTAAGTAGATTGTCCAGGGGTGCTCTATTTCCTGTTAGATTCTATGCTCTATGACAAGGGCCTCTATACCTGTTTCATTTAGCAAAAAAAAATTTTTTATTTTTTCTGAAATTCAAATGTTACTCAGAGTCTTATAACTGTTGCTAAGATATAAACAACAGATAGAAGATATCCTGCTCATAAATGCAAATCAAAACCATAATGAGATACCATCTCACACCAGTTAGAATGGCGATCATTAAAAAGTCAGGAAACAACAGGTGCTGGAGAGGATGTGGAGAAATAGGAATGCTTTTACACTGTTGGTGGGAGTGTAAATTATTTCAACCATTGTGGAAGACGGTGTGGCGATTCCTCAAGGATCTAGAACTAGAAATACCATTTGACCCAGCGGTCCCATTACTGGGTATATACCCAAAGGATTATAAATCATGCTACTATAAAGACACATGCACACGTATGTTTATTGCGGCACTATTCACAATAGCAAAGACTTGGAACCAACACAAATGTCCGTCAATGATAGACTGGATGAATAAAATGTGGCACATATACACCACGGAATACTATGCAGCCATAAAAAAGGATGAGTTCATGTTCTTTGCAGGGACATGGATGAAGCTGGAAACCATGATTCTCAGCAAACTATAACAAGGACAGAAAACCAAACACCACATGTTCTCACTCATAGATGGGAATTGAACAATGAGAACACATGGACACAGTGTGGGGAACATCACCCACCAGGGCCTGTCAGGGGGTGGGGGGTTGTGGGAGGGATAGCATTAGGAGAAATATCTAATGTAAATGATGAGTTGATGGGTGCAGCAAACCAACATGGCACATGTATACCTATGTAATAAACCCGCACGTTATGCACATCTACCCTAGAAGTTAAAGTATAATAAAAAAAATTTACTACCGTAAAAAAAGAAGATATCCTGCTCATAACACGTATCAGATATCCTGCACATAAATCTATGCAGGAAACTTCTGTTTTTACTCTAGAAGACTCAGCTGGCTCTCAAACCACAAAGACCTGGCCCACTCCTGATGTCCGTCCTGTTCTGTTTGATGTGACCTCCGCAATCCTTGGGGGCTTATGATGGCACAGGAAGGCTGAGCTGGCATAGCGATGAGCACCTGCAAACTGATAGGTGGTGCTAGTTGATGAGTCTGCCATCTCCTATCTCAGGATCCTATTGCTTCTTTTCTTTATCACCTCAGGACATCTTCACAAGATCTCACCATCCCTCTGCCATGTCAAATTCTCACTGTTGAATTTTTTTTTTTTTTTTTTTTTTTTTTTGTTTTTGTTTTTTTTAGTATAGATATCCCATTTGGGACAAGTATTTGGGATATACTCATACTAAAACATTTTTGTTATCTGAACCTCAGATGTCACTGGAATCCTGTATTTTATTTGTAAATTTCTGTAAACATCTTTTTTGATGTAATATTAACAGTGGCACAGAAAAAAGTGTTCAGTAGGGCAGATGTTTGAGAAATTCAGATCCAGTTAATTTAACATGATTTGTTTCCTTAGTCATCTCAGATATTTAATATTGTTACTAAGTACTATGAATCTCTGGCTGGACATACTATTCAGTGTGTGTGTGTGTGTGTGTGTGTGTGTGTGTATGTATATATCTATATATGTGTATATCTAATGTGTATATATATATATACACACACACATTAGAACTATGGAACCCATTTATCTGGAGCTTCTAGTGAGACTATCATTCTGTGAAAGGCATTTTGGAAAAGACTGGGGAAGAGGAGTTCCAGGTGCCTCGGAGAAACCGGCCCGCGAGATGGATTCCACTCTTTTTCTAATGTGAGATATGGGTGAGAAGACCAAGACACATGAATCTTAAGAAGGAAGATGGAAATATCCATGTGACTTGTGCAGTAGCCAGTGTAGCATAATCCTTAAGGATCATAACATTATTTTATCATCTATATTCTGTGATATAAAGGGTCAGACAGGCTGGCTGATCAAATTCTGCCCTGATACAAAGTTAAGGCTGCCAGGCTCTCCGGTGTTCCATGTGTGCTGCTAAATTAACATGTCGAGGCCATGTTTTATGTGAGTGGCTCTCAGTGAAATTCTTTGAGGTTGGCTGTATCTCTGGTGCAACTGTAATTGAAAATGCAAAATACACTTAGGAGCAAATACAGCTGACTGAGTTGTGTAATGTTCTGATGGGTGACTCTGTCCTTTCAAAGTGAGATGTGACAGTCTAATGCCAAATAAACCAACTGCAAAACCCCAAAAACCTTTGGCATTTTAGAATATTTTTCTAATTCTTTTTTTTTCCAAAGAACTTACTTCTGAGCACAATCTATCAAGTGAATGATTTTTCAAAGCTGCTGACTGGTCTCTTTAGGGTCATAGGGAAAATTGATGGTTTATGATTAGATTCTCCTCCTTCTCCTTTCCTTTTTTTATTTCTTATTTGATGGCTTTATTTTCTTATTTCAGTTTCTAAATTTGCATATCTCCCACAGAAGAAATGCATAAGATGACCTCAGGAGACGTATTGAAAAGGGAGTTTTCAGTAACTCTGAGATGTCATTTACACATTAAAAATCACAGAGTACTAGAATAACTTTACTATTTAAACCAATTGTTCAGCTAATGATTCATTCATCTGGTGAATATTTATTGAATATCTGATAGTAATTGGACGATGTCTCTTTGGAGTTTCTAATATAGTAAGGAAGCAGATATGTAAGTAACCAGTTAACACGAAGTAAGTACCACAATAGAGAAGCATATGTAAAGTGCTGTGGATCTATAAAGTTAGGAGGATTGATTTTTCTCTGGGGTGGAGACTTCTGGGAAGATTTCCTAAAGAAAATAATTTGAACTGGGTCTTAAAGAATAGATGAGATCACGAGGCCCACGAGGTAAAGGGAGGAGTAATGATGTTGGATGGGGCAGAATGAGGGAAGAAAAGGGAGGGTAGATTCCCATAGATGAAACAGCAAGCCCCAAACTGTGGGGTCATGAAAGCTTACACTGTGTTCAGAAAACAGTGAGGTTTGGTGTGGCTCCAACAATGCTTAGTGTATTTGGAGTCAGTGTGGCTTCATAATAATGTTATTGTGAGTGTATATATATATATATATATATATATATATACACACACACACACATCCTGCAGCCTAAGTGACAGAGGGAGACCCTGTATATATGGATATATACAGAAGAAAGATGGAAATATCCATGTGACTTGTGCAAGAGCCAATGCAGCATAATCCTGAAGGATCATTACATTATTTTATCGTCTACATTCTGTGATATAAAGTGTCAAACAGGCTGGCTAATCAAATTCTGCTCTGATTCAAATATATATATATATATATATATATATACACATATATGTATATATATTCAAATATATATGTGTGTGTGTATATGTACATATATATATGCATAATAAATATATATATTTGGGATATATATATAAATCCCAAACATATGCATATATATATATAGGGTCTCCCTCTGTCACTTAGGCTGCAGGAGTGCAGTGGCCTGATCACAGCTCACTGCAGCCTGAAACTCCCAGGTTCAAGCAATTCTCCCACTTCAGCCTGCCAAGTAGCTGGGATTACGGGTGCACACCACCATGCCCAGCTCATTTTTCTAGAGATGGGGTTTCACTATGTTGCCCAGGCTGGTCTCAAACTCCTGGACTCACATGATCCACTGGCCTCAGCTTCCCAAAGTGCTAGAATTACAGGCATGAGCCACTGCACCCAACATAGTGGGTGAATATTAAGGGAGGAAGACAAAGTGTAAATCAATAATCTCTATGTTGGGTATTTTGAATGTCATGTGATGAGTTTAGTTCTTTTTAATGTAACTAATAAATTGTCATGAGAGGGTGTTTAGAGTTGTGTTTTCTTGATGGCCAGAGGTCCCAGTGATATTGGAGGTGAAGGGGGACTGCCAAAAGAATTGGCACTTAAAGATGGTTTTGAAATTTCTATTCTGGAAGACAGGGTGGATAGTGTGTCCTTTATCAAGAGAAGGAACACAGTCAAAGGATACAGGTGGTGGGCGATGGATGATGATTTTTGTTTAGAGCTTACTGCATTTGAGACCTAGGCAGAACATCCAGGTGGGTACGATCAGGTGAGCAATTGGGTCTTTGGATGTATATGCTGCACTATTCCAACATGAATTTTTCTGTGGGTTAATGGATAGGTTTGATTAAACACACTGAGATTTATGTGGAGACTGTCTCATGACCAAGTTCTATGTATTTCTATTGATCACTTGCTGCATCTAGAAATACATTGACACGATTTCCCTCACAAATCATTCGTGTGTTTTGGATACTGTGAAATACTAGGCTGACAATGGCTTGACAGTAGCCTTCACAAAAGACAAAGTAATACAGTTGTTGCATAAAGAGCAGTCCCTTGAGAAATAACAAAGGTGAATGGGTTTCATAGCCAAACCCACTCTTTGAAAACAGTGTATGTGCCTTATAATTTGTTGCTTTAATTCCTCCACAAAATTAAGTAAATTTCCTACTGAACTAGGAAATATTGCTACTTAAGATTATAGAAAGGGATTTTTCAGTCAATTAGTATGCACACTACAAAGGAAGGTCGTTAGGTGGGGACACACTTTTTAATGAGGGGAAAGATACAGATGTCTCTAGGAGGAAGGTGACATCAAACTCCAGGAATTTGTTCTTCCCTTCACACTTTATCTTTCTCTCCTGACTGAGAGAATCACAACTCTTTCTCTGGGAACATGCTTCTTTTGTACCTTTTTTTTTTTTTTTTTTTTTTTAAGACAGAGTTTCACTCTTTTTGCCCAGGTAGGAAAGCAATGCTGTGATCTCAGCTCATTGCAACCTCCACCTCCAGGGTTCAAGCAATTCTCCCGCCTCAGCCTCCCAAGTAGCTGGATAACAGGCTCATGCCACCACACCCAGCTAATTTTGTAGTTTTTTAGTAGAGACGGGGTTTCACCATGTTGGCCAGGCTGGGCTTTTGTACTCTTAGGGGACTGATAACCTTCCCAAAACCTTGGTGTTGCAGTTTTATTATAGAAAAATATATGGGCGCAATGTATTCCATTCTGAGTCATCACTAGGACCCTCTTCCCTCAGCTTCCGAGGTCTGCAGCTTTGGGTCTGGAAGTTATGGACCAGAGAACATGCTACATTGTGTTGACTGGTCATCACACTTTCTTTTGAAATGAGCAGCTATGGAAGAGTTTGCAAGTAGATCTGGAATCTTCACAATCTTCTTTGGCTGTACCTTGAGATCTATATTTCTGCAATATTGTTTCTTGCGTTTTTTTCTTCAGTGCGAAGAACCTAGATGTTTTTCATCCAGAACATAGTTTGCATAATATTGAAAGATAAAACTAGTTTTCCAAATACTTTTTAAAAAATATCAGCATTTTTTTCTCTTCCCTTTTCATCTTTTCTTTTTACTTTCTCAGTTTCTGTGCATAATCTTATATTTCTTGAAAAAAGTAATGACACCAATTCAGTCGACAAGGTTGGCACATCTTGTCATTTATTTGAATTGTTTAGTATTTTGCTTCTAACTGCTGCCACTTGCACAAAGGAAAATAGTTATTCCACAGCAGGCACGTTGACTAAACATATTAGAGCAGCATTATCTGGAGCTCTAATTCCGTGGATTATCAAAAAGAAATACTCCTCCTTTCTCTTTTATCTCCCCATCAAAAAAATTCCAGGTAAAATATATGTGAAAAATGCTGTTATTCCACAGCAGGCACGTTGACTAAACATATTAGAGCAGCATTATCTGGAGCTCTAATTCCGTGGATTATCAAAAAGAAATACTCCTCCTTTCTCTTTTATCTCCCCATCAAAAAAATTCCAGGTAAAATATATGTGAAAAATGCTGAGTGAAGGAAAGTTAAGCTGGTTTCTTTCCTGTATGTTCTATTTCAGTCTCAATGTGCTGATGTATATACTATATATAATACATATATTATAATATATATAACATATATAAAAAATATATATGTGTGTGTATATATATATATATATATATACACTCAATCTGACATGGGTAATATTTGTTAAAATGTAGCTATGTTAGCTAAACTATTTTTTTTTTTAGCTATCAAGGTATATCCAATCTTGCTATTTTAAAATTTTAATTGTATAAGAAAGAATTTTTCAGATTTTGGAGTTCAATCTTAGTATATCTGCTCCCTCCATCTGCCAAGCCAATAACAGTTTCTTATAGTCTCTTTCAATGTAAGTGGTTTATGTCATCAGAGGATTTTATCTGAACTCATTTGAGTACAATATGTTTAGGTGATTAATCCAATTGTGTGTGTGTGTGTGTGTGTGTGTGTGTGTGTGTGTGTGTTTAACCAATTTTAATTCTGGAATCTTTTTGTTAGATTTCATGTAGGATAAATCCTACCTGATGCAAAGACGAGGTTCTCAGTTGTTGCTAGTTCTTTTGTAGAAAAAAAGATGTACCAAAGCATGCAGAAAGTTATGCTAAATGGAGAAGCCAGAAAAAGTATAATATATCTCAGTATATAGGAATGCAATGAATGTTTATAGAAAATTCAAAGTAGGAAAGGATTTAAGAAAATATGACAAAATTGGTAAGGCATGGTGGACACAGTTTAACATAGTTTGACGCTTTTTCATCAGCATTTTCCTCATGTGCTCTTATGTGCCTGCATTGAGACCAGCTTGACCTAGGCCTTGATTCTTTCATACCTGACTCTTATAATAGCTGGCTAATAGGGTTACCTAACTATAACCTCTTATCCAAATTAATATTCTTACTACGCCATCGTGATCTCATAATCATACTTTTTAAGGTCATTATCATTTACTAAAATCATCAAGATGTAATGAACAGAATGTTGGATTTCAGGTAAAAAATTCGTATTCTTGGGAGCCACTTATGAGGTGCACAACCTTGAGGAGGTTACTTAACAACTGGAGGGGAATCCACTTCTACCTATAACATTTATATAATAATACCCTTGCTGCCTAATTCATAAGTTTGCTGTGGGATTTAAATGAGATAATATGTGAAGACCTTTTGTAAACTTTGAAACAAAACAGACCTGTAAAGTACTATTGTTGCCTAATAAAGTATTGTGTGTGTGTATGTGTGTGTATATATGTATATATATGTATATATATGTATATATATGTGTATATATGTATATATATGTATATATATGTATATATATGTATATATATGTGTGTATATATGTGTGTATATATATATATGTGTATATATATATATGGCTGACAATCAATGCCCTACCAGGCCACAATTACTTTTCCAATCTATATATGACCATTTGTTTGTAGGAACAGAACAATTCATTCAAAATCAGAGTTTATCTATGAATGTCCTGGATTTTCATACCTAAACATATTTTCTTATTCCCTTTCCTGCTGAGTTTCCTCCCATTCTTCAAAGTGGCATTGAGATGCTGTATTTCCATGATGCCTTCTGTATCAGTGTCCTAGGTCTGCTGTAATAAACCACTACTGACTGCATGGCTTAAAACAACAAAATTTATTCTCTCGAAGTTGTGGGGCCAGAATTCTGAAATCAAAGTGTAGACAGGGCCACACTACCTTAGAATGATGTAGGGGAGAATCTTTCCATGCCTCTTTCATCTTCTGGGGGCTTTAGGTGGTATCTGCCTTGTGGCAGCATCACTCCAATCTCTACCTCTGTCTTCACATGGCCTTGTCTTGTATCTCTTTGTCTCTTCTTTTTCTGTCTTTATAAAGATACACATCATCGAATTTAGGGCTGATTCTAAATCCAGGATGATATCATCTCAATATCCTTAGCGACACCTGCAAAGACCCTATTTCCAAAAAGGCCATATTCATGAGTACAGGGGTTAGGATTTGGATACGTATTGCTGGGGCTGCTATAACCCACTCCATCTCCCTTGATCATTCTAGTCTGATTTGTTTGGAAAGCATTACATCCAAGGTTAAACATCATGTACAACCTTGGAACCACTGAGAGGACAGTACTTATAACAAACCAATTAAATAAGCAAATTGCAAGGACCACCTAGGAAAAGTTTAGCATTTGGTTCTTTTAATTGTTATTTCAACCATAATTACATCACACATAAAGAAGTAGGACTGGGCCAGGCATGGTGGCTCACGCCTGTAATCCCAGCACTTTGGGAGGCTGAGGCGGGCAGATCACCTGAGGTTGGGAGTTTGAGACAAGCCTGACCAACATGGAGAAACCCCGTTTCTACTAAAAATAAAAAATTAGCCGACTGTGGTGGTGCATGCCTGTAATCCCAGCTACTGGGGAGACTGAGGCAGGAGACTTGATTGAACCCGGGAGGTGGAGGTTGCAGTGAGCTGAAATCACACCATTGCACTCCAGCCTGGGCAACAAGAGTGAAACTGTGTCTCCAAAAAAAAAAAAAAAAAAAAAAAAAAAAGTAGTAGTAGTGTTTAACTTTCTGTCAAAATAGTTGAAGTATTATTATTCAACTACTTTTTTACAACTTCAGAAACTGAGAAGAAATTTTCTTTTTTTAAAAATGTAATTGGCAAAATACAACTATATTTAATTGAAAAATAGAATCCATTTAAAATCATAATGGCTTAGCAACCTAATCATTAGAAAAAAAATAATACTGCAACACTCATAGGATTATCTCTGGTCTCAGTACAGATGAAAAGCTAAAACTTGACATTGAATTTCTATTGGGATAGTACAAGATTGTATTAGCTCAGCACACTAGCTATTAATGTGATACACATTGTGAGCTCAGACACGTTTCAATGACAGTTAGAACTTCTTCTTCCATCTGTGCTGATCCCTCAGTGAACTTGTTCCTCTCTGGTGGCATTAAGGGACACTAAGTACAATTATGGTAACAAGCAACCACGTCATTCACAGCCCAAGTCAATTTATAAAGCTCTGAGAGAATGAATTCATGTCTAGTCTGGGTTTATTTTCCATGCAAAAAATGATACCAGGTTGAATAAAGGGTCTGTGTGTGTTAATGATTATTTTATTTATTTACAGAGGCTACTCCAAAATTCTAGATCTGGCTGGTTCAGTTCAGTCTTTTTAATTTACAATCCATTCAGTTCAGTCTTTTAAATTCACAATCCACAGTTCTGATCTTACTTCAGAAACTTTTCCCAACTTTTTTTTTCAGTCTCTTTCCCAATGTAGAGGTAGCAAGGCAATGTGCTTAATTAACCACAAAATTTTCTTATTGTAGTAACTTTAATATGGGATGTTGCCTTTGCTCCACTTCATCAAAAGTTAACATTTTCTTCATTCACAAGAATGAAAACAGCAGCTCCTTCATCTTGTGTCATTTACTATTCCTAAAAAGATGGAAAACCTTCTGAATTTACTAACCTAATATATTTCTATTAACACAATACTTTCAAGTATTCATCATAAAATGTAAATTTTCACTTTAAAATCCACCCTTATTTTATTCTGATTCAATAAATTTCTCTTCTATTCAATTCTACCTAACAGTCCTTTTGACCTTTATTTTTTTTTTTCTGCTGAAACATAGTGAACGCCAGAGGTGGAGAGATGAAGAACAGTTTCTAGCCATTCAATAGTATGGTCCTCATATTGATATTTCAGGTTTTATCCTGATCTTAGTGAGGAGTGTGAGATTAGAGAAGGGAGGCCTAGGGACAGGTTAAGGAGGTGTGGCCTAAGTGAATCTTTTCCTCTGTCAGCTACGCTAAAGCCACCTCAAATCCCTAACTGGAGTATTTATTCACATGCCTCAAGAATAAGACATTGTGTTAGTTTGACTTTGTTTGTTTCTTTCTTTTTTGAACCATTATTTACAGATATCATTGCATTTTAAGATGTAAGAGGAGGTAAACATGAAGTGTAACTAAATTATTCAAGGAGAAAGCTAGCTTCTGAAGAAGAAGAAGGAGAAGAAGAAGAAGGAGAAGAAGAAAAAGCATTACGGATTTTCTCTCTGGAAAGGTGAAGGTTAGGAGGAAATACCAGCAAAGATGAAAAGCATTTAAGGAATAAGCGCCGGAAAAAAATCTCACTTTCCTCATGGAATCCTCAAATACTAAAAATAAGAACAAGCATTTGAGATACTCAAATGAACATTTTGGTTAGAAAAGAACTTTAAGCCTCATAAGAGAAAGTTTTTAATAAGCTAGTTGTGGTCTTTGTTGACACAAAGAGTAAAATAAGCTCCTTTGAAGATAAGAAGTGTCTGGAACCTTCTGAAGGAGAAGTCATGGGGGATGATGTGCATGTCCTTCATGTTTCCTGGTGTTTCTGTGACTGTTCTTACCAATGGCACTACAGCTCTGGCCAAAATACTATTGTAAACTCCTACTGTAAACTCCTCCTACTCCTGCTTAACTTCATCTTCCCACAGGTGTGTGACCCTATGTGCTCTGGAAGAGAAAAAGAAAAACATCTGTCTGTATTTATATGTCATGCATTTAGTTTTATAAAATAAAGACATCATCTTATTCTTTTTTAAAAGCCAAGTTACATCATGCAGGCCATTGTTTATTGTAGTGATTGTTACGTGGAACAGGGGTAATGGTGCCCACTGGCAAGGCTACATTCTTTCCAGGCTCTATTGCAGAACAAAAGGAGCTCACTGTCCAATGCACTAGAAGCCAATACTATGACACTGGAATTTTGGAAGAAAAAAAAAGCTTTGTATTGCAAGTTGACTCAACAAGGAGATCGGAGTGTGAAGCTCAAATCTGTTTCTCTGTGCTGTTTTCAAAGTGGTAATATTATTAGAAAAGGTTTAGGGCAGGGATGTTCAATCTTTTCGCTTCCCTGGGCCACGCTGAAAGAAGAAAAATTTTCTTGGGCCACACAGAAAACACACTAATACTAATGATAGTTGATGAGTTAAAAAAAAGTTGCAAAAGAAATCTCATAATGTTTTAAGAAAGTTTATGAATTTGTCTTGGGCCGCATTTAGTTATCACTGGCATGGGCTCCTGATAAAAGAAGAAGTTCAGCTCTCATTTTCTCTCTTTATCTCATGAACTTTCAGCCTGTCTTGTCCTCTTTTGCCATGTGATACCTTTTGCCGTGTCTGAGGCAGCACGAAGTCACTTCCCAGATGTGACCCTTCAATCATGGACTTCACAGCCTCCAGAACCATGAGCCAAATACATCTCTTTTCTTGATAAATTTCCCAGTCTATGGTATTCTGTTACAGCAACATAAAATGAACTTAGACACTGTGTCTTCCAGGCTTTGTTTAAATCCTTTGTTTTCTTGGAGCAATTCTTATGGTAATTCCTAAGGATGTGTAGACTGTAAGTTTTCTGAATTCGGGTGGATGCATCTGAGAATGTCTTATTATTTCTCAAACTTGAATGATGGACTAGATATAGAATATGAGGTTGAAAATAATTTTCTACCACTATATAGACAGTTTTCCTTCTCTGTCTTTAGCTGTTTGTTTATTTAATGCAATATTAGTCGATTGCAATAGCAGACTGTCTTTCCTTTGTGGTCATTTTCCCCTTCTTTCCTGGAAGTATTGGATCTTCTTTTTATCCTTGGCATTATGAAATTTCATAGTGATGTATGTAAGAGTTGCAATTTTAAAACATGACCTCTAAGTTCTTTGATACTTCTCTTATTGAGAGGTGGAGTTTATATTCTCTCCTATTGAATTTGGACTTGTCACTGCTTGTCACAAATAAAGTCAAAGACTGCCTCAACAAATAAAGTTTATAGAAGATGACACTAGGTGACTTCCGAGGTTAAGTCATGAAAGACCTTGCCCCTTCCACCTGGTTCTTGTGGAACTCTAGCTCTCTGGAAGCTCCATGTTGTTCTCAGAGCCTAGCTGCCTTGTTGTAAAAAGCCATGGCCCTGTATAGAAGTCATGTGTAGGTGATCAGGTTGACAGCCTTGGGCCGAACTTAGTCTTTAAGATCAGCCCAGCCCAAGTACCAGAAACATGAGTGGAGAAGCCTCAAGAGGATTCTACTCTCTAGCTGTTTGGATCACTCCCAGCCATTCAAGTCTTCCCAGTTTAGAACCAAAACATCATGGAAAAGAGTAAAGCCATCCTCACTGTCTTCTATATGAATTCCTCATCCACAAAATCCATGATTATAATAAAGTAGTTGTAGTTTTATGCCACTGACTATTGGGTGATTTGTTATACAGCAGTAGACAACTGAAACAGTAGATATAAATCTCTCTTTAGTCACCGTTTTAGATACTCAATGGATCATTTTAATCAGAATATTATGGAACATTCTTTCCTGATTTTCGTCCATTCATTTATAGAAAATTCTCTTCTATTATTTCTTTGATAAGATGCATCTGATCATCACCTGTTTTCAAAAATTTATTGGTTATATTTTGGATCTCTCAGAACGATCCTAATGTTTTATCATTTTTTTACATTTTCTATTCCTTTATATTTTTGTTGTAATATGTGGAAAAATCATCTGACTTTATCTTTTCAATGTGTTGCTGAAGTTTTGAATTTCAACAATCATTTATTTTTAAGAGTTTTAAAATTTTATTTTATGGCTTTCCCCTTTTAATAACATCCTCCTCTTATTTCATGGATGGAATGTTTTTAAACCTTTCTGAGAGATTGTTTTAGTCCTTTTGGGATGCTATAACAATATCACAGACTAAGTGTCTTATAAACAACAGAAATTTATTACTCATACTTCTGTAGGATGAGAGTTCCAAGATCAAGGCACCAGCAGATTTGGTGTCTGGTGAGGGACTGCTTCCTCATCATAGATGGTGCATCTCACGTTATCCTCACATGGTGGAAAATGGCAAGGAAGCTTTCTGGAGTCTTTTTTTATGAGGGCACTAATCTCATTCATGGGAGCTTCACCTTCATGACCTAATCACCTCTCAAATACCCCACCTCCTAATACCATCACATTGGAGGTTAGGATTTCAGCATATGAATTTTGGAGAGACACAAAGATTTAGTCTAGTATGCTAACCCTCCCCCTGCCCCCAAATTCAGGTCTTTCTTGCATGCAAAATAAATTAATTCCATCCTAACAGTCCTCAAAAGTCTTAACTTGGTCCAGCATCAACTCTAAAGTCTAAAAGCCAACAGCTCATCTAAACATCATCTAAATCAGATATGGGTAAGACTCAAGGTGTGATTCATTGTGGCACAAATTGTTCTCCAGGTGTGAGCCTGTGAAACTAAATAAGGTGTGTGCTTCCAAAATATAGTGGTGAGATAGGTATAGGACAGACATTTCCATTCCAGAAAGAAGAAACAGAAAAAGTCAAAAGGGGTAAAAGGTCCTGTGTAAGTCCAAACTACAAGGAAAATGGCACAAGATCTCAGGGCTTGAGAATAATCCTCTTCGGCTTGATGCTCTGTGCTCCAGGCCCACTGGGGAAGAGTGCTGCCTTCTAGACCTACTGAGGCAGTGGTTCCATCTTCTAGACCCATTGTGGTGGAAGTCCTGACCCCTTACCTCCAGCTCTACCTGGCAGGGTTTGCAGCCCTAGGGCTCTACTGGGAGGTCCCATGCCCACAGGTCTGGTTGGCCTCTCCCAAATGGCTTTGGGTGACCCTATCCCCCTGGCTGCAGGCAGAGGCTGTCTGGCCTGTTGAAAACAAGGTAATGGTCCCCCATTTTGAAAATGAAAAGGCAGCCCTGATGATCCTGAATCATCTTTGGGGTCATGCTCCCCTTTTCTTAAAGAATAGTGCACATTCTCAGCTGAATGACTCTACAGTTCTGTCCTATAAAATCCAAGAAGTCTGAGAGCCTTCTTTTATTTCTTTCCATCTTCTTCCCCTTCTGTTCAAGCTGGCATCCAGCTGTAATGGCTTATTAAGTTCATGTTTTACACCCATATTAATCTCCTTATCAAAGGGACTCTTGGCCACACCCTTAGTGTTCTCTCTTGAATACACTTTCTCATTTTTTTTTGCAATATGGATAGGCTGAGAGTTTTCAAATCTTTAAGACCTGCTTCCTTTTTGCTTAACAATGACATCTTTAGGAAATTTCTCTCTTCCCATATTTTACTATAGGAAGTCAGAAGTCAAGCTGTGCTTTTAACAATTTGTTTAGAAATAGCATCAACTAAATATTCAACTAATTGCTCACATGTTCTGCCTTTCACAAAACACTAGAACATGGACAAATTCAGGCAAATTCTTTGGCATTTTATAAGAAGGATCACCATTTCTACATTGTCCAATAACGTGTGCTCATTTTCATCTGAGATCTCCTTCAAATAGCCTTTACCATCCATATTTCTACCAACATTCTCTTCAGGATTATTTGTACATCACCTAAGAAGACTGAAGTCTCCTCTTTTATTCCCAAGTCCTCACCATAATTGCTTTATAGGTCTATTCACAGCTGTGATTTTATATAGACATAGTTTTTGTTCATGGTTCCTGGCTCATAACTCCAATAGCTCTTATTATTTTTCCCCAAGGCTGGCCATAAAACTAAAAATATACTCTAATCTTTCCCCACTTTTCTATCTTGGAACAGGTTATAAAGAAATTCTCTGACCTACCTTGTCTGATTGTAGGTCATAAGACCCTAATTTCAGGAGGTGCTTGGGCTCATACCCTGCGGGAAGGAATGCTGCACAAAGAGGAAAAGCCAATGAAAATATGAGCAGGCAGGCCTTGCTGGATTTCCCTACTCAGTCTATTAGTACTAGGTTATAGCTTTTTAGTCCAGTCACATTTCTACATGGTCGTCCATGCTTCAATTATGCCTAGCCAATGAAGTTTTCATGAAAGGCCCAAGAGGTTGTAAAGAAGGCTGTATGGAGAGCTTCTGAATAGCTGAACATCTGAAGCTTCCTGGAGGGTAGAGTGCCTGGGGAGGGGATAAAAACGATGCACTCCTTCCCCTATAACTTTCCCTATGCATCGCTTCATCTGTATCCTTTGTAGTAAATCAGTAAACATAAGTGTTTCTATGAGTTCTGTGAGCTGCCTTAGCATATTAATTAAACCCAAGGAGGGAATCATGGGAACCCCAAGGTATCGCTGGTTGGTCAGAACCACAGGGAAGATAACCTGGAGCTTGCAATTGGCGTTGGAAGTAGGAGATGGCCTTGTGGGACTGAGCCCTTAACCTGCAGGATCTGATGCTATCTCTAGGTAGACAATATCAGAACTGAATTGGAGGATACTCAGCTGGTGTCCACTGAAGAACTGATTGCTTTCTTATTAGTTGGGGGAGGTCTCCACACATTTGGTGATAGAAGTCTTATGTATTGATTGTTGTGTGTGAGAGCAGTTTGTATTTTGTCCACTCACAACAGCAATGTAGACTTTGTCTAGAATGGACCTCAGAACTCTTCCAGCCTTTATCCCTTACTGAGTTCTAAAGCTGCTTCCACATTTTTAGGTATTTGTTATAGCAACACCGATTTCTCAGCACCAGTTTCTATATAGTCAGCATTCTTCAGAGAAACAGACCATTATGATATAAACATAGATATAGTATAGATATACAAAAAGAGATTTATTATGAGGGATTGGCTCTTGTAATTATGTAGGCTGAGAAGTCTCACGATCTAGTCCCTCAGCATAGTACACGATGGGTTGATCTTCAATCCGCACCCTCCTCCCACCCTGCTTTAATTCTTAAAAGAGCTGGTTGTGTATTCCTCTTGGCAACTTTCTTGTCTGTTATAATGTGGCAAAATTTAGGAGCAGCTGACTCAGACCTCCACATGGAATCTATGTACTGAGATGGTAGAACTGTCTACCCACCTTGCCTACCTCTGTATAAAAGAAAATAAACTTCCAACTTTTGAAGTCATACTTAAAATTTACCATGAGCTGGCACAGTTCTAAGAGCTTTTATGAATTAATAAATATAATCCTCACAACAATCCTACCTTAGGAAGTAGCACTATTATTATTACTATTATGCAAATTAAAAAGTTGCAAAGAGGATAAATTTTCTCAAACCCACCGACAAAGTAGTTGAGAGAGTTAGATTCAACCCAGGCAGCCTGGTTTCAGAGCTCAGACTCTCAATCACCTTGATATATTGTTTATTCCTTGTGCAATGTGTTGTGGTATCTGACCTTTATAGACAAAAAACATATGCAGTCGGGAGTCATTTTGCCAAATGTTGCAGTCAGATGTTAATTTGAAACCATTAGTTATAGGAGAAGCCTTAAGTACAGGGAGATATATGCCAAACATATTATATAAATGCTAATAGAAGTTAATGAGTAAGAATGCACTTGATCCACCAAAATTACTCCAGTGAGGAAAGGATTGCAATTTTGTACCTGCCCATTGACTTTTTAAATGCAAATTTCATTGAAATACAAAAAGAAAGTAAAAAGAAAGTACACGAGTATGGCAACACGATCTATTTTTCAAAGTGTACGTATCACAGCATGACCACTTCCAAAAAGCCCTCCATGCCCCATCCAGTCATTATACATTGCCGTTTATTTATTTTACTTTTGTATTTTATTTGTTTGAGACAAAGTCTCACTCTGTCGTCCAGGCTGGAGTGCAGTGACACAATCTCGGCTCACTGCAACCTCCGCCTCCTGGGTTCAAGTGATTCTCCTGCCTCAGTCTGCCAAATAGCTGGGATTGCAGGCGCATGCCACCATACCCGGCTAATTTTTATATTTTTAGTAGAGACAGGGTTTCACCATGTTGGCCAGGCTGGTCTCGAACTCCTGACCTCAGGTGATCCGGCCTTCTTGGCCTCCCAAAGTGCTGGGATTTCAAGCTTGAGCCACTGTACCTGGCCTACATTGCCTTTTAAAGGGGCATTTCTAATTTACTGTCAGTAATTGGAACACTAGCATGCTGTGTATTCATATAAACTCACTTTGTATATACATACATACATACATACATGTATTTGCCTGTCTTTTAACAGGACAATCTTCCAAATAAACAGATGTGGATGTTAAGAAAGAACGGCTCTTGGTGAAGCCCTATCCTCTAGTGCCTGTGAGAAGAGGCATCAAGCTCTGGCAACTTCCTTGCTCAATAAACCTCATTTACAAATCTGGACACAATGAGTCAAACTTCATCTTCTGGGAACTTCTATTACTGCTTCTATGGTACCATTCTCTCTTTGGCTCTCAGCTTGGGTTTTCTCTATGGGGATGCATATAGGCCTGGCCATTTTGACTTTGCAGGCTTTCAACTCTTCTTCCTTGGGCTATAGTTTTGGGTTTGGCAGCGTTAGCTCCAGTGGCTGGGACCTTGGCTAGGTAAACTGTGGTACCAGAGGAAATAGAAATGATAGCAGTGCTAAGTCAAGGGGATTTGGCACTGGATGGGGATGTAGCAGCTACTGAAGGTTGAAGATTCAGCTGAACTTGAGCCTACAGCATTAACCAAAGCCACACACTTTAAAATCCAGGGATTATGGATTTATGCAGATTTATACAATTGTTTTGTTTTTCTAGGCTCTGACAATCATTTCTTAGCTAATGACAAATTGTTGCCTTGGTCTTTCCAATACAACAGTCACCATCTGTAGCTGTCAAAATTCCAGATTTTATTTACTCGAGACTGAGCTCTGTTGACGTTGACTCTTGAGTTCACTTTTCTAGAAGGAAATTCTGAACATGCTACCTTCTTTATTTTTGTTCTACTTATTAAATAAGTATAATGATGTCACCAAAGTCAACAAGATGATCACATATTTTTATTTATTTTAGTGGCTTCATTCAGTAGATTTTGTTTTCTAGGTGTGCTCAGTTTTGATGAATATAATCTGAAATATGTGATAAGGAGCCTTGGACTAAAATTTTGTAGGAGTGTTTTTAATTGTGACCACGGTCACTCACCCAGGCTCTCTGTGACATTTAAAAAATTCCAGTGAGTGTATGTCCGTTTTGGGCTCTTGCCATGGTCTGATTAGGCACAGGGTTGGGTCTCACAATATCGGATCCTGCCCCCAGACTGTCATGGTAAGGAATGGAAATGGCTATGACCTCTGCTGGAGGCCCAAGAAAGGCAAGTGGGGCCATGTCTTGTCTGTTCATGTGGGCCAGAGTATTAGTCAGACTTAAACTTCTATTCTTTTTTTTTTTTTAAATCAGAATGTTGAGGTTGACACTCCCAAGAAAAGGTATCTGAAATCAATGCTTTTCTTTGAATCAACAGCTTAACTGGCTTACATTTTTTTAATTATTATACTTTAAGTTGTAGGGTACATGTGCACAACGTGCAGGTTTGTTACATATGTATACATGTGCCATGTTGGTGTGCTGCACCCATTAACTCTTCATTTACATTAGGTATATCTCCGAATGCTATCCCTCCCCTCTCCCCCAACCCCATGAGAGGCCCCAGTGTGTGATGTTCCCCTTCCTGTGTCCATGTGTTCTCATTGTTCAATTCCCACCTATGAGTGAGAACACGCGGTGTTTGGTTTTCTGTCCTTGTGATAGTTTGCTGAGAATGATGGTTTCCAGCTTCATCCATGTCCTTACGAAGGACATGAATTCATCCTTTTTTGATGGCTGCATAGTATTCCATGGTGTATATGTGCCACATTTTCTTAATCCTGTCCATCATTGATGGACATTTGGGTTGGTTCCAAGTCTTTGCTATTGTGAATAGTGCCGCAATAAACATATGTGTGCATGTGTCTTTGTAGCAGCATGATTTATAATCCTTTGCGTATATACCCAGTAATGGGATGGCTGGGTCAAATGGTATTTCTAGTTCTAGATCCTTGAGGAATCGCCACACTGTCTTCCACAATGGTTGAACTAGTTTACAATCCCACCAGCAGGTAAAAGCATTCCTATTTCTCCACATCTTCTCCACCACCTGTTGTTTCCTGACTTTTTAATGATCGCCATTCTAATTGGTGTGAGATGATGTCTCATTGTGGTTTTGATTTGCATTTCTCTGATGGCCAGTGATGAAGAGCATTTTTTCATATGTCTTTTGGCTGCATAAATGTCTTCTTTTGATAAGTGTCTGTTCATATCCTTTTCCCACTTTTTGATGGGGTTGTTTGATTTTTTCTTGTAAATTTTTTTAAGTTCCTTGTAGATTCTGGATATTAGCCCTTTGTCAGATGGGTAGATTGTAAAAATTTTCTCCCATTCTGTAGGTTGCCTGTTCACTCTGATGATAGTTTCTTTTGCTATGCAGAAGCTCTTTAGTTTAATTAGATCCCATTTGTCTATTTTGGCTTTTGTTGCCATTGCCTTTGGTGTTTTAGTCATGAAGTCCTTGCCCATGCCTATGTCCTGAATGGTATTGCCTAGTTTTCTTCTAGGGTTTTTATGGTTTTAGGTCTAACATTTAAGTCTTTAATCCATCTTGAATTAATTTTTGTATAAGGTGTAAGGAAGGGATCCAGCTTCAGCTCTCGACATATGGCTAGCCAGTTTTCCCAGCACCATTTTTACATTTTAAGGCCTACTGGAGATTTTGATGTAGAAGATTTCTGTTCTGTTCCTGTCAAAATTTTAACTACAAATTTCATGGCCAATGGGTCAGAGTGTAAGAGGTCAGCTAACTACCTGAATCCTTTAGGTCTGAGGTCACCAAACCCTTTGATAGTCTCTGTGACACTGGGGACTTTAAGTCTATTCACTTCAAATGGAAAGGGTTTTGGAACCAACATAGTATTCAGTGTTTATTAATACTGCTAATTTTGTTTTCATATGATTAGGTCTGCAATCTCCAACCTTTTGTTTTACCGCTTAATTGGATACAACTATTTTATTTAAAGTCAAACACTTTCTGAATTCTTTTCATATTCCACTTTTTTGGCCAAACCACACCTGATAAATCATAAAGTGCTATCTGATTGGATTTCACCCATCTTTTCAGAATTTGCCTCTGTGATTCCAAAACTTAAGTCCAGTTACAAAGAGTCTTCCCGGAAGCTCAGCGCTATGCTTCAGTGTTATCCGTTAAGTTGGTTTCCAGATGTGCCATCATCTACTACAGCATATGGCTCTTGTTTTCGAATGGTATTTTAGGAGCCTTATACATGTATACATTTTTTTGAAATGAAGTGATTAACTCACACCTTTTGAGAAGCAGACATGGTTATATATATTATTTGTGTGTGTATAAATATATACATATATGTATATATTTATTATTTTCTACAATAAATCATTTAATTAAAATGCTTTGCTTTCTCTTCTTGAATGCAATATTTTTGTTTGTTATATATACACACACGTGCATATATATATAATAGAACATATACAAACATATATAAGAAAGAGAAAATGATAAAGAGATTTAAATTAAGAGAATTTGGCTGGGCACGGTGGCTCACGCCTGTAATCCCAGCACTTTGGGAGGCCCAGGCAGGCAGATCATGAGGTCAGGAGATGGAGACCATCCTGGCCAACATGGTGAAACCCCGTCTCTACTAAAATACAAAAAATCAGCCAGGCATGGTGGCGTGCGCCTGTAGTCCCAGCTACTCAGGAGGTTGAGGCAGAGGAATGCTTGAACCCAGAGGTGGAGGTTGCAGTGAGCCAAGATCGCGCCACTGCACTCCAGCCTGGTGACAGAGCAAGACTCCATCTCAAAAACAAACAAACAAACAAACAAAAAGTTTTTGGCCAGGGGTTGCCAACTGGAAGAGAGCCCAATGTAGCTAATACACATGCTTTCTGAGTTGCACATTCGTTTTAAATTTTTATTTTGGGGGGCTTTTAGATAGAGCATGTGTTCTGTTAGCTGTAATCCCCAAAGTCTTGGTTGTGTTTTAACTCCAATGATTTACATATTTATATTCTTGCATAACTCTTACAGGTGCATGAGCCTACCATCAATGTTTTAGACTTTTTAATGCAATAAGCAAATGTTTTAGTTTTGAAAATACTGAAGCCAGTATTTCAAAATTTAGTGTATTTTATTTTAGTATCATCTCTATTCCATTGTGGTCCATTTAGCTCCAGGTGAAAATAGAAACTGACTACTCTTATTTTTTAAATCATTTTTTTAACCTCCGCCTTTGAGATTTCTGAAGCGTTCTTTTCATATTACAGACTTATTTCTATCATGCTAATTCTACTCTTTATTCAATGTATTAAAAAGTTCTGGCCAGGCACGAGGTGGCTCACGCCTGTAATCCCAGCACTTTGGGAGGCTGAGGCAGGCGGATCACAGGGTCAGGAGATCGAGACCATCCTGGCCAACATGGTGAAACCCTGTCTCTACTAAAAATACAAAGATTAGCTGGGGGTGGTGGCGCACGCCTGTAATCCCAGCTACCTGGGAAGCTGAGGCAGGAGAATCGCTTGAACCCAGGAGGTGGAGGTTCCAGTGAGCAGAGGTTGCACCACGGCACTCTAGCCTGGCGACAGAGTGAGACTCCATTTCAAAAAAAAAAAAAAAAAAATATATATATATATATATATATGAACATATATATGTTCTATTACTGTGTTTTGCAATATTTTACTATATTATTTGAAACATTTTCACTACAACTTGCATCTCAGAAAATTTCCCTATTTATCTCATCTTGTCTTTTTTTATCTTATGTTTATATTTTATTTCCTAGAGTTTTTATTTAATTGAATTTTATGGAGGTTACAACATATACATTCTTTAACATTTTCTTTTCTCTATAATAAATTATTTAAAAATGTTTTAGTTTTTCTTCTTGAGTGCAATATTTTCTTTTCATTTCTTGTAGAATCTGTTCATTGGCAGTGAAAATCATTTTGTTTTGTGGTAAGGTTTTAGTAAAGTTTTAAAACCAGCTGTATTTCATCCATCTATTTATAGTAAATTCAAAGTGAACTCTTCTCCCTTAGTGTAGTCAATAGCTACTATATATAACTTCGCATAGTCCAGAAAGAACAAAAATCGCTATATGTTGAATAAGGATTTATTTTGTTTCTTTCTAAATTTATTATGTGTCTATTCCCTCTTTGCTGCTTTTTTGTGTTTAGTGGATGTTTCTTCTGCCCAAATAAACATGCTCACTTGGACAATGCCAGCATGAATTTGCATACAACATGAAGTGTTTCTGTCATTTGGGCAAAACTTGTACATGTTTTGGAAGCAAATAATTCATCATATGTCTTTCCCTCATGCATTAGTTAGAGCCAGTTTCAAAAAATAAGCATAGGTTCTCAGCAGATGGCTATTGAAACTGTCTTAGCTTTGTTACCTAGAAATGAATAAGAAAATGCAGCCTGTTCACACCTGGACTCTAATGCTTCTTCTCACTCACCCCCAAATAATGCTTAGGGCACAGCCACAGGTAAGCACCAGAAAACCACAAGTTACCACATCAGGGCAGACAGAAAACCACGTGGCAAAGGAGAATAATATACATATTCTCAGAGGGAACCCAGGAGAAATTGAACCTAACCTGCCTAGTTCTTTCTCCCACTCTCATCAAATCAGATAATAAGAAGGAATGAATGTGGAGCGTTATCCTATACCTCCACTCCCCACCCCAAGAAGTGAAAGTTTTGTCTTTAAGGACACAGGAGGATTAGGGGATAATTGTTCTCTCTCATAGCACAGTGGATAATAGAAAAAAAAAAGCCATTCTAAAATTCCTATGGAATGACAAAGGGCCTCAAATAGCTAAAGCAATCCAGAACAAAAAGAACAAAGCTGGAGATAGCATCACACTAACAGGTTTCAGATTATACTGCAAAACTATAGTAACCAAAACAGCATGATACTGGCATAAAAATGAATCATATATTTTTAGTCAGCAATGGGGATGTTTCCTGGCACTCCACAAAGTGGACATCAGCAAGGGTCCTCTTTCTGTATTTCCTGAAACAACATTTAACATGGTGTGTGTGTGTGTGTGTGCGCGCGCGCGTGTGTGTGTGTGTGAAACTGATGACTTTTTCATATTTCAAGTTTGTGAGAAGACATTTTTTCGAAGTCAATTTTTTTCTTTCTGGTTCCAAAGCCAATTTCACCCTTAAGTTGTAGAGCTACGCTAGTAAAAATGCATACATGGTTCACATAAGACTGTTGCCAGATTTCAGCTGCATATATTGCATTTGTTTTACATTGAGCTTAAGAGAAAAAAAGTTATAGAATCATAAAATCTGAGTTGTGAAGGACCTTGTATATGATGTAGTGTAACTTTTTACTTACTCCGTTTAATATTAAAATCTCTTCAACGACATTCAATAGTTGTCCATCCTCCTCTTTAATAGTATTCACTATTCTCAGAAAATGAATGACATATAGTCTCCTGTAGCTGCCTGCAATTATTTCTAATTCTAGTGTCTGTGAGTAATTTTAATAGCTATTCAAATATTTGGAAGTAATTGTTATTTCTTCTGTGTTTTTAAAAGCTAAGCTCAAAAGCCCAAGTTTCTTTAACCTTTTTGTACATAAATGTGTTTTCAAGCACTCTGTCCTTCTACATGACATCAACATTTATAAATTTACCTCTTAAAGTGCAATGCCAAGATCTCACCGTGTGGCTGCAGCTATTGTCTAGCAAAAGCATAGTATAATTTTCTCCATTGTGAATCTGTTAATAAAACCTAAGAGCGAGAAATAACAAACCCTTAAAGATCATTTCTACTCTTAGTCTCCTCACATTATACAGACTATTAAAGCTTACCTAACTCAATAAAAATTTCATTGATTTTGTTATTTTTTCTAGTTGTTATACATATTATTATTAAAATTTTACTCATTGATTCAACTTTCATCTCTTGATGAAAAATAATTTTAAATGTTTAAAAGTATTATTTTATGATTTTAAATGTTTAAATTTCTTAACTTTGGATAATGCATATCTGATTTAACAAGATGAAAATGTATCAGAAAGCAACACTTCAGATTATGCCATATCTCATTTTCTAAACAATATCTCTTTGATGTGAGATTTCAAGACACATTTTTTTTATCCCTAGCAGTTAAATATATAATGCAAATGGAATTTAATTCACTGGGTTTTAGAATTCACTGTTAGTTGTTAGAGTATTTGTGTTAATTATGAGTGGTTGACAAGAAGAAATTGCATTTTAATGCTCATGACACATATTTCATCCTTATCATCTTATTTAACCTCCAAACAGTCCTTTTGAAATAATAATATTTCTATATTAGAGGTTTACAAACTGGTTAGCACGTGTCCGAATTAGGAGGACGTTGACCCTAGGTCAGCTCAATCCAGATGGTGTACTTTTCCTTCTACCCTGTGACCAGTTGGGAACATGGATTTGAATTCATCAGTCAGTTAGTAATGTCTTTAATGCAATGTCCATGTTATTAGCTGCTGCTCATGGGGCCTTGGTCCTTGCTGGGCTACAATGGGTTTTGATGACCTTGGGGTCACAGATCATGGACAAGGCGCTTCTTAGATTAATGTGTTTGGTGATGTGTTTTCTGCAATAACATTTTCGAACTGGCTAAGTTTCAAAGATCAATTTTGAGTTAATGGATGCTGTCAGTACATTAGCCACATGCATAGTTCTTAAGAATCCAGCTAGTCTTTATCCAGAAATTATCTCTTTAGATATTAAGTGCTCAAGGACAGCTTTCCTACATTTTAAAAGGTGCCTGTTTATTTATTTTTCTCTGTTTGCTCTGTTTAAGGGAGGTAAAGATTTTCTGTTTTTGTTTTCTAATAAATGGTCACAGATGGTAAAGCAACTGCGGCATTCACATCTTTTCACTTATTTAAATTGTTTCAAGTGGTGTACCTTGGGCCTGACAGTTGCAGGCAGCTCAAGGAATCATTTTCATATTTATCTCCTTCAGAGCATTTACTCTCACATGACAATAATGAGCAGAGTGTCGAAAGCATATACTTTATGTAGACGATTAAGTCTTTGCTAAGATGTGATGGTACATATTAATTCACAGCTCCATTAGGTGAGATCTTGGATTTATTGTCTTATACCAAGCTTCAGTTTCAAGATTTTTAATCTTCGAAGTGTAGTAGCAAGTATGCTATCTTAAATGTCAGCATTCTTCATCAGCCAAGTTTTTGACCTAGCTAATTCAGTTACTGTTGGAAGTGGAGAATGGGGGAGAGGATAGAATACGCAGATTTCTCTTCTAAAAGTTTTTGTTCAGTGTTGACTTCACTGTAGGTGAAATAGTACCTAGGATGTGGTTATGGCACTCTTTTTTATTTTTTTTTTTTGAGACAGAGTTTCACTCTTGTTGGCCAGGCTGGAGAGCAATGGCACAATCCCAGCTCACTGCAACCTCCGCCTCCCGGGTTCAAATGATTCTCCTGCCTCAGCCTCCCAAGTAGCTGGGATTACAGGCATGCGCCACCACATCCAGCTAATTTTGTATTTTTAGTAGAGACGGTTTCTCCATGTTGGTCAGGCTGGTCTTGAACTCCTGACCTCAGGTGATCCACCTGCCTCGGCATCCCAAAGTGGCTCATGGTGGCGTGAGCCACCATGCCTGGCTGGTTATGGCACTCTTAAAGATCCCTGGAAATGAAATTTCCACCCAAATGATTCCCTTCTGTCACTGAAATTTCACCAATTAAAGATCAATGGTCATATAAGTTAATTTCACAAAATTGGTGTATTCAGCGTCTTCCACCCACTCCCCAACCCCTACATCCTGCTGTCCATACCTAACTGGGACTGTTTGGCTCTGAGAGAATGGCATTTTTATGAGAAAAGAGGAGAAGCAATTATAGAGTCTAGTGGTAAGTTTTAAAAAGAGTTTTCTGTGGGAGACTCACAGGGCCTTGAAATATTCTTGGCAGACAAAACACAAATTTATTAATATAGTAATGGAAATAACTCGCTGACTTAAAAGTCTGTTAATCTCAATTGTAATTCTGACTAGAGACAGAGAAATTTAATTTATTCATTTTTTATTCATTCCTCAGCTAGTCAAAAAGTAATGCTCTTTGTTAGTGTAAACTGCAGCCCACTGGAGTGGAAATAGACTTTGTCCAGGCTCAATTCTGCAAAGGGATCATGCTTCTCAGAATTCTGAATATTAGATACAACATTGTCTGCAAGTGTTCATTTGTTCCTGCAGTTAAGGTACTGTGCTTCTTGAATAATACCTGATGAGTGTCCTTTTATAAAGAAATATTGCAAAGATAAAGAAATTAATAGTAGAGAATGAGTGAATCAAAACTTTATATAAAATTTTCTAATATTTAGCTTTTGTAGAGTCTGCGTGTGTACCAGGACCCCAAAATAATATGCAAATATAAATGTAGTGTTATTCTGGAATTAATTGTGATACATTGTAAACTGACTCCCTTGTATGAGTTCTGTTCTTACCATGTGCTACCCTTAAAGCTAGTCTTGCGAATTGCCACATCTTAAAAAGTGCCACAAACTTCAACATCAAGGCATTTGATAGAGAATAAAGGGAAGGAGATGACATGCATACCTTGCAACTAAAGTTCCTGAAATTATTCTTTTCATCTGTCTTTCCCTCTCCAAAGTTCGCTCCCCATGGAATTGCCACTTGGTTTCTTCTCATGGCCAGTGTTTTCACCTCTTCATTTCTTGCTCTGCGTCTTATTCCTCTGCTTCCTCCTGGCTCCCTTCTTCAGTCATAATTTCTCTAGCCTGCCTCCTTCTCCTCTGGATTCTTTCTTCTACAACATGTCTTATTATCCCTGTTCTTAGGGAAGTTAATTTATAATTTTCTCAGTTTCCCAAAGTTTCGTCCATATGTGTCACTCAACTCAGCCAAGGAGTAATCATTCGGAGGTATCCAGTACAGCTAGACAGGGTGCGTGCATGGACTGTTTTCTTCCTGTTGTATATTGCTCCTTCACTGGAGCTTGGCAAACTCACAGTTAGGTAGGTCTAAGGAATATGTCTGCAATTCTCGTTGTAAGGAACTCATGGTCTAATTAGAGTAAAGAAAAAACTTAAAGGGTACATTTGCTTGAACAAGGGTTCTAATTTGCTCTCACAAGGGCTAATGGAATTCAGAGGTAAGCAAAACCACTTCGGATGAGTTGGTCAGGTTATTTTCTCAGAAGAGGTGACATGTAACTGAATCATGACTGAAATGAAGCTATCTCAAAGGCAGAGGCGATTTCAGAGAAGGGGTCATTCCAATAAGTAGGGGAAATAAAAAGTAGAAAATTGGAGTAGGAAATAGCAATGCACATGTGGGAAATGGTGATCACTGAAGTTCCCCGTTGCACAGAATGGAAGAGGAATGGGGAGTAAATGATATGCTTGGAAAGTTTGGCTGGGGACAGATTGTGGAGGGCTTTATTTTCTATTGAAAAGTTTGAACTTCAGTAGCAATGGGGAACGGATGAGAGCAGTTGAACAGGCCAATAGCATAATGACGCAAGGCTTTACAAAGACACATTTGAACAATTGCAAAATGGGTAGGAAGAGGAAAGTCTGAAATCAGAGAGATATTAGAAGCCATTGTGATATTTTAGGAAAGACATAAGATTTTAAGTTATTTCTGATCTTGGCATTTGATATTTCTTTACTAAAAGTACAGAAGAAAATTTTTCTTTTCTTTCTTTTTTTCTTGCATATTGATTTAGAGTTCACAAAATTTGGCTTCCTGTTTGAACAGATGTGATGGTTCATTTGTTAATAACTCCTTGAAATTCGAGCATTTATGTGGAAGGATGTTTTACAAGTTTTATATTTCTTTGAAAGGAAATAAAAGGATAAGATTGCAGTGTTTCTTAGTATTTTGAAAATGAATGAATGACTTGCAGAGTACATGTAAAAATATAAAAAGCATAACATTATCTTTTTGTCAATTGCTTTTTTCTATTATGAGACAAGATGCAGAAGAGAGTTTCTGAGGATATTGGAAAATGAAATACATCTTTCTCCTTTATTAAAAAGATGTAACATACCGTGTCACTCTATTATGCTTGAGTTCCTGTTAAACTTTTCACTAAAAGTAGTGAAGATTTTAATGTGCAAGACAGGTTTGTATGATTCAGGGGCTATGACGAAGCTGGGGAACTTTTTTTTTTTGGAGACAGTCTCACTCTGTCGCCCAGGCTGCAGTGCAGTGGTACAGTCTTGGCTCACTGCAACCTCCACCTTCCAGGTTCAAGTGATTCTCCTGCCTCAGCCTCTCGAGCAGCTGGGACTACAGGCATGTGCCGCCACACCTGGCTAATTTTTGTATTTTTGGTAGAGACGGGGTTTCACCATTTTGGCCAGGCTTGTCTCGACCTCTTGACCTCGTGATCCACCTGGCTCGGCCTCCCAAAGTGCTGGGATTATAGGCGTGAGCCACCGCGTCCAGCCTAGCGGGGGAACTGTTTTTTAGATTAACTTCTATTCATATCTTTGAAATAAAGCCATTGTAAAATAAACTCTGTTAAGCTTTCTAAAAACTTTTATGGTTCATTGATTCACTGTTGGCAATGAATTATTTTAAGGAAATATAACCTTCCATTTAATTGTAAACCACTGATTTGTATTTCTCATGCTCCATATGAGACAGCCCACAGAATGGGCCACTGTTCTTTGATGCCCTGGTTTAACTGCCCTCTCTTTTGGCATAGAACTGCCATTTTATCTATTTAAAAATCATTAATAAATTACAGAGTTCTCCTTTTGGTGTCTAATATCCTAAATTTCCTTCCGAAATAGTTTGCCATTTTCTTCTCCTTAGTTATGTAAAAGTAAGTGTACATCCTTCTGCTTATTTATTCATTTTAGAGACATAATCTCTTTCTGTTGCCCAGGCTGGAGTACAGTGGTGCGGTCATAGCTCACTGTAACCTCGAGCTGCTGGCCTCAAGCAGTCTTCCTGCTTCGGCCTCCCAAAGTGCTGGGATCTTAGGCATGAGCCACCATGCCTGACTTCTATTTAATTTTGCTTAATACATGCTCTTCATTAATATTTGTCATGGTCTAAATGTTTTCATAGAAGTTACATATTTAGTTTGAGACATGATACAAGTACTTATTTCATTCAGACTCAAATCCTGTGTACAGCATAAAAATGTGGAATTATGTAATTTTCATCTGTTAAGATTGGTGCAAAAGTTATTGTGGTTTTTTGCCATTACTTTCAATGACAAAAGCTGCAATAACTTTTGCACCAATGCAGTATTATTTTATGGATGATGAGAAGCTAGTAAATATTTGTGTGAAGTGTCAATACTTAGGGAAAAAAAAGAGAAGAGATGGGACTCTCAGAAGTCAATGGCTCTTGAAATAAATACAATGATAGGTAGTGGTATTATTTTTATTAAATTTTATTATAAAACCTCCAAATGTTACCAGTTCACTTATTTGTGTATCATTAACAATTCATGGAATTAAAACAAATCTTTTTCTCAACCCATTGTAGTAATTTTTATTTTTGTGCTTATGTTATGCCAACTTTGGCCAGTAGGAATACTCTCAGGTTGCCTTCTGTCCTTTTGCTGTGACTTCAGGTGTCTTTGACAGCTCATGTGCTTTCAGGCACAGGTGGTTCAAGCTCATTTCATGCATTTCTTCCTCCAGACCTGGAAGTAGTAATTTTCCTAAGGAGCTCTTTCCTATTGATATAAATTGACATTAAGAGCACATAGTCTTGATGCTGAGTCCACATTGCTACTGAGTTGTCATTACAGACAGTTTTAATAAACAGAGCCAGGGGATCTGTATTTTTTTGAAAGAGAAACATAAATAGTGAATCTTTTCTGATATTTCAAATTCACATTTACTTCTTTGATTTTTAAACTTCTTTTTTTCCTCTTAAGCTGAAAATCTTAGTTTTTCATTTACATTGTCTTATAATTACCTATGGCAGTTCAAAATAATAAAACATGTCATTGTGAACAATAAGATTACTGAATACAATTGAAGGTTTTTAAATATTTCTTTTCATCTGAGGGTATTTTACCTCTAGGTGTGCCCAACCAACATTCTGTGATTCAGAGTCACTTGAAATAATTCTGAGTTGTGCTACTGACTTGACATTTAGTTAGATTCATTTGTTTCACATTGTTTTCTGTTTTCAGATTGCCTTTTTCTTTTGATTTAGTTTTTAAAATTTAGAATATACAGTTTTGACTGCATGATTAAATACATTTAATGATTTTTTTCTTGAATTATAAAACTAGAACTTAAAAAATATCTTTTGATAATTCTGTAGTTAAGTATTTGTTCACTGGTAGTTTTGAAGCTTGCTTCAAATTTTTCTGACTCTCAAACTTTAATTTTACAGAGAGCATCTAGCCGAGTGTAGAAAAAGTTCTGATTTTTCTCTATAGCTGTTGTGCACGGACAAGAGTGTTCTATGGATTCATATATGAAAGAATGCATAGAATTGCAAGACCAATCACTGTAGGGTGATCCAGGGCCTGCTGTTTTATCACATTTATGAGCTCCGATAACCTGGGTTTTAAAAAAGATTTTTTTTTTTGGTTTTTTTTTTTTGTTCGTTTGTTTTTTGGCCGGGCGCAGTGGCTCACCCCTGTAATCCCAGCACTTTGGGAGGCCAAGACGGGTGTAACACCTGAGGTCAGGAGTTCGAGACCAGCCTGGTCAGCATGACAAAACCCTGTCTCCACTAAAAATAGAAAAATTAGCCGGGCATGGTGGTGGTTGCCTGTAATCCCAGCTACTCAGGAGGCTGAAGCAGAAGAATCGCTTAAACCCTGGAGGCAGAGGTTACAGTGAGCTGAGGTAGCGCCACTGTATTCCAGCCTGGGCGATAAGAGAGAAACTCTGTTTTTTTGTTGTTGTTGTTGTTTATGTTTTTTTTTTTTTAATTTTTTTTTTTTTTTTTATTGTACTCTTAAGTTTTAGGGTACATGTGCACAATGTGCAGGTTAGTTACATATGTATACATGTGCCATGCTGGTGCGCTGCACCCACTAACGTGTCATCTAGCATTAGGTATATCTCCCAATGCTATCCCTCCCCCCTCCCCCGACCCCACCACAGTCCCCAGAGTGTGATATTCCCCTTCCTGTGTCCATGTGATCTCATTGTTCAATTCCCACCTATGAGTGAGAATATGTGGTGTTTGGTTTTTTGTTCTTGCGATAGTTTACTGAGAATGATGGTTTCCAATTTCATCCATGTCCCTACAAAGGACATGAACTCATCATTTTTTATGGCTGCATAGTATTCCATGGTGTATATGTGCCACATTTTCTTAATCCAGTCTATCATTGTTGGACATTTGGGTTGGTTCCAAGTCTTTGCTATTGTGAATAGTGCCGCAATAAACATACGTGTGCATGTGTCTTTATAGCAGCATGATTTATAGTCCTTTGGGTATATACCCAGTAATGGGATGGCTGGGCCAAATGGTATTTCTAGTTCTAGATCCCTGAGGAATCGCCACACTGACTTCCACAATGGTTGAACTAGTTTACAGTCCCACCAACAGTGTAAAAGTGTTCCTATTTCTCCACATCCTCTCCAGCACCTGTTGTTTCCTGACTTTTTAATGATTGCCATTCTAACTGGTGTGAGATGATATCTCATAGTGGTTTTGATTTGCATTTCTCTGATGGCCAGTGATGATGAGCATTTCTTCATGTGTTTTTTGGCTGCATAAATGTCTTCTTTTGAGAAGTGTCTGTTCATGTCCTTCATTCTTAAAGAAAAGAATTTTCAACCCAGAATTTCATATCCAGCCAAACTAAGCTTCATAAGTGAAGGAGAAATAAAATACTTTATAGACAAGCAAATGCTGAGAGATTTTGTCACCACCAGGCCTGCCCTAAAAGAGCTCCTGAAGGAAGCGCTAAATATGGAAAGGAACAACCGGTACCAGCCGCTGCAAAATCATGCCAAAATGTAAAGACCATCAAGACTAGGAAGAAACTGCATCAACTAATGAGCAAAATCACCAGCTAACATCATAATGACAGGATCAAATTCACACATAACAATATTAACTTTAAATATAAATGGACTAAATTCTGCAATTAAAAGACACAGACTGGCAAGTTGGATAAAGAGTCAAGACCCATCAGTGTGCTATATTCAGGAAACCCATCTCACGTGCAGAGACACACATAGGCTCAAAATAAAAGGATGGAGGAAGATCTACCAAGCCAATGGAAAACAAAAAAAGGCAGGGGTTGCAATCCTAGTCTCTGATAAAACAGACTTTAAACCAACAAAGATCAAAAGAGACAAAGAAGGCCATTACATAATGGTAAAGGGATCAATTCAACAAGAGGAGCTAACTATCCTAAATATTTATGCACCCAATACAGGAGCACCCAGATTCATAAAGCAAGTCCTGAGTGACCTACAAAGAGACTTAGACTCCCACACATTAATAATGGGAGACTTTAACACCCCACTGTCAACATTAGACAGATCAACGAGACAGAAAGTCAACAAGGATACCCAGGAATTGAACTCAGCTCTGCACCAAGCGGACCTAATAGACATCTACAGAACTCTCCACCCCAAATCAACAGAATATACATTTTTTTCAGCACCACACCACACCTATTCCAAAATTGACCACATAGTTGGAAGTAAAGCTCTCCTCAGCAAATGTAAAAGAACAGAAATTATAACAAACTATCTCTCAGACCACAGTGCAATCAAACTAGAACTCAGGATTAAGAATCTCACTCAAAGCCGCTCAACTACCTGGAAACTGAACAACCTGCTCCTGAATGACTACTGGGTACATAACGAAATGAAGGCAGAAATAAAGATGTTCTTTGTTTTTTTTTAAGAATTAAAAAAAATCAGTTTTTTCCCCCAATTTTTGGAAAATTGGGAAAACATATTCTTGGACTAGACTGAACCAAGAGACATCTCTCAGTTCCTGCCTAAAGCTCATGCCATGTTTCTCAGTGATAAAACCAAGGAATGGAGCAATTTAGAGAGAAGGTGTAGCAAAAAGCATCATCAGGATAATTATTCTGGACAACCTTTACTCTGACAGGTGGATAGGGCCTCAGAAACATAGCTGAGTTAAATGTATTTAATAATGCTTTTTGAGAGCTACCATTTCCTGGTATCTTTCTGTTGGCCTCAGTCTGTATTCACCCTGTGAAGATATTGAGATGGAGAGCACGGGTAGCTTCAAAGTTAGAAGACTCATACAAGTGACTCATTGACTGCTGCGAGCGCTGCGGTGATGGTGTCTGTCTACAAGAGGGCAGCAGAGAGTCCAGCTTAGGCTGCAGGACCAGCCTCCTCAAAGAGTTCAGGGTTCGCATTGCAGGTTTGGCTGCTATAAAAATGCTACAATGTTGATTTTATTTGAGCCACTTTTTTGATTTTGTTAATTAGTCAATTAGCACCAGTTTATTAATGTATTAAAAATGCTTATTGAGTTCTGCTGTGTGCCGGGCTCTGTGACATCAGTGTCTCCAAGTCTAAATGCTTTTCTCATTTTCTTCCTTTTACTCCCTTCATTCCTTGGTCCATTATTTCTCTGATCACTTCTATTGGATCCTTCCTACTTACCTTTCAGAATCAGCTCACCTGGGTCCGACTCTAGGAAGCCTTCCAGGACTTCCGCAGTCTTGTTTAGTGCCTGTCTCTCTCTGTCTACAGCTTTCTCTCTCTCTAATTCTTTGTCTGTCTCAGTCTCCTGGAGATTTCCTGAGGTCTGTTCTCAGCCCTCTTCTGTTTTCTTGTGTACATCATTCATTCACATGGCTTAACATTTCACCTCAAGGAGGATGAAACTTCAATATACTTTCTATACTGTCTTATAACGTCATTACAGTATGAGCATTTGGCAACACCATTAAACATTCCTTATACATATAATTTGTAGTGGCTGCATAGTACTTACAAGAACCATTGTAAAAAATCCCTGTTAGACTTTAGTTACAGTAAAAAATGTCTGTAAATGGATTTTTTTTTGAGACAGCATGACATCATGACAATTACCCTGGAAAGACTATTGTATCAAAATGACAGACCGAACACAGGAGTCTGCCTTCTACTCTCTCGCCACAGACCTAGAAATGATAGAAAAGATAATTTCTTTAAAAGGAATAAATTGTAACAATCCTGGAACAAAAGATTGCCGTCAGAAGGCAGCAGAAATATGAAATTCCGTAAGGACAGAAAGCACACAGGATTGGGCATGCGCAGATCTGCTGGGGCAGGTGCGGGAGACTTTGATAGCCTGGTGCAGTGGTGAGGACAGCTCCTCAGGAGGGGCTGGGTGAGCTGGCTTGTGCTCCTTCTTTCTTGTGCCTGGCAGTGTGCAGATGAGAAATTCACCTCAAGGTTGAAGCAGAAAGTGTAGGGAGCCAAGAGCTACTTCCTTTGGTGGCTGGTGACCATGGAGATAAAGAAATGTGAATGGATTTGCGATAAAGTTTGGAGCCAATTGTATCAGTGACAGGTTGGGTCTGCACTGTATGCACACGTGCATGTTGTGTTACTTTTCTATTGTGTAACAATATTACCGCAAACTTAGTAGTTTAAAACAGCATCCACTGATTATTTCAGGATTTTTAGGAGTCAAGATTCTGGGCACAGCTTCTCTGGGTTCTCTGCTGCATAGTTTTCTTTGAAGGCTGCAAACAGAGTGTCTATTGGGCTTGCAGTCTCACTTCAAGGCTTGAGTGGGGAAAGATTCACTTCCATATTTATATTGTTGGTGGAATAGCCTGTTGGACTGAGAACCTCAGGTTTTTTGCTTTTTGTTTTGTTTTGTTTTTTAATTGGCTGTTGGCTGGCTGCTTCCTCCAGTTCCTGGTCTTGGGATCTTGGCAGCATGGCTACTTTACCAAATGAGCAAGAGAGAGAGTCTTTTGTCAAGACAGACACTACAGTCTACATAATGTCATCACAGAGGTGACATCTTGCCACCTTCACCATATTCTGTTCATTAGAAGCAAGTCACTGGCTCCACACATGTTCACAAGAGGGCATTTCTCAAGGGTGTGGACACTATGTTGCAGGGATCGTGGGGGTTGCCTTTGAGTCTGCCAACCATAGGATATCAGGTGCAGACAAGGAATACATTTTGTTGTTGTTGTTGAGTAGTTGGTTGGATTCAAACCTGTAATGGACAAGAACTTCACATTTTGATTTTAGGCTCAAATCAACACTGATGATGCAGTATTGGACAGCTCACTTTCTTTTCCGAATCTCACTTTCCTCATGTATAAAATGAAGAGGGAGTTTAAACTGGTATTTACTCCAGCTCCAACATTCAGAATTTCTTTTAGTATTAAAATACTCAAATAGGCCGGGCGAGGTGGCTCACGCCTGTAATCCCAGCACTTTGGGAGGCCGAGGCGGGTGGATCACGAGGTCAGGAAATCGAGACCATCCTGGCTAGCATGGTGAAACCCCATCTCTACTAAAAATACAAAAAAATTAGCCGGGCATGGTGGCAGGCTCCTGTAGTCCCAGCTACTCGGGAGGCTGAAGAGGAGAATGGCGTGAACCCGGGAGGTGGAGCTTGCAGTGAGCTGAGATCGCACCACTGCACTCCAGCCTGGGTGACTGATCAAGACTCCGTCAAAAAAAAAAAAAAAAAAAAAAGACCCAAATAACAGAAACTCCACCCTGATTTGTATGCTCTTTGAGCTATATTTTCTCATAGTTTTTCTTTCTTCTCTTAAGCGTCTGTGGAGTCTACATTTATTACTTTTGTGTTGGTGCTGCAATTCTTAATCACTTGCAATACAGATTTTCCCTTATTCCTTTTTCTCCTTCAAAGATAATCAGTAAAAAATTCTTGCCAAATTCAGCGAAGTATTCTTGATCCCCCTTCTCCCCAGCTCTATTGTGGCATTAGGCATTGTTGACTATTCTGCCTTGAAAATCCCCACATCCTGTGGCTTCCATGAGCTCCAACACCTTGACTCTCTGATTCTGAGTCCTCTGACTTCTCTTGCTTCTCATCCCTCTAAAACTAGGCATCCCCAATGTTCTGTTCTCAGCCTTTTGTTTTTTCTGGTGGGTCTTCTCTATCTGTCTAACATTCCTTGAAGTATCACCTCTAGGAAGATGAAGCTCTGATTATGATATTTAGCTTATTTTCTTCTAAGCTGTTTTTCTATATTTCCAAATGTTTAATTACAACCTATTGGCATAAGAGAGCCCTCACCATTAAAATCCTTCTCTTAACTCCTCTATTGTCATTACTAGAAGCACCTTTCATCCAGGTATTGGGAGTGATTCTTTGGATTTATGTTTTTTCTTCATAGCTGCCATCCCTTTCATTGCTAAACAAGTTCTGTACATTCTTCTTCCCCAGTTTCACTCAAATCTGTTTTCTTTTTTTCCCATTTTTATTGCCCCCAACTTAACTCAGATTCTCAATTATTTCTTGAATTGATGATTAGAATGGAATATTAAGAGATGGCCCTTTCTTCATAGCTTTCCTTTAGAATACATTATTCACATTGAGCTAGTTCTCATCGCATCATCTCCTCAATTAAGTATTTTAGTAGCTGCTCTTTATCTATGTCCTGCACATGTACTGCACATCCATCCATCCTTTCCTTAACTCTGGCACTCATTTGCCAGAAAGTTCTCCTTAACTTTCTTACACATGCTCTGTCCTTAATTTATATAGGTTAGCTCACCAATCCCAAATGAACCCAGACACTTCTGCTCTGTCTTTGCCTTTGGTGTTCCTTCTTTATAAATATCCTTTTTCTCCTCCACCTGTTGAAATCACACCTGTCCTTCATGGCACACCTTAACAATAATTTTTGTATTTTTAATAGGCATGGGGTTTCACCCTGTTGGCCAGGCTGATCTCGAACTCCTGGCCACAATCCACCCACCTCAGCCTCCCGAAGTGCTAGGATTACAGGCGTGAGCCACCGCGCCCAGCCATGAGTTCTGTCTTTTATCTGTCCCATCAAAACACACATTTCTAGAAAGCCAAAGACAACCCTACCTCCTGAATCCAGGAGAGTCAGTGCCTACTATGGGTTTATCCTTGGTCTACATAGAGTCCAATAACTAGTGTTACACAGTCAGGGAGGCCAGGGAGGATGTCAACACAGAGCTGGACTGGTTGGGGGCAAGGAGATATCAGATCTCCATCTTGCCATCAGGAGGGTATTTGGAATTCTGTCATATTTCTCCGTACTGGTATCATCTTCACAAGATTCATTCATTTCATTCATTCATTCATTCATTCATTCATTCCTATATTCAACAGATTGATAGATATTTATTGAGTCCCAATTACGTAGTAGTCAGATACTATACAAGATGCTGGAGATACAATGGTGAACAAGACAGAAGAGGTGCCTACCTTCAGGGAGTTCCAGTGCAGAAGACAGGCAGTGTGGAAGGAGATCTTCTTCACTGTTTTATAGGAAGGGAAGAAGAATGGGATGTGGTGAAATTTGACAATTACACAGGAGCAAGATCATGGTCAGAGGTTTGAATTTTTGTTTTCTTAAGAACATTAGAAAGTTACTGGAGGCTTTTGAACTAGGAGAAAACACACTTTATTTTTTAAAGGCCACAGTAGCTGGTATTTAGGAATAACCCTGTAGAGTGGAAGGAGAGTGGGACGAGGGAAGCCAATGAGGAGGCTCTGGCAGTGGCTCAGGGCAGAGATGATGGTGTGATGAGGTGACAGCAGAGAGAGTGAAGAAGTGTGATGGATTTGAGCTATGTTTTGGAGGCAAAGCTGACTGGACCTGGGGACAGAGGGGTTGAAGGAATTATCATTAAGAAAGAAATTTAGTTTGTGTTCTAAGCAGTTTGGTGGTAGTGTTATTTACTGAGATGAGAAAGGCTGGAGAAGAAGTGAGTGTCTAGGAGAAAATTAAGAGCTTAAGTTTTGACATGTTAAAAATTATTTGTACATGAATATTCATAGCAGTATATTTATAACAGCCAAAATTGGAAACAATGTAAAAACCTGTTAACTGATGAATAGATAAGCGAAGTGTGGTATATTCATACAATGGAATGCTATTTGACAATAAAGAATACTGATATGTGTGATGACATGGATGAATATTGAAAATATTGGGCTAAGAGAAAGAAATCATACACAAAAGGCCACATACTGTGTGATTCAATTTATGTGAGGTGTCCAGAATAGGAAAACCCACAGAGACAGAACTTAATTTTGTGTCCAGGTGGTGTACAACATTTGGGAAGAATCTTTAAAAGCTACCATCGGCCGGGCACGGTGGCTCACGCCTGTAATCCCAGCACTTTGGGAGGCTGAGGCGGGTGGATCACCTGAGGTCAGGAGTTTGCGACCAGCCTGGCCAACATGCTGAAACCCCGTATCTACTAAAAATACAAAAAATTGGCCAGTTGTGGTGGTGGGCGCCTGTAAATCCCAGCTACTTGGAAGGCTGAGGCAGGAGAACCACTTGAACCCGGGAGGCAGAGGTTGCAGTGAGGCGAAATCGTGCCACTGCACTCCAGCCTGGGCGACAGAGCGAGACTCCGTCTCAAAACAAACAAACAAACAAACAAACAAACAAACACTACCGTCACTTGCCCCATTCCTCTTGCCTTGTTTGTAATATTTCAGATAATGAAAGCACTGTCAGCTTAAGTCTTATGAATGAGAACTTAGTTTAGTTGTTGTAAATTGGGAGTGACTTTTAGTGGTTATGGAGTTTCTTTTTGGGGTAAAGAAAATGTTCTGAAATTGGTTAGTGGTGATGGACTCTATAAATACACTAAAACCCACTGTATACTTTTTGTACACTTTTGGGTGAATTTTATCATATGTGAATTACATCTCAGTAAAGGTGCTATTCCAAAGATGGTTTGATGTGGTATTCTGTTCTGAGTTTTCTAGAAAGCAGAGTTTCAGGTGAAGGGCTCATGTACTATTGCTTTCTTCAGGAGAAGGAGCGAAGGGTAAGGGAAGTGAAGCAGGGAAGGTGGAGTGCTCAAATGAAGATGCCTCATCCAGTTGACCATAGCTAAGCAATTATGTGCTGGATTCCATGACACTATTCCCCAAGAAGCTGCCTAACCCTCTTAGGACTGTCTCAGGCAAGTCTGTCCATGGAGAAAAGGGGAGAATATATCCACACTTCCATTTCTTTTTGGTCGAAGTTTTGCTCCACAGGGCATTAACTGCCCTACACTTCAGGTTTTGCAAGCATGGGCCCTAGATAGGCTCCCCAGTCTCTATCCTAGCTATTAAAGGTGAAGTCCCCAGGTGGGGGATGACAGATATCTGGTGAGGGGACTGATGTAAAGCTCCATCATGTTGTACCAGCTTGAGGTGAGTTGGAACCTACACCAAGATGATTCCTATAGGGGCAGCTGCATAAGAGGTGGGAGAGGCTGGGAGGCTATGAGTGGGGTCTGATCCTTGCCTGATAAAAGTTCTCAAATTTCCAAGTGAATATGTCATGTAGGCTCCTTATTGCTTATTTTTTTCCTTGTAAATACTATGTGTCAATTCATTTTCTCTTTTCTTTAAAGAAAATACATGCATTCAAATAAATCAAATAAAATCTGGTGTTAGAACTAATCTCTCCCCCCACCAAATCAATTGGCATTGAGGGATTTTCTTTGTAAAACTAATATTTATGGCAACTTTTCCCTCAATTAGAGTACATAGTGATTAGGGGGAAATGGAGAAAAGAAAACAAAGAAAAGGAATTAAAGCTACATGCTAATCTACAACCAAAGGCTGACTAATATTACATGAATTGCACAAACAACTTATAAAACCTCTATATTTAAAATTGTTCAGGATTAGAATTATCAGGACCATTTTACATTATGATATGTAAAGTTCTAAAAAACTTTTTATGTCTGCCCTCATCTAATCTTTTGAAATATGTGTTAAAATCTGTTAAAATTATTTTAGCCCATGTAAGGAATAGAAATTCAGTGGAAGTCATTAATGTTGTTCGGTGACATTGTAGGCTTTCGCCCTCCAGGCACATAGTAGCATTGCTCTTCGTGACCTGTGAAGTTAGATGTGGCTGTGGAACTTACTTTAGGAAATGAGGAGAGTGTGGAAATGGTGTATAACACTTGAGGAGAGCCTTTAAAAGCTACCATGGCTTGCCCCATTCATTTTCCCCTGTTTGTCATATTTCAGATAATCAAAGCACTGTCAGCTTGAGTCTTTTGAGTGAAAATGATGTGTATCCAAGACAGTCACCAATGTGAGAGGAATTCATAGTGTGAGCAGGCAATACATTTCTGAACATGGAAATTTTGGATGTCTGTCTGTTATAGCAGCAAAAACTAGCCTTTGTTTTTTTGTTTTCTAGTTTTTAGCAGCAAAAGCTAGATCGATGTGTTCTTCAAAAAATAATGCAATGAATTATAGATTTGAGGCATGTAGAAGCTATATCCCTTTAAAGCCTTAATGACATATCAAAAGCAGGATAGTAAAGTAGTTAAGAGCATGGCTTGGAGGTAGATGGCATGGGTTTGGAGATTGATTCTGCTGACTATTAACCATGTGACCTTCAGTAATTCTCTTAAACCCTCTGGACTCGGTTTTCTTATAAAGAATCATAATACCCACATCATAAGATCATTATAAAAATTAAATGAATTAACACTTGTCAAATGCTTGGAATAGTGCATAGTAAGCCTTCTTACTATATATAGAGGTAAAATATATAATTAAGTAGTATGTGCAAATTCTTTAGAACAGAGTCTAGCACAGAGTAAGTCCTTAATGATATTTTTTGTTATTATCAATCTTAAAAATCATTGAATAGCAATCGAGTACTTGGCTGATAATTTTCTCTGGGTATGTCTAGTAAGAGATAGGAAAGTGAAAACAAGCTAAGGAGAAAATATAAGTTTTTCTTTTGATTATGGGTAACAAAACCAGCAGTCACATAGGTGGGTTTTACCTCTGAGGAGACACTTGAACACATTGCTGTTACCTTCCCTTTCTAATCAGGTGTGTCCTGAGACAAGAAGCAGAGAGCATCAAGAAATGGAAGAGGACAAACTAAAGCTTTTTCTTTAATTACCTCTATCATCCAGAGTTAAGGGAAATAAGTCACCAGCGACTGAAACCAAACACTCCTGCCAATGAGAGATAAGCATCTCTGGGCAATTTCACACAGCCCAGCAAAAGCTTTTTTGAATTCTCATGACAAACCAGCCCTGGAATTTATCAGGATGATTTATTCATCAGAATTACCTGAGATACCCATTACAAATAGAGATTTCCAGAATCTCAGGTGGTGGTGGGAGAGGAGAGCTCCTGGAATTCTGAATTTCAAGCGAATTCTTTAGAAGATTCTTCTACCTGCTTACATTTGAGAACCCTAAATCCAGTCCTGTGGTTTATACGGAGTAACTGAAATACCACTGCCACCTGGTGGCAGCATGTACAAATTACAGGTTCCAATGTCATTGTGTGATAGAATCAGTAGTGAAATTTTTCAAGTCACGCGTAATTCTTAGTCACCCCTGCCCTCTCCTAATCACAAACGTATTTTTGAGTTTTCTGGATTATCTGATACAGAGTTTATATAATTTAAACCCTGAGGACACAACCTCTTACCATTTTAATTCATTCTTTTTGTTAAACTGAATTTGAAATTATAACTTATTTTTCTTTAACTTTCTCTATATACTCTTATGACATTTAATTAATTTGTAGAATAAAAGAAATCATATCCACTTATAGAACATTCTTTAGGCAGCTCTCTGTCAGAGAAACTGAGAGAGATAGAATCTTAAAGAGAGAGGGATGTCTGAGAGGAATGATTAGTTTTGCATATTGGACTCTGTGATTGTCTGTTAAGATGGAAATAAAAAAAGGAATTGGTATTCAGGAAGTTTTTTCTTCTACTTTCAGAGAATTCTGACTTTGATTCACATATAAAAAGATGATGTCGTAAACCTTTGAATTGGAATAGACTTAGCTTTGCTGAGCTCAGATCCTTCCTGGTTTACGTTCTTCATGAGAATTGGTTATGTAAGGCAAAATAAGAGCAGAAGGAAGTGTTGCATCCTTAAATATAACTGGTATTTCATAATGGATCATGGCATTCAGGCTTGTTTTATAGGAGTCAGTAAGAAGCAAGTGTGGTATAACATGACTCTGAAATTGAGCATCATCCCACTCAGCGCCAGTGTGGCAACTCCAGAAAGACAGTTTGGCAATGTTCAAGATGATTTACAAGCAAACATGGTATGTTCTCCATGAAAAAATAAAATATGTATTAACAAACAGAATGCTCATAAATGAAATTGATGAAAATTACTTGCAGGTTATTCACAGCCAACTTATTATTTGGCACCATTGCAGCCTCTGTAAAAACACCTGGTTGGATAGATTTGTGTAGCAGTGCTTTTTAAAATAAAAAATACATTTTGAGTTAAAATTTGTATAACACAAACCAAGGCATTTTAAAGGTAACAATTCAGTGATATTTAGTACATTCCAAATGTTTTGCAACATTGTCTAGTTCCAAATGATTTTCTTCACTCCAAAAGGAAACTCTGTACCCATTAACTAGTTGGTATACAATTGTTTTAAAAGGGCACATGGGTGAATTTCAAGAGGTTATAGAATTTCAGTTTGATGTTTCAAAATAATGTTCAAAAGACCTCAATATATGGCTTTGTCTTGGCTTGAAGTGTTTGCATTCTTGCCAAAGCTTTTTTAGTTTAGCTATGTCAGTTGGGAAGAGTTTATAATCAGAGGATTTAAAGAGTCTCACATGATGCAATCAAGAACAGTAGTTAAACTATGGGACTCTGATGAAAAGAATTCGATTGCGTGTCAAGCATGGTCACTGGCTTTAAAATAGTACAGAGAAAAGCCAACAAAAATGTGGGCAATGAGTCTGTGCATTCCTTATAAGCATTTTATTAGAAAAGAATGAGATTACCTATGCAAATTAGTGGGAAGATGTTTAGACAGATGTGTTGTGCCCACCAGCTTGAGGTATAAAAAGCCCTGTACGGGAAGAGACCTTCATTAACACTTGGGTAACTTACCCTTCACAATCCATCTAAATCCTTCTCAATTGCTGCCACCATGACTCGTTACTTCTGCTGTGGAAGCTACTTCCCAGGATACCCTATCTATGGGACCAACTTCCATGGGACCTTCAGAGCCACCCCCTTGAACTGTGTTGTGCCTCTGGGCTCTCCCCTGAACTATGGCTGTGGATGCAATGGCTACAGCTCCCTGGGCTACAGCTTTGGTGGTAGCAACATCAACAACCTGGGCGGCTGCTATGGTGGTAGCTTCTATAGGCCATGGGGCTCTGGCTCTGGCTTTGGCTACAGCACCTACTGATGGACCAATGGCTCCAGTGACTACAGGACTCTCAATTAATTCTCTGCACAGAACAACCTGAAGAGCAATGACTGTCTTCCTACCTTCCCATGTGCTTGGGTGATACATCTTCCATCTTCTTGCTGACTTCTTGCTGTGGTCTTTGTCTTTGATGCTGTTGGACAAGTCACCCAGGACTCAGGTGCTGAACTGATACTCATCTACAGACAAAGGAAGCAAGATGCATTTTTTTGGTCATACTTGAATTTTAACAGTGAAAAAGTAGTTTGCCTCCCATGGTTGCTCTGCTCATGTATTATTAGCTTCTACATCAACATTAATGTATTACAAATTGGGTGTGGGTAGTAAGGGGATTTTCTGTCAGTCTCTTAATAAATCTATTTCCTTCAGCATAAATATTTTTGTCCTGGTTATTTATTTCACTTCTCTTTTATGCTCTTGAATTCATCAATCAGTTTAAACCCGTAATGGTTGACTTTAACCAAATTTTATTCTGATTTCAGACTATATAGCCAGGATAGGGTGATGCCTAACCATTTTTTATTTTTATATTGATATTTCAATTTAAAAAACTCCCTGGAAATGTCCCGTATTTAACCCAGATATACTGCAATTGTTGGCGTTTCTCAAAGCTGATTATAAAACAGGAATATTTCTTAGCTGTTGAATGCTAAAACATGTTTTCTTTTCTCTTTTCCTTAGTGACAAGATTCCATTTTGGTTCATTTCTCCTTTCCTACTGTTTATAGAACTCAGCTCTGGGGAGATTTGAACCCCTCATGTTGTTGGAAGAATTGGAACTAAATAGACTTAGTTATGAAACTCTATCTTTAAGAGTTCCTAAGATTTGATCAATAAAGGGAAGCCAACTACTAAAATCACATATTATTTTTTATCCTTTTTTGATAGATGGGTTTATTTTCTCCACTTTCTTCACCTCTGATTATACATATAACTAGTACTAAAAATGAAGTGTTTATTCTTTGAAATAATAGTTGCCATCAAAAGCACTTGAAATGGTATGTTGTCTACACTTAGAAAATGCTCCCTGTCGATCTAGAACTAGAAATAACATTTGACCCAGCCATCCCATTACTGGGTATATACCCAAAGGTCTATAAATCATGCTGCTATAAAGACACATGCACACGTATGTTTATTGCGGCACTATTCACAATAGCAAAGACTTGGAACCAACCCAAATGTCCAACAATGATAGACTGGATTAAGAAAATGTGGCACATATACACCATGGAATACTATGCAGCCATAAAAAATGATGAGTTCATGTCCTTTGTAGGGACATGGATGAAATTAGAAATCATCATTCTCAGTAAACTATCGCAAGAACAAAAAACCAAACACCGCATATTCTCACTCATAGGTGGGAATTGAACAACGAGATCACATGGACACAGGAAGGGGAATATCACACTCTGGGGACTGTTGTGGGGTGGGAGGTAGGGGGAGGGATAGCATTGGGAGATATACCTAATGCTAGATGACGAGTTAGTGGGTGCAGCGCACCAGCATGGCACATGTATACATATCTAACTAACCTGCACAATGTGCACATGTACCCTAAAACTTAAAGTATAATAATAAAAGAAAAAAAAAAGAAAATGCTCCCTGTCTTGCTTACTGAAAAATCTCTGCTTTATTGAAGCAAAACACTTTATGTTTGAATTAAAACTCATTCATTCACATATCATGTATTTATTGCACCTCTGCCTGAGAGAAGGTGCTTGATTAATTGTTCATTGACTTTACTTGTTAAATCTCTGCTTTATGGGTGCAAAATATTGTATTGTCCAATGTAAAGTTCATTCATGCATGCATCAGGTATTATTGGGCTGTGGCCACTGTGTTAAGATATTTACAGTTGTAAAAACAACTAAGCAGAGGTGTTTTTGATATGAGAAGCTGACTGTCTTCGAGATTTATTCATTCAAGAGGTACTCATCACATAGTATAGCACAGCATTGTCTTAAGATTTGGGGACACAAATCTTAGAGATAACTGAAACACAATTTATGCCCTTAAGAATTAAATACACTTTATTCAATATTTAAAGGGCTTTTAATAGTCTCCTATTTCATGTCAATCAATGTGCTGTAAATGACTATCCAAAGACAGATAGATATTCCTTACTCATTTGCTTCCTAGGACCTAAAATTGGAGACAGTCTGTGATAAGAACCATGTATACACACAAAGTGTTACAGGCTTGCATAGAAGGGAAGCTTCGGTACGTAAACATGACCATGAGAGGGAGTAAGAGTTACATATCAAGTTAGATATGGCTGTGCAAATGGGAAAAAGAATAAGGCTATTTAAGGATGAAATAGGTTATCACTGGCAAGGCTCCAATGCATAGGTAGGATGACCTGTTGGTGGAGAGATTCCAAGGGTGTTGAGTACTGGATAGGTGATTTGAGATCTCTACCAACCATAAGACTTTAGATTCTATCTTTATGACTAACATTTATTTTCTACTTTAAGGCCATAATTGTTTTGTATTTTGTTAATTAGTTTTTATTTAAAAAAATTTCAAACTTATGAAAAATTTGCTGTAATAGTGCAAAAAAGTCCTGCATTCTCAGATTTACATTTTTCTTCCATCGAATGTATTATTACATATAGTATATATGCTATATGATGTATGTGTATAGTGTGTGTGTATCTCTATCATCTATCTACCTATGTATGTATCTATGTATCTATCATCTATCTGTCTGTCTATCTATCTATCTATCTATCTATCTATCTATCTATCTATCTATCAACTCTCTCTCTGTCTGTCTATCTGGATAGCCATTCAGAATAGGTGGCAGATATCATACCATTTATCTTAAGAACAAAGCCAATATAACTATACAAATTAAATATTTAATATTAATATAATACTATTCTCTAACCCAAAGTGCATACTCAAATGTAATCACTTGTCTCACTAATGTCCTTTGTACTTTTTTTCCCCCTACTTCGGGATCCAATCCAGTATTATGTATGTCTCTTTAGTCTTCTTTAATGTGGACCAGTACCTCAACTTTTCTCTGCCTTTCTTGACCTCAACCAATATGAAGAATGCAGGCAGTCATTTCACAGAATGTATCTTGATTTGGGTTTGACTTTCCTCACGATTAGATTTATATCATGCACTTTTGGTGGAAATGTCATTGAAGTGATACTTTATCCTTCTCAGCACATCATATCAGGAGGCACATTATGTTGGCTCATGTAGTTTGGTTGATATTAACTTTGATCACTTGGGGAAAGTTGCGCCTTTCAGGTTTCTTTACTGTAAAGTTGCTCTTTGCCCTTTGTAATTAATAATTAATTTGTGAGTTGATACTTTGGCACTGTGTGAATATCTTATTTCTTACCAAGTTTTTACTTGTCAATTTTACGATTCATCCACAAATTTCTAATTTTACATCAATAAATCCCTTTACCTTTATTAGTTGGCATTCTACTGTAAGAAAGAAGTTTCTCTTTTCCCCATTTATTAATTTTTTGTTTGCTTACTTATATGTGCCAATGCTTATATCAGTATGGGTTCATGGATTCTTATTTTACTCAATGTATGATAATCCACTAATATTTATTTTGATCTTCAAAGTGCCTCAGATTTGGACAGTGGGAATACCTTCGTGCTGGCTTCTATGTCCTTTGGAAGTGTCCCCCATCACTATTTGATCATTTTCTTTCTTTCTGGCTCAACAAGATATTCCTGTCTGACTCGTCTTGAACTTTTCTGCTCTTATAATAGAGTCAGGGATTTCTCCCAGGAGCTCTGAATTTTTTAAGTGCAGACTGGTATTTAGAAAGTAAGGGCCTGGCAGCTGGGCGTGGTGGCTCATGCTTGTAATCCCAGCACTTTCGGAGGCCGAGGCGGGCGGATCACGAGGTCAGGAGATCGAGACCATCCTGGCTAACACGGTGAAACCCCGTCTCTACTAAAAATACAAAAAATTAGCCAGGCATGGTGGCGGCGGGCTCCTGTAGTCCCAGCTACTCGGGAGGCTGAGGCAGGAGAATGGTGTGAACCTGGGAGGCGGAGCTTGCAGTGAGCCGAGATCATGCAACTGCACCCCAGCCTGGGCGACAGAGTGAAACTCTCTCTCAAAAAAAAAAAAAAAAAAGGTAAGGGCCGGGCACGGTGGTCACGCCTGTAATCCCAGCATTTTGGGAGGCTGAGGGGGTTGGATCACTAGGTCAAGAGATTGAGACCATCCTGGCTAACATGGTGAAACCCTGTCTCTACTAAAAATACAAAAATTAGCCGGACATGGTGGCGGGCACCTGTAATCCCAGCTACTCGGGAGGCTGAGGCAGGAGAATTGCTTGAACCTGGAAGGCGGAGTTTGCAGTGAGCCGAGATTGCGCCACTGCACTCCAGCCTGGCAACAGAGTGAGACTCCATCTCAAAAAAAAAAAAAAAAGTAAGATATGGGTGCTAAGGGAGCTCACTGCTGTGCTGTCATTGCTGCGTATCATATGGTATGACAATCATTGCTATGATCCTTAATTGTCCTTTCTGATTTAAGAATGACACACTCAGAAGCTGCGCTGGAGCTCTGTGTGTGGGAACAGAATTCATTGAGGGACAGAATTTGCTTACGGTAAGAGAGAGGCTGAGCTTTTGGTAGGAGGGGAGGTCTTCAAATGCCAGAGTGTAAAGGTCCTTTGTGCTGACCAAGTGACTACACCAGTGGCCTCAGAACCCCCTGTTCTTCAACTAGATTTCGTACCACCTTTCCTCTGTTTCAGCCTTAATCCTGGCATTGATTCTTAATGTTGTGAGTCTCGGTTCTCTATGGGAGTTTGAAGGCTCACTCCTTCCTTTAGCTCCCTCTTGTCACAATTTCTGCTATGGCTCCTTTTTCTTTGTGATTTTCCTTCATCTCCTTTGCAACTTCCAGAAATGTAGTTTACCTTTATTCAATTGACATCATCCTTACAATTCTCTGTTATTGTTGGCTTCCACTCCTTCACTCCCTTACTATAATTTAATGGCTTCTGGGGAAGAAGGAGGGCGAAATCTGTAGGGTAACTCTGACATCTTGCACCTAAAAACCACGTATTCCTTGAGGAGGGTCAAGAAGGGATTAACAAGTTACAATGACAACTTGCCTTCTCTTGCAGCAACAGTGTGACAGATACAATAATAGACAATTTCACTACTTGCATAATAATTTTTAGAGGTAGATTTTATTATCCACCTATTATTGAAGAAGCCAAAATTCAGAAGTTAAATAATTTGTTTCAGGCTGTATCATTCATCTGTGAAGTAAAACACTAATATATAAGTAAGGAGGGTCTGACTCCCAATCCATTCCTCCACTTTAAAACAAACTGTACATCACTTTCCAAATTATAGAGCTGTTCCCTAGAAATATCCCTGCAGAATACCTCTTATGCCATTAATAATTATACCTCCTATGTTTACATAGTGAGTTAAAAAATACTTCCCTAGAATTTTATTTAATTCTGACAACTATCTTGGGAAATCAATATCATGAGGAAATTGATGGAGACTAAGTAATTTGCCTAAGTGGGCAAATGTTCAATAGGTGAGAAAGGTGAAGCTTGAATAAGAAGTTTTCTTTGTTCCAGTTTAGAAGTCCCATCTCTGTTTACTCTTATATCATATTCTCACACTGCACTGTTGAAGCCTGCCAACCAGGACCACCAGGAATACTCCTACAGATAAACAAAGTTGGGTTTATTAACTTGTTGCCACAACAGAGACCTTACAATAGGAGAAACAGCAAGATATCTCAATAAGATGGAGTGAGGAGGGTTTGTTACAGGATTTGGGCTTGCATTAGGTAATTTTGGAGAAGACTGTAGGAAGCCAGGTCTCTTCTAGGTTGCATACTGTATTAGTTCCAGAGCATCAAGCTGACATCTCTGATTCCTCCCATGCCCATTGTCCTGCCACTGATAACAAATGCAGAACATTGATCATGAGTCTTCCAATTTGACTTAATTAATTGTATTTGTCCATTCTCATATTGCTATAAAGAACTACCCGAGACTGAGTAATTTCTAAAGCAAAGAGGTTCAGTTGGCTCATGGTTCCATAGGCGGTATAGGAAGCATGGCTGGGGAGGCCTCAGGAAACTTACAATCATGGTGGAAGGCCAAGGGGAAGCAGTCACATCCTACATGGCTTGAGCAGGAGGAAGAGGGCAAAGGGGGAGGTGCTACATGCCTTTAAACAACTTTGAAACTCCTGAGGACTCTGTCATAAAACAGCACTAGCGGGATGGTGCTAAGTCATTGGAAACCACCTCCGTGATCCAACCACCTCCCACCAGGCCCCACCTCCAATATCTGGGATTAAAATTCAACATGAGATTTGGGTGGGGACACAGAGCCAAACTATATCACCTATTTTATCAAGATTCTCTGCCATTTTCACAAGCTTTCCAAAAAGATTTTAATAATTATTAGGCTTTATTCTTTATGTTGATACCAAGTCCTTAGATTTTCTAAGAAATCCTGTCAGGACTTCATTCCTGATATTTCTGCCTCAGTTCACACCTGCATCATTTCTTGCCTGGGTTACTAGCCCAGCTACTTATCCATTCTGCCAGGCAGTCTCCAATCCATCTTCCATGCAACAGGCACAATAATCTCTCGAAATGCAAGTCTAATTGTGTAGCTCTTTTCTGCAAACTCTTTGGTGATTTTTTTTTTATTTCTTACGGTTTTCAGGACAATGATCAAGTAGAGGCTCACAGATCTACCAAATTTTCTAGCCTTATTTCCTACTTCTCCTTAATGTGCTTCCTTTTCCCCTGCAGTGGGGACTATCACAGGTTTTTGTTCCCTTCTGCACTCTTTTCAATCTAGTGAACTCCTACAGATCCTTCAAAAGATCTTCCTCCACCCCAGGGTGCTCTCCTTTTCCCAGTTGAAAAGTCTCATCTCTGTTTACTTTGATGTCATATTGTTCACACTGCACTGTTGAAGTCCACTAACCAAGACCACCAGAAATACACCTATAGTCAAACAAGTTAGGCTTATTAACTTGTTGCCACAGTGGAGATCACAGAACATGAGAAACTGCAGGATATCTCACTAAGAGGGTGCGAGGAGGGGTTTGTTATGGGATTTGGGCTTGAATTAGGTGATTTTCCAGAAGATCGAAGGAGGCAGAGGTCTCTTCTACATTGCATACTGTATTAGTTTCCCATTGTCGTTGTCACAAATTACCACAAATTTAGTGGCTTAAAATAACACAAATGTATTCTTGTATAGTTCTGGGGGTCCGATGTTCAAAATGGGTCTTACTGGGCTCAAATCAAGGTGTTGGTAACGCTGCATTTATTCTGGATGGTCTAGAGCAGAATTCATTTCCTTGCATTTTCCACTTTCTTGAGGCTGCCTGCCGGCTGGATGTCCAGGCACCGCATTTCTTTGGCCTCAAGCTCCTCATCTGTCAAATGTATGTCCTGTTCCTGACCTGCTGCCTCTGCTTGGGGGCCAGGGTTGGGGTAAAGGGGTTTAAGAATCAAAGCTGATGCCATCCCTCCCCTGCTTAAAACCCTTTTGTGGCTCCACACTGCTCTCAAAAAAAGACATGTGTCCTGGATGTGACTGTGTGGGCTGGTCCTGCCTGCACCCCAGCCCTCCCACCCAGCCATTTCTTGGCTGTGTCCCTTCTGTCTTCAAAGGACAACCGCACGGCACCTTCCCAGCTCTCTCCTTGATTCGGATACTGATACAGGAGTCTCCTGTCTTCCCTTTCTATTTATAAGAACCCTTGTGATGACACTGGGTTTGCCCAGGTAATCCAGGATCATCTCCCTAACTTAAGGTCAGCAGATTGGCAACTTTAATTCAGACTTGCTGTATAACATACAGGATTAGAATGATGACATCTTCAGGGAACATTATTCCGCCTATCGCAGCCTAATTCTAGGATCAGCTGTTTCAAAGGATTTTATTTAGGAGGTGGAACAAGACTATGTTTGTAATTGGTAAAGAAGCAGCAGTCACCAAAGGTAACGTGTGGTCATGGTTATGGTTTGTGTAGCTCACTGCACTTGTTTTTCTCCCTTCTCAGATGTGATTACAGATGGATCTTATTTTTGTCTCACTCTGGCATCATCACAGCCTGACCTCATCTGATTTGGTGTTCTGGAAGTTGCAGATGGGAAGTTCTGGTTTACTGTTAGTGTTATTGGGGCTGCTGTTTCTCTTTCTTACTGGTGCCTTCATTAGCTGATGCCTGTGATTCCCTCATTACACGATGTATTCTGTAGGTTCTTTGAGGTCAAGCACCATGTTTTATTCAATGTTACATCACCTGTGCTTTGGATCCCAGACATTTGATAATTTTTTTTTTTTGAGACTGAGTTTCTCTCCGTCACCCAGGCTGGAGTGCAGTGGCACAATCTTGGCTCACTGCAACCTCTACCTCCCGTTTTCAAGCGATTCTTGTGCCTCAGCCTCCTGAATAGTTGAGATTACAGGCACCCACCACCACGCCCAGCTAATTTTTGTATTTTTAGTAGAGACAGGGTTTCACAGTGTTGGCCAGGCTGGTCTCTAACTCCTGACCTCAGGCAGTCCACCTGCCTTGGCCTCCCAAAGTACTGGGATTACAGGTGTGAGCCACCATGCCCAGCTGATAAATTTTTTTGAATTAATGTAATTATTTAAAACCTTAGAGAAAAAAAAGCCCATTTCCTTGTTACTTAAAATATGGCCTGCAGGCTGGGCATGGTGGCTCACACCTGTAATCTCAGCACATTGGGAGGCCAACGTGGGAGAATCACTTGAGGCCAGGAGTTTGAGAGCAGCCTGGGCAATATGATGAAACTCCATCTCTACCAACACCACCACCATCACCACCAGCACCACCACCAACAACAACAAAAACGAAAATTAGCTGGACATGGTGGTGTGCACCTGTAGCCTCAGCTACTCAGGAGTCTAAGGCTGGAGGATTGCCTGAGCCTGGGGAGGTTGAGGCTGCAATGAGACATGATCACACCACTGCACTCCAGCCTGGGCAACAAAGTGAGACCCCATCTCAAAAAAATATGATCTGCAGACAGGACACATTGGCATCACCTTGTGCTTGTTCAAAATTCAGAATCTCAGGCCTCTCCTCTATTAAATTAGACTCTACACTTTAACAAGATTCTCAGGTGATTTGTGTGCACATAAAGTTTCAGGACTGGCCCAGTTCTGTTGACTCTTATCCCAAAGGAAGTAGAAAGGGAGATAATTCTCACTGTTGATTCTTAAAATAATTGATGAAATAGTATTGACATTTTTATCAAGAAAAGAAAATTTTCTCTTTCTTATTATTTTTCCTATACTTTTGTTCATTTTTTTATTGCTATTTACAGAAAAACCAGATTATGTTTTTCATTTCCATTGAGGATAGAGGAAAAGCACTTAAAATTGTAGCAGGAGAGCCTTCTATTAGATAAAGGGACATATTTCCAGATTCTAAAGCTTGCTAGGCAGGGAACTCTTTGGGTATTCTATAAAACTAAACATGTTAAGCATTGTTGTCTCTGAAAATAAGCTGTTATTTCTCAGACTTCAATTCCTTTTTAGTGACTTGCCTCTGAGGCTTCTGACATTATCTTTGATAACGGTATTTGCACTGCTGTGTCCTGTTTCTTTTTCTTCCCTTTCCAATCATCCTTCCCTCTTAGAAATCTGCTTTGCAAGTGTGCCTTCCAATTTCCATTTTGAAGCTTCTATATCTAATGTACTAGGGTGCAACTTCAGAATTTTTAAGACTTTCCTCATGAACAACCTTAAATTTTAAGAAAGAAATCTTTGGAACTGGTCATACTTTTGGTTAAATTTAAATTTTATTTTATGTTTAGTTTTGGTCAGCAAAGACTTTGATGACATAATGCTTTGAAGTTGCCATTTGCTGTTTGGCAGTAACAGGAAGCATTATTTTAAAGGTTGTCAGAAGGATTTGCCCTCGGTCTTCCGGAGGCCAACCAGTGGGTAAATGATTTGAAGCATCATGATTCTATTCTTCAGTGAGATCATCTTCACACTGAGGGGGTACAACTGACCCTATCTGTTACCCTTTCCACTAACTCAGCTTGCAGGCTGGTGCTTTAATTTAAATTTATACACAATTCCAGTTGCTGGCTCTAACTCTGCCTTGGTGTCACAAGAAGAGGACCTTAATTCCTCTGTTTTGCATCCCCAAGAATAGAGAATAGATGTCAAAACTGACCTTCTTATCCTACCAGTGATGAAAAGCGTGCAGCAGAAACGTGCCTTCCTTTGAACTGCTTTTTCATGTTCATTATAAATCACATGTAAGGTGTTTCTGACCAGAGTCCATGAATCTACTGTGCATCCAGGCATTGTTGTGGTATCACGTTATTTCTTAAGAAAACCACATAGGTTCTGCATCAAATGAAGTTAAGCTTCATTAACCAGATGCTTGCTGTGATAATTAACCACACAGCCTCACAAACGTGGCTTATCCCTCAAAGTGCTGTGGTAGCAACGTACTGAAATTTTGTCTTAAATTAGCCTAAGTCTTGGTCAGCAAGTTCTGATCCTGTCACATGACAGGTTTTTTTTTTTTTAAATATATTTTGCCTGGCAATTTTATTTGACTTGGTGTGATTTTTGACTTCAGAGCAGGTTTCTTGACCTCAGCTCTATTGACATTTTGAGCTGGGTAATTCTTTGTATTGTGAGGGCTGTCCTGTGCATTGTAGAATGTTTGGCAGCATCCCTGGCCTCTACCCATTAGATGCTAAGTAGCACCCCTTCCAACTCTGAGTTATGACAAACAAAAATGTCTCCAGACATTGTCAAATGTCCTCTTGGGAGCACAGTTGCCCATAATGATGTCACATCAGCTCTAGTCTTAGCCATTAAACCTGGCTGAAAGAGTGTCTCTGTTTTCTCCTTCACCGTTCCACATTCATCCCATTTTATGTTGTATATTTTGCTAAAGAGGACACCTTTTCAGGTACCTTATTAAAGAGCACTGCACATTTCTCAAAGTTTGACCAAAGCACCGCCTTTATTGGAATCACCTCGTCTGCTTATTAAAAATGCAGATTCCTTGGCCCCACATGAGACCCACGGAATCAGAATCTAAAGGAATGGAGCTCAGAAATATTTGTCTAAAACAAGTATCCTGGGAGATTCTTGCACAGATTAAACTTTTAAAACTCTTATGATATTCTTGTGAAGGTTTCAATATTTCTGTGATTCCTGTCACTGCATTTTGTTTTTCAAAGTGATGGCAGCTGGAAGCTCATTAGTTTGTCTTAGTAGGAATGTGTAATAAGATGAGAAAAAGCACTCTCCATAGTCGCATGCCTAATTGACCAAATTCCAATGAGAGAGTGTTGAATTGTCATATTGACTCATCAGTGATTTTTGATGGGAGAATCATACAATGTTTAGGGTGGCAAGTCCCAGGAAGTCAACTTGTCCCATTTTTCAGTCGGGTCACGCGAGGCCCGGAAAAATGATTTGCCTCAATCCTCACAGCAAGTGAGTAGCCAAGTTAGGTTTAGAATATTCTTTCATTAATTCATTCAACTGAAACTTATGGAAAACCTATATTACGCCCAGTAGTGAGTGAGGCAGTGAGGAATCAAGGCTGATTAAAAATACTATCTTGCTCTCCTGGAAATAAGCATGTTAATGAGGCAGACAGATACCCATCACACAAGTGAAGGTTATATAGGAACTACGATTAAGTCCTACAGATACGAGGAAGAGGTTGGCCTACTGTTATGCTACAGATGGGCTCCAGCTAATCAGGAATGGCAGAAAGGCCTCCCAAAGGAAGTGATTGAGCTGGCATGTGAAGGTTGCATGGGAGTTGATCAGAAGGAGAGGAAGGAAGAGAATTCCTCACAGAACAAACGGCATGTGTCAAAGCTTAAGAGTGAGAGGAGCATGCGAAGTTTGAAGAACTAAAAGACAGCAAAACTTAACGAAGAGAGAGTTGAGAACTTTTAGGTCAGTTTAAAGATTAAAAAATATTATCCTAAAAACAATAGGAGCAATTGAAACACTTTTTTTTCTTGTTTTATTTCTAAGACTGTTACTGATTTATTCATTTGTTATGTTGAGGTACATGCCTTCTATACCTAATTTGTTGAGAATTTTTATCATGAAGGATTGTTGAATTTTGTCAAATTCTTTCTCTGCATCGATTGAGATGAACAAATAATTTTTATCCTTCATCCTATTCATGTGTAAAGTATATTACACTGATTAATTTTTGTATGCTGAACCACTCTTGCTTATCAGAGGTAAATCTACTTGATCATGTGTATGATCTTTTTAATGTGCTTTTAAATTTGGTTTGCTAGTATTTTTGCATCTATGGTCATTAGGGATATTGTCCTATCATTTTATTTTCTCATAGTGTCCTTGTCTGACTGGTATTAGAGTAATGCTGGCCTCATAAAATGAGTTTGAAAGTGTTTCTTCCTCTTTAATTGCTTGAAGGACTTTGAGAAAGATTAGTATTAGCTCTTCTTAAATGTTTTATAGAATTCAATGGTGAAGCAATCTGGCTCTGGATTTTTCTTTGTTGGAAGATATTTTATTACTGATTCAATCTCATTATTTGTTATTGGTCTGTTAAGATTTCCTATTCATGATGTATTCTTGGTAGGTGGCACGTTTCTAGGAATTTGTCCATTTATTGGAGGTTATTGAATTATTTTGGCATATAATTGTTCACAGTAGTCTCTTATGATCTTTTATATTTTTGGAGTATGTTATAATATCTCTTCTTTTATTTCTGATTTTATTTGTCTTTTCCCTTGTTTTATTAGTCTAGCTAAAGGTTTGTCAATTTTGTTTATCTTTTAAAAAACCAACTCTTAGTTTTGTTGCTCTTTTCTGTTTTTCAGATTATATTTCAGTTATTTCTGCTTTGATCTTTATTCCTTTTTTCTTGGTAACTTTGGACTTAGTTTGTTCTTTTTCTTCTAGTTCCTTCAAATATAAAATTATGTTGTTTAGTTGAAATTCTAATTTTTCTTAATGTAGAGTTTATTGCTATAAACTTCTGTCTTAGAATTTTTGCTGCATTCCAAAATTTTGGTTTTTTTTTTCTGTTTTGTGTGTGTGTGTGTGTGTGTGTGTGTGTGTGTGTGTGTGTGTGTGTGGAGATATTTTTCATTCCTCATTTGACCCACTGGCTGTTCAGGAAATGTTTAAGTTCCTCATATTTGTGAATTTTCCAGTTTTCCTCCTGTTATTGATTTCTAGTTTCATACAATTATAGTTGAAAAAGATGCTTGATATGATTTCATTCTTCTTACATTTGTTAAGACTTATTTTGTGGCCTAACGTGTGATATACACTGGAGAATGTTCTGTGTGTGCTTGAGAAGAATGTGTATTCTGTTGCTGTTGGATGGACTATCTGTACACGTCTGTTAGGTCCATTTGGTCTAAGTTCAAGTACAATGTGTCATTATTGGTTTTCTTTTTGGATTACCCATTCATTGTTGAAAATGGGGTATTGAAGCTCTGTACTATAATTATATTTCTATCTATTTCTTTTTTCAGGTCTATTAATATTTGCTTTATATATTTAGGAGTTTAATTTTTTTGTGATTTTTTGAGCATCTCAACAAATACTTTTGTACTTAATTTTATATTTATTACATTGTATACTTTTTAAGAAAAAGGGCTTTCAGCATTGTATACTTTCAGGCTTTATGAAAACCTTGCTCTTTCTTTGATAAGCCTATTATCAGAATAAAGCTTTCATAGGCTCAATATAGGATTAACTTCGCTATTAATTTTTAAATGACTTGTTGATAAATGATATGTTTCCCTAAAATTTTCTTCTGTTAGAATTTTCTGTAGACTTTCTAGAGAAAATCCAAGCCATTCTCTGTAAATAGGGCTTAAGTTTTAAAAAAGACAACATATTTTAATTACTATTCATGTTCAGAGCTAGGTTTTGTGCTGCAGAAGGCAAAGCTAGCATCTTGTCAGATTGGGTAGGCGAATGGGAGAATTCTTTTAAATAGAGCAACATAATTGACCTTTGGCAATATTAATTCAAAAATTTTAAATTATCCATTATACAATGCTATTTTTTGTCTAATTTTTCTTTTTTCCCTAACATTACCAGCTTTTCTATCATGAAACACAGCAATGTGATGCCAGTAGAAATAGTATGTAAATCATTCTATGATTTTTAGGGAATGATCTGTGGTTGAATACCTTTATGTTTTGGGAATAAATCTAATTTCAATTCCCTGAACTTGTTTAGCTATAAGCCACATATCGTGTTTGAATTTTAATTACTGAATCCCCATAGGCAGCCATCCAGGTTTGCTCACGAAGCAGGGTACTGTAGGTGTTTTCATTCTCCAGAATGTGATTATTACGCATTGCATATCTGTATCAAAACATCTTATGTACTCTATAAATATATAAACCTACCATGCACTCACAAAAACTAAAAATAAAAAAATTTAGGCCAGGCGCGGTGGCCCACGCCTGTAATCCCAGCTCTTTGGGAGGCCGAGATGTGCAGATCACTTGAGGTCAGGAGTTCGAGACCAGCCTGGCCAACATGCTGAAACCCTGTCTCTACTAAAAATACAAAAATTAGCCTGGCGCAGTGGCATGCACCTGTAATCCCAGCTACTCGGGAGGCTGAGGCAGGAGACTCGCTTGAACCAAGGAGGTGGAGGTTGCAGTGAGTCCAGATTGCACCACTGCACTCCAGCCTGGGCAATAAAGCAAGACTCTGCCTCAAAAAAAAATTATATATATATCTATATTTAAAAAAAATGCCTCTGCTGTAATTAGTCTACTGCTGGCTAGAACACTGGCATGGTTTTGAATTTTCCAAGTGTCTCATCTTGTTCTTGGATTCAGCCTTTGATTCCTAGCTGCTGATAGCAGGGAGCAAAGTTACCTCTGGGTTATGAAGTAAAATCTGGGAGAGCTCATGTGTAATACATATCTGTTTTGTGGCCTTCTAGAATGATTCCTATTATCTCTGTGCCTATTTCTGTTCCATATGCCCTCTTTGGTATTTGTTCTGTAAGTTCTCTACTAAGTGCCACTGTAAGAAATCTTAATGCAGGTGTCTGAGAATAATATATCAGGTCTTACATGATCCAAGATAGTTTTGATCAGCCTTATCCCTCCTTTAACTCATGCTTGAGAACTGACTCTCTGTTTAGAAAGGAATAACATTCCTTCTTTATCCTGGGGTGCATGATCATTGTAAAAGTGAAATAACTGATTTCATGTTGTCATCTGGCCCTTTATAATATCATCACATTTGTCAGACAATCTAGTTTCATTAGATCTAAGAGAAAAAAAATTTTAAATCTTACAATAAATTTTTTAATTCATTTTTCTGTGTTTACCTTATTAGTTTCAATGTTTAGTTTGAAATATGTTTCAGGCCAAAAAATTAAATTTGTTTGACAATTCAGTACAAGGATTAATCCAAATACTCCGTTTTAAAATCTCAATACTATTAATTCAAGTAGTCTTCTAGAAATGTGATGTTAGGTATAGTTTAGGAGGGGACTATGATTAAGATTACACTTTTAACCAGTTTCCCAAACACGGTAGCTGTAGTAGAGGAAAAAAAAAAGACTCTTTCTCATGAGTTCCATTGCACTTGTCTTTCATATTCCAAAAAAGAGAATCCTTGAAGCAGGTGAATACTAAGACATACTTTAATTTTGAGAATTTTGAGATAGACTCACTATCCATTTGTTATTTTATATATTAATGTATTTAACACATATTTATTGAATTTCAACTGTGTGTTGTGGAAATTCAGAGAGCAAGAGGACTGCATAACAGCTAACAACCTCAGAATATTTCTTGATATTATATACCTGCTTACAGAGTTATATGGGGTCTATAAGACAGAGTGCTTTGAAGTCCTGGCAATAATTTTTTTTTTTTTAGGAAGGGAAATAATTTGTTTAAAGGCATCTTCTCCCTGTATTGCATCACACGAGAGCTTTCTTAAGCCACTGTAAAGACATCATAAGCAAGAGCAAAACAAGTTAATGAGCTTTTTAGAATGTAAATTGGTGTCAAGAATGAAAATGAGGGCTTTGTGTTTTTCACCACCCACCAGAGCTGGGATATATAAAGAAGGTTCTGAGACTAGGAATCCATCCCACTGAGGAAACGCACTCTGTTGCTACCTAAGCCCTCCACTCCCGACACCATGCTCTGCGACAACTTCCCCGGGGCTGTCTTCCCAGGATGCTACTGGGGCAGCTATGGCTACCCGCTGGGATATAGCGTTGGCTGTGGCTATGGCAGCACCTACTCTCCAGTGGGCTATGGCTTCGGCTATGGCTACAACGGCTGTGGGGCTTTCGGCTACAGGAGATACTCGCCATTTGCTCTCTACTGATTGGCTGAAATCCCCGAGGTGTAGCATCTTCTCTCCCTTGAAGGCTGAGCCCCACATCTCCAGGTTCCCCCCGTATCCACTCCTTCAGTCCTCATTTGCTCATCAACCTCAGAGACACTGCTTTCCAACTTACCTCGAGTCCCAGGGGAGGAAAATGAAAAAGCAGACGCTTCCTCAAGCTGCCTCCCCTGGCTGATGTTCTCTGGGACATTTTCGGAAATTTGACCTCCCACTTGTCATGAGCTACTTTTGAATTTTCCATGACACTCATGACTTGTGATGAAGTCATGGATATGTCTATCAAAATCTCAATAAATTTGTCTCAGCTGGTATAATATTCTCATGCTAGAGCGAAGTTTCCTTTCTTGGTGTGTGCATATTTTCTGTTACATGGGTGGTGGGGGGGAAGTGAATTTATTTTTCTCATGTGGGCATTAGGAACAGCCAGAAAGCAAAGAATTACTGATCCTGTGTGATAAGCAGGTAAGAGGGTGGGTTGCAGGTAATGACTTAAAAGGTTGCCTGTTTGAACCTTCTTTAAATTTTATGATGCCCACCTCCAACCCAATGGAGCACCATTTATTGCTCGGGGTCCCCTTCTCATCTCACTACTTCTGCTCCTCCGCAAGAAAACCCAACACAGGAGGAACTTTTTCAGTCACTTCCATGTTAGTCCAAATGAAATCCACTGTGTTCCCTTTCCCAGGGACTAAGGATTATAGACTAAAGTGCCATGCCCCCTAATGAAGGATGCTGGAGCATTGAGTAATAGAGAAGCCACAGACATCCTTTGGAAATCTGAGAGTTTTTAAGGTGAAGGGATAAATCCCCTATATCAAACCATCTAAGGTGTCTATTTTGTAGCTTTGAAGCACCTGGGTTATTCACAACCATGACAAGTTTCTTAATCTTTATAGAATCAACACCAGATAGCGAGTTTCACTTAAAAGATATGAGCTGTAATGAATATTTCTGAAGATGTATCAGCTTTTCTCTGTGTTCCTTTAGGGAAGGGAGCAATTTCCTTTTATAAGCCAGATAAAAAAAGTCTCAATCCTTCTATTGAAAACATCTTATGTATAGTACAAATATTCTTGGTGGTAACAAAATTTGGCTTAACCCTGCTTTTTTATTGAATATGTGCAAGTGATTATATTGCATATGGTTCACTTCGTAGTTAAAAACATAAAGACTATTTGGCGAGGTCATTTCAGAAGAGAGTATTTTCTCCACCATACTTTATCTAATGTATATCTTTTTTAAAAAATCGGGAAATAATTGATTGTTTTCCTTTTTAGCGATAGTAGACAAGGTTACAGCCAACAAAATCTCCAGTTTGCAACTTTCTAGCAGCCATATGTTAATTCATGCTGAGAATTGTGAATTAATTAAACATGCAGGTTAAAATAGAACAGAAAAAGAAAAGTGGGATTTTTCAGAAATTAGAGCATCAGATCGAAACTAGAAGGTTATCAGTCTGTTCTGTAAAGATGACTGACTTATATAAAAATCTGGGCTTGAAGGGACCTCAGAGAGCACCTCCTCTAGTGTTTTGGAAATTTCAGTATGCAGGAGAATTACCTGAGTAGCTGACTTAAAAATTTAGATTCTTATGCCTTGCCCCTAGGGATTCTGACTCAGTACATCTGGGATCAGGTCTAGAAATCTAAACTTTTAAGATGCTCCTGATGACTTCTAGTACAGGTGGTCTGAGACCCACACTCTAAGAAGCACTGTTTCAGGTCATTACAGATGTACACTACCCACCCACCCACACCATTTATTTATGACACTGAGTCTTGATAAAGGAAAGTCTTTTACTCAAAAAGTGTCTAGCACATCTCAACAAGACAAGGACAGAGGAGAGAAGATACTTTACATCCCCAAAGGAGTACAGGAGGTACAACATCTGTGTTTAGCACTTTTCAACTTGAGTTAATGTGTGGTTGCTAGAAAGTTCCAAACTGAAGATTGCGTTGGCTGTAACAATGTCTACTATTTTTAGACAGAGAAAGGATCTATTAGGTAGATATCCAGTAGTCTGGTGCTGAAGGCTCAGATGCCATGACCTGCTAAAAGGAAAAAGTATGTTATGTAAGGATTTTATAAATTCACTTTCTCCTATTGCATAGAAGTGTACAAATTCCTAGTGTGCCTACATTACTTAATATTATTTAATGATTATTTTTAAAAACTGAAATTCAGTCTTTTTAAATGCGTATACCAAGATCCCACCCATGCACATTCTGATGGGAAGATCTATGGGGTCTGGGGATTTGTATTTAAAAAAATCCCTGTAAGTAATTTGGTTTTATGCCATCAATTTAAAACAATTACAGGGTCTGGTTTCATGGCTGTTCTTTTCTGTCTTTTTTAGTTCTCTCCTTTTATTTTGAATTTAAAAACCAAGATAATTCCTCCATATTTATATAGAATTCATAAAAAATGAAAACAGTAAGTAATATGTTACAGGTCAATTTAAGAAAAGCCTGGAATGAACACTTACTGCTACATTTAGGCTTAATGGTAGTCTGTATAGAGTGTAGTTAGGTATTTGTTTCTAATTGCTTTATCAACTTTGGTATTGATCTGAGCCCAGTTTAGTGCTCTGTACATAGTAGAAACTCAATATGTATGACAAGATTATCAGACCACTTTCCTCAATAAACACGAAAAAGATGTTAAACATCTGTTTGCTACCATCGTGCAGTGCCATTCTTTAATTCATAGCCATTTGTGAGCTGGAAGCTTGATGTCTGTGCATTTTATGACTTAGATTTATCTCACAAAGTCACACAGGAAGTATTGTTTTGATTTTCTATTTCACCATTAATTGCTTGTTTCTTCTCATTGAAAACCAGGCTGCATATCTTTAACATCTCCCTGCTTAATACAGTGTATATAACTGAGAACTTGATTTGAATATTAAGGGCATCTTATGTATAGAAGAATCTTCTAGAGAGACCCCCAGTAAGTCGAATTAAACCTCCTTTCCTTATCATTAGGCTTCCCAGTCCCTTGACTACTCTGAAGTAATAATTCACCAGTGGTAACTGAATATATATATATGTTAATTTGTATTTGCCCATTTGATTCACAGGGGAGGTTTAGAGTCCTACAGAATTTTTCATGGCTAAGTAGGATAGATAACATGTTATGTGATACCCTATTTAACATTCCTCATGTACTCTCTAAAGGCGGTTTTGAAGGGATCTGACATCTGCCCTCTGTTGCAAGGTTGGCAGAGAAACATTCTCCACGTGGCATCCTTCATGTGACCAGTGTATCTGATGACACTATCCAACAAAGGTGTTGACCATAACATTATGACATCCAAAAATGTGAAGATAGCAGAGATGTAGTGAATCTGATAAAAGCAGGGAGTCCTGTACTATATTCACATTATTCTTGCATATAAGAAATGACCAAATAATTTGCCCTTCCTCCTGTTTTTTCTTTTCCTGCACTGTCTTCCCTTCTGCTTCTGTATCTTTCTTCAAGATTATATTCTCTTCCCTTAGATCTTGTTATAGTAGGATCAGTTCCCAAGCGGATTTGAGAGCAGTTTCTCACCGAGAAGTCAGAACAAAAGAGGAGCCTTCCTAGCACAGGGTAATCTCATAGTCGTAGGAAGTCAGTTGACAAAAGAAGTCAACCTTTCCCAAATATTCATACTGGCCCTTCTTTCCAGAGCCCCCCCAAAAGCTTTCAACCACAGTGGATACCTCAGGAAGATTATCAAATGCCTTATAAATCAGAGCTCTTCTCAGTAAAGATAGAAAAGGACGCAAACATAAAACACTGAAGAATAAATACATGATGCTGGTATTTAGTAAATTTTACCCAAAGTGTAGGTCTTTTCTCATGCAGAAAAGCCTTTTCTTGCTCTTTTGTCAATAACTTTAGACACAGTAGGCAAAGCAGAAACTAAAAATGCTTCATACGCATATGGGTGATTTTTGGTTTCCCATAATTTTCCTTAAGACGAATGTTGGCCTTTCTCAGAGCCATCCAAAGTGTATAGCTTTTGCCCAGTGCACAGGTTCAACCCACAGATTTCTGATGGCACATGTGCAAGAAAATCATACTTAAAAACCAACCAGCCAACCAACTCACTCCTCTTTGTATACATCTTTAGAACAGCATAATTAATTTTGAGCTAAATGCTTGGTAAGCACATATTTTTATCTTATTAATTTCTTATGATGCAGATTATCTTCTCAATTTGGTTTATTTAAGATTTTAGGCCATCATTTCAAGTGTAGTCCAGTATAATTTTTCAGTCATTTCAAAGGCAAACATAATTAGGGAAAAGGCAAAAATAACCAATATTATTTCTGGGCCTGCAGTGGGTCATCATTACTCTTTACAACCCCATGAGGTTGGTTTTATTCCAGGTTCTATTATCCCCATTTTACACTTGAGGAAACTGGAATTCAGAAATTTCAAATGACGTGTTCATAGTCTCAAAGCTAGAATATGGCAGAATGGGGTTTCTAATCTGGGTGTGTTGGATGCTGAAGCCTTGCCACCTGCCTCTCTGCTAACCAGAATCCACTCCAGTGGCATCCTATAGAACTGAAAACACACACTCCATAAAGGGACCTGCTTTGTCGTGTTCCCAAAATAAGGCACAACATTGAACTCATACTATCTCCTCAATAAAACTATCATGAATGAAACAAAGAGGCTGCTATGTTTTTCAAATTAAGATCTTTAATCTTGGCAATGAGAGCCATGGAAATCATTTGTTTAAACCATGAACACAGCACTATTTGCCTGGGATTTTTTGTGATATCCAAGAGAGAGCCCATGAATGTGTAGACTATGAGTCCAGAAATGACTTCCCAAGATGTCAGGATAGGCTATAGATGCCATTAGGTCAGGATCCACTGAGAGTCTGAAGCAATAACATCATGCGGAAATTTTGTTTTCCCCAGCTCTCTTAGTGACATTCATTTCACTGTGTCCCTTAGATTTTAGAGATATCAAATAGAGAGTATTTGTAAGTACATTTTTTTCATAAATGTCAAAAATGACTTTATGCCTTGCCTTAGAATGATGGGATGAGTAAGCTCTTCAAAGTTGCACAGCCCAGAGATAGAAAGCCAGTGAAAAAAGAAGTAGAAAAGAGGCACGCTATAGGGCTCGTCCCAGATCTTAGTGCTTCCTCGTCAGCTGTCAAATTTTGCTTTTGTAGCTTATAAGTACTATGCCACACTCTCACTGGTTCTAACATCAGAACTTAAAGTATAATTCATCTGTGACATTTTATATATACGCAAACGACTACTATTATTCCTGCCTCACTGCATCCACTAAAGCTTTTCTAACTACGGCGTTTAGCTGCATAGACTTACGTTGACTGTAGGCTTTTCTGCTTTGCCTTTGTTTCTAATATGAAAGGTTTGTTAGGTCTACAAACTCTTTAATATCTCTACTTCAAATCCTGGTATGGGGCTTTATGAAGCATGAGGACGTTTAGTAAATTCCTGCAGACCAAAAGCACAGTTTGCTATTGCAATTGGCATTATTTTTTGTTCTTGAGACATCTAATAATTGGAGGATTCAACTTGGAGTCTATTTTAACCAAAGACTTTGAAGACACTGCAGTAACTTCTCATTACAGGAAAAAAAAAAACCCACAAAGAAGAATCCTTCTTCAGCTTTGGCAGTTAATTCAGCTCAAACTTCTTTCAAGAATAATGAGGATCTCTTTTTTTTTTTTTTTTTCAAGGAGATCTAGGAAATTAATGAGAATACTAATTCCCTTGATCTAAAAAAGGAAAGAGGTGCATTTCTTCATCACAGCCTCTGGTGAGGTTATATGAGTCACGAAGGTAAAAGGATCCTATTATGTGCTATAACTATTGAGTTTGCTGCCTGATCAAACCTTTATTCCTTGGACAATGTGATAGAACTTCTTCCCTAAGAACTTCTACCAAAATGGCTGCTGGGAAGTTATGGGTATTCCCTGGGCCACAGTGATGCCTGTGGCGATGGCAGCACCTTTTTACCTGCCGTCCTCCGCCTGTTATAGCTGCAGAGGACACCAGCTACTTGGCTATAAAAGAGACCGGCAACAGGAGTTTATTGATTAATCTGCTTATCGAATACTTTATCACTTCTGGGGCATTTTTTTTTTTTCAGTCTGATTCTACTTTTCTTTGAGTTCCAAGGTGCTCCTTGAGCAAATCCAGCCTCTGCTTACAGTGGATCAGGTTCACTTCAAGATGTGTTACTTCAGCCTGTGTCTGAACTTTTCCAGGAGTTCCTCATTTAGGCTTGTGATGTTTTTTTGAAATATGAGAATGCTTCTGTTTAAAAAAAAAAAACTTACCTGAATTAACATAGGATGGGACATGTGGTTTGAATATGTTTTCTTGTGTAAATATGTTTACAGTGGTCGTATTTTCACTTATATTTTACAATAAAAATAATATTTTAAATTTAGTAAAATGAATACTGACTTTAAAATATTACCAAAAGATGTTAACCTTGGGTTATCTGAAAGGAGAAATTGATGATGTCCAGGTAAGTTTAATTTATATATTAGTATCCAAAGCCCAATAATAAAATCAAACCAATCTACCTTGGATCTTAAATAATAAGTACAGAATGACTGTATATACTGAAGTATAATTGCATACGTGTTTAATTTGAAATTCAATTAAAAAGTTAATTGAATATTCACAAAAACATATGTGACTATGCACATATATTTTTATATCTTGCTATTCTCTTTAATTTTATCTCATCTCTAGAACCATGTTTTCCAATGTGTGGTGCCTGAATCAGCATTGAGATCAGCATTAACCGGGAACATTTTCAGAAAGCAAATTTTCAAGCTGCCTTCTTTCCTCCTCACCCATCGAGACCTGTGAAGTCAGCGATATGTGTTTTGCGAACACATAAATCTCCTTCTAGGAGATTCGGTATGTGATATACCTGTAAAACACTGCTTAGACTATTAAACATATTGATCCATCAAACAAATATGGAATAGTTTCATGAACCACTTTTATGAGTTAGATTTGGGATGGATGAAAGAAAACAATGATTTTAACATGCATTTATATTGTATTTTATGATTTCACTGTTTCTTATTAGAGCTTCAGAAAATCTCAGGAATTAGATGGGGTGGTTACATCTTCTGTACAACTTTGCAGTTGAGGCACAGAATGTGGTGTTAGTATCAAAAGTTAGACAAACAATATGTAGATTTCAGACCACAGTTCAAATCTGATTTTACTACTGTGGTCCTTCCATTGTATTACCTAGTAACCAAATTACACTCTAATAAGTGATAAAACCAGAAATGTAAGCAAGTCTATGCAAGGTTGGGTTATATTCTTGAACGTCTTATACACTTCATTGAAGAAAATAAAAAAAAACCACATTAGTAAATTTTTCACTTTTAAGGTCAACACTTTGCTCTTCTACCTAGTGTTAGATACAGCCTAATGTTAGATACAATAAGATTCTTTTTATGATTCAAATCCCTGTACTACAGTGAATTTAAGTATGATAAATAATCAATACAGGGTTAAATGAAAATCTGAATATAGTCTTTTCATTAACTCTTCCAAAATATACAACAAGCTCCATGTTATCTTCTGCTATACTTTTCTGAACAATTGGGTATTTTAAAGTATTGGGTGGCTGGGTGCTGTGGCTCATGCCTGTAATCCCAGCACCTTGGGAGGCTGAGGCAGGTGAATCACGAGGTCAGGAGCTCGAGACCATCCTTGCTAACACGGTGAAACCCTGACTCTACTAAAAATACAAAAAATTAGCCGGGTGTGGTGGGACACACCTGTAGTCCCAGCTACTCGGGAGGCTGAGGAAGGAGAATCACTTGAACCTGGCAGGCGGAGGTTGTAGTGAGCCGGGATCACACCACGGCACTCCAGCCTGGGCGACAGAGTGAGACTCCATCTCAAAAAAAAAAAAAAAAATTAGGTAACATTTTGAATAATTGTGTGTGTGTGTGTGTGTGTGTGTGTGTGTGTGTGTGCTTCATTGTACATTAAGTTCTAGGGTATATGTGTACAACCTGTAGGTTTGTCACATAAGTATACATGCGCCATGTTGGTTTGCTGCACCTATTAACTCATCATTTATATTAGGTATATCTCCTAATGCTATCCATCCCCCTGCCCCCCACTCCCTGACAGGTCCTGGTGTGTGATGTTCCCCTCCCTGTGTCCAAGTGTTCTCATTGTTCAATTCCCACCTATGAGTGAGAACATGCAGTGTTTGGTTTTCTGTCCTTGCAATAGTTTGCTCAGAATGATGGTTTCCAGCTTCCTCCATGTCCCTACAAAGGACATGAATTCATCCTTTTTTATGGCTGCATAGTATTCCATGGTGTATATGTGCCACATTTTCTTAATCCCGTCTATCATTGATGGACATTTGTGTTGGTTCCAAGTCTTTGCTATTTTGAATAGTGCCGCAATAAACATACATGTGCATGTGTCTTTATAGCAGCATGATTTATAATCCTTTGGGTATATACCCAGTAATGGGATGGCTGGGTCAAATGGTATTTCTAGTTCTAGATCCTTGAGGAATCGCCACACTGTTTTCCACAATGGTTGAACTAGTTTACAGTCCCACCAACAGTGCAAAAATGTTCCTATTCTCCACATCCTCTCCAGCACCTGTTGATTCCTGACTTTTTAATGATCGCCATTCTAACTGGTGTGAGATGGTATCTCATTGTGGTTTTGATTTGCATTTCTCTGATGGCCAGTGATGATGAGCATTTTTTCATGTGTCTGTTGGCTGCATAAATGTTTTCTTTTGAGAAGTGTCTGTTCATATCCTTTTCCCACTTTTTGATGGGGTTGTTTTTTTTCTTGTAAATTTTTTTTAAGTTCTTTGTAGATTCTGGATATTAGCCCTTTGTCAGATGGGTAGATTGCAAAGATTTTCTCCCATTCTATAAGTTGCCTGTTCACTCTGGTGATAGTTTCTTTTGCTGTGCAGAAGCTCTTTAGTTTAATTAGATCCCATTTGTTAATTTTGGCTTTTGTTGCCATTGCTTTTGGTGTTATAGTCGTGAAGTCTTTGCCCATGCCTATGTACTGAGTGGTATTGCCTAGGTTTTCTTCTAAGGTTTTTATGGGGTTAGGTCTTACATGTAAGTCTTTAATCCATCTTGAGTTAATTTTTGTATTTTGTATTAAATTTTGACTTTGATGCTGGGAGTTTTTTTTCCTATTTGTGTCATTTCACTGGGCCTTTTCCCAATAATATTGATCATATCTTAGGGAACAGTTAAAGTAGTGAAAATTAGTTGGCTTAATGTTTAATATAAGTAAGATGTAGAATGTGTTCACAGATTCTTTAAGTTTCTGTTGAAAGGCTAATGTGCATATTTCTGATGTGCTTTTCTCTTTCTGGTTATAGGACTGTAGTTAGTCAGATATAGGATGGAAACTGGAAGAGTAAGAGATTCCTCCACAAAGTCATGTTTCTTGAGAGTTGATTACTGAAGGAAACTACACTTACATTTTATCTGATGTGGCTGATTCTGTGAAACACTCCACTATTCTTATTACTTATTTTCCCATACCTGGTAGACCTTAACATCAATGTTATTTAATAAAGTTAGAGCCTAAACATGGTTCATAATTCCATGACAAAAGAGGAACATTGAAGAAACTGAAAATTAATTAAAAAGTTAGTGAAAGTAGTGTAGTGTAAGCCCAGCACTTTGGGAGGCCGAGGCAGGTGGATCACGAGGTCAGGAGATTGAGACCATCCTGGCTACCACAATGAAACCCTATCTCTACTAAAAATACAAAAAAATTAGCCAGGCATGGTGGTGGGCACCTGTAGTCCCAGCTACTTGGGAGGCTGAGGCAGGAGAATGGTGTGAACCCGGGAGGCAGAGCTTGCAGTGAGCCGAGATTGCTCCACTGCACTCCAGCCTGGGTGACAGAGCAAGACTCCGTCTCAAAAAAAAAAAAAAAGTTAGTGAAAGTAGTGGCTATTCTTGAAAATGTATTAAATACTCTTAAGTATAAAATATATTTTCTTATAATTGATAAAAATATAAAACAATCACCAAACAAAAAATAAATTACAGTTAAATTGTGGAATAAATTCTCAGTAAGAAAGAAATACTTGTGGATGACATAGAATATGATTAACAGAAGATTTGCATTAGTTTTGAAAGCAGCCGTAGTTTGCTCAATCACATATCAAAATTTCTTAGGAGAAAAATCTGCATATATTTAACCTCATAGTTTAGATAGTATTAATAATCCCTTTTGTGTGCCTCCAAATTGTCTGTAATCTCACAAGCAATGTTAGGCAATATAGTAAGAATGTTTCTAGTTGTTTAGAAGCCTGATTTTTGATGGATAAACTGGGAATCTGCTTTTACCAAAGACTTTGGTAGCATTTCTGTAGCTTCTCATTGTAGGGACTAAACTCATTAAAAGGACACTAGGCAGTCAGTCAACCTCAAACAATTTTAAGAGCAATGCGGATGCCACACCCTTTACTGGGGGTGTATGAAAAACTTCGGGCAGATGGAGTAAGTCATTCTTAGTAGTCTTTGTACTAAACACCCAACTAACAAGAAGTCCTTTGGCCTCTTCAATGATACATCTCCCCTGGCTCCTACTAGGGCAGTTGTGGTTCTCCCCTGAGATGGTGTTGGCTGTGGATGTGTTAGCACCTGTTCACCAGGGGGTGGGGACTTTGGATATGGCTATGCTGGCTTCTGGCCACTTGATGACAGAAGATATTGGACACTAGACCTCTATTAAGTTCTGACAAAGGGAACTGTATTATAATCAGTGTCCTAAGGAATCAAACTTGAAGAGATGTTTTATTGACAGCCTTCCAGGTGATAAAATGTGAATTTTAGATTCTCTCTGTATTGAACTGTGCAAAGTAGACTGATAATGAACTTTGTGGGCTGAACTTTAATAGAAGTTTTAGTTTTTCCCGATAGAATACTGTACTGTATTTTACATTCCCCCAGTGGATTTGATTTCCCCCTAACTTTAGGTGAATTTTATTTTACCGACTTCCATATTATAATAAATATGCTTAACTCAGCCATATAAATGTGATTTTCACTTTTTTTCTTTCCTCTTGATTCATTCTTTAAGGATATATTTTCCTACTGCAGTTTGCAGGAAGTTAATGGTTTGCTATTCTAAGCATTCCATCCACTAAATGGATGTTGTAAGGAAGAAGTAAATAGGCCATGGTGAATTTGCATGATGCTCTTCTTTCATTCTTCTTATTCATATTATACTCTTGAGTAAGAAATCTGGGGGTTAAAATTAGACCTAACTGCTTGGATCTCCAACATGTTATGCAACTCAATAAAGTTTTAGCTTTTGAAGAATACTTTTTGGTTTCCTGTTGTCTTTATTCTGGTTCAATGTTTATAATGCCAAATAGAAGAATCAATGCACAGAAGCTATGTTAAAATTTATAATCCTCCTCACACTGCCATTTATGACAACTTGAATGAACCTGGAAGGCATTTATGCTAAGTGAAATAAGCCAGACAAAGGAAGAAAAATATTGCATGATCTCATGGAGAAACAGAGAGTGGTTACCAGGGGAATAGAAGGGAAAGAAATGGGGAGATATAGGTCAAAAGATGCAAATTTCTAGTTATGTATGATAGATAATCCTAGAGAACTAATGTACAACCTGTGAACTATAGTTCATAAGATTGTATTATACACTGAACATTTGCTAATAGAGTAGATTTTTGATGCTTTACCACATACAAATATATACACACACAAACGTTACTATGTAAGATGATGGATATATTAAGTGGTTTGACTGTGGTAATCATTTCACTGTCTACATGTATATCAAAACATCATCATGTACACCTTAAACTTAGACAACAAAAAATTTAAAAATGCCAGATACAGTAGCTTATGTCTATAATCCCAGTGCTTTGGGAAGCTGGGGAGGGAGGATCCCTTGAGCTTGGAAATTTGAGACCTGCTTGAGCCACATAGTGAGAACCTGTCTCTACAAAAAGTTAAAAAATTGGCTGAATGTGGTGGAGGGTGCCTGTAGTCCCAGATACTCAGGAGGCTGAGGTAGAAGAATCGCTTGAGCCCAGGGGGTCAAGGTTGCAGTGAGCCATGACTGCACCACTGCACCCCAGCCTAAGCAACAGAGTGAGACCCTAGCTCAAAAATAAATAAATAAATAAATAAATAAATAAATAAATAAATAAATAAAGGCTTCTATGTCTATCATATTCTGGTTTTGGTGTATTTTATGTTTATGTGGCTTATTTCTTGAGTGTTCTGTATGACTTTAGTGGTGAAACCATTAATAACAAAAGGAGAAAGTTGTGAGTTAAAAGAAATCTCAGTGATACCAGGGTGGTATTTGCCTCACACACAAAGCTGAGAAAAATGTATTCTCTTGAGTATTCTCAATTTGCTGCATGAAGGAAGACAAAAATACATTTTAAATTATTTTAAATAGAAAAGGTCAAGAAAGGTGAATTTCATTATGGCAAATCACACTTCACACTTCACATTTGGCTTATTCCTGAATCAGCAAACTTGACACCTTAAAAATAGATATGGAAGACAAATGGCAGAGGAATTCACTTCTTCAGGTAGTCAAACCCTGGAAGCGCTGTAGTCCCCAGAATAACACTTATATTCCCCATCTCCCTAACTTTGTGCTCTCACAGCCTCTCATCCAATTAGCTGTTCTTGTGAAATAATCTTCTTTTTAGAAATTATCATCATTATCATCATCATTAAATATCATCTTAACACTGCCAGAATTAACATAATAATACGTTTCTAATGTCTAGTTTTTATAATTTATTTCGATGCCAGCCTATTGGGCAATATCAAAGCAAAATCTATTACAAGACATTTGTGGACGTAGTAAAACAATGTAATGTAGATATAAAGCTCTCTGAAAAATGTAACTTTATCCAAGAATATGATCTAGAACATCTAAATAAATGAAGAATTTTTATATCTTTGTGAAAATTCTGTATAAAATAAGATTTAAATTAAAAAATCAACACAGTGAAGTTGTATAGTTTAATATGTTTTTAAGTATATCTGTGTAACTACCATAACAATCAGAATGTAGAACAATTCTATCATCACCCTCCCCATCCCCCGCCAGAAAAAAAAACAAACAAACTCTGTCGTCCTATTCCATTTTAGTAATACTTTCTTCCCTAACTCTGAAAAGTGATTGATCTGTTCTCGATCACTATAGTTTTTGTCTTTTTGACAAGGTGATATAAGTACAATGATACAGTATATAATGCTTTGAAATAGATTTCTCTGGGTTTGTCCTATATAGGGTTTGCAAACCTTCTTGAATCTGTCTCTGCAAATAGGGTAAGAGCAGAACTTCTTCCAGAATCTGGAGTAGGGATAAACTTCTAGAATGATTAGTCTGTAATTGAAAGAGAAGTGTGGGGATAGAGAATCTAGCAGCTTCTGAAAGTAGCTTATCAATTTGGCACATATGTAAAAATATGTGAAGTTTATTTTATAATAACCTGGATTCTGTGTTTCTCAAATTTGAGCATGTGTAAGAATTCTAGCCACGCTTTTAAAGAATAAACACTCCAGAGTTCTCCCTCCATAGGTTCTGGTTCAGTAGTCTGGGGGGTGCAGCCTATTTATCTGCATTTTTAATTACTATAGTACAAGATGATTCCAAAATGAGTGATGTTTGAATTACCTTTTGAGATTCATTGATCTAGACAAAGAAATAGACATGCTCATCACACAGTTGCCTTTTTTATTCTTTTTTTTTTTTTTTTTTTTGAGGCAGGCTTGCTCTCTCACCCAGGCTGAAGTGCAGTGGTACGATCATAGCTCACTGCATCCTCTAACTCCTGGGCTCAGGCAATCCTCCTCACTCAGTCTCCAGAGAAGCTGGGACTGCAGGTGCACACCACCACCCCTGGATATATTTTTATTTTTTTTATTTTTTGTAGAGGCTGTCTTGTTGTATAGCCCTGGCTGGTCTCAAACTCCTGGCCTCAAGTGATCCTCCCACCTTGGCCTCCCAAAATGCTGAGATTATTGGCATGAACCACTGCACCTGACCACATTTTTCCAGTGTTGTGAGACCAAGTGGTATTCCCAAACCTTGAAGGTTAGAAATAGATTTTGAAGGCTACCTAAACAAGGCAATCAGCAAAAGTGAAAGTTGGCATGAGAGGAACAAGTAAGAGGCAGGGCCCGGTAAAGAATGGAGAAACACTGGCTTGGGGAAATATTTCAGAAACCAAACCATTGCACACTAGGGATGAATCAGCAACATGATGTATAATTTTAAAAAAACCCTGGTACATATGGGAGTTAATACAAGTAGGACATATGGGAGGTGATAATTCTTCCACTGTATAGCATCATTCAAACTCTTATGAGAATATTGATTCTATTTTATCATCTGAATTTTATTAAGAATATAGAAAATTAAGGAATATTCTAGAGAAAAACATTAGAAACTATTTAAAAAAAGAAATTTAGCTCCATAAGAAAAGATTACAGGAATTTGGACTCTGAGTTACTTTGGTAGAAAAATAAAAACATTCATTGTTTTTTTCTATCCATAATTGCTCATTGCAAACAGTATGGAAAACAAAGTTAGAAAAAACATACACATTATTCACTACTTAGGAGTAACTAGTATTATTTCTTTAGTAAAATAATAATTATAAAATATAGAAAAACTAATTTTTGTATTCTTTGTAATGTGATTATTTTGAATACTCCCCTATGTAATTATATATTATTTCAAAATGACTGCACCATATTATTCTGTATAAATGCAGCATGTTTTATTAATATTAACTCAATTTTTATATATTTAGGATGCTTTCAATTCTTTATCATTTAAAGTAATATTTTAATGAACATTTACTAAGTAATCAGTAACCCCATCTTTGATTATTTGCTTATTTTAGACTCCAGTTAGAGCCAGGATACTAAATCAAATGTCAGAAGTATTTTTAAGGTTCGGAACACATGTTATTCTTCAATGCTAGGCCATTGCAATTAAAATAACCTTCTTCTTTCATACCATGTCCTAATGGATTCTGAAGATACCTTTCCGAGGCCCCGTCTTCATTACCCTGTTTTATAGCATTTATTTCTAGTTAAAATTATCTTCAAAAAGTATTAATTAACATTAAAAATAATAAAAGTATTAAATGGATGATTCAAAAGTAACTTCTACAAAAAAGCAGACAACAAAAATAGAGGCTTCTTACCTTTGATTTATTCTGTGCAGTAGTAACCCACCTTCAAGTATTTTAGACTTTTTCCATACTTAATCATTTGTCCATAATAGTCTTATTCTGTACTTTTTGTTTCCTCAATTTTGCACATAATTTACTAACTTCCTATTTTGTGAAATGAGGATTTTAAAAAACATACGCTTCACCCAAGACACATGCAGTTTCCCTCTCACAATCTCCCATATGGTAATATCACAGTAGTCTTTACTGTGTATATACTGTAGTATTGGTATAGTTTGAGACCAGCCAGGGCTATATAACAAGTATTCACATACTTACCCCAAATCCTTGGTGCATTGGTATAGCATTTCCTTTCCATGAATTAATAACTGCCTAAGTTTTCCACCAAGAAACCATCTTTAAATTCATTGACAGAATTGTAAAATTCTCACTGTAGGATTATACACATTGGAAAATCCACTGGTTCCATCTCTGCGCTAGAAATATTCTTTTTGGAGCTCACTGTCCTTTTGTGCCCTGTCCAATCAGGTTTGCTGCCCTTTAGGCTGGCTGCATAGCATAGATCCTCTTTGTTTATTTATTTATTTGTTTATTTGAGCCAGGATCTCTCTCTGTCGCCCAGGCTGGAGTGCAGTGACGCGATCTCAGCTCACTGTAGCCTCTGCCTCCTGGATTCAAGCAATTCTCCTGCCTCAGCCTCCTGAGTAGCTGGGATCACAGGTGCCCACCACCACGCCTGGCTAATTTTTGTAATTTTAGTAGAGACGGGTTTCAGCCATGTTGATCAGGCTGGTCTAGAACTTCTGACCTTAAGTAATCCACCCGCCTTGGCCTCCCAAAGTGCTGAGATTACAGGCGTGAGCCACTGCGCCCTGCCTCAAATCCTCTTTGCCACTCCATTTAATATCATCCGCTGCCTGAATTTGTGTTTGTATTTGTTAATTTCTGGTGGAGCACATCCTATAGCATTTGTCTGAACTAGTAACTCTTCAGGTAAACTTTCTGAGATCCCGCATGTCTAAAAATATTTTTATTTTAACCTGACAGTTTATAGACTGACTGGATTTCTAGGTTAGAAATAATTTTCTTTCATTTTATTGAAAAACTTGCCCCCTTTTTTTTTCTGGCTTTCATTTTTGCTTTTGAGATATCTAATACCATTTTGATCTCTAGGTCTTTGTGTCCATAGTTTCTCCCCTACACTCTAGCAGAAACTTTTACTATTCTTATTATATAGGAACTGGCTTAGAAATAAATTTTCAGATAAATTTTACCACTCAATAGACCATTAAGGATATAGATTTCCATGAATAATATATAGATTTTCCTGTAGAATATCACATTTATGAATATATTTGTGTTTTGTTTTAAAAACTAATACATATTCTGAAAATCTATTTTTTAAAATTCTGTTTCTCCTAAGATTCTTGCCACTCTTCATGACCCATATCACAGCTCAACTGAAGGAAAAAAATAAAAACACTGCAATTGCCAGCAGGGTGAGAAGAAAAGGTAATCAAATGGTAGTGACCTTTCCTCTAAATTGACTGGCTGGTTGAGCTAAACATTGTTTTGTCCATCAGTAAAATGGTGACACCAACCCTTTGGGTAACATGACATACAGGTTAAACACTGCCACATGGGAAGTGAGCGGCAATAAATATTTTTCACTAATGGTTGACAAGAGTCAGGGTTGGGCAAGAGAGCAAAGAGGAAACCCACGACAGTGTTGAGGAAGATCACATTCAGATACTTGCCAAAATGTTTCTTGTAATCCTATAAATCCTGTCTCAAAACAGTTCTTTCTTTTTAATTTCAATAGCTTTAGGAGTACAGGTGGTGTGTGGTTACATGGATGAATTGTGCAGTGGTGAAGTCTGGGTTTTTGGTATATCTATCACCGAGATAGCGTGCATTGTACCCATTACTTTCACAGGTGCAAAGGTATGAAATCAACCTAAGTGCCCATTCACCAATGAGTGAATAAAGAAAATCTCATATGCACATTCCATGGTGTATATATACATTGTACCCAATTGGTAATTTTTTCCCTTCAGCCCTCCCACCATCCCGCCTTCTGAGTCTGCAGCATCCGTTATACCCTCTGCATGCCTTTGCGGACCCATAGCTTAGCTCTGACTTGTAAGTGAGGATATGCGGTATTTGGTTTTCCATTCCTAAGTTACTTCACTTAGGATAATGGCCTCCAATTCCATCGAAGTTGCTGTAAAATACATTATTTCATTTTTTTATGGCTGAGTATTAGTCCATCCTGTATATATACACTATGGAATGTGTATATGGGGTTTTCTTTATTCACTCATTGGTGAATGGGCACTTAGGTTGATTTCATACCTTTGCACCTGTGAATTGTGCTGCAGTAACTATGCATGCGCAGGCAACTTTTTGATATAATGAATTATTTTCCTTTTGGCAGTTACCCAGCAAACTACCAATGGGATTGTTGGATCAAATGGTAAATCTACTTTTAGCTCTTTGAGAAATCGCCATACCATTTTCCATAGTGGTTGTATTAATTTACATTCCCACCAGCAGTGTATAAGCATTCCCTTTTCACCACATTCACACTAACATCTATTTTTTTTAAACTTTTTAATCATGACCGTTCTGGCTGGGGTAAGGTGGTATCTCATCATGATTCTATTTTGTATTTCCCTGATGATTAATGAAGTTGAATATTTTTTCATATGTTTGTTGGCCACTTGTATATCTTCTTTTGAGAAATGTCTATTCATGTGATTTGCTCACTTTTTATTGGGATTGCTATTTTTTCCTTGCTGATTTGTTTTAGTCCCTTGTAGAATCTGTATATTAGTTTCCTTTGTTGGAACTGTAGCTTGCAAGTATTGGGTTGGTACAAAAGTAATTGTGGCTTTTGCCATTACTTTTAAATAGCAAAAACTGCAATTACTTTTACACCAATCTCTTTCTCCTATTCTGTAGGTTGTCTGTTTAATATTTTTTTATTATTTCTTTTGTAGTGCAGAAGCTTTTTGTTTAATTTGGTCCCATTTATTTATCTTCATTTTTGTTGCATTTGCTTTTGGGATCTTAGTCCTAAATTCTTTGTCTAGGCCAATGTCCAGAAAAGTTTTTCCTAAGTTTTTTTTCTAGAATTTGTATGATTTCAGGTCTTAGATTTACATCTTTAATCCACCCTGAGTTATTTTTTGACTCAAATCTTGTTTTTAATGGCTCTTTGAATACTAACAAGCTTTAATGCAGTTCTAACCCTAATTTTGACAGCCACTTCTGTAATGTACCTGGGTTTTCATATTACATATTACATATGTTTTGTTAGTGAATATAATGCTAAAAATTACCATTGGCTCTAACTTTGCCTTGAAAACAACATGGCTTTTCTTTTTATTGAATTTATTAATACATTTTTAATGATTTCTATTCACTTTTTGAACTTTTATTTATGATAGCCCAATAGTTTATCTTATGTTTGCACGGGAATTCTGGAGAATATCATTGATTGTACTAGCACTTTGGTGGTTCTTCATAAATATATCAGCACTTGGTGGTTCTTGACATAATATTAAAGCAACTAGGAAAGTAGAACTCTGGAGCTGGAATGGAAGTTTTGTAGGTTTAAAGTCCAGACCAGAGGACTATGAAGTAGATAAGGTTTGTTTATATTGTAGATTAAAGTGTGGACTATCCTTCATTTTCAGATGTGCCTCTTGAGCAGGGTTTTCATGTTTGTATTTGGGCTCTTGTGCAGGGCTTTGGTGTCTATACATGGGTTGTTAATCAATTCAGAGACTAGCAGTTTTTAAATTTAACATGATCCCTACTGAATACAGATATTCATTAAAACACCTGCACACTTTGAAAAAGCAAGTGAAGCTATTTGTTAGCTGGATGCTTTTTAAAGAGAAACACATCCTGTGGTTTCAGGACAAGGCAGTGTTAGTTAATGTTGGTATTTACCTTGCTGGAGTCTGCTAATATCTCTGGATAATACTTGTGGGCAATTGCTACATTTGGACATACCCTGCTGGCAGTTCAGCTTCATGGTAAATGACAAGTGGCAGGTGTGTGTCAGCAACATTCTAAGCGAGTGAGTCTTTTCTATCTCAAGTGAGATTTGTTCAGAAACTTCTAGTTTCTGGGGAAGGTTCACCTCATCACAGGTTTTGAGATTTTATTAGAAGGCAAAGAAATTTCAGTGTGTTTGAGCAGAGTAGAACACAGTCTAGGTACATAGCTTTAAATCTGGGGCTAAAAAGAAAAGATTTTTCACTACTTATTATAGACTGTCGATTGTACTCATTAAAGAAAACTAAATATGCTTTGAGGTTAAGTTGTAGTACTGTTGAGCCCATTTCAAAGGCTCTACTCATATAAGAGGACAAAAGATAATGAGATTTATCATTTCCTTTAAATCAGTTAATAAAATAATAAGATACAGAATTTATTTGTAGCATTCCACCCACTGCTAGGTAGATAGGAATGACCCTGAAATGATAGTGTTGTTTAACTTTGATTACTTGATTTTGGATATTAGAGGGCATCCTTCGTTCTCATTTGATGCATTATAATAATTGCTATTCTGGCTGGTACCCCTCAGGATCTTCTCAACTTTTGGACTCATTTGAATATGGTCTCTCTGGAGACTGGGTTGCAGCTGTGGCTCTGGCTATGGGTATGGGTGCGAATGTAGATGTTTCCAATGACTTGGATATAGCTGTGGATGTGTTTCTGCTTTTGGCTGATAATGTAGAAGCCCAGCTTGCTGAGGAAGATATTGGCCATCTGCACTCTACCATTTTTTACCTGGGGACTTCTACACCTTGATCACCATGACCCATCAGCTCATCCACTTGCTCAGCTCACATCTCAGCTCCAGTTATTATATTATTTTTTGGTAACTAATGTCTCTATTCTTTGTTGTACCTGGGAATCCAAATGCTAGCATTGAACTGACTTTACCTCAAAATGGATTGAATGACTTTTATTGAAGTTCCTCAGATACTCTCCCTTTAGGGATCTATTTCTTCTTTTCATGTAATATTATGCTTGGGTGACATCACATATTTAACTTCAGTTAAAGTTGGGAGCTGTTTTTCTATGTTGAGTTTTAAAAATAAGTACCTTTTCCTTAGCATAGCAATAGCTGATTCTCCTTTCTGATTTTTTGGGTGTACTTTGTTGTATTGCTGTGATTGTTATATATTTTTTCATTCTTTATTCAATTTGGGTCCCGAGTTTATATCTAAGTGCTGGATCCCGAATAGTTTATCAGAAGTGTTTGCTTACTTCTTTCCTGAATTACCCTCTCTTTGACTTATTTATTGTTTTGATTTTTAGAGATTCATATTTGGGCAGATTTATTTTATATTCTCTAAAGATATTCAAATTTGTGTACAGATTTTAGTTTTAGGACAGGATTGTCACTCTTTCAGAGTCCTCTCCATTTTATCACCGTTGAAGCACCAAAGTATTTTGACATACATGGTGTCCAGAGAGGAGCATCCCTGTGCCCTGAGATAATATAACACCTCTCCTTTGAATCCAGAGATTAAATATTAGTAGAAATTCTCCAGAACACTGAACACATTCATTGTCTGTAATAGTATATTTCTTATATTCAGTGACTATCAATGGCAAAAGAGTGAAGTCCTTATTAGCCTTCTTATTTTTCAGCTTGTTTCAACTGTGGAGTAACTGGAGGAATAAATGAATAACATATACTTGCTTGTCCTAAAATGTAGCATCAAGTGGGCTATGGGTAGCAGCCAGATAATTGTTCATTTCAGATGATATTTTCTGACTTGGTCCTGAATGTTTACAGATGACATAATTGATTAATGGAAAAACCATGTGCATTTAGAGGTTATAATTATATCTATTACATAAAGGCCTTTTAGTACATCCTGTTAATTTTGGGGGTAATAAGAATAATGTTACTTATAAAATTTATGGTATTTATATGCTATTAATTAATCTTCATAAGAAAAGCATATATAAACCACAATCTTTATATTATTATATTTAATTTTCAAGACATTGTTACAGATTATGATTAATTAGTCAATGAATCAAATTTATCAGGCTTCTACTAAATACCAGTTACTTGTAGTTGCTGTGAGACAAATACATGAATACGATTTTTGCCTTTGTTCTCTCTCTAGAAGCTGATTTAGTCGAGAAGAGAAACAAAGACACATTAAAGATTTGGTGAGAAATAAAAGATTGTGCATTACTCGGTATTATTTGTAATTTGGACTACAAGTACATTGGGATTTACACAAATTGCATATATATGAGTTATTTCAGGCCAGACGGACACTCAATTTTCTAGAAAATATTTTTTAGTATGTCATCTCCCTTTTAAATTTCTCCCTCGACTTCTCCCTTCAGAGCCACAATCTTGAAATGGCATTTCACACTGCCACTGCCTCACTTCCTACTCCCTCTTCAATTTATAGCAACTGAATCAACCTTCAACACTTCCCTGAAAACCTTTTTCTGTAAGATCATCAAAGAAATTCCAATTTATCAGATTCATTAACTATTTCTCATACCTCATGTCACTTTTTCCTCTGTAAAACACATGGAAACAGCTTTAAAAATTTTCTCTTCCCCAGAGTTCCATGATCATGATGGTCCTCATTTCCTTTTCCTCACGGATTCCCCTTCTGCATCAGCCCAGGCTAAGTTCATCTGAGGTAACCGACAACCTTAAAATTTCAGTGGCTTCTCCCAACATGAATTTATTACATATTAATGTAACATGCCCATTGCAGGATGTCAGAGGTGTGTTGTTAAAAAGTGACTTAGGAATCCCGGGGGCTGGAGACCCATCATGTACTGGCAGCATCATCTGCAAAAAGACTGACTTCCTTTGTCTTCGGTGGAAGAAAGAGAAACTAGAGAATCACTAACGCTGTTTGAAAGACGCACACATCTCTTTCCCTTATATATAACTGGCCAGAATTTGTCAAATGGCCCTATCAAATACAAGGCATTTGGGTGCCTACAATAAGAGAATATGAGATTGGTGAACACTAATAATATCTACCCTTCTCATAAATGCCTTCTCTTATTTCTTTAAGATAGTATCTAAAATATGAAATTAATATTTAATTAGATGCAAAGAATATAATTTCTGGCATATTTCAAATGTCGGCATCAGTCCGCTGTCTCACTGCTATAAAAAACTAGCAGCTGGGCACTTTATAAAGAAAAGAGTTTATACTGGCTCAGAGTTCTGCAGGCTACACAGGCTGCTGTTTCAGGGGAGGCCTCGGGAAACTTACTATCATGCTGGAAGGCTACTGGGAAGCAAGTGTGGTTTATATGGAAGGGGAACGGGGAAGAGAGAGTGAAAGGGAAGGTCCCATCGCCTCCCACTTGTTCCCACCTCCAACACTGGGGATTATAATTCAGTATGAGATTTGGTTGGGGACTGAGCCAAACCGTATCAATATTGTCACTTTAAAATAAAATTATTACCATACTTTAAAAATCTACCAGTAAAATGTAAGTATAATAGCCATTTGCTGTGCACTACTATTCATTGAAAAATCCTTAAGATCTTAAAAGAAATCTGCATCTTTTTTCTTCCTTGAACTTATCTTTCCATTGTCCTTTTCCCATAGAGTATTTTACTAATGAAATATATTTTTATAAGTATTTTATTAACTACTCTATCGTGCATCTTCTCAAAAATATTCACATAAAGATACAATTATAAATTTATAATGTATTTTTCCATACAACTTTATTTATTAATAAATTTTATTTCCTGTTCCCACAAAGCTATGTCTTAAAATTGTCCTTTTGGATTAGATTGTTGTTCAGTCAGCTAAGGCTACCGTAACAAAATTTCACAGGCTCGGTGGCTTAAACAACAGAAATTTATTTCTTACCATTCTGGAGGCTGGGAAGTCCAAGATCAAGGTGCTGGCAAGGTAGGTTTCATTCTGAGACCTCTTATCTTGGCTTGTAGATGGCCATCTTCTTGCTGTGTCCCCACATGGCAAAGGGAGAGAGAGACAGAGCGAGAGAGAGCACAACCCAGTATTCTATGAAATCTGGGCCCCCACGTTTGTCTTTATGGCCTCATTTAACCCTAATTACCTCATTACAGGGCCTCTCTCCAATGATAATAGTATTGAGGGTTAAGCCTTTAACATGTGAATTTTGGCAGGAGACACAATTCAGCCCATAGCAGTTATCATAATTATTACTACATTTCATTGATATTTAGGTGCATATGTTTTCACATTTTAATATTTTGGAAATTGTGTGCATTTAACAAGTGATGTGTGCCACTGCATTTTCTTTTTTAAAAATTTTATTGTGTGTATTTGAGGTATACAATGTAATGTTATGGGATACATGGAGAGAGTAAAATGGTACTACAGTGAAGCAAATTAACATAGCCATCATCTGACAAAAATATCCTTTTTTTTGGTGGCAAGAACAACTAAAATCTAATCATTTAGCAGAAATTCCAAGTACAGTACAATTTTATTAGCTATATTCCTCATTAATTGTTACCACAGAAGAGGGATAGAGGAAATGGGGAGAAGTAGGTCAGAGGTATAAAGTAGAGGATATGGGGGACAAACAAATCTAAAGGCCTAATGTGTACCATTGAATTTCCTTAATGGTGAATAAAATAATTGCATGCTACACATTTGGTGGAGTTTAGATTCGATAAAATGTAGCATAATGCATCATGCATCAGAGTGTCATAAAAATATTACAAATACAATAGTTACTAAAATATTAATAAAAATTGATATATAGCTCAATGATGAGACAAAAATAGATAGCTTTTTATTTAAAATTTACTATTTCACAGATTCTTGAACAACTATTCTTTGCTAGAATGAGATAAATTTCAGCATCAGTCCTACTCCTAGCTTTAGATCTCTAGATAGAAAACATCGGCGGCCTTGTTTCTACAGGTAAGCAGACAAAATGGAGGAATTTTTGTTACAGCAATTGTGCTTGATTGTTTGACCTCTCCTGAGGTGTAAGCCAAAAGTAAATAATTATCTAACAACAAAATTATTTTAAATGATCTATTAATTGAAATGCAATTATCATTCAATTTCGTTGAAAGTAAAGTTGGCAAAATAACCCATTACCTATTTATTCAGTATATGGCTACATAATTTCTGAGAATTCTGCCTGCAATGGACTAAATATTTGTATCCCCACAGAACTTATATGTTGAAATCTTAACCCCCAATGTGGTGATATTAGGAGATGGGACCTCCTTTGGGAGGTGATTAGGTCAAGATGGTGAAGCTCTCATGAATGAGATTGTTGCCTTTATAAAAGGGACTCTAGAGAAGTCATACCCTCTTTCCACTGTGTGAAGATACAATGGGAAGACTGTGGTCCACACTCCGGAAGGGGGTCCACACCGGAACCCAACCATGCTGGCACCCTGATCTCAGATTTTCAGCCTCGAGAACTGTGAGAGATAAATTTCTATTAGTCATAAGTCACCCAGTGTATGGTACTTTGTTATAGCGGGCCAAATTGACTAAGATAATGCCAAAAAAAACTTTGTTGAGACTCATCAATTGACTATTAAGTAGTCCTATTACCCTCTAATTTAGACCCTGCTCAAGGAGACAGAATTAGACAAAACAGGCACCACCCTACTCCCCATAAAATTGGCAACTATGTAGTTTAAGGTTGTTTTTACCAGTAGTTTTGAACAAAATATATTCGAATAAACCCATTTATTTTTGGGCATCTCATAATGCCCTAGAGAGGTATGACTAATAGGCAGAAACAATTATGAGAATGGCCATAGATTCGTAATTTTATTTAATGGTGAATCATTGTTAAGTTTATACTTACGAATTTCACAGAAAAAAAAGGACATATCTGTATCTGGATGACGGAATTCTTCCTGGCCGAAAGCTGCAGCGTTTTCTAGATTGTACTTTGGGAACATGTTATTCTGCACTCTTACATAAGCAGATGCTCTGTTTTATGATAAAAATTAACAGAAAAAGGAAGATAATGTATTGACTAGGTATACACAGAATAAATTTAACATTTACTTTGGCTTCAGCTTCTGGAATTCTGAAGGACCTCATGTCAACTCCAATCTTATTCTTGATATCTCTGATCTTTTCATTATTCCTGGTCATATGATGGTTCCAAGCAGTGTGACAATGTCAGTTTTACAAAGAATGTTGTTACAATTTATAGTTATTATCTGAACATTCACTTTCAAATATAAACAAGCAGTCCAAAGGTAAATTGGACTGTTCATGGTTTTTTTTTTTTTTTTTTTTTGAGACAGAGTCTGGCTCTATCGCCCAGGCTGGAGTGCAGTGGCGCTATCTCGGCTCACTGCAAGCTCCACCTCCCGGGTTCATGCCATTCTCCTGCCTCAACCTCCCGAGTAGCTGGGACTACAGGCTCCCGCCACCACGCCCGGCTAATTTTGTTTGTATTTTTAGTAGAGTCGGGGTTTCACCGTGTTAGCCAGGATGGTCTCGATCTCCTGAACTTGTGATCCGTCCGCCTCGGCCTCCCCAAAGTGCTGGGATTACAGGCGTGAGCCACCGCGTCCGGGTGTTCATGCTTTTATATATTGAAATGCTAATCTGCTAATTGGAGTATTCATGATCATAAGAGAAATATGCCACAGTAATTAGTGACAACTGTGATTTTTGAATTAAAATTATTAAGAACAGATACGTATTTAAAGAGATGCCTACATTGAGGAGTGATCCAACTATTAGGAGAGCTTATGCTATCTAAATCAATGTTTCACGAACTTTAAGGTGGATTCAAATTATGTTCAAATCAGGTTTTTGTTAAAAACCAAATTGGATTCACTGGATCTGGACTGGAGCCTGAGATTCCTCTTTTCCAACAAGCTCTCAGGAGATTTCCTTAGGTATGACCCTGAAGCACAGATTTTCTTCTAGAGTATATTTATATTTTAATTTTACTTAAATTTTTTTTCCTGAATTATATTCTGTTTGCCAAAGGATTAACAATATAACTAAATATGCTATTCCTGTATTGTGTACATTAGGAACAGTGTATATTGCATACATACAGAAACAATAAAATTTTTTTTAATTTGATAAAATGCTGAGTTAATGATGAAACTTATCATGATTTTATTTACTCCTTTGCTGATAAATCTCTACAACTCACATGATGAGCAACATTGTGAATCTGGTGGCAACATATATTTGCAGAAAGGAAACTCAGCAAGGAAAAGTGATTGCAATTGCAAGTGACAATGGAGGAAAGATGATGGAGGCCATGAGTCATTTGGTAATTATGTGCATTATGATTTCTCTTCTCATTCTTCAGTTTTGTGTTCAGGGCATAATTACAGCACTAGTAGAATAACAGAATTATTGTCCATAATCAGAGAAATAGCGAGCTAATTAAAAATCATTTTATTCTTTGGCCAAGAACAAACGATATGACATAAAGAGAATTTTGGAGATTCTTTGCTATGTGCTTATCTAAGATGCTCCAAATAAGATGGAGCATTTTTAAATGTAAGTGCGTTTATGCATATAGCATTTATAATATATAACATTTATAACATGTTAAATGGTGCTTTAAAATATTAATATTGCGCTTTGTAGATAATACCAACATAACAGGATATCCGATTGCTTGCAGATTTTTAATTCACTTGCTGGAATCTGCTACTAAAGTAACCAAATTCATGGATGTATTTCTTTCATTATATCTGCTTCCTGTCATTTTCTTCTAGAGGAGATGCTCAGTTTAGTGTGCATGCAATGAAACTGAGGTATAGATGCTTTATAAATAATTTACCTTGAAAGTCAAGAATGTTGCTCCATCACCACTCAATGTTGAAAGACAAATTTTTGTTAGTAATTGAATGAAGCAACAAGTACATGTAAATGTATTAACCGTGTCTTTTATTTTCTGTATTCTGGTGCTTTGACATGTGAGCCTTGTTGACCTTGGAGGGACTGCCCCTTCAAAGTTAGCCAATTTCTTTTTTTTTTTTTTTTTTTTTTTGGAGATGGAGTCTCGCTCTGTTGCCCAGGCTGGAGTGCAGTGGTGCGATCTCGGCTCACTGCAAGCTCCGCCTCCCGGGTTCACGCCATTCTCCTGCCTCAGCCTCCCGAGTAGCTGGGACTACAGGCACCCGCCACCACGCCTGGCTAATTTTTTATATTTTTAGTAGAGACGGGGTTAGCCAGGATGGTCTTGATCTCCTGACCTCGTGATCCACCCACTTCGGCCTCCCAAAATGCTGGGATTACAGGCGTGAGCCACAGCGCCTGGCCAAGTTAGCCAGTTTCTAGAGGTAGTAAACAAACCACCAGTGAGTGTACGTTTCAAATGCAAAGCAGCCAATTCAGAATGCACACCCCCAGCCACCTCCTTTATTGGGGTCTCACACTCTGGGCCATTATCCACCTGCTCAAATAACCCCTGGGCCAGGCCCCAGACAAGTAGGGACAGCGCCTATGCCCCAGAGCCCACTGAAATGATCCAAACTTGCCAATCCCTGCTTACCCTGCCTCGCACAGAAGCCACAGCGAAGGTTCTTTTTCACGTTTTCCTCTTCTGCCTCTGCTTTTTGATTGACTCTAGCCCTCCTCTAGGTAACTCCCTTGGGTGTGGCATGCCTCCTCATCTTGGGATCCATGTGGATAACAAACTGTCTTTTCAGTGGCCATTGTCTCCTGATCTATTGTCCTAACCGTCTCTAAATAGTAACAAAACCTATATTTTAAAATAACAAAGATGTTATGAATTAATTTAATATAAACGTGAGGACAGAAATGTTAAGTTCATCTCTAAAAACATTCAGAAAGCATCATCTTAAGTTTCAATTTATGAGATCACTTCAGCACAAGGGCATCAATGCCAGTGACCACATCTTCAAGTCGGAAGTTGGAGAGGAAAGGCTTTTTCCTTAGGTTCTGTTAGAGAGGAAGAGAAGCTTAATAACTTGGTGGCAGTGCATAATCTCCAGTACGGTACTTTGTCAGAGCTAGCAGAAAAGTACTTAGCTTCTCACTAACATGGATTGGCAGTGAATATTTACTTAGTTTTGCAGGTGTTCAGTTTAGTGACTCTGTAAGCAATATTGCTTACTTTTTTTTACAGTAGATTTTACTATATGCCATTATGCTAATTTAAATCTAATACAAACATGTTAAGGATGAACCAAATGAGCTAAAAAAGAATAATCAAATGTCTTCAAGAAGGAGAATTTGTGCCCAAATAAAATATGCATTGGCAGGATGTAAGCAAGATGGTAGAGTAAGAGATTCCATCCCTCAACCCTCCACAGAAACAACAATTTTCACAACCATGCTTGGGCAGGAATACTTCCCTGGGAACCAAGGAGTTCAGTGGAGAGATGGAGAGATTCCAGAAAAATCCAAGGATAGGTGCATCAAAGAGGGGAAGCAGGAACAGTTTCCCTTTACCCGCAGACACATATACCAACGTTACAAAAGAGAGTCTAGAAATAAGCCCATTCATATACGGTCAACTAATGTTCAACAAGCGTCCCAAGAATACATGGTAGGGAAAAGATAGTCTCTTTAATAAATGTTGTTGGGGAAACTGGATAACCACATGCAAAATAATGAAACTGGACCCTTATCTTACATCATATAAAAAATCTACTAAAAATGGTTTAAAGACTTAAATGTAAAACCTGAAACTGTAAAACTCCTAGAATAAAACATAGGGGAAAATCTTCTTGACATTGGTCTTGACAGCAGATTTGAGGATATGACACCAAAAACACAGGCAACAAAAGCAAAAATAAATAAGTGGGGCTACATCAAATTTAAAAGCTTCTGCATAGCAAAGGAAGCAACCAACAAGGTAAAAAGTAACCTATGAAATGAGAGAAAATATTTATAAATCAAATATCTGATAAGGTGTTAATATTAAAAATATATAATAGGGAACTCTTACAACTTAATAGCAAAAAGTATCAAATAACTTGATTACAAAATGTGCAAAGGACCTGAATGGCTATTTTTCCAAAGAAGACACACAGATGACCGACAGGTATATGACAAAATACTCAACTTTATTAATCTTCAGGAAAATAACAAATTAAAACCATAATTAGATATCGCCTTACACCTGTTAGGAGGACTATATTTGAAAAATTGAAAGATAACAAGCATTGGCAAAAATATGAAGAAAAGGGAACCCTTTTACACTGTTGATGGGGATGCAGATTGGTACTGCCATTATGGAAAATACTATGGAAGTTTCTAAAAAAATTAAAAACAGAGCTACCATGCAACTCAGAAATCCTACTTCTGGGTATGAATCCAAAGGAATTGAAATCAGAATCCCAAAGGACATTTACACTCCAATGTCATTGCAGCATTATTCACCATAGTCAAAATACAGAAACAAGCTACATATCCATCTACAGATAAAGAGATACAGAAAATGCAGTATATGCATAAAATGGAATAGTATTTAGCTGAAAAAGGAGACCCTTCCACTCATGAGAACATGAATGGACCTAGAGGACATTTTCCTAAAAGAAATAATCCAGGCACAAAAAGGAATACTGCATAATCTCATTTATATGTGGAATCAAAAATAGTTAAACTCATAGAAGCAGAGAGTAGAAAGGTGTTACCAGGCGAGAGGGAAGAGGTATATGGAAGGATGTTAGTGAACGGGGTACAAAGTCTCAGTTATGTAAGATAGTAAGATAAATGAGTTCTGGAGATCTAATGCTTATCACAGGTAACAACACTGTCCTATATACTTGAAATTTATTGAGGGCAATTCTAAGTCTTCTTAGGTGCCAGCCCCACCAAATAACTAGGCAAGGTAATATATATGTTAAATAACTTGCTTGTAGTAATTATTTCAAAGTGTGTGTGTATAATCATCAAGTTTTACACCTTAAACATATACAAGTAAAAGGTATTTAAACAGAGTTTTAAAATGGATTGGCAGTATCCAATATTCATTTGGAAAAGACTGTTGAAGATATTACTCATATGAGGCTGGATAAATGTCCCAAAAATGCATAACAGTATCTTACCTCCAGTATATAATAGTGATTAACTGAATGTAAATGTGCAAGTTTTTTTGTCTTCATTAAAATCACTTAATGTATGCAATAGGACATAGACCAAGATGTTTTAAACTCTCAAATATGCACTGATAAGTCCTAAATCTCTCTTTTCTGACATTAAATTTATTTTCTCTATTCAGATTGTTTTGCTTCTTTATTTGCTGAACTGTCTTCTAAGTGTACACAGATATGCCTCAAACTTATATCTCAGCTGGGTTTAACATTTTCTTTCTCAATCTTGATCATTTTCTTGTGTCCATGACTTTGGATAAACAACTTCCTGATCTGCACCATCACTCGGGCTAAAAATCGTACAACCAGCCTTGACCTATGATATCTCCTTAATGGTATTAATTCCCAAATTCTGCTGACAGTTTTTCCATTTGTCCATCTCAAAATGTCCACTTCATCTCAATGTTCACTGTCTGTCACATAGTTTGGAATACTCTCCACCGTACAAGTTATTTATTGGCTTTCTAACCATTTTCCCAATCACCAATCCCTCTCCATTCAGTTTCATTGGTTTTGTTGATACAGAATTATCTTTTCAAAACACGTACTCACTTATGCCATTCACCTGTGCTTCTGATGGCTTCCCACTGCTTGTGAGAAAGAGTCCAAATTTCCTAGCATACCATATACATAGGGTAACTATATGTTTTGGACAGTTTATGGAAGCCCTTTTTATTTATTTATTTATTTTTTTGAGATGGAGTCTCGCTCTGTCACCAGGCTGGAGTGTGGTGGCACGATCTCAGCTCACTGCAACCTCCGACTCCCTGGTTCAAGCTATTCTCCTGCTTCAGCCTCCCGAGTATCTGGGATTACAGGCACACACCACCACGCCCAGCTAATTTTTGTATTTTTAGTAAAGACAGGGTTTCACCATGTTGGCCAGGATGGTCTTGATCTGACCTCGTGATCTGCCCGCCTCGGCCGTGGAAACTCTATTAATTGAGTACTTACAAGAGAACAACAGAAACTGTCTCTGGTAAACCAGGAAGGATGAACACCCCATATGTAAATCACATCATTTTGTGAATATGGCTTAGCTTTCACATTTCATCCCTTGTGAAACTTTGCCGTACACCACGTTGACCAACTAAATTCATTCATTTAACAAATAAGTTTCAAGAATGTACTCTCTGCTGATTACTATTCTAGACAAAAATCACAGCATGTTTGGAATTTACATTTAGCTTTGGAGAGCTTAAACAAATAATAAATTTAATGTCTAATGATGAAAAGGGCTTTGGAGAAAAAGAAACGAAGTGTGATAGGGAGCACCAGGAAGGGTGCTAAAATTTAAATAAGATGATCAATGAAGTTCTCTTTGAGAATACGGCACTGAAGCGAACCTTGAAGGAGGATAAAGTGTGACTTATGTTTATCAGGGGAAAACATTGGGGGCAGAGTGAACAGCGAGTGCAATGGCTGGACTCTATTTTGTATAGAAGAAGAAAGATGCAGTGTGGCTAGCAGGCAGGGAAGGTGGTGGATAAGTAGGTGGCAGGAGATGAGGTCAGAGAACCTAAGTTAAAAGTTTTAGCTTTTATTCTAGATGAGATTCTTTTGCAGGGTCTGGAGCAGAGGAGTGACACAGTCTGGCTTCTGTCTTAACAAGCTCTCTCTGGGTAGTATGTTGATATTATCCTGCTGGGGAGCAGGAATGGACAAGAGTAGAAGCAGAAAGGCCAGCTAAAAGCCATTTGCAATTAGCTGCTGGTGATGGCAATCAAAATGATGAGCTATTTCAAAGGTAGAGTTTACTAGTTTTGCTGAATGATAGGGTGTGAGGTATAAACATAAGTGAAGTGTTAAGGGTGATTCCAAGATTTAGGCTGAATGACAGAAAAGATAGGACAGTCTTAAATGGAAGTAAAACAAACTGCAAAAGACGTGCATCTGTGGGCCAGGTGCTGTAGCTCAGGCCTGTAAACCCAGCACGTTGGGAGGCCGAGGCGGGCGGATCACCTGAGGTCTGGAGTTCGAGACCAGCCTGGCTAACTGGTGAAATCCCTGTCTCTACTAAAAATACAAAAATTAGCCAGGCATGGTGGTGCATGTCTGTAGTCCCAGCTATTCGGGAGGCTGAGGCAGGAAAATCATTTGAACCTGGGAGGTGGAAGTTGCAGTGAGCCGCTGCACTCCAGCCTGGGTGACAAAATGAGACACTGTCTCAAAAAAAGAAAAAAAAAGTGCATCTGAGGGGCAAAATGAGGAGATCAATTTTGAAGCTTTTATGTTCGAGATGCTCATCAAGAATCCAACTGGAGATGTCGATCAGGCAGATGGACATGAGTCTTGGAAGGCACCTGGGCCAGAGTTACAAATTTGGTAGTTGCCAGCAACATATATAAGTACTTAAATTCATGAGACCAGATGATATCACTAAGTGAATGCAGACAGAAAGGCAAAGTCGTCCAAAGACAGAATTCCGGGCACTTGGTGTCAAAATACCTGCTGCACCCTAACTCTATCATGCCTTTCCGTATTTTCACCCTCATACCCTTTTTCTTTCTCCTTGGAATATTTTCCTTGATTCTTTGTCTCATGAAGTTTTACTCATCCTCTTGGAACTTCCTAGAAACTTCAAGCTTCCCTTAGTGCCAGTCTCTGTGTTCTCCTTGTTACAGTATCTTGGAATTGATTACTTACATGTTTATTGTCAAATGCATGATTCTTGAGGGCAAGGACTATTTTACATTCCCAGGACTTAACCCATGAAAGATATTCAATTAATATTTATTGCACGAATGAATGTATACTTGAGTTTATTGATGCATGTGGTTACTATACAGCCATAATGAAAAACCAGAAGTTTTGATTATATAATTCAGCATGTCTTTTCTATGATATTAACTATTTGAAAGAATGTGGTCTTGTGCGACTGTAGAAAGAGCCCTATATTTAGAACAAGGAAACTTTAGCGCAATTTGTCCCTCTATTTACAATTTCAGTAACCATCTGCAAGTAATTTAGTGTCTCTAAACCTTGGTTTTCTTTTCTGTAAGACAGAATTCATAATTTTTTATTGCCATACTAGATTATATACATGAAAACACTTTGCAAACTGTAAAACACTATAAAATGTAAGATGCTGTTTTATTACTTGTCTCTCTGCAAAGACATACATTTTGAATGCGCCTTTGCCTCAGGTGTTGAGTGTTAAGATAAGGTGTGTTTTGAAACACAGCATGCTGTGTTCCAACATGCTACTTATAGCTGATGCAGCATATGGCAATTGAATTTCTATTATGGCAAATCTCCTTTCATTTCAAGAACTGTAATGCTCTACCTGGCTGCTATTACATTTTATATGTTGTCAGTTACAGCCTCTAGAGCAAAGTATCATAGTGATGTCAGCTGTAGATTAAAAGAAGGTAGTACTGGCTCTGAATAAAAGAGATTGTGATGTTCATGTGTTGGATGATTGAATTGGAATGTGTTTTCTTCCCTTGTAGCTTAACAGTACCCATTCGGAGGTGTTAAGCTGGCTTTAGCCACGGAAATCAGAACACAAGGACGTTGAGGAGTTGAGGTGAAATCAGACTCTCAAAAGAGCGAAAGTAGTGAAAGAGACTGGCTTCTTTTTCATATTTGAAATATGTAATAATTATTCTTAAATTCTCTCTTTATATTTGATCTGCCTGTATCCAAAGTGGACATCTGCCTTCAGCAATAAAAGCTCCCATGGCTTCCTCTTTTAAGGTTTATTTCTTTCTCGAATTCGGTTCAACTAGGATTCTTTACATCATCTACTGTTCTTTATTAGGCCCATGGAGAAGTGTGATTTTTTTTTTTGTCCAAGATTTTGTGGTTGTTATGGGAGGGAAGATCTTTCTTAATCATCTGTATACTACCTGGAAGTAGAAAGTTTCTTCTTTTTTCACTTGGTACCTGCAAATCAACTTAGGAGTTTTTTGGAATTTTCTGAACTTTCTGATAAAATGATTGTGACCATTTTTACTTTGCTGTATTTTTTTTTTGGCCTAATTGAAATATCTGCTGGAGAGAACTCAGAATTTTGGAGCAGTACGGGATGTAAAAATCATCTGGTCCAATTAGTGATGCTTGTCTGTGGCTCTCTCAATAATGCTGAGGTTGTGGGCGTGTGCCCCATGATTTGGGGGACTTGAGTGTAATGTCTTCTATGACCATGACTTGTCTTCTAATCCAGGTTAACCACCTTTAATCTACATGTTGCCATTTCTAAGGGGGAAAAATAAAGATTAATCATTTCAAATCTACCATTGCTTTTATAATTAATTACTCAAATACAGATTCTACTGATGACTTATTTCCATTACGGAAAGGAAAAATTATGTGAATGCTAATAGAACTAGGTAAACCTATCTAAAATATAATACATGATTTACTAAAAAATCATTTTACTTCCCATATTTAAGATTCTAGAAACATTAGTAGGCAGCCTATCAAGCCATTCTGTAAAGAAAGATCCTGGAAAGTGAATTAATTTTATTTTTCACTTTCCACAATGCTTTCATAAACCTGGGGAAAAGTATTTTTTAGTATTCTACTTTTTCTTTTCAAAAATAATATATAAAGTACTTAGTGAAAATTACCTTATTCTTATTAATAGTAACTTGTTTATATCTATCTTATCCCCAGAATTTTCTAAATGCATCCTATTTGTATTCCATGACTGTTAAACTAAAACTAATATTCACATCTAAATATTAACATTTCAATGGGCTATTAGCATACATTTTGCCTCAGGTAATATGTAGCAAAGCTAATAACTATTTCCTCCTAAAAGTTTCACAATCCCAAAGGTCCCTATTAACATTTTCCATCCTTAACGCTATATATAATCAAATAATACTGTGTTAGTTGGTTTTCTGTGTCATATTTGTTTTATTTCTGAAGTGCCATAGGCCATAGGGCATGTTGTTCTTCTCTCTCTCTGTGAATGTAATTGGTTTTAATATATACAATAATAACCACAGCTTACATTTAATAATGTAATAATAATTGTCATTTTCAGACACTGTTCTCAATGCTTTTCATATACTAATTTAATCCTTAGTACTTAACTTAGTATCCCTAATAGCAAATGAGGCAACTGAGGGTCAGAGAGGTAAAACTTGTCCAGATTTCACAAATGGTAAATGACAAAGCTAGTATTTGAACCTGGCAAGGCAGGCTGGCCCTTGAGTCATTGATTATAGGTCATTGATACAATTTATTATCCAAATTGGAATACACTTGGTAGTAAGGGGTGGCAGTATGCTTTTACCTGGGACTGCACTGTGATTACACTGCCTCTCAGTAAAACAACACTTTTAAAATGTATTATATTTATGATTTATGTTATTTCTTCATTTGGGTATGGCTGTATTTGGGTCAGTTGCCAAAAGATGGTTGATGATTGGCCATAGAAAAGGAGAAAAGGAATGAAGGGAAGGGATTTGGAGAATACATTGAAAAGTATGAAACGTATTTTACTAGATTGTGAATTTTGAATAATAGAAATATACTAAAAATCACATGAAGGATGGATAAATTATCAAAATATTATTAACAGCCAACAAGTTAGGCAGGTGAGATATTACAAAGGTAAAAATAATTTGCTTTAGTTTTCTTTTTAATTAAAAAAAATTTTTTTTAGAGACAGATTCTTGTTTTGTTACCCAGGCTAAAGTCCAGTGGCATGATCATAGCTTACTGTAACCTCACACTCCTAGGCTCAGGCAATCCTTTCACCTCTACTGCGTCTGTTTAAGTTTCAAATTTTTTGTAGAGATAGTGTCTCCCTATGTTGCCCATGCTGGTCTCGAACTCTGGGGCTGAAGCAATCCCTTCCTTGGCCTCCCAAAGTGTTGAGATTACCTGTGTGAGCCACCACACCTAGTCTAGAACATAGATTTTAATACACGGGTTAACTCTTCTCATGAATTAACTATGAATTTGGTAGCAGAGGTGGCCTAATCACCAATTATGTCTTGTTTTGAATGCGGGTAGACACAGACATAATTCTGCCTCTGTGGCTTTATGTGTTAATGGGAATATAGCTTCCTGGCCGATGTAATGCGTTAAATTGCAATGAGGAAGAAGTTGAGGTTATGGTCTTAGGTAAAATAACAGGATAATAAGAGAGGCAAAAGGGTTCGTTATAGCAGCTCTCATGTGGACAGGTGCTCACCTGAGACCTTCACCTTCACAGTAGGTGTCATGCTGCTAGTTATGGATAATAAAATCTGACAAGTATGTTCATCAAAAATGACTTATATTAGACTGAAAATTTAGTTGGGGAAAGCCAAGTTAGCAGATCAATTAAACACTTTCTTAACTGCTTTGACCAAATCTTTTCTAAGAGGACACCACAAAATAATGAAAGGCTGCTCCACAAACTGTTGGAGGTATGGAGGAGGCAGAGTCTGTATGACACATGGCCTGCCTGTTCCTGGCAGGTGAAGTGCAGGTCTTGGCATGGTGCTCTGAATAGACTATCAATCTTCCTTTACAATGCAACTGAAACCTTACATGCTGACACCATGTATTCCAATTATGACACAAACTCGTATGGGAACTGTGGATGTGGCCTTGGCTATGGCTATGATGTGGGTAGCAAAAGCTACCCAGGACTGGGCTGTAATTAAGGCTCCATATAAGTGGTGGTGACTACAGCTCAAGCTATGGCTGTAATACAACTCTGGCTATGGTTACCCTCTCTACTGAACACCCTATTTCCAAAATGCTTATTATCTTGCTGCTGACTTTTGACTTCCAGTTTTTATGCCTTTACTAGTATATCCTGTGATGAATTTCAAGAAGCCTGTGTTTATTTTCTGGTCCCTTCATCTCTTGTGTACAGTGGCAGGCAATATGACATTCCAGTTTACTCTTTGCCTCTGGGGGAGTTTCCAGCATTTTTATACAGTCATCATTTAAGCATTTGCTCTTGTACCATCAAACTATGGCTTTCCAACCCCTATCTGTATGCTGTAGTTTATATATTACAGCCTCTAAGTACATGCATTTAAATTCACATTACAGGATTTTTTTTTCTATTTGTATTCGTCAAAAACTCCCTGATTCACTTTACCATTGATAAACCAGGCCACATTTAGGAGTTTTAATAGTCCAGATGAAATGGCCTCCTTTGACAGTTGAACACAGGAGCAAACAAGGCGTTACTATTGTGTTGATTAATTGCTGTCACATGACATTGTTGTTTACTGACAAATCTCTTAAGCTATTGGTATGTATTTTAGGGAGTTCCTTATAAAATCAGCTGTAGGAGTCTTCCTGATAATTTAGAAAGTATATTTTTACCTCTGTTGTGGCTCATTGGCAATGATCATTCTTGAAATACAGCTTATATTTCTATGAGTTTAGATAAAAAAACACTTTGGGCACATAAGCTCAAATACTGGAAAACAGTAAAAACTAAAATGGGAGATTTTGTGTGTGAAAGAAGAAAAGTCATTTAATGACTCATTAAAATGTAAGAAGTGGTTTTCTTAAGGCTCTCAAAAACATCAAATGTCGATAGGCAATGAATTTCACAGCAGTTTACCTGGTAACCAGAAGTTGTGTAGGAGTAAAATTGCATTTTCTTGTATCAGTACGTTCTCTCTTTTTATTGTTACATAATATTCCGTTGTATGGATATACCACATTTATACCCATTCACCAGCTGACAGACATTTGGTTTGTTTTCATTTTTTCTGATTAATATAAATAATGCTACTACTTACATTCATATACAACTTATTGAGTGAACGTATGTTTTCATTCTCTTGGTTATATACCTATGAGCTGAATGGTAACTTTATGTTTAACATTTCGAAAAATTGTCAGGCTGTTTTTCAAAACACCTGCACCATTTTACATTCCAACCTGCAGTGTATGAGGGCTCAATTTCTCCACCAACACTTTATTATTATTAACACTAGTTATTATCTGACTTTATGATTATAGTCATTCTAATGGGTGTGAAGTGATACTGGGATTTTAATTTACATTTTTCTGATGGCTAATGATGTTGAGCATATTTTCTTATGTTTATTGGCTGTTTGTACATCCTTTTTGAGGAAATGTTCATTCAGATCCTGTGCTTATATTTGAATTGGGTTATTTGTCTTTTATCATTGAATTGCAAGTCCTTTATATATGCTAGATAAACTCCTCCATAAGATGTAGAATTTGCAAACAGTTTTTTCTACTCCATGGGTTGTCTTGATCATGTCCATTGAAAACTACAGGTTTTTAATTTGATAATGTCCAATTTATCTATTTTGCTTTTGTCACTTGTCTTTTAATTATTACAACTAAGAAGTCTTTGCCTAAGTGAAAAATTACTGCTATATTTTCTTCTAAGAGTTTTATAATGTTAGCTCTTATATTTAAGATGATCTATTTATAGTTAATATTTGTATATAGTGAGGAGGGATCCAACTTCATTCTTTTGCATGTGAATAACCAATTTTCCCAGCCCCACTTCTTAAATTGAATGTTCTTTTATAACTATGGAAAAGATATATTAGCATTGGGGTTCACAAAGTGTTCAGCTTATACATATGTAAATATGTTTAAAATAATTCTGTAATATGTCTTATATTTTACAATTTTAATTCATTCAATTATTCTCTCTCATATTCACTTAATGAATATTAGGTTTTATACAGTAGACTAAAAATAAAATAAACAATTCCTTAAAATTAACATCTAGGGGAAGCAGCCCAAAGAATTATTTATTATTTTAATATTTTAAAAATGCATTAAAATAAGAACCTAAAATTCCATAGTACTTAATTGTATAGTGAAATAGCCATGGAATTGCAAATTAGAAAGCTGTGTTGAACTCCAGCCATCTTTTTTATGATATAGACTCACTGAGATGCAGTTTCCCCATTTGTAAGATGGGATAAGGTCAACCTTGCCCATTTCCTTAGCTTATTATAAGAATTGAATAGAAGGTTTATTAGAAAAAGTTTTTTATGTTAAAAATCAAAGGCAACAGACTTTGCATCATTACAATAAAAATTATCCATACATAAACTTATTTCACTTAGTGTATGATGATTCTCTGCACTATCTATGACAGCTGGTGAACTAGCTCATTTTTCTTTTTTTTCACGTATCATAGGTTATTACAGACTCTCTGTGAGTATGACCATCTCTGATGTCCAGGGGTTGATGTTTCCTACATCCAGGGTTAGGATTCTTTGCTTCTTCCTCAGTCCTTGGCACACCTCTCTTTCCTTTCACCTGTGTTCACACGTTTCCTGGGTCTCTGGCAGTTTCCTACAGAATCCCATGTTCCTCATGCTACTCCTGGGATACATTCATAGGAGATGAGCAGAAATCTGAAAAGAAGACTGAATAATACAGTCAATAATAACTACTGTAACAAAGTCTCCACTCCTTGTAATCCTGGGAAAGGCGTATTATGTTGGTGCAAAAGTTATTACTTCTTTCAAGTTAATACTTCTTTCCCAAGATTGCAAGGAGTGGAGACTTTGTACAAATAGTTATTATTGACTTTGTTATCATTTGTGTTCCAAAGGAGCTCGTGGAAAGGACACTTGACCCAACATTAAAGTCGCTGGTTAAAACCCTATGTGTTTGTAAGACATTTCTCTTCTGTTTACTCATTGTCTGCATGCCTATTTGCTTTAGTAGTTCAGTCTCCATAGATCACCATTTATCTAGTGTGGACTGAATACCAAATGAAGTTTTCCTCCTGGAAAAAAAAAAGATATATGAGATTTAATGCATTAGATTCCCTCCTAAGCATTAAGCTGGAGTTCTTAAATTGCCAGTAAAATCAGAGAGTGCTTAATCAGATGTAATGGTCTGGTACTTGATTGGTTGCATTAATCAATGGCCTGAAGGGTTAATCAGATGGAGTGCTGTGGCTACTCCATCACATCACGTGGTCTGATTGATGGTTTTTTCTTTTTTTGGACCATGATAAATATTTGAAAATTAAAAATGTTAGAATATGTAGGAACTTGTGTATAGGAACTAAACATTCAAGTCTTTGAAATAGCTGGATTACTGTCTAATATTTTTTTCAGGTTTCAGGTATGATGTATAATCATGGGAAGGCATAGTCTGAGTATTTTTCTGCTTAACTTGGTGAAAAACACAGACGTTTCTATGAATTGGATTATATTAGGTGCCAAAGAGAGGTATAGTTTTGTACTTATTTCAATTTATTTCACATCTAAGAACCTATATTATGATATTTATTACCTGAAGTAATAGTCAAAACTTTGTAAACCTAGGCAGAGAGATGAAATCTTGTTAGTGTCATAGGGAAGAAAATAAAAATATTTCCTGCTATTAAAAAGAATGTATCTGCCAAATTGTATCAATTTATTTATAGTAGAGACATTTAAGACAGAGAGAGATGCCAAGAAGAGATCTTAAGAGATGAGAGATCTGGAAACACTTCTTTTAATTGGAAACTCTTTGAGGTCAGAGATTGCACCTCGTTTATTCTTCTCCACTGTATTTCCAGCCCAGGACACTGTCCAGCATAGATATATGGACTGAATGCATTTTTGTGAAATAAGTTTATGTATGGATAATTTGTATTGTAATGATGCAAATTGTGTTGCCTTTGATTTTTAACATAAAACACTTTTGGTAAACAACATTCTATTCAATTCTTATAATAAGCTAATAAGAAGGAATCAAAAGTATTGTTACCTGCTGAGTTCTCATTGACTGAGTATACTAGCACAAAATTCAACAGGAGTGAAAAAGATTGCATTATTTATTATATTCCTAGAGGATTTCCTAATGCAATTATTTATTACATTTTCTGTGACATGGCGAATCATTTAATTGGCTTCCTAAATATTTTCATAAAGTCTTGAACAATTTGAGTCTGCTGTTTGGTTATTCTTTTTATTCATTGTTAAGGAGATCTGGCTATCCCAAAATGATTTTGTTTACATTTTTGACAATGTTTATACTAGTTTACTTACAAGATAAATTTTAAAAAATTAAGCAATAATCTAAATCGATCTCTACCTCCTCCTAGTTTCTCCTACTCAGACATTCTATTTTTTAACTTTAAAATTTATTTCTAAAACTACTTCTGGTGGGTAGGTATTTACTCACTAATCATATAAGCCAAGGATGTCTTACAAATTAATTTGTTCTGCTTTCTGCATATAATTTTAGGTAAAAAAGCAATTAACTTTCTTCTCTTGAAGATGAAATCTGGGCAGAATCAAATTATATCCGACAAAATGTATGAAATTGTAGCTTTGCAATTTATTTGTGTATTTCCTGAATTTCAGGTCTTAAAAAATGAAAAGAAAAGTTAGGTTTGAATGAATTATTCAAACTCGTATCATGAATAGTTTAGATCGCATTGTCATGAATCTTCTTGCTGCCTGTTTTATTATAGGTCTTATTATGGACTTTAATTCTCAGGTGCACATACAATGCTTTCTATGACCTGTAGGGGCATAGTTGTGTATTCTTTGAGATGGTCTTCTTTTTCTTTCTAAATCAAATGCAGTATGTGAGTGTAGTTCTGTTCTCTTGAAAAGGCTGGGCACGGTGGCTCACGCCTGTAATCCCAGCACTTTGGGAGGCCGAGACGGGCAGATCACGAAGTCAGCAGATCGAGACCATCTTGGCTAACACGGTGAAACCCTGTCTCTACTAAAAATTCAAAAAAAAAAAAAAATAATAATTAGCTGGGCGTGGTGGCGGGCGCCTGTAGTCCCAGCTACTCGGGAGGCTGAGGCAGGAGAATGGCGTGAACCCGGGAGGTGGAGCTTGCAGTGAGCCAAGATCGCGCCACTGCACTCCAGCCTGGGCGACAGAGCAAGACTCCGTCTCAAAAAAAAAAAAAAAAAAAAAAAAAAAAAAAACCAGGGCAACTAAATTGTGTAATTGGCACAAAATATATCCTGACTAGCAAAACATCACACATGGTTTGTCATTACATCCTAATTTTAGAACGTTGGTGGTTCCAAACACAGTCTCAGTACTTATGAAGCATTGCTTGCTTTTCTAAAATCAGCATCAGCACGATTCAGGCCAATAGGCATGGCCTGCCTTGGGCTTCCGCTCTGTACAAATTGGGATCACACCCCCATACCAGCTTCCTTGGAATTCTCCTAAAATTCAGAAAAAGTAATGACCAGTTATTGTTGACATTTACATCCTCCCAGACATTTAACCAATTACACTTTGTTGGTAATTTAAAGCTTCTGAGAGAGAAACTGTCTGATATGAAATTAGTAGAGTCACTCCTAATAGGAATGCTTAGCCAGGCAGGCCCACATTTATACATTGTCATGATTACCTCACTTGCTGTTATACTAAGATGAGAAAATAAATTACGTCGTGACTATAAACTGTGTTTATAATAAGGGATTGTGGTGGTTGCAACATTAGCCATAGGTGTAAAGTTGTTAACTAGATCATTGCTTTTATGAGCTTCTCTTGAATGAGTAATACCTAGCGGAGATGAATATCAGAGTTCTCATTACTCATTTTAATCACTGTTATTGCCAAGTAATGTAAACTGGGTCATTTTCTCACAATACTTTGTGGGAATCTTTCCTTGATCCCAAAGAACTTACATGTAGAGAGCAGAAGTCAACTTAACTATAAAGAAAAGTAGTGATAAGTATTAAAATGGTGTCGCCATTGCCAAATTGAAAAGGTCTGAAAATATAACATCATCTGCTCCTCCTTTTCCTTCACTACCAGACACATTGTCTTGCCAAATTCTGTTTGTGTTCCTTATGACTAACTTCTCCTTCTTTTGAGTGTCATTTCAATTGCTCTAGGTCAGAAATTCCTGACCTTTTATGTTGTACAATAGCTTAATAAAGATTCTCTATGAGTTCAGTCTTTCTTTTGTTTAATGTAGCAAAGACATTACTGCAAGAATTACTTTCTTTTATCCAACCTGATTCAATTCAATTCAATTTAATTAAGCAAATAATTAATGACAGCCTATGAGTACAGTTGGTGCCTATGAATAGGCAATGGGAGCATAAGATGAACAAGAAAAGAAATTATACTCAAGGAATACATAGATTTTATCAGAAAACAAACAAAAAGCTACCAGTTGAAGATTATAACAAAGTTATACCCAGGATACTATTTATTTGTTTTAAATTAAGGCTTGTCTATGAATCTTTGCTTTATATACAAAATTCTAAATGAACAATAAAACAACAGATAAAAGCAACTTCTTTTCTTAAGTCATGTGTTTACTTTACTCACCTGTAAAACCATTAACTGAAAATTTCTTCACTGTTGCCCTGTGAAGTCACATTATCATGGGGGTGCTATGCCATCTCTTCTACTACATTTGGTTGGTTAGAAGGCTGTTACACGTCCTGCCTGTTATGCCCAAGGTGAGGGAATTACACGAAAGCATGGACACCAGTAGGTAGGAATCATGAGGGCCGTCTTAGAACTCTGTTGACTATGGTGTGCGATTTTGTATATTGTATGCATTTAATAAGATTGGTTTTTTGTTAAAACAACCAACAAAGTTAATTAAAAATAGCAACATTGGGCTGTGTGTGGTGGCTCAGGCCTGTAATCCCAGCACTTTGGGAGGCTGAGGCGGGCGGATCACCTGAGGTCGGGAGTTTGAGACCAGCCTGACCAACATGGAGAAACCCTGTCTCTACTAAAAATACAAAATTTGCCGGGCGTGGTCGTACATGTCTGTAATCTCAGCCACTTGGGAGGCTGAGGCAGGAGAATTGCTTGAACCCGGTGGGGTGGAGGTTTCAGTGAGCAGAGATCATGCCATTACACTGCAGCCTGGCAACAAGAGCAAAACTTTGTCTCAAAAAAAAAAAAAAAAAAAGCAACATTATAAAACTACTTGAAAGAGAAGAAATGTGATAAACAAATGCAGAAAAATTATTGGCTTCTGGCAGAATGCTGGGAGGATGGCTTTTTTTGAGGATAAAAATTATCAAAGTTTACCAATCATGATTTACTAATAAGACATTTATACAAATGAATGAGAACTTAAGGCTTTGTATTGAGTATCGATAATCGATATTGTTGAGCTTTGGTATTCCCTTTACTGTAAGAAAAACAAACTCTTGGAGTGATCCCTCTTTTTCTGTATATATTCAACTGTGATTTAACTGTCATTAGGGAACAGCAGTGATAATGATATTCTGTACCTCGGAGAAGATATACAACAATTTTGTGAGCTAGTCACAGTGATCTGCTTAGAAAACAAACTATAATTGGGTCCATAAAGATAAAAATAATAGGCAAGATATAGGAAGTACAAGGAAAGAAGTTAGCATTAAATTATCAGATATGCTGAACATTAGCATTTGAAAATAAAAGCGTGGATACTTTTCCTTACTAGGAAAAAAAACCCTGTTTTATAGTGTTTATGATTTTAAAAGTTGGAGCAGGAAACATTGCCTGTGGTGTTGTATATTTGAAGATTATAAGGTAACTGTTTTCTATTTGCTTTGTACAATTCAAGAGACCATAATCAGAATTCATGAATAGAAGATTCAATGGGTCAGACTTCTTGACATAAGAAATTCCTCTAGCCGGGTGCAATGGCTCAGGCCTGTATTCCCAGCGCTTTGGGAGGCCGAGGCGGGCGGATTATGAGGTCAAGAGATCGAGACCATCCTGGCTAACATGGTGAAAAACAATGTTTCTACTAAAAATACAAAAAATTGGCCAGGCATGGTGGCGGGCGCCTGTAGTCCCAGCTACTCAGGAGGCTGAGGCAGGAGAATCACTTGAACCTGGGAGGTGGAGGTGCAGTGAGCTGAGATTGTGCCACTGCACTCCAGCCTGGGTGACAGAGCAAGACTCTGTCTCAAAATAAAATAAAATAAAATAAAATAAAATAATAAATAAAAAGTAATTCCTTTAATAATTAGTTGCATCTGAAAAGCGGATTGATAATTTTATGGCCTACCCTGTCTCTAAAGATACTAATGCGTGGTCTCAGTCACCAATTCATGGATACTTTGTGAATGCAGTCCTGGCATCCGGGAGCTGGGCAGAGCTAACTGCCCTCTGAAGTTTCTTTTTACTCTAACCTCTGGGATTCTATGAACAAAAAGTGATTTTCAAATACAGAGGCTTGAGAAGAATGATGATGCTGAATATAGAACAGAAAAAATAACACGATTTGCCATAGAATTCTGTAATGGAGAGAGAGATCAAATATTATCAGTTAGTTTTAGAAATCTGACCACATTGTAGAGAGATATCTTCTAGAATAGAATAAATTAGAATTTCAAAGTCGGGAGCAGATAAGATTGTGTGTGTGTGTGTGTGTGTGTGTGTGTGTGTATTGATGCTATGAGGAAAGACAAAAATTCACCTTTTATGGACCAACCTCTGTTCTAGATCCTGAACTATCAATAGTCATTTATCAAACATTTATAAAATTTTATATAATGACTTTATTAGATGCTGTAGATTTAATGGCATAAGATAAAGTTCTAGACTCCAAGAAGTTTGCACCTGTGAAGTATGGGAGAGATAACAAGATCACACATTCTAATTTATATTAAAAATAAAACCTCTTAAATAGCACTTACTATTGGCTAGGTGCTATTCTAAGTGATTTACAGATATTAGCTCAAATAATCTTCACAACCCTAAGACGTAGGTACTATCATTATATTCGTTTTAAGATGAGAAAAGTGAGGCACAGACAAATGAAATGAATTGTCCAAGATTTTAGGGCTAATTAGTGGCAGAGGCAGAGTTGAAGCCAGAATCCATGTTCTTAAGTGCCACACTGAGATGCCTCCCTTGCAGCAGCATGCTAGAGCTAGCTGTGTTGGCTTGTGAAGGCTAATTGTGTATATCTCGTCTCAGCTCCACAATCAGTGACATCATGTTGGTGGTTTGAAACTGGCTAAGATGGAAGTATTTATTTATTTACTTTTTCCCAGTAAGTGCATTTACCAGCACCTTACTGGCAGGTTATGATACAGATGTTACAATATTTCTAATAGTTATGAGAGGGTGCTTTGGAAAAAAATAAAAAAAGAAACATCAAAGTCAGAGATGATGGGGAGTGGAAAGTTCCAGGAGACAAAAAGATCATCCTCGAAGGATGAATGGGAGGTAGACTGCTGGATGATTGCAGAAATGACCAGAGGGATCAAAAAAAGGAGAAGGCATCAATAACATGCCATCTTATTGACAGAGGTCTGGTCTTTACTGGAAGAGTCAGATTAGCAGAGACAGTCTGAGGCTTCCCTTGCAAATAGTCACAGAATTTGGGTAACTTGAAAGGCTTGGTTAGAAGACGTCACATCAGCTCATCTGCAGCCATCAATCAGCGTGCCATACCAGCTGGAAACTGGGAACAGGGGAGACCATTAGGAAAGGATGGTACATCAAGATTCATGAAAATTACTTTAAGAGGCACCCAGTGCAGGCAATAGTTCCACAGAGATGCTAAGTGCGTTGGGAACTATTCATTGTTGAATGTTGAGAGACTCTGAAGCATATAGGGATTTCTCTGATAGCTGGAAATTTTTTTAATGGAATGATGTTTTGGGGGGAACTAGTTATCTTTTTCTTATGACAAGTCTTCAGTAAGAGGCTGGGAAACCATCTTGCAAGACATGGGTCCAGAGAAGAGTGAGCTGTGGATCTGAAAGGTGTTATGGAGCCACTTCGGAGCTGGGAGACCTTAGGAAAAACTCATTCTTATTCAGTCTCATTTTTATCCTTTCTGTAAAACTGGAATTAAAATAACTGTGCTGCCTTTTACAGTACTTTTACAAGGATCAAATATATATATTTGATATATATATTACTATTCTATATATAATATATATTATATATTACTATTCTATATATAATGTATATTATATATTACTATTCTATATATAATATATAGAATATATATATTTGAGATATATATATATATATATTTTCACTGCATTCACAAAGTGTCCATGAATTGGTGACTGAGACCATGTGTTATATGTAACCATGTGATTGAGATATATATATAATATATATATAAAATAGTTTTGAAGACTTGCTTAATTAATTAAGCATACATATATTTTTCTGTTGGATGGTATTTTTCCTGGTATGAGAGAATGACTCAATAGGTTATTGACTTAGGTTCTTAACATCGCTGGCATTCATTGGTGAGTAGCCATAAAGAAAAAAATGTACTTAGTATCATGTCATACTGCCCTTTCTATATACTACGCATAATAATGTTTCTAGGTTAGAAGTATTTAACAGGTAACATCTGTTTCCACCACAGTTAATAAACTTTAAACTATGCCATGATGTCAAACCTAGTGACATAGTGTTGAGCATTTATGTTTGGTAATAAATTATTGTACAAAATGCTCCAGGCAATGTGACATAACACTTAACAAGGATTTGTTTATTATCTGAGTGTTTGGTCATTTTGTTTTATTTGTTATCAAAATATTAATTAAGATATATTTATAATAAAATAACCAAACTTTAAGAGACCAATTTAATAATATGTTTGGGAATATATTTGAGAATATTTTGCAGCAAGACCAGTTCAGTGGTAAGTGGAAAATATAGACTTTTGATCTGTTGTAATTTGTAAGGAATTATGTATTTTCAAGGAAAAATGATGAGGTTAGGAGTTAAAATTCAATAAGGAGATGGGGGTTTGTGTTGTGAAATGCTTCAAAGGGGTTAAATAATGCTATGGTCTATTTAGTAACCAGGCAACAAGGACATCCTTGGTGACTTATTGAGAGCAGCCTTAGTTATATGATGGGGATAGAACAGAAATTGCAATTAATTGAGAAATTAATGAGTAAAAGGATGGCAAAATTCTGGGCACAGCCTACTTGTTGAAGAAACTTGGTGGTGAAGGGAAGAAACAAGGTGGAGTGAGTGGTGGATGAGTGTGTGGGGTTAAGGACCAACTCCTGAAATATTAATGGAAACTTGAAGGTCTGAGAATGTGTGTTTTTTGCCACTTACATCCTCTCAACGAAGTCTGGAGGGCAATGGAACACGTTGGGCTTTATCTAGGGTCAGCTACATAATTCGCAGAGTCCAGTGCAAACGGAAAACGTGCTTTCTTGACATGTCATGATGCTTTTTGTTTGCTATTAATGTCATGTGCTCTTGGGCATGGGAATATCTGTTGGATGAGTCTAGATCCTCGTAGATGTTCCATCTTGACCTTTCCCATGCCTGTGTTCAGGCTCCTGCTGGGGAAAGAAGGTGGCAGCAGTCACTGAGTGAGGGAGCTGAAAACCAAAGACCTGTTCTGGGGAGGTGGGCTGGAGATGAGAGGTGGGACTGTGTGTGAATTGACACCCCATCCCAGCACCCCAGCACATGTTCCATTCCCTACAGACTTCATCAACGAACCACAAATTCAAAGATAAAAGTATTAAGAACTTAAAACTCCAAACACAGGAACCTTTTCTGAGCACTGGGCCTTATAAACTGCACGGATTGCAAACCAGTATGATTGGCTCTGATTGTTCCTTACATATGGCATGCTCTCAATCCATGATGGATAAATTGAATTGATTGGTTTAGTGACTATGTAGTGAAATATCCAATTAAATTTGTGCAAGTAAATATCACCATTGTATAATTGTCTAGGGAGAAGGCAGGGAAGAGCCTGCTATGTGGAAGGATTCATGGAATTTTAAAGAATTGCGTAGGTATTGGATTTTTTTCTTTTTTTTTTTTTTTTTAGCGCAGAAAGAAAGGCACAGACAATAGTGATGGAAGTCCAAATCTCAAGATGGCTTGTACTTCATGGCTTAATTATATATGATCATGGTTAAAGATGATATACTTTTACACAGGCTTAGACCCATAATTTGAAAAACAGAAAAAACTGTATTCATTCTCCCTTAGCCCTATCTTTACCTAACTCTTCTTTCAGGAAGAAGAATGGTAGACAGTTCTGATCCTGAGCAGCATGATTGGATGGGCAAGTGATAATGATGCCTTTTTTATTAAGGGAGACTTGGAACTCATAGAAGGCAGAGGTAGAAATGGTCAATTTGCATTTGGTTTATACAAACCTATGAAGGTCAAAATGAAATGTAAGCAAGGATCTGTTAGCATCAAAAAACAAGTCATAGATGTTCACAATTTATGGAATGGTAATATTGGCATTTCAATGTTTTTATGAAAGCTGATTTTTTGGACTCTGCTCTCTTTTTAAGTCAGACTCAAAGAATATGGAATTTGGAGTCTGATGACTAAGTTATACTTCTGTCATACAGCTGTGTGGTTCTAGCCAAGTCACCTGATTTTTTTAGAAAAAAAAAAAAAAAAAAACAACTCTAGACAAAAAAAACCCCTCTTAACAGGAATTAAAATCCCTGTTAAGTAGGATTAATATTATTCTACATATTTACATATACACATGTACACACACACGGACCCAGACAAAATCTCATGGCTACTTCATTTAGTTAGAGGACAAACCACGTATTTTGGTCTATGTTGGGTCACGAGTCACATGTGGGATGTTTTTAATAGAACAGCATTGATGAAAAAGAAGCCAGTATTGCTCCAGGCTCATTATCAACTAGAGACAAACCCCGGGTAAAAGTACATTAGAAAGAGCCTTTCTAACAATATTGGAGTGACTTCCTAACAAAACTGGAGTGCCTAGTTAAAATGAGCTACTTTGAAGCAAATTGCTATGGGACTGACCAGGTGGACTCAGTGTGTCCCACCCATCCCTGATTGCATGTGAAGGTCTGCGATTGTGGGGACCATTCAGACATGCAGAATTACCCCTTATAATTCATTGACGTTCACCTCCTAACACCGTGAATTGCTACTACTATGGAGATCCCTGTGGAGGCTGTGGATATAGCCCTGGCTCTGGCTGTGGTGATGGGTCGAGCTACGGCTGTGTCAATGGCTCTCATTCTGGCTGTGTTTGCAATGGCTAATTATCTATTTTGCTACAGAGCATGCTAGACGTCTTTCTGTTAGAAAATCACTATCAGAGCATTATTTGCTGCTGAAGTAACAATAGGATGACAGCTGTGACTCTATTTAAATCCCTTTGAAATATTTTTGCCATAGATAGGTTTGATGTTAATGGAAGAAAGATTATATGCCAACTGTTTCCTGAAATTTAACCCTTAAGTTTCATGGTTTCTTCCAATGGTGTGACTATGGCCATGAGCATTTGTGCTCTACATGGCAAATCAGTTTCCCAATAAAATACATTTTTGAATCTATCAAGTCTGTGTCATCCATCTTATTTTAAATCATCCATTACTACAGATTTTGTGATCTTCCTGTTTTATTATCATTTTATGTGTGTGGTTACCTGTGACTTTGCCATTTTTTCAGACATTTATCCAAGAATTTTTCTTCAGTAATTTACTATTTGGTGATTACTCACATCTGAAATAACAGAAACACATGCTTATATATGCAATTGCACAGGATTCAGAATTGTGTTTATGCAAACCTCTAATATCTTGTAGGATGGATTGGAGAGGAAGAGACATGAGCCTAGGAGAATTCAGGAATGACGTGATGTGGGCCTGAATTGAGTTTTGTCACTGATAAAGGGAAGAAAGTGATGGACTCATGAAACATGCTGGAGGTCAAGTATTTCAGCCTTGGACATGATGAAAGAGGAAGGTAGATGAGATGTCCAAGGAAGAGAAACTTAGTGGAAATGCATCCTTGTGATCTTTTGTGAGGAAAGATATTAGACTTGTCAGGAAGAAGTGACATGGGTTATCAAAACACATTAAAGGTTTATAATATGGCAAGAGGATTGGATTTGCTTCTTGTCTCCAGAGATCAGAATTGGGACTAATGGGCAATAGCCTCTAATTTTTTTTTACAAGTATATCCCTGAGAGCTAAATTGGCTATTCCATGGGAATATAGATGATGGAAGCTTCCCAATCACGGGTAAGACAGACAAAATCACCAGAGTGAGAACTCCAGGATAGGTGGTGACCTAGTGTTCATTCTGGTCCTGAAATTCTGTGAACTTCACATCAAGAATGACTCAGAACTGTTGAGCCTGATGAGCAGAGAAAATGATGCCGGTGCTGACAGAGACAAGAAAGTAAAGGAGAGAGGAGAGTCAGTTTTTCACAATGCAAAGTATCTTACATAAATTGAAAGACTATCATGGCTGGTGTGAAATCTCAATAATTCTTTCTTCAAATAAAATTAGGTCTTCTGTGTAGTCAGTACCCAGCACTGTCGAAAGGAGTTGTTATTCAACCTAGAGGCTAAGAAAAGAGAGAAATAGCTCATGTTATGGTAGATTTTTGGAGAATTTCCTTCCTCCCTTCCTTCCTTCCCTCCTTCCTTCCCTCCTTCCTTCCTTCCTTCCTTCCTTCCTTCCATCCATCTACCTACTTGCTTACCCATCAACTGTCTATCCAAATGGGGTCAGTCCTCAGTGAATCAGTAACCTTATTTAAGTTATATGATAATATTACAAATAGAAAGAAGTTATTGTTTTTATAGTGATAAGTATGAAAGTTTTAAAATACAGAGGGATTATTTGTGGGAAGATAGGAAAGATTTCCAAGAAGAGGTGCATTTGAATTGAAGCCTGAGGCATGAACAGGAATGGCCAGTGAGATAGGGCAGCAGAACAAAAAGCCGTCTTCTTATGCATTTATGACACTACTGGCAGAACTGCAATAACCAAGCAGATTTATAGAGGAAATTCCTAGCCTTTCTCTAGTCTAAGAAGGGTACCCAGGGAGCAGCACAGACCTCATTGATGATTTGGAGGGCCTGGTCAGGAGGGGCACTTGATGGATGACACTCATCAGCTGTGTGACTTTGGACTAGTGATTTAATAACCTTGAACTTCAGCTTCTTTCCTTAAACACTAGTTCGAGTAGCATCTGCCCTATTCATTTCACCAGATTGTGAGAATGAATTGAAGTAATGTGTGTAAAGACACTTTACAAACTACAATATAGATGGAAGGTTAGAGGGAATTTCTTCATTGTTTAATCAAAGTTTAGACAAGAAAACTCTTGGAATCGAAAGCTGGAAAAAACATACTATACAATAAGTGGGGAAATTTATGTACGTCCCAAATTATGGAAATCTCTAAAACATATTTCCTATTAATATTTAGGATTTACTGTATGATACATCCTTGATCTTCACTAAAACTCTTACTATAAGATGACACTTAATGAAGCTATCAAAACAGCCATAGTACTAAAAATAAAATATTTTTGTATTATAGGCTGATCTTTTGACTCTAGTGGTATTCCAAAAACAAAAACAAAAACAAACAACAACAACAACAACAACAAATCACATGAGCTTCCTTTACATAACACATGATTGGTAGCTAAACATGTTTTCAAGTGATATGCTTTATAAATGCAACATAAAATCATCTTGTAATTGCTAAGCTTGAAAATACACATGATGCTATTCCTAATGACATACGGATGACACTGTACGTTTAGTAATAAATTACTATACAGAATGGCTCAGTCAGGGTGTACAAAAGCTACTGGGAGGGTAATTTATTTTCTGTGAGGTTTTCTTTGTTCATCATAGAAAAATTTTAAATAAGAGCATGTGTGTATATACCATAGAACAACCTCCTTTAAATTACAAAGTTATCACATTAAATTCTGATAAAATCAGCATTTCCGTAAAAATAAGTATGGATATTCGAAAACCTATTATTAGATGAAAATTCAAAACTATGGTATGAGAAAAATGCAATCAAAGGAATAACATTTATAGAATACAGTTCCTGGCCTAAAGCACTGCATAGGCATGTAACCTATAAAAAAGGATGTGAGAATGCTTAGATTCTATTTTAGAAAGAAGAAACTGATATTCAGAGAACTTAAACATATATCCAAATATCTTATGGCTTATAAATGTCACACAAACAATGAAACATATGTTTGACTTAATCATCTTTTTTATGGTAGAGAAATATTGAGTGCAAATTATGTGCCAAACATGTATTCAGAGCTGGATTTTCAGGGAATATAGATAGTTTCTGCCCTTATGAAAGAGTGTCCAGAGATCTGAGTGGAAAGGATTAGAAGTAATGCAATCTTGATAGAAGACCTTTTCAATAACTCAGGGGTATTGTGTCCTGGAAGTGAGTATTGGCAGTAGTGTTGAAAAGCAAAGTGTCTATTCCAGGGAATGATGTGAAGTAGAATTGATAGTTTTGAATTTCAAGGATGATAGAAAAAGAAAGAAACCGAGGTAAAAGAAAACAATTGGAACAGAGATTTATTTTCTTTATGCTTATTTTTACGGATGAAACATAGCAGAGTGATCAGATAAGGCCAGTGACCGATGGCAGAAAAAATAGGAAGATTTCTCGACTGAAGGAAAAATGTCTCATAATAAAGATTATCAGAAAATGAAATTGGCAGCTTTGTGAAAATCCCTGTTGAAGGCATTTAATAAAGTGCTGGATCACCACTCATTCCTTTGTTGTCAAATTCGAGTACCCAGGAGAAGAATTGATCTTCCTGAGTATGTATTCTGTTCCAACTTGGATTTTGTGGCTGTTATAGTAAAAATAACTTAAAAGTGTAGAGTCAACCTGATTCTGAAAATGGTGATTTAAATGAAACCTAGACAAGTAAGATAAGTTAAAAACAAACAAACAAACCAGAAACAAGAAAAAACCCACCTTTTTGGACTATATGTTTGGTGATCGAAGGGTCAGATGCTGGGCATGAAGTGAGAAGAAAGGATTAGTTTCAATTAGACACCTGTAGTTTTAGAAGCCTACTTATTGATGTATAGCTATAAATCAGGGTTTCTAGACCTCAGTACTCTTTGCTGTTGGGGAGTACTCTATGCCTTCTCGGATTAGCTACTTCCCTGGTTTCTACTACTAGATGCCAGTAATGCCAGTAACTTCTCCCGCTCTCCAAGTCGTGACAAGTGAAATGTCTCCAGACATTATTAAGTGTCTCTGAGAGGGCAAAAACACCCATCACTGAGAACCACTGATATGGATGTGCACTAGCTCCATTGTGTCTGTTTTACTTGTAGTGTGGAAAGAAATGAGCCCTAAAGTAGGGGCAGTAAACCGGTAAGTTGGTCCTAAGAGGAACAGAGATCATTTTGTGGGGGAGCCACTTTATTCGTGCAGATGCTTGACCCTGAGTCAAAAACCACATGTGATCTATCTTTGAAAACTTTCAGTTCCCAAGACAACATCTTTCCTATGGCATGAGTCCAGTTAGTGTTTGTGGAATTCAGCTGAGTTGTTCAATGGATGCCTAAGAAAGCAAGCAACCAACAAAAATGTTTAAGTACATATTATAATTTAAAAACTAAAACTGGAGATGAGGAAACCCAATGTAGAAAAAGCACAGATTCTTTGTGAATCAGTGAAATCTTTGTGAATCTTTGTGAATTCAGTGAAAACTGAATGCATTTTAGTTAGAAGAGAGGAAGCAGGTAAATGGATTTGTGGTCTCATTCTTTGGATTAAACCTGATGTTAGAACTTCAGGAGTAGACTTTAGGAATACAAGGATACAGGAAAGCTGGGAAGCACTGTTGATTAAGATACCAAGGCACTGGAAGCCCTGACATTGTTTTCATCTCTCTCCACATCTAGGTTTGCTTCAAGAACCAGTCAGCTTCAGAGTTTGTAAATATTCTCTTAAATGAAGTTGATAGTGTCTCAGTGTAAGTTCTTCCAGTATGGTCATGTGAACGGGAGTGCAAAAGGAAGTGAAGAGCAGGAGCTTGCATATTTACTTAATTCCAACAGGACCATACTGCACATAGAATGTTATTGGCAGCTGTTTGCCCCACGGAAGAACCAAGGAGAGAGGGAAATCTCAGGTCAAGGCAAGCTGCTCAGTTCTGCATAGCATCTCATTTCTGCTAAGTTCTGTATCTTTCCTATAATACCAATAACTAGGAGCAGGTGTCTGTGTGATCACTTCCCACTACTCTAACTCACCTGGATTATTACAAGGACCATCAGTCATTATAAATGTCTAAAGAACCCTGATAAATGACATGGGATTCTACTCTTAATTTGTATTATGGATGGATAAATGTTTCAATCCTTTAGTGATAGGAATGCAAAGTTGAAGTTTATTGAAAAATATTTTTTCCCATGAATCCTTTGCTTATCTAAGTACTTTCAGTATACCAGATGGATATTCTGTATCCTGCAAGTGGAGAGATAAGTTGCTTGCTCATGTAAATTTGCAGTTGAGGTAATGGATGGTAACATATATATAGTTTTATACATGAATACACACATATATACATATACAACAGATACATAAGTAACAGGTCCAAGCACTAATTACAGGTATCCTCTTGCAGAATCACCATGGCCCTGCTATGACTATAAAGATAAAATTTGTAAAAATATTAGAGAAAATAAAGATGCCATACACATTAGACAATTTTGGAATGTCGTATAAATTTTATGGCTCAACACCAATTCCTGAGTTCTGACCATGTTTTCAGCCTCAGTAGAAAAAATTTTCTTTGTGGCACCAATATCATGTCTACAGTCTTACCTAGACTAGACCCAAATTGAAGCTACAGTCATATCTAGACTAGACCCAAATTGAAGCTACAGTGGCTTCAGTTTGGGTCTAGTCTTTGACTCCTATTGACTCTTAAGTTCCTCTTATGTAAAATGTGGATTGGGTCTCAGGTTTGCCTGGAATTTCTACTGTGAAAGGTATAGTCTCTTTCCTCAAGAATATCATGCTTTTATTAGTAAACAGGATAAAGTTTCACCAAAGCATGACAAATCTATTATATTCGTCTGCATATAGGAGCAAACAAGAGGATCCACTTGTGAAGTAGAATTTATAGTTTTGAATTTCAAGGATGAAAAAACAGAAAGAAACTAAAGGAAAAGAAAAAATTGAGACAGAGATCTATTTATGCTTTTTTTAAGGGACTAAACATAGCAGAGAAATGAGATGAGACGAGTGACAGATAGCAGAAAAAAAAGGAAAGATTTCCAACTGAAGGGAAAATGTAATCCACAGTAGCAATGAGGAAAGGCATCCTGTAGAAAGTGATTCCAGATCTGACTTTTGATGTATAAACAGAAGGTTTTTTTGGTTGATAATTGAGGGTGATGAGAAAAATACTAATGGCAGAAAAAATGATACTAATTTTCCTCTTTTGTATCTTGAAAAGGTAAGTGTGATAGAGAGGATTGTTGGGAAGAAGGAGGGCACCTCGGATTTCAAAATCACGATGAATATTTTTGTAGAAGATTGAGAACTTGTAATAAGTGGGTAATTGAGAATTTTGAATGAGTAGTGTGAAATGCGTGTATGGAAACGGGACAAAATTTATTTTTGTGCTACTTTATATCATAGAAGGGTTAGTTGTTAATGGTGGGCTTTTGCTGTCAGTAACCTAAAATTGTCCACTATCCTTTAGCTTCTGAAGTAAATGTCCAAGGAATAGTAGTGAAAGGAGAAGAAAAATGGTTTATTAAATTCTAGGAATGTATCTGTATTTCATCATGCAAAACTTTGATGAAATCTGTATTGGAGGAAAGAACTGAGTTTCTGGTCGAATGAATTTTTTTACTTCCTTATCCAAATGAAGCTGTTTAGTTTTAAAAAGGCTCCTCAATGACAATTACTTATATAGCTGAAGAAATGGGAGACAAAAGGAGGGCTTCTCTGCCTCCCCAGGGTCTTGGTTTGCCTGGTGGATGGAAGGAAAATGTAGGAAGCACTTGCAGATAGCATACATTCTGGCTTTGAATGATCAGATGTGAATATGTTTCTTGGGATTTGAGGGAGGTTGGACAAGGGGTAGGTGTGGAAGTGCAGAGTGAGTTGGAGAAAGAAGTCTGGCAAGAAGTTGTAATGACTCAGGAAAGGAGATAGGAGTGTCTCCTTCCCTATGGGTAGAGGTAGACATTTTAGGAAAAAAGAGAGGAAAAAAAGGATAAAATTTTGTTATTATCCTCCCAAAACTTGTTATGTAAGATATAAATTTACTGATAGGAGATTTTGAAAATTAGTATCAGCTTTATATTTGGGCACATGATTTCATTGAGGCAGTTCTTTGGCAGAGCAGATTAAAATGATGTTCCTGAAATGAAACTAGAGTCTCCAAAATAATTGGCTCATTTTAAGCAAAATATTATTGATGGTCAACAGTGACTGGCACATAATAATTGATTAAATATTTGTTGCCTAAGTCAGGGAATGAGTGATATGCTTTGGCAATTACTGACAGTATATAAAGGTCTCAGGGAAGTAGAAGACATCCACACCTCAGAAGCATCTTCTTGAAACCCATCTCAATTCTCTCCTCTTGACAACATGTGTTGCAACTACTACGGCAACTCCTGTGGCTATGGCTCCGGCTGTGGCTGTGGCTATGGCTCTGGCTCTGGCTGTGGCTGTGGCTATGGAACTGGCTATGGCTGTGGGTATGGCTGTGGGTTTGGCTCCCATTATGGCTGTGGTTATGGAACTGGCTATGGCTGTGGATATGGCTCTGGCTCTGGCTACTGTGGCTACCGGCCATTTTGCTTTAGAAGATGCTATTCTTCCTGCTAAAACATCACTGTCGGAGGACCATTTGCTTCTAAAATGACACGTCTGAAGATAATGCTGATTCAAGGATTCGTACTCCAAGATTTCTATATCCAAGAATTACATGCTTGACAGAATCTTCGACCTCTAGCCTCACATTTCTTTGAATGAAATCATGGCCATAGGATCCATGGTGTCATCTGACTGTTTTCCAAATGTTATCTTTTGCTCCCTTAATCTCTGATTCTCTGTTATGACTGTGTTAATGATCATAACATCTACAGTTGCGGAAGTCAATCATTTGTAATAAAAATGGTTCTTTATTCCTAAAAATCTTTGTGTACTTGCTTGTGAATTACTCTTTCTTGGGGTGTTTTGGAATCTCTTGAAAATTGGGCTAACAGTATGTTGGCTGAACCTTAGGTACTTCCTTGATATAACGCAATTATTTCCTCTTATGCTTGCATCATAAATAATGTCTTCTCTACCTGCTTCTCATATCCCACATGCTCAGGTTCTCACATACCCAAGCACAAATCACAGAGTATTTCAGAACTGTGCTTTGGAAATGGCACTGAGTGTCTAGAATGGAGCTGGAGGGGGAAAGGGAGGCAAAGTGACACCTATTCAGGATGTTATGACAAAAGTCTCAGGGAGGAGATATAGCCTGAGTGCTTAAAGAAGTAATATAATCCCAGCACTTTGGGAGGCTGAGGTGGGTGGATCACCTGAGGTCAGGAGTTCGAGACCAGCCTGGCCAACATTGTGAAACTCTGTTTCTACTAAAAATACAAAAATTAGCTGGGCTTGGTGGTGCGTGCCTGTAATTCCATCTACTCAGGAGGTGGAGACAGGAGAATTGCTTGAACCCTTAGGAGGTGGAGGTTGCAGTGAGCCGAGATTGCTTGGGTGACACACTGAGACTCCATCACACACACAAAAAAAAGTAATGCAATAGGAGAGATCACTTCCAGGATTGTTGAAAATTTTGAGTCAGGGTCAAGTGTTAGGCAAGAGGAAATAAAAACCTAAAAAAGGGTAAGTTCAAAGAAAAAATATACTATCAAATGTATCTACATCTGACAAAAGTACAAATATATATGTTTGCTTACATGGAGGTTGAGAAATGCTATTTAATTCACTTAAATATTTTTGAATAGACACCATCCTGAAGACACAGAAGAAAAATTATAAGCAAATGTTCTGCTCTCAGAATGTTTATAGTCTAACAGATGAAGATTTAAAGAAGCAAAAATAGGCCAGATGTGGTGGCTCATGCCTGTTAATCCCTGCACTTTGGGAGGCTGAGGCAGGTGGATCACTTGAGGTCAGGAGTTCGAGACCAGCCTGGCCAACATGGCGAAACCCCGTCTCTACTAAGAATACAAAAATTAGCCAGGCGTGGTGATGGGCGCCTGTAATCCCAGCTACTTGGGAGGCTGAGGCACGAGAATCGCTTGAACCTGGGAGATGGAGGTTGCAGTGAGCCAAGATTGCGTCATTGCACTCCAGCCCGGGCAACAAGAGCAAAACTCTGTCTAAAATAATTAATAATAATAATAATAATAATAATGAAGCAAAAACTAATTATAACAAATTCAGACAGATAATTGCTATAGAGGGAATGAAACAGCTTAATGGAGAGGAGATTAAGGTTTGAAGTACTGGAGAGACAGCTCAGGGAAGTATCTTGAGGTTATGACATTTGAGCTCATAATACAACATTTCCAGCAGCAAAGAAAGACTAAAAAGGACAGTAGCAAATGCCAAGGGGGACAGCAGTTCATTAAGTTTTGGGTATGATGAAGGTGATGACACATTTTTCAGTTAGAAAAGAGCAAGGTCTAGTATCTTAATGGAGTTCTTTTTAGATTGGGGTGGTCATAAAAATGAGATTAAAGGGTCTGTTCTAGTTTCCTGGCTGACTTTCTGATGTGGAGTGTTTACTGCTTCTTTGATTCTGATTTTAGTGTCCTTTCCTCCAGTTCTAGACCATCCAAACTCTATCACTGAAATCTTACAACAGAGAAAGTCTTCTGGATTCAGTAGAAACTTGTTATAATCAGCAGTAATAAATGTGTCCCTGTTTCATCCACACAACAGGGACCATTACACCAAGTCTGGCTCTCTGAGGTCCCTGGAGCTGGGTGACCCCACAAAATGCCTGGCTCTAAGAAAGATAGCCCTACAATCAATATCAGCCCAGGAGGAAATCTATGTCCAGGATAGAATCTGTCCGACTGATGGACAATAGGGGTTTCTTCCAAGAGCAGGATAGCTTTCCCATCTGGAGTATTTGTGAGTCAGATCTGAGGACTAACTGTGCTGTCTGGAACTCTGAAGTTATTATAGTATTACAAGCAGTGGATAACACTTAACTTATCTTCAAAACCTGAAATATTGTGATTATCTCAGTTTAAGAAAATTTTGAGACATTCAGCTTGTGTGCAATGAGAAAATGGTGATAATGTTAACAGAGACAGAGATGATAAAATTAGAGAAGGTTTGTGTGTGTGTGTGTGTGTGTGTGTGTGTGTGTGTGTGTGTGTAGATGCTCATGTAGGTGTGGCCTGTTTGGTGGAGGTTGGGAAAAACGAATATTTGAATTCACATATGTAATCACATTATGGAGGAAAGGAAAAACTATTTATATTTCACAATACTTTCTGTGGTTGGAAAATGATTTAAGCTTCAAAGCTCCTTTAAAAAAAACACAAAAGTCTTTTTTTGGGATACATTATTACATATTGTAGAGGCTCTAAATTGTAAAATCTAAATTGTAAAATTTGTTCTTTAACAAACATTAAGATTCATGTTTCAGCTATGTGCTGTGATTGGTATGGAGACAGAGAGATAAAACACATAGTCCCTTCTAAGAATTCAGAATCTTCAGCTGGGCACAAAATACTAAATCATACATAGCAGGTATGCTTGTAGGTACGATGGTGTTACCAAGAAGAGCTCAAGGGGGAAACTTAAATCAGAATGTGGAAAGAGAAGGCTCGACAAGTGTCAGAAATTGCTTCCAAAGAATGATAGGAACAGAGCCATAAAGGATGAGGTAGATTTGGTCAGTTACAAGAGACGGAAAATGGAATTCAAGGCCAAGAAATTCAAGGAAAGAAGAAAATAAGCTGTCAGTTTATTGAAAGAGTAGGAGGCCCCACTGGGAAATTTTAATCAGTGTCCACTTCCATAAAAGAATTATCAGGTCTCTTGAGTAAGCTGCACTGTCTGATATGGTGCTACTAGCCAGCTGTTGAGTTCTCAAAATGGGGATAATTCAAAATGAAATGCGCTGTAAGTGTAAAATACAGAGTAGATATCAAAGACTTAATAGAAAAAAAAGAATGAAAGTATCAAATACATTTAAATTATTTGTTATATATTAAATGATAATATTTTGAGACATTAGGGTGAATACAATATGGTATAAAATTAATTCACCTGTTTCTTTTTATCTTTTTAAAATGTGGACATTGGAAAATTTAAATTTCTCAATGTGTTTCATGGTATATTTCTATTGTAGAGTGTTGTCCTAGAGGGCCAATCATAACCAACTGGCCAGGTAAGGACACTGGCTAGAAAGAGAAGTCATGTTAGGCCACTAGCAAAGATTAGGAAGTCTAACCATGTTATCCAGGTATAAGGAGTAGATCAGCCTGAGGCAATAGGACCACAGTTGCCAGTGCTGCAGAATTCAGGGGAGGAGCAAAGTCCCTGTGTAGACAAATTTTCCATCTGGGATAGTTTATTCAGTAAATGTGTGTCTTAGTTTGTTTTATGCTGCTGCAACAGAATACCCGAGACTGGGTAATTTATGATAAACAGAAATTTATTAGCTCATAGTTCTGGTGGCTGGAAAATCCAGCATCAAAGTGGTGAGAGTCTTCCTGCTGCATCAAAACATGGCAAAAGGCATCACATGGTGAAAGACCAAGAGAGGGCAAGAGAGAGAGCAAGACGGGGTGAACCCATTCCCGCAATAACAGACTTGCTCCTGTGATAATGGTGTTAGTCCATTTATGAGGGTGGAGCCTTCAAGACCTAAACACCTCATAATGGTCCTACCTCCCAATACCTTCACAATGGCAATTAAGTTGCAACATGAATTTTGAAGGGGGCAAACATTTAAATCACAGCAATGGGATTGATCAATCTCCCATCTGTTTAGATACAATGATATAAATACCTACCTCACACTATACACATAAGAAATTCCACATTGATTAAAGTTCTGCACATGAAGGTTAAATTATGAAAGTACTAGAAGATGGTATAGAGTTTTAGGCATTTTGGCTAGGATTGTAAAGATCACAAAGAAAGAAAATCCAGATGATAGAGGTGTAAGACAAAAGTGGCAAAATATTGGCAATTTTAGTCAAATGAAGTGCATATTTTCCATTTGAAAAACTAAAGGAAAAAATAATTTATGGGTCCTTCCTGAGCTTTAATATTCTTGCAGGAGTTAAATCGATTTGACTCTACCACTAAACAGCTGAGAGTCCTTGGGCAAGTGACAACTACCTGTGGCTTCTGTTTTCACATCTGCGACGTGTGTAAAAACAAAAACCATTAGGTACATGAAAGTTGCTTTACATCAATAATCATCAGAGAAATGCAAATCAAAATCACAGTGAGCTATCACCTCATACCTGGTGTGATGGGTATTATAAAAAAGATAAGAGATAACAAGTGTTGGCGAGGAAGTGCAATAAAAGAAACATTTGTGCACTGTTTTTGATGGGAACATAAATTCATACAGCCATTATGGATAACAATATGGAGGTTCCTTAAAAAATGAAAATTAGAACTACCACACGATCTAGCCCTACTTCTGGGTTTATATGTCAAAGATACAAAATCAGTAGCTCAAAGAGATATATGCATTCCCATGTTTGTTGCAGCACTATTTACAATAGCCAAAACATGGAAACAACCTAACTGTTCACTAATGAGTGAATGAAAAAATAAATTGTGGTGTATATTTGTAATGAAATATTATAAAAAGGAAAGAAATCCTGCCATTGACAACAGCATGGATAAACATGGAAGGCATTATGCTAAGTGACAAGTCAGCCAGAGAAAGACAAATGCTGAGTAATCTTACTTATATGTGGAATCTAAAATGTAGAACTCAAAAAACAGAATGTGGAATGGTGGTTGCCAAGGGGTTGGGAGGTGGAAGAAATGGGAAGATGTTAGTTTAAGGGTACAAATCTTCAGTTACAAGAAGAATAAGTTCTGGAGATACAATTTACCACACGGTAACTAACTATAGTTAACGATACTCTATTGTATACTCGAAATTTGCTAAGGGGAGATCTTAATTGTTCTCACCATAAAACAAAACCAAAATGCTAATTATGTGATTATTGTGGTAACTTACTTGATTGTGTCAATCATTTCTCAGTAAATATGTATATCAAATCATCATATTGTATAACTTAAGCTCATATGATTATCTTTGTCCCTGATACCTCAATAAAGCTGGAAAATAATAAAAAACACAACTTACTTTACATTGTTTTTATAAGAATCAATGAAGTAATAAATGTAAGTGTGACTCAAAAATTAAAAGGGGATGTCTGCTTTGGAAAATGTCTATTCATGTTCTTTGTCCACTTTTTTCATGAAATTATTTGTGGTTTTTTTTGTTGTTTAAGTGTTTGAGTTTCTTGTACATTCTGAATGTTAGTCCCCTGTCAGATGCATAGTTTGCAAATATTTTCTCCCATTCTTCAGGTTGTCTGTTCACTCTGTTAATTATTTCTTTTGCTGTGAAGAAGCTTTTTAGTTTAATTAAGTCCCATTCATCTATTTTTGTTTTCATTGCATACTTTTGAAGTATTTGTCATGAATTCTTTGCCTTGACCAGTGTTCAGAAGAGTTTTCCCTAGGGTTTCTTCCAGTATTTTTATTGTTTCAGGTCTTACATTGCAGTCTTTAATACATCTCGAGTTGATTTTTGTATATGGTGAGAGATGGGGTCCAGTTTCATTCGTCTGCATATAGCAATCCAATTTTCCCAGCATCATTTATTGAAGAGGATATCCTTTCCCCAATGTATGTTCGTGTTGACTTAGTCAAAGAACAGCTGGCTATAAATAATATGGCTTTATTTCCGGGTTCTCTCTTCTTTTTCAATGATCTATTTATCTATATTTATACCACTACCACACTGTTTTGGTAGCCCTGTGATGTGTTCCTTGATTCTGTATTTTTACAAAACATTATTGTATAAAATGCTTCAGGCAAGGTAAACTGAGGTCAATTACATGGAAGTTCATTTTCTGAGAGCATTTGCTCACTTTTGAAAGTTTATTACGAAAACATTACTTGACATATGTATATTTACACATATGTATATCACATACTTTAAAAATAGCAAAATTAAAATTCAAATCTCAAAATTTTAGTACAACAAATAGATCAATACAAGTATATACAGAAATTTGAAAAGCTGTTACTGTTTAGGAATGCTTATATTTGGGCAAAAGAAAAGGGGAAAAGAAAGAAAAAGTTTTGTCTCCACCATGTATCAGGGTCATTGCTACACTACTTATATTGCCTGTGTATTTTCTGTAGGCCTCTTAATAAAATTTTAAATAAAAGTAATTATTTTTATTCCCATTTGGCAGTTGCAGAAACTGAGGTTCATCTAAGTTGAGGACATTTTCCATGGTCATATAATTAGGAAAAGACTCAGTCAGGAAATTAACCAATCTGTTTTCCAGGGAAAGCTATTTCTACTACAGAGCCTCTGGAACATGGAGGACATTGTACTGATTATCAATTTGTGGCCCCTCAGCATCTAATTCATCCTTCAGTATATTCTCTGTGCTGATAGATGGGATTCCTTTAAGTATTTCTCCTTCACTGTGAGCATGGCTTCAAGTTTTCTCAGGAGAGGATGCAGCAGGGACATTGCAGGAGGAAACAGAGCTCCTGCATTTTTGGGTGTGGCACAGAAGGGCAGTAGAAGGTATCAGCAGTGTGGGTTAAGGATATCCAATGAAGCTCCACCTCAGTTTTGGGTCCAGGATATGCTGGAAATTATTATTCAGTAGAAAGCACCGATGTACAGCATAAACATCAGAGTGGTCCAATTATTATGGATATCCAATTGTTAATTCGGTTCTTAAACACAAACAAACCTGTGTTTAAGAACAGAATTTAACAACTGGACATCAACAACAAAGTTGTGAACCAAGGAATTCCCCTCACTTTAAATGGAAAAATCAAAAGTTTATTCTATAAATTTTAAATGACACATATTACATAACTGACCTGTCAGACGTTTAACAAAAATTTTTTTTTCAAGCAAGAGAAGGTCATAGACTGCCTAGAAAAGGGGGGAATGGTCAAACTTTTCTTCAGAGAGAAGGAGAGGGTTTCAAGAAGTTGAGGTAGCACGTGGAAATACCCAATTCTTTGTCCAAAAACCATGATTTAGTAATTTTTAGTGACTATGATAAGAAAAGAACACCAAGGTATTAGGAAAGAATAAGAAGAAATGATGATGATGATGGTATTAAGAGCAGTGAGAACTCCTTATTAAATAGATAATTCTCAAGACCTTACAAGAACAGAAAGATAAACATACATTTATAGGTCAAACATATTTTGGTGATGTGTTATGTCATGGCTATGAAATGAAACTATGGAAAACAAAATTATGGTTGTATAAGCTTGTGTGTTTAGAACTTGTATATTTGTTTTCTTTTCAGGCATAAAAATATTCCTAGGGAAGTCATAAGCAAATTATGAATTCCAAAGAAAGTAGATGTACACAGAATGAGCTCATTTTAGGCAGATGATTATAAAATGAGCAAATAGAGCCCATGTGAGGATGACCCATGCATCCCTGGAAGTATATAAAGGTCTTAGAAGAGTAGAGGACAGTCACACTTCAGAAATATCCTCCTACACCTCAACTGAAATCTAACCTCCTGAAATCATGTGTTGCAACTACTACAGAAACTGCTGTGGGGGCTGTGGATATGGCTCTGGCTGGAGTTCCGGCTGTGGATATGGTTGTGGCTATGGCTGTGGATACGGCTCTGGCTGTAGATATGGCTCTGGCTATGGAACTGGCTGTGGCTATGGCTGTGGATACGGCTCTGGCTGTGGATATGGCTGTGGATACAGCTCTAGCTGCTGTGGCTACCGACCACTTTGCTACAGAAGATGCTATTCCTCTTGCTACTAATCATCACTACAGGTCATCCTTGGCTTTGCAATGACCTCTCCAAGATCAAGTTCAATTGAAATCTCCCCTACCCATTATCTTCACATCTAAGTAAAGGTTGACTATGGTCACCTGACTATCTGAATGCATATAAGAGAAGCTGTTGGCAGTGGATGGAGACTGAGTAGTTTCATCACATCGCTGAAGAGAGGAGATTTTATTCTGATTAATTTTCTAGTGTAATTTTCTAATGTAAGCTCTTACATCTTTTTCTGAATCTTTGTGCCATGACTATTTGCTGAAACACAAGAGGACTATATAATTGGAGCATACTAAAATGGAAAAAAAATAGAATTTTCTTAATAAAAGGCCTTACTCACTAAGAAGTCTGGTCTCCTTAATGTCTCCTTAATTTGAGGTTTTGTGGCTTCCTCAAAAGCTGTGTGACCACAACTTTAAATAAGACAACGTTATTTTATTGGTTGAATCCAAATACTTGTGTTTTACATATTTCTTAATTCCTTGTATGTTAACTCTTTACATTTTTATTTAAACATGAACACAAATATTAAGCTCAAAATTTTAAAATATGCATGAAAAAAGAATTAGAATAGAACCAAGAATGAGACAGGGGATCTACTCATGAGGTTAATGCACTAGTTCAGCAATGACTATCTTGTTTGAGCTTAAGTCAAGGTAATTAAGAGGCAACAATATTAATTTAATGTTAATAGCTTTTGAAATATGTAAAACAAGAAATCTTAGACTAAGCAGATAAGTCTCCTACAAGTGCTCAAGATGGTGAGAAAGGATCAGGGCTCTTTTATGTTCCCACTCCCCACCCTTTCTGTGTGACTTTCATACTCATGGTTTTAAAGTGGTTGCTGTGTATGACCAACATTCTGCACAAGTAAGGACAAATGATGAAGAGCATCAGGTCTTTTAAAACTTTGTCCTCTTATTTGGGAAGGGACACTCTTCCTGGAAGAATTTTGACTGCCCTTGTTTGTACACATGTGTACTGTGACCACTCTTAGCTAAAGGTGTGTAAAGAACAAAAAGGTGTTCAGGGGTTCTGCTAGTCAGCAATCATGTGTGCCCAAAGTATGTAGGTCTTTGGGATCAAGAGGAAAGGACAAAAGACTGAGGAAGCAAAACCTCAGGTAAATGGCCATATGTTCCTACAGCAATTTGAGTTTGGGAAGGGGTACAATTTATGACTTCACTCATTTTTTTCCTTCAAGTGTAGAGGTTTGAGCTTAATATACTGTCCTATTTATATCATATTACTGTTTGTCCACACATAGCTCTTTTCCCTTTTTCTATTTTTTTTTGTCTAACAGAGTAATTTATTTATTCTCTTACATTTATCTTTTATTTCCATTCTCACACTCATCTCTCATTCATAAACACCTTGTTATTTATTATTTTATATGCAATACCCCTTTTCATCTTGTCAGTATCCCCCAAAAGTTGGCCATTCTACTATATATTTTCAACCTATTTAAATTGTATTATTATATATATTTTTTAAAACCCCTTTTCTTTCAGCACAATTGCAGTGAATGATTCATTTATGCTACTACGTGTACATTTAGACTATTATTTCTCATTGCCATATGATACTTCACGTGGCTAATACACAAGATTTTGCCTTTTGCTATCTCGGTGATGCACACATAATCACACCCAGCTCTTCTTCAGCACAACATTGCTGCAATGAACACGTGACCCTTATGGGCTTCTATGAAAGTCAATCCCAAAATCTGTCCTCACATATGTAACAATATTTGTTTACTCTAACATGCTAATGTTGCTTGTTTGCACAGTGACAAAGATATCATCTTGCTGTTTTAATTTATGTATCTCTTATTATTAATGGGTGTGAACAATTTTCTTTCCATATGTGTTATCCTTAATGTTTTCTCTTCCACATCCTTTGCTCATTTTCTAAACAGAAGTGTCTGTCTCTTTCTTATTGATTTGTAGGCATTTATTGTATAATCCTAATAAAATTCCCTTGTTATTTTTGACACTGGAAAAATCTCACAAACTGTCATTTGTTTATTTTTGTTAATAGTGTGCATAATTGCACCACATTGCAAACTGTAATTTCTGACTTTTTAGTTATTTAAAAGATGATACATATTATCTTTATTTCATTGATATTCTACATCTGTCAATTGAAAATTTTTACATTTCACTCTTTGATCATTAATCCACCTGGAGTCCACCTCTATATATGGTGGTCCAGTTTCATTTTTCATTATATTAAGCTAGATTCTCCAGCACCACCTACTAAACAGCTCACCATTTGTAACTGATTGGTGGTGACCATCGTTAGTCTATGATTTTATCACATATACAAGAGTTGGTCTCTGGACTTTGTACTATGCTTGATTTATGTTTATATTTCTTAGCATTTTTAAAAGGTTTTGCAGGGAAGGTATATGTGTGATACAGAATTAGGTTTATTCTGGTTTGTTTTTTCACTGAAGACAACTAGGTCCAATGGATAGAATTTAAAGACAGGAAGACTTAAAAAAATAAGACACTTTTCAAATGGCTAACACAGTATGAAGATGGAATAAGTTGTCTTGTTAGCATCCCTATCCTGAAGTTATTGAATAATTTGTATCTCCACCCCCTAGAAAATTCTGAGTAATTCTGCACTCTGAACGTGGACCTAATTAAATTATCCACATCATTCACTTCTACTTTGAAATTCTGTGATTGTATATGTAAAGGATCATTGAATGTTAGTTGTAGGCAAGCTGGATAAGAATGATATGGCCTATAATGCCAAGAAATAATACTCAATTTTATTATAGAGTTAGGAAGAAGAATGTAAGGTTTCACATGAGTTTTGAGGCTAACCTACTGTTAGATCAAGTTTTAAATGATTTCTGGGAGTCCATGCAGAAAATGGTTTCCAAAGCAGGAGAAAGAAAGACAACAGATTAGTAATACCCTTGCAGAAGCGCTCATTAGAGTGGTAAGATATTACTGCAATAATGTGTGGGATCTATTTCAGTTATTGAAGGGATCCCAGGAAGTACTCACTGTGGAATGCATATATCAGTAGAAAAACGTTATCTAATTACAATGGAAGACAGCAGAGAGGAGGAAAGAAAAGATCTACAAAACACCCAGAAAACAAGAAAATGCTCATATATATATTCATATATATATTCATATATATATTCATATATACATTCATATATATATTCATATATACATTCATACATACGTTCATATATATATTCATACATACGTTCATATATATATATTCATATATACGTTCATATATATATGTTCATATATATGTTCGTATATATGTTCGTATATATGTTCGTATATATTCGTATATATATACGTATATATTCGTATATATACGTATATATATTCGTGTATATATACGTATATATATACGTATATATATTCGTATATATATTCGTATATATATTCGTATATATATTCATATATATATATTCGTATATATATTCATATATATATATATCCGTATATATATAAACAAAGACCCAACTAAATGTTGCCTACAAGAAACTCACGTTGCTTTTAAGGACACATATAGATTGAAAGAACAAGGATGGAAAAAGGTATTCCATGCAAATTGAAACAAAAAAAGACCATATACATATATCAAATAAATTAGACTTTGAATTAAAAAAAACTGTAAAACAAGGAAAAGAAAGTCAGTATATAATGGTAAATGGATTAACTCATCAAGAAGACATAACAATTATAAACACATATGTACCCAATGTCAAACACCTAAAAATGTAAAGCAAATATTAATATAGTTGAAGAGACATTTACAATGTAATATTACTATTATTTTATTATTGTATTTTATTATACTATTATTATTATTATTCTTTCATCAATGAACAGATTATTCAGATAGAAAATAGGTAAGTAACCATTAGATCTGAACTATACTTTAGAGCAAATGGACCTAATAGGCGTATATAGGACATTTCATCCAACAGCAGCAGAATACAATTCTGCTCAAAACACAGAAAACATGCTTCAAAAGAAGTCTTAACATATTTAAGTTTTCTTTTGTTGTTTTGAAATGTGTTTCAAAACAGGTCTTAATATATTTAGGAAGACTGTGATTATATTAAGTATCTTTTCCAACCACAATGGTTTGAATCAACAAATCAATAATGGAAGGAATTTTGGAAAATGTGCAGATATATGAAAACTAAACAACATCATCATAAACAACAAATGAGTCAAGAATAAAAAGAAAGGAAAACTAAAGATATCTTGAAACAAACGAAAATAAAAGCATAACATACCAAAACGTTGGGATGCAGCAAAGGCAGATCTAAGAGGACATATGCAGATATGGCTCTGCCTGGGGTTCTGTCTGTGGATATGATTGTGGTTCTGGATATGGTTGTGGATATGGCTCTGGCTATGGTTATGGATATGGCTATGGCTGTGGCTATGGCTATGGATATGGCTCTGGCTGTGGCTATGGCTATGGATATGGCTCTGGCTCTGGCTATGGCTATGGCTCTGGCTATGGCTATGGCTATGGCTCTGGCTCTGGCTCTGGATATGGCTCTGGCTATCAATACGGCTCTGGATATGGATCTGGCTGTGGCTATGGCTATGGATATGGCTCTGGCTCTGGCTATGGCTGTGGATATGGCTCTGGCTATGGCTGTGGATATGGCTCTGGCTCTGGCTATGGCTGTGGATATGGCTCTGGCTGTCAATACGGCTCTGGATATGGATCTGACTGTGGCTATGGTTATGGATATGGCTCTGGCTCTGGCTATGGCTGTGGATATGGCTCTGGCTCTGGCTATGGCTGTGGATATGGAACTGGCTGTGGCTATGGTTGTGGATATGGCTCTGGCTCTGGCTATGGTTGTGGATATGGCTCTGGCTCTGGCTATGGCTGTGGATATGGAACTGGCTGTGGCTATGGTTGTGGATATGGCTCTGGCTGTAGATATGGCTCCGGCTGTCAATATGGCTCTGGATATGGAACTGGCTGTGGCTATGGCTGTGGATATGGCTCTGCCTCTGGCTATGGCTGTGGATATGGCTCTGGATATGGATTCGGCTCTCCCTACGGCTGTAAATACAGCTCTGGCTGCTGGGGCTGTCGACCATTTTGCTACAGAAGATGCTATTCCTCTTGCTGCTAATCATCACCACAGATGATCCTTGCCTTAATGATGACCTCTCCAAGATCAAGTCCAGTTGAAATCTCCCCTACCCATTATCTTCACATCTAAGTAAAGATTAACTATGGTCCACTAACTATCTGAATGAACATACAAGAAGCTGTTTGCAGTGGATGGAGACTGAGTAGTTCCATCACATCACTGAAGACAGAAGATTTTATTCTGATTAATTTTCCATTGTAAATTTTTACATCATCTTCTCTGTCTTTGTATTGTGGATTTCTGAAAAAGCACAGGAGGGCCACGTAATTGGTGCATACTACAAGGGAATAAAAATGGAAGTTTCTTAATAAAAAGCCTTGTTCAGTAGGAAAACTGGTCTCATGTCAGAATCAGCATTAGTTTCAGGGTTTGTGGCTTCCTTACAAGATGGGTGATGGCAACTTAAAATAAGATAATATTTTATTGGTTGAATCCAAATATTGGCTGTTTTACGTATTTTCTAAATTCTTTGTATGTTAATTATTTACATTCATATCTAAACACAAACACAAACATCACACTAAAATATTATAATATGCATGACCAAAGGACTAAAATAAGGAGATTAGTGAGAAAAGGAATCTACTTACGAGGTTAATGCACTAGTCCTGAAATGACTGGCTGTCCTGGGCTTAAGTCACGGGAATTAAGAGGCAACATTATTAATTTAATGTTAATAGCTTTCAAAATACATAAAACAAGAAATATTGCACCAAGCAGATAAGACTACTACAAATGCTCAAGGAAGTCAGAAAACATCAGGACCCTTTTGTCTTCCCACTCCCCACTCCTGCTGTGTGACTTTCATACTCATGGTTTCAAAGTGGTTGCTGTGTATGACCAACATCCTGCACGACTAAGGATAAATGATGAACATCAGGCCTTTTAAAACTTTTTTCCTTCATTGTGGGGAAGGTGAACACTTCCTGGAAGACTTTTGACTGCCCTGTTTGGACACATGTGTTCTGCGGCCACTCTTATCTGAAGATGGGTGTAATGAAAAAAAAAAGGGGGTTGTGGACTGGGGTTGTGCTAGTCAGCCAAGAATGTGTGCCCAAATTTTATAGGTCTTGGGGATCAAGAGGAAAGGACAAAAGGCTGAGCAAGCAAAATCTTAGGTAAATTAATATATGTCCTTACATCAATTTTAGTTAGGGCAGGTGCACAACTGATGTCTTCACTAATTTTTTTCTTGAAATGTAGAGGATTAATATACTCCCCTATTCATATAATGTTATTGTTTGAACACGCATGGATCTTTATGTGTTTTAATATTTTGCTAACATAATAATTTATTTATTCTCTTTTATTTCTTTTTGGTTTCCACCTTCATCTCTCATTTATAGCCATATTGCAATTTATCTCATATGCAACCATCCTTATTCATGTTTTCAAAGTCCCAAGAAAGTCGGTCATTTTATTAAATATTTTAAATCTATGTAAATGGTGTTATTTTATATCCTCTGAAGACCTTTTCTCTCTCAGTGCTATTTGTGTTGAAAGTCTCATTTATGCTATTATGTGTAGATTTAAACTATCATTTCTAATTGTTGGTTGGTACTCCATGTGGTTAATACACAAGATTTTGTCCATTCAGTATCTCAGGGATGCACACTTAAATCACACCCAGCCTCTTCAGCACAGCACTGGTGCAATGAACATGTCCTCCATGGGCTTCTATGAGAATCAATCCAAAATGTAAATTGCTGAGACAAATGATGTGTTTATATTTTATTTTAGTAAGTACCATCAGGTTAGTCTCCAGGATGTCTGCATCAGTCCAAACTGCCAAATTGCAGCTTATATGTCCTCAAACATGTGCCAATATTGTTTTATATCACCTTTTAATGTTTTTTTGAGAAGTAAAAAGTTATCTTGCTGTTTTAATTTGCATATCTCTGATTACTAACGGGTTTGAACATTTTCATTTCTTCCAGTATGTGTTAACCTTTGTGGTTTCTCTTCCATATCCTTTGCCCATTTTTCCATTGAGATTTCTGTCTTTTTCTTACTGATTTGTAGGACTTCATTGTATATTCTTGATAAATTTCCTTGTCATTTTTAGACACTGCAAATATCGCCAAAACTATCATTTATTTTTGCTCATATCGTGCATAATTGAACAAACATTTTAAATCTATGATTTGTTATTTTTTGAGAAGATCTACCTTATTTTTATGTCAAAGATATGCTACATTTTCTTTTATTATTTTTAAAGTTTTACACTTCACACTCAGATCATTAGTCCAGCTGGAGCCTACCTTTATATGCGGTGCTCCAGTTTCCCTTTTCACTGAATTAAGCCAGCTTCTTTAACACCACCTACTAAACCCTTTGTCATTGGTTGGTGTTGCCACCTCTATTCTCCGTTATTGCTTGTAAATGAGTTTATCTCTGTACTCTGTTTCATGCTTGTTTTATGTTTAAGTTGTTTGGCATTTTTCAAAGACTTCTTGTGTGTATGTGTGAGACAGAAAATTAGGTTTATTCTGCTTTGTGTTTCCACTGAAGACCACAAGATTCAATGGGTAGAATTTAAAGACAAATAAATTTTACAAGATAAATTGTTTTTTCTGCAAAATATCATGTTTATGAAAAAAATGCAAGGATTAGCCAGGCATGATGGTGCACACCTGTAGTCCCAGCTATTCAGGAGGCTGAGGTGGGTGGGTCACTTGAGCTTGGGAGGTTGAGGTTGCAGTGAGCCATGATCGCACGACTGCACGCCAGCCTGGGCAACAGAGTGAGATCCTGTCTCAAAAAAAAAAAAAAAAAAAAAAAGCAAAAAACAAAGAAACTTGTTCTTAAAGGCTAGAATAGTGTGAAATTGGAATAGGCTGTCTTGTAAACATTTCTATCCTGAAGTTGTTGAAGAATTTGCATCTTCAGTTAGAAAAGTCTGAGTAAATATGTGCATTCAAAACTTGGGCTTAATTAATTCATTCACATTATTCACTTCTACTTTGTAATTTAGTGATTCTATAATAAAAATAATTGAAGGTTGGGTCAGGGCAACATGAATAAGAATAATGTGACCCAAAAAGAAAAAATTATGCTCGATTCTATTGCAGAGTTAGGAAGGAGTATATCACGTTCAAAGTGAGCTTTGAAGCATCTACCTACTGTTAGAGTCAGTATTTCTGGATTTCTGGGATCTGTACAGAAAATGCAACTCAAAGCAGGGAAAAGAGGAACAAGATTAGTAAAGCCATTGCAGAGGAACTCATAAATGTGTTCATGGATTAATGCTATAATGAATATGGTCTGTTTCAGTTCTTGAAGGGATATAGCAACCTACTCACACTAGGATGCAGAGAGATTAGGAGATATAATATGGTAATAGTTCAGTTGCCCTGGGAAACAGTCATCTCATTCTGGTAACTCTTCAAGGACAGTTGAGGTGATGATCATTTGCCAGGATTATGTCCTCAATGGCATATTTCTTTGCTACTTATTTCTTTTCTTACTTTGGTTTAGTAACACAATTGCTCCCTAAAACTCAGTTTTCTTACATATAACATGGGATAAAATATCTTCTCAAAGTTTTTGGGAGGTTCACATTTCATAGTATTTCCAAAGGCAATTTGCATAATGTGAATTTTTGTAAGATCTCTTCATTATAATGAATTTCTTTGCTCTATGGGAGGCTGCAAAGGGAAAGCAGTAATCAGGGTTTTAAGAGACTAATTAATACATTTATGCACAGGGCTCTCTAAGACATATTCCCTGTAATTAGTGATAGATGTTCTATAATTAACGTTTATATTTTCTTAAATCTCCAGATGTAACATCTAAAATTATGAATATAAGCAAAATAGTCATACTCTCCAACATGATCTCTTTTCCTACGATACTAATCTTTTCAGTGATATCAAAATTTGAAATAAGGATCTGAATTGTTTTCCATTTAAAATAATAAAATGTTTTCCAACCAAATGTTTTCAAGTAGCAGATACACACTTTCCATAATTGTGGAATTGAATATATGTTATGATTACAGGTCCAGTGAATTGATGCAGTGGTCTCAGCAATAATTTATCGTATAAAATGCTTTCATCACATTGCAGTTAGTTTAACATTAAGATATTTTTCTCAGGATTTGTATTTGTTTTCTTCATTAACGTTCAATTAATAGAAATTGAACAAATGATTGGGGTACATATTATCACACACATTTTTAGTTGATGCTCAATTAGTTGAAGAACGTTTCTTATGTTTGTTCAGTTTATAAATGGTGGAGCCAGGATTCTGACACAGGTCTCTCTAATTTCAAAAGATTTTCCACTTTATAAACATTTGCAGGCTGGGAGTGGTGGCTCACACCTGTAATCCCAGCACTTTGGGAGGCAAAGGCAGGTGGATCACCTGATATCAGGAGTTCGAGACCAGCCTGACCAACATGATGAAACCCTGTCTCTACTGAAAATACAAAAATTAGCCAGGCATGGTGGCGGGTGCCTGTAATCCCAGCTGCCTGAGAGGCTGAGGTGGAAGATTGCTTGAACCTGGGAGGTGGAGGTTGCAGTGAGCCAACATGGCGCCATTGCACTCCAGCCTGGGCAACAAAAGCGAAACTCCGTTCCTACCCCCGCCAAAAAAAATCGTAAATTAGTCTGAGAGTGAGAAATGTAATGTAGTTTTTAAAGATGCAAAGACTAGTGGCTATCAGAAACTTGATTACAGACAAGCTATAGAAAGTTGCCTGGGATCCATAGTGAGAAGCTGGGATAGCACTTCAGTCACTATATTTCGTAGGGGAAGTAACCATACTTAATGGGACTAAAAAGAACCTAAAAAGTTTTATAGTAATGAAAAATGCTATGAAAAATCATAACATATTTAAGTTTAGTTTTGAATTAAAATTTTCTATAAAGACATTAAATCCTGAAAGTAGAACAACCAATTTAGGAAAACTAATTTTTGCAATCTTGGCATGAGGCAAGGGAAATGAATTTTCATTGGGAAATAATTGTAACTAAAATGAAAGAAGGGCTCCAAAATAGAAAAAAACAAAAAACAAAACAGTATTCCTTAAATATTTGCAATATTCTAATTGTGGCAAATGCTGACAAGCAAGGATTTGAAAATAAGTCTGAAAATTACTACTTGGGATATTCTGAAGACAGGAGAAGCAGTACCAGTAATCAGAATGTTAAATTTACTGTAAGATCAAGAGATATAAAATGCGACTGGGATGTAAATCAATGCAATTAGACATTGCAACACTATTACAAATTTATCATGAAAATTTGTCATTGAGGACATGTTTTGAGATGAGTAGATTTCTACTGCAGAAATGCACACATTTTTCTAAGATTAATATTATGTGGCAAACAAAACACAGATATCCTTGATTAAAGTGAAAATCTTCATAACAACAATAGCTGTTTTCTGAAAATTGATATGTGCCATCCTTTTTCAAAATTCTGAAGATTGTAAGTGACATGTAAGCTTCAAATATTGGCTCAGATTGCATATTTAGGTGAGAAAAAGTCTTTGATAGAGTTAAATAATTCTTACCTTGAAATATTTGAAATAAAATACAATAGAAGAAAATTGTTTAAATATAATAAAGGATTTTAACCAAATAGCAAAAGCAGCATGTTTTTATCTACTTCAGCCAAATAATAAAGCAATTTTAGTTATTATTAAGAAGCAGACAGGGTTAGCAGCTGCCAACATCATTATCAAGTGCAAAGAGAGAAGAAAATAAAATAATAGGCAAAAACATTGGAAAAAAGAAATGATCTTTTTGATTATATCTTTGTGTGCAAAGAAAACTCAAGCTATTAAAGTAAAACAAATATAGCAAAATTAATCAGAAAATTTGTAAGATGTATGAACACCAGAAAAATAAGTTTAAAAAGATTTTCTGCTTACCTACATTTAGAAATGGAGATGATTCTGATAATGTGCTATAACTATACAATGCTCAGGAAAAGCTAGAAAGAAAGTTTCAAAGACTTATTCAATTTGCACAATACTATAATAGAATATCTTATGAAAGAAAATAAAAAGCTGAAGAAATGGAAATGCAGATGTAATCTTGACCGGAAAGATCTATCATAAAATTTAAATCTTCTAAATTGATACGTAAATTAAGACATCTACTGGATTCTTTATTCAATAAAATTATTCAAAATGTGCATAAAATACATTATCAGGACTCAAGGGAAAATTTTCTCTCATGAGAAATGAGAATATTGTTTTGGTTTAAGAATAGAAAAATAAAAAGGAATATAAACAAGAATTTAGAAACACATCTGAGTACTTTTGAGAATATAACATAAGGTAAACTTCATAGTACAACATGGTGAAAAAAAATTATTTGAGAAATAGTGCCAATACAACTGACCGTCCATCTAGAAAACAATAAAAGTGGATCTTCAGTTAAACTATCTGTAAAAAGTATTGCAGAAATATTAACAGTTTAAGTATAAAAAGTGAAGTGAAAAAACAAACAAAGCAAAATGAAAATTAAAAAAGCCCTCTGCAAAAAAGAAAAACCAAGGGAGTACACATACACATCCACACACAACACAGTCACAAATGCACACACATTATACACACACACGTCCATATACACACACACAATGGAGACCTCTATCATGAACAGAAACCCAGAGACGAATGGGGATAATACAGGAATATTAATGTCTTAATATATAGAAAGTTATATAACTCAATAGAAAAATAGGCAGATGATTATAAGTAGACATTCTATGTAAGAGAAGTACAATAGTCCAAACATATTAAGATATTCAAATCCACTCGTAGTTAGGAAAATTCAAAATAAAAAAATCCATACTATTTTAATTTTATTTATCATCAGACAGGTAACAGTTTTTACGGTTGTTGCTGGCAGAGAGGTGTGGAAACCAACCAGCGTGCTTGTGCAGTGCTGGTGAAAGTGATGCCTCTGGCTCCTGTTGAGTCTGTGGGGTAGGAGTCTTCTCTTGACGTCCATACAGTTCTAGTTGCTCTGGCTATAGACTATCTAGTGACCTAAGGTGCCAGTTATTTTTATCCCAGATTGTGAATTCCAACACATTCTGTATATTTGACTTCATCTTCTTATATATAGTTTCCTTCTTTGTCCTTGCATGTAAATACTCTTCCTCTCCATACAAGTTTGAGAGTCACTTTCAAACATTTTATTGTTAAGTACTTGCAAATCAATGAAAAGATTTCAGTTTTTAGAATTTATACCTTATTTTTGGAAGACATAAAAACTCAGACACTCAGAAAAAAAACCACTTGTATTTGTTGATTCTGCATTGTTGTGATCATAATATTCTAAGAATAGGAGCTTAGAATGAGATTTCTAATAAAGTTTCCTTTGTGATAGGAAGTCTGCTTTTTGTATATCTTAGAACATTTATTGGTTGTAATCCAATGAATGATTACCTTTTATAACATAATCATTTATTGGTTGTAAGCCAATAATAGGTTACCTTTTATAAGCGAATCAACTACAGTATTGCTTATTTGGTTTTAGGTAAAATTAAGCATCTATTCACAAACATTTCAAAATTTCTGGTTAGTTCTTGACACTTCAAAGTGGACACACATCTGCATCCACAGCAGGTTTTACAGCAGGAGACACAGTGTGTTTTGCTATTTGTTGTGCTTTGATTTTTATATTGGCAGCTTTTGTGATAAGAAATAATGGCTTATAGACACCTTTAGTATGGTGATGAAGAGAGACTGCAGTAGCAATAACATGATTTGAAATATTCGCCCTCAGAAGCCTAGCGAATTGCCTCAAGCAAATATTTCTAAATCTAAGGTCTTTTACAAGTTTCCTGGGTTTTACCATTGATTTTTAAATTCCATTTAGTACAAATTGCATAATTAGTAACAATTTTACCTAAGCCAATCAGCCTTTTCCACAAATATATAGATATCTGTATTTTTGTGAAGTAAGTCATTTATTTTTAAAATATCTTTGGCATAGTTGGAGCTATTTCAAAGCACCGAAGGAAAGGAAAAGGAAAAAATTCAGAATAAGATGGTGGTGAAATTGCAGGTTTTAATCCAGATATGGAGATGGAATGGATTCGGGTATTTCCCAGATTAACAAAAAAGACTTAATGAAAGATAGTAACCTTGAATGAACTTTCCCAAAAAGAATAAAAAACACACCACAGCATGGGACTGTTGTAAATGTTTTGCAACAACAAAGAAGATTAATATATTACTAAAAACATACACAGAACAATATTTCTGAAAATGATTTACACTAGGAACCAGAAGAAAAATTTAGAATGTATTGCTTAATACCAAAAAAAAATTAAGAAGATCAACTCAATACCAAATTAAATAAGTCACTATATTGAGATAAGAAAAGGTATTGGTAGAATTAGAAAATAAAGTGAGGGAAGAAATAATATCAGAAAAGATTTTAAAGTGAAGAAAGAAAGAAAATAATATGAATAAAAATGTATCAGTGATAGAGGATAGACATGAAAAATATAATATTGAATCCAACAAATAGTCATGGTGAACAAAGTGACCAGAAGGTGGTAGCATCCAATTAGATGTTGTCCAGAAGATGACGGCACTCCAAAACAAGCATAACAGGTATCTTCAATGAAAACAATTGAAAAAAAAAAGAAACAAAAACATTAAATGGTACAGTAGGTGAAAATTTTATTAAATTGAAAAAATTAAATCTACTGATAACAAGAGTTGTCAATGTTCATCAAGATAAATGAAAAGCAGAAACAACAAAACATAACTTACCAGGATTATTGAACTTCATGAATAAACCGAAACCTACATGGGACTAGGGAGAGCCATCTAAAGAGAACAGTAACAATTCTGTCCTTTTCTTCCATAGCTAGGAAATCAGAAGGAAATAGAATATCAACTACAATATCTTGAGGAAAAGAGTTGCTACATCAAGAATTTTAACCTTACCCCAATATTGTTCATAGATTGAGATAACATTAAATTATTTTCAAATATGCAAACCTCCAGGAAGGATTACTAATGTAACTTGGAAAATGGAAAAACAAAGCAAGGTAAAACAATTAAAAAAACCCCAAAACTACTTGAAGATATACACTACTCAACTGAAGGTTGAATAGGAACAAATAATTGATAAATAGGAGAGTTTTGGTTCCAAGGGGTAATGTTAAGTATTAAAACCATTTAAACATACAGTTTAGTATAGATAATTAACATATGTCTAAAACCTAAAGAAATAAATTAAGTGCTAAGAGTAAAAATAATTAGAAAACTAGGAAAATGTTCAGTGAATATAACAATAAAAATAAAGGTAATTTGGGGATGTCGGAAATAGAAGAAACCCAGACTATAAAACAAAATAGAGAAAATAAAGGACACAAAAAGGAAGGATGTAAAACAAAATGTTATATTAAGAGACAGAAGTAAGATACAAATATACATGACAAATTTAGCTTTTCAAATAAATACATAAATTGAGTAAATACAAAAGCAAACTACAAATACTATTACATAATTTCTATGAGACTCACATGTAAAAATAAATCAGAAGTTAAAAATTAAATGTGAAGATTAGTTATCAAATGGAACAAATATAAAAATGTTTGCAAATTTAATATGAAACTTTAAATAAATGTAACATGTTTAAACAATTACAAAGGAGGCTTATATTTTACTGAAATGTAACTCAACAAGTGACATAGTATTGAAATCTATAAAGTCAAAACCAAAGTAAATGTTGTATCTAGAGATATTGGCAGAAAATCAGTACTAGTGTGAAACTAATTGCCTCCTTTAGTCCTTAAAAGATTACATTGAACACAGATAAATGAATGGGAAATTAAAAAGATTTCAAAACTATGTAATAAACTCCATGCACTACAGAAAATCACCTTCTTTTAAGCACTTGTAAGGTTTTTTTTTTTAATTGAACATCAATATATTCCAAAAGATAGAATTAGTGTAGGTTATAGACACTGGGAACAATATTAGAAAGCTAGAAATAAATAACAGAAGAAAAATAGTGTTAAAAAATGTGAGAATAAACAATTTTGTAGTCAAAGAAGAAAATAAATTAAAATTTAATAAGCAAGGAGACTGCATATAAAAACCTCTGGTATATTGCCAAAGCTGTATTTACAGGAAAGTTATAGAATTAAGCGCCTTTATTACATTCTTATTATATAAATGTAAAAATGGAACAAAAAGCTACTGAATTTGAAAATTTATATAAAGAAAAAATAGACAAAAAAAGCAGGAGAAAATAATTTTAGCTAAAATTAATGAATAGAAAACTGAAAAGCAGTATAAAGTATAATAAATCCAAGAGCTTTTTGTACCTTGGTGATAAATATCTAAGTGGTTTTTCAAAGAAGGAAAAAAACAGGCAAGCACACAAATTAGGGATAAATAAGAAGACAAAGCCAGCTGACACAGAAGTCAAAGCTATTGGGTAATACTTTCTATTGATTTATGTTAAAAATGTTAAAATCTAGAAAAATGTATTTTCTCCAGGAAGACCTAAATTGCTGAATGTTGCTAAAATAGATAGGAAATATATGTAGTTTAGTATCTATGAAATTCTTGAGGAAATTGTTCTACACCTACCCCTAAAAGCTATCCAGATAGCTTCAAAGACTTCAAGGAAGAGACAATTCTGAAGAGTTTGAGTAATCTATAGATCACAGGAAAAGGTAGGAAAGCTTCCAAACTTGTGAAACTGAGCACATAAATAATACTTTCATTTTGATTATATAGGCAAAAAGGTAAAATGTTATAGAAAACAGTTGTATTTTACATATAGTTACAATTATATTTCAAAAGACCCTTCACTAAGTAGTGCTCATTCTAAAACTGCTGGGAGAGTGCATATTGTGAATTCACATGATTAGTTTAAAGAAGATGAAAAGTATTCATTCATGTTGCAAAGACTTTTTTAATTGATGAACTGTTAATCCATTTTGGATGTTAGTTAAAACTAATTTTTTTTATACTTTAATTTCTGGGATACATGTGCAGAACGTGAATGTTTGTTGCATAGGTATACATGTGCCATGGTTGTTAGCTGCACCCATCAACCTATCATGTACAATAGGTATTTCTCCTAATGCTATTCCTCCCCTAGTCCCCAAGCCCCGACAGGCCCTGGTATGTGACGTTCCCCTCCCTGCGTCCATGTGTTCTCATTGTTCAGCTCCCACTTGTGAGTCAGAACATGTGGTGTGTTTTTCTGTCCTGTGTTAGTTTGCTGAGAATGATGGTTTCCAGCTTCATCCATGTTCCTGCAAAGGACATGAACTCATTCTTTTTTATGGCTGCATAGTATTCCATGGTGTATATGTGACACATTTTCTTTATCCAGTCTATCATTGATGGGCATTTGAGTTGGTTTCAAGTCTTTGCTATTGTGAATAGTGCTGTAATACACATACTTGCGCATGTGTCTTTATAGTAGAATGATTTATAATCCTTTGGGTATATACCCAGTAATGGGATTGCTGGATCAAATGGTATTTCTAGTTCTAGATCCTTGAGGAATTGCCACACTATCTTCCACAATGGTTGAACTAATTTACACTCCCACCAACGGTGTAAAAGCGTTCCTATTTCCCCACATTCTCTCCAGCATCTGTTGTTTCCTGATTTTTTAATGATTGCCGTTCTAACTGGCATGAGGTGGTATCTCACTGTGGTTTTGATTTGCATTTCTCTAATGACCAGTGATGATGAGCTATTTTTCATATGTTTGTTGGCAGCATAAATGTCTTCTTTTGAAAAGTGTCTTTTTATATCCTTCACCCACTTTTTGATGTTTTTTTTTTCTTGTAAATTTGTTTAAGCTCCTTGTATATTCTGGATATTAGCTCTTTGTCAGATGGGTAGATTGAAAAAACTTTCTCCCATTCTGTAGGATGCCTGTTAACTCTGATGACAGTTTCTTTTGCTATGCAGAAGTTCTTTAATTTAATTAGATCCCATTTGTCAATTTTGGCTTTTGTCGCCATTGCTTTTGATGTTTTAGTCATGAAGTCTTTGCCCATGCCTGTGTCCTGAATGGTATGGCCTAGATTTTTTTCTAGGGTTTTTATGGTTTTAGGTCTTATGTTTAAGTCTTTAATCCGTCTTGAGTTAATTTTTGTGTAAGGTGTAAGGAAGGGGTCCAGTTTCAGTTTTCTGCATATGGCTAGCCTGTTTTCCTAACACCATTAATTAAATAGGGAATCCTTTCCCCGTTGCTTGTTTTTGTCAGGTTTGTCAAAGATCAGATGGTTGTAAACGTGTGGCATCATTTCTGAGGCCTCTGTTCTGTTCCATTGGTCTATGTATCTGTTTTGGTACCAGTACCATGCTGTGTTGTTTACTGTAGCCTTGTGGTGTACTTTGAAGTCACGTAGTGTGATGCCTCCATCTTTGTTCTTTTTGCTGAGGATTGTCCTGGCTATATACTCTCTTTTTTGGTTCCATATGAAATTTAAAGTAGTTTTTTCTAATTCTGTGAAGAAAGTCAATGGTAGCTTGATGGGGGTAGCATTGAATCTATAAATTACTTTGGGCAGTATGGCCATTTTCACGATACTGATTCTTCCTATCCATGAGCCTGGAAGGTTTTTCCGTTTGTTTGTGTCCTCTCTGATTTCCTTGAGCAGTGGTTTGTAGTTCTGTTTGAAGAGGTCCTTCACATCCCTTTTAAGTTGTATTCCTAGGTATTTTATTCTCTTTGTAGCAATTGTGAATGGGAGTTTACTATGATTTGGCTCTCTGTCTATTATTGGTGTATAGAAATGCTTGTGATTTTTGCACATTGATTTTTGTATCCTGAGACTTTGCTGAAGTTCCTTATCACTTTAAAGAGTTTTTGGGCTGAGACGATGCAGTTTTCCAAATGTACAATCACGTCATCTCCAGACAGACACAATTTGACTTCTTCTCTTCCTATTTGGATACTCTTTATTTTTTTCTCTTGCCTGATTGCCCCGGGCAGAACTTCCAACACTATGTTGAATAGGAGTGGTGAGAGAGGGCATTCTTGTCTTTTGCCAGTTTTCAAAGGGAATGCTTCCAGCTTTTGCCCATTCAGTATGATATCGGCTGCTGGTTTGTCATAAAGAGCTCTTATTATTTTGAGATACATTCCATCAATACCTAGTTTATTGAGTGCTTTTAGCATGAAGTGTGTTGAATTTTATCCAAGGCTTTTTCTGTATCTATTGAGATAATCATGTGGTTTTTGTCATTGGTTCTGTTTATGTGAAGGATTACGTTTATTGATTTGCGTATGTTGAACCAGCCTTGCATCTGAGGGATGAAGCTGACTTGATCGTGGAGGATAAGCTTTTTGATGTGTCGCTGGATTTGGTTTGCCAGTATTTTATTGAGGATTTTTGCATCAATCTTCATGAGGGATATTGGCCTGAAGTTTTCTTTTTTTGTTGTATCTCTGCCAGGTTTTGGTATCAGGATGATTCTGGCCTCATAAATGAGTTAGGGAGGAGTCCCTCTTTTTCTATAGTTAGGATTAATTTTAGAAGGAATGGTACCAGGTCCTCTTTGTACCTCTGGCAGAATTCAGCTGTTAATCCGTCTGGTTCTGGGCTTCTTTTTCGTTAGTAGGCTATCAATTACTGCCTCAATTTCAGAACTTGTTATTGGTCTATTCAGGGATTCAACTTGTTCCTGGTTTAATCTTGGGAGGGTGTGTGTGTCCAGGAATTTATCCATTTCTTCTAGACTTTCTAGTTTTTTGTGTGTAGAGATGTTTATAATATTCTCTGGTGGTGGTTTGTATTTCTGTGGGATCTGTGGTGATATCCCCTTTATCATTTTTTATTGTGTCTATTTGATGCTTCTTCTCTCTTTTCTTCTTTATCAGTCTGGCTAGCGTGCTATCTATTTTATTCATCTTTTCAAAAAACTACCTCCTGGATTCATTGATTTTTTTGAAGGGTTTTTCGTGTCTCTATCTCCTTCAGTTCTGCTCTGATTTTAGTTATTTCTTGTCTTCTGCTAGCTTTTGAATTTATTTGCTCTTGCTGCTCTAGTTCTTGTAATTGTGATGTTAGGGTGTCGATTTTAGATCTTTCCCACTTTCTTTTGTGGGTATTTAGTGCTAATAATTTTCCTCTAAACACTGATTAAGCTGTAGCCCAGAGATTCTGGTACATTGTGTCTTTGTTCTCATTGGTTTCAAAGAAATTATTTATTTCTGCCTTAATTTCATTATTTACCCAGCAGTCATTCAGGAGCACGTTGTTCAGTTTCCATGTAGTTGTGCAGTTTTGAGTGAGTTTCTTAATCCTGAGTTCTAATTTGATTACACTGTGGTCTGAGAGACTGTTTGTTATGATTTCCGTTCTTTTTAAATGAAATTCGGCGTCCATTCACAGTAAAAAAAAAAAGTGATTAGTAAAATTTGTGAGGAATATTTATCTTTTACAAGACAAATTTTAACATCAAGTTTATGGTTGAAATCCTAAAAATTCCCACAAATGAGTAAGATAATGGTGTCCACCATCACCATTTAAAAAAATTAATAAGGTAATAAGATGAAATAATGCATGCAGCTAATGTAAGACTAGGTGAGTTGGCTATTGACTCAGAAAACCTAAAAGAACAGCTAAAAATATTAAAAATAAATAATAAATTTCTCAAGGGTATTGGTTATAAATAAATACACCAAAATAAATACCAATAAAATCTCGTAGTGAATAGACTGGAAACAGGATGAAGTCAAGACAGCAGACTCTTCACTCATTTATTTTATAGCTATGGTTCTCCAGTTTCAGCATGCATAAGAATCACTGGAGACTGTGCTGAAACAGATTTCTGGGCCTCAGACATGCTGATTCCAGAGATGCTGATTCAGTTTTTCTGGGTGGGGCTTGAGAATTTGCCTTTCTAACAAGTTTACAGTGATCCTAATGCTGCTGGTTCCTGGACTATTTTTGAATAGCCTACAACTCTGTGAAGTTGAAGTCCTATCCAGCCATGTTTCACAAAAAAGCAAGCCTTGCCAAATCTTCAATACCCTTTCATGTGTGCTATCCCAGTGAAGTACACCTTCACCTCCTGAAGCCCACTCCCTCACTGGGACTTCGTAATCCAGCATTCATCTGTTTCCCACATTCACCTCTAAGTTCTGGAAGAAAACATTCACCCGTTTTCCAATTCTACCTCTAAGTTTTGGAAGAAACATGGGTCCTCCTGTTTCTTCCAAAACTTAGAAGTAGTTAGAGAACAAAGGTAAAACTCCACCATCAACCCTAATTCAATGTCATTGCCATTCCTAAAACTTAAAAGGAAGAGAAGATGGAAAAGAAAAGATAAGGAATAGAGAAAACAGATCAGAGAAGCTGAAAGGAAAGCCTCCAATGCAGCCACGCCATTGTTGGAGATGGTTTTTACCTGTAAGTTTCTCAGCCTTGCAGCATCCACTCCCCATGCCTTTCAATCCCCTTGTACCTACTCATTGCTTTTCTCAGATATTGTGCTTTCAGACTGATTTGATTTCAGATTCATTGCTTTTCTCAGATATTGCACTTTCAGATTTATTTGAAGCTTTCCTTTATTTAGAGCAGTGACTCAAATCCGAATGCATGTCAGATTCCATTAAATGGCAATACCTGAGTCCCACCTTTGAGATTTTGGTTTTATTGGTCTGAGATGGGAGTACTGGCATTTTATTAAAGTTTTCCCACGAAATACAATGCACATCCATGATTGAGAAGATATCCCTATCACCTCAAAGTTGGCTAAGAATTGTGCCCCAGACCACAGAAGTGAGAATTTTCCCCAAATTGCCAAACCATCTTTCTTTTCTTCCACCTGGAAATGTGTACTTTCCATTTGATTGAGATTAAAGTTCAAAAGTATCTCTGTAGTTAAATTTGTGTGGAGAATGCAAATTATAACAATGACTGAGGATTCAGGCAGTTCAGCTTCTGACTTACGGTTGATGACTGATTTTATGCGTCAACTTGGCTAAGCTACAAAGACCAAATGTTTGGTCGAACACCAGTCTAAAGGTTGCTATGATGATATTTTTCAGATAAGGTTGGCATTTAATCAGCAGACTTGAGAAAAGTCACGTACCTTCCATAATGTGGGTGAGCTTCCTCCAGGCAGTTGAGGGCCTTAAGAGAAAAGGGTGATGTCTACCAGAGGAAGAGGGAAATCTGCCTTCAACCTGAGTTCACATTCAAGTTGCAAGATCAGCTCTTCCCTGGGTCTCCAGCCTGCTCAGCAGATTTTGATTTTGCTAGCCCCTACAATCATGTGAGCCAATGCTTTAAAATCTGCCTCTTCTCTCGCTCTGTCTCTCTGTATCCCTCCCTCCCTTTCTCTCTCTCTCTCTTTATTGTCCCCCAATTTCTCTCCCTCTCCTTGCTTCTCTCTCTTCTCTCTCTCCCCGCTTATCTCCCTTCTGGCCTCTCTCCTCTCTACTCCTCCTCCTTTTCTCCCTCCCCACTTTTCTCTCTCTTTTCTCTCCCTCTCTACTCTCCTCTTTCTCTCTCCCCCTCACTCTCCCTCTTTTTTCTCTCTCCTCCCTCTCTTTCCCTTTCTCTCCTCTCTCTCTCATTCCTCTTTGCCTCTCTCTCCCTCACTCTTCCACCTCTTCCTTCTCTCTCTCTCTCTGTGTGTGTGTGTGTGTGTGTGTGTATGTATGTATTTCCTTCATGCATCCTGTAGGTATGTGTATACACATACTTACATGTAGACACACACATCCTACTGTTATTTTTTCTTGGGAGGACCGTAACACACCATTGAACTAGGTGGAAGTGAGATTAACTGCTAAGGCCCTGGGGTTTATGGCTTCCCTTTGGGTAACTTTGTCCCCTGAACAGAATACAGATCAACATTGAGTCCCCTGAATTTCTCTTAAACCTGAGCATGAGATAGTCTCTCTAGGGTCCTCAGCTCGAGTCTGTGATCTCTGTTCCTTATCTCACCCCTATTCAGAGCTGGTAAGATATGCATAAAAGATGGTGGATGATAAACTTAAAATCTAACATTTGGGTTCTAAAACCTTTACAAATATTCAGACTTATGTAGCAGCTAGATGATTGAGCTTTCCACAATAACCTCTGCACTTTAGATTCCAGTTTCAGAACTGCACATTAAACCAATTTTGGCGGAGGGTACAAGGCAAATGTTAGATAAAACATGGAATATTAACCTTCACAGCAAAACCTTTTAGATTCATTTAGATAACTGATTGCTCAAATAGCCTGTTTCCATTATTGTCTAAGCTTTGTGAATCACAGAAAGTACACTGCTAATCACCACTTGTCTGGTTTTAAACAGGTCAGAATGTCCTCAAAAATAAAAGCTCAGTAAGCCATTAACCTTTTGTGTTGGCCACTGCTATTTTATCTAGAGACCTTGTTATGAGGACAAGACGATTGATCTATGGCAGTGGTTCTGAAATGATAGTGTGTATTAAATTAACCAGAGTGCTTGAAAAACATAGAGTTTTTGGGTCCTACTCCTAGACCTTCTGATTTAGTAGGTTTTGGGTAGAACCTCAAAATCTGCAATTTTAACAAATTCCCAAGTGATGCTGATAACTGCTGATCCATACACTCCACTTTTAGAAACTCTAACTCTTAAAAATTGCAGTGGAGCAAATGAATTAATGGAAAATATATTTTTTCACCTGGGTTCAGTAGGTGATCAACAGGGATTTATCGAGCACTTAATATGTGTTTGGTCAGCACCATGATAGTGTTGTGTAGATGAGAATAGTTGCTGAGATCAAAGAACTAACCATCCATTTGGAAGATCAAGACTAACATACCTATTTGTAGAAAAGAACAAAACTTGAGATATAACAGCTTATGTGTCACAGATGAAAAGACTGGCAGGAGTTCATAGGAAAGGAAGATAATGAGGACTCCGGGAACTGCAGAAAGCTTCTGTCGAAGGGGAAATGAACTGGGCTTGGAAGAACTGCATTAATAGATTAGAAAATCAGAAATTCAAGGTGGGAGAGTCACTGGGGACAGAGGCAGAATGGGCATTAAATCGGCTGTTTAGGGGAAATGGTTGGTGTCTTGCACATGAATGTATTTAACAAATAATGTGATGATTACCATGACTTAGAGTGGTAAACAGATTTGGAATGGTTAGGGGAAGAGGTATATTATGAGAGATCTGTGAGCCCAGGCAGAGGATATAGAATTAGCACAGTAGGAGATTCAGAATATTAAGCAGAAGAAATGCATGATAAAAGTAATATGTAGGAAATATAAATTTAGAAACAATGTGCAGAATAGGTTGGACAGTGTGGAAACGAAAGATGCATTGAGTTCCTGGAGCTAAGGACTTATTGGGGTGGGGGGGTCCAAGAGTGAGAAGATTAGGACCAGAATTAAGCCTGTTGCAGTAAGAGTAAGAAAATAGATACCAAAATTTTGTATGGAAAATGATTTGTTTCAGTGACATAAACAAATGCATAAATGTGGTACTTTTGAATGTGGGTATTCATCAAGAAAGGAAATGTTATTAACAGGGAGAAATATTTTTAAAATTTAGTTTTGCCAGAGAGATGTATCTGGTTTTGGATATGTTGATTTGAGGTAATAATACATTCAAAAAAATTATCTAGCTAAGATTTGTATATTTAAGGAGAGTACACGACATATCAATTTGAAAGTAACTGATATTAATTTTTTATTTAAAGCTGTAAATGTGAGAGAAAATATTTACTCACACACATTTATTCCTTAAGTTTTAATGGATCACTTTCTGTAAGTCAGACATTGTAGTGGGAGTACAAATGGGAAATTAATAAGAGAATTTAGAGAGAGAAAGTCAAGGAATTGAATCTAGGAAGGGCTCCTTAGTTAGAGTTTGGGTAGAGTCAGAGGAATAAATGAAGAAAACACATGAAAGGTACAGTTGTAAAAAGAGAATGAGGATGGTGTTGAAAAGGGTTGGAAGTAGAGGAAATGATACCTTGTGGCAGCAGAGGTCAACGATAACCATGGAGAAGAAATGTGACTGGCATTGGCAAAAGAAAACATTAAAAATCTCTTAGGGAAGAGTAGGCAGAAGAAGGGAGTAGATTTGAAGAGACTGATGAAGATAGAGCCATAGAGCAATAAAAGTAGAAACAAGTTAGGATACCACGTTGGTGGAGAGCTAATAATTTGAAGGAAGAAAAAAATACCTCATCTTCTGAGACTGAAGGGAAAACACAACAGAAATATGACTTATTTTCAATACAATCTTTTTTTCAAAATTAAACATATATTTTTACATAAATCTATAATGATTAAATATTTTTTGCATATAATCTACTCTTATAAATTATATATGCATTTAAATGTGAACATTAAATGGATGCTGACTTTGAACTAAAGGTATTTCTATTAATATTATCACCGTATTTAATTTTTACATGAATATTTTGGAGAATGAGATAAATTAAATCTAACAAAGTGAATTATAAAATATCTAGTAGAATAATAAATTGCTTATTTTCTTCTTTCTATTTAAAAAAATTTGCAGGCAAATGAATGTGAACATTCACATTTTCTTTCCCCTGACGTAGAGAAATCTTCATGAGGATGGAGAACATAGGAGTTAAGCCACTTTCAGAGGTGGGAATGGAAATTTTCAGATTTGATGATGTTCCAGGTAGAGAAATAACACCATTGATTCAAGAAAGAAAAATGGGCCTAAAAGGTCAGTAGTATATTTGGTAAGAAGTAGAAAATAGCTGGGGGAAGAATATGAAACTTAATTTTACCATCACATATTTTGGAAATTTATTGGTGATTTTACAGAGAGGGCTATTATGGTCAAAGACATAGTTGTATACTTTACAAATGAAGGCTAGGGGTATACAAATTCCGAATTTTACTTAAAGTGGCACAGGGTCATCACTGCTATTAACATGAGACCTTAGCTGAGAAAATGAAAGGGAAAATATGGGAAAGATGAATAAATTTGCAATAAATTTTGCATTTGACTTAATGTGGTGAATTTTTACTAATGAAAAGCTGAAAATAATTACATAATATGTCATCAATAATCGGGAAATTAAGCAGAAACAAATTTTCAGAATACGAATGAATTCTTATATGGTTAGGAAATACTTTTCAGAGCAACTCAGCATTTTTGGGTCAAGAGAAAAATAGCAACCACAATTCCTTACAGTCACATGAAAGTCAAAAGTCTGAAAAGGAACAGATACTTAAGTGTATGAAATGATAGAAAAAAAAATCCACAATAAAATACATATTGCAGTTCTAATTTCCCTGTACAAAGTAAGATGCTTGCAGGGGTATAGAATGTACAGAGCAAAATATAAAACAAAAAATAAAAATAATAACAAGGTTCTCACTTTTAAAGAGACTGCATATATTAAAATAGGTAACATGAGACATATATGCAAAGAAACACATGATACATCATAATACGGATAATTTGCAGCAAAAGATGGTTCAAATAAAGTATCAATTAAAAACATTTTTTTTAGAAAGATGATCTCACTCTGTCACCCAGGCTAGAGTGCAGTGGTCTGATCATAGGTCACTGCAGCCTCAAATTCCTGGGCTTAAGGGATCCTCCCACCTCAGCCTCCTGAGTAGCTGGGACTATAGGCATGTGCCACCACATTCTGCTAATTTATTTTATTTTATTTTGTAGAGACAGGGTCTCATTATGTTGCCCAGGCTAGTCTGGAACTCATGCCCTTAAGTAATCCTCCTGCCTTAGCCTCCCAAAGTGGTGAAGTTACAGGTGTGAGCCACTGTGCTCAGGTACCAAATTTTAGAAGCTTTTTTCAGATTGTCTAAGATTCAATCCTCACTGAGCATCTTAAATATAGATTTTCAACTCTCATGGGCAAGAAAATACCATATTTAGGTTGAGTTGAGACTAATTTTGTAATTGAGTCCCATCAAAGGTTTATTTTCAAAATATTCAGTTTAATCTAGGCAAAACTGCTTACCCAATGGTTATTTTAAAAGATGACCTTCGAGACCATCCTGGCTAACAAGGTGAAACCCCGTCTCTACTAAAAATACAAAAAATTAGCCGGGCGCGGTGGCAGGCGCCTGTAGTCCCAGCTACTGGGGAGGCTGAGGCAGGAGAATGGCGTGAACCCGGGAAGCGGAGCTTGCAGTGAGCCGAGATTGCGCCACTGCAGTCCGCAGTCCGGCCTGGGCGACAGAGCGAGACTCCGTCTCAAAAAAAAAAAAAAAAAAAAAAAAAAGATGACCTGTTTGACTTAATGTGGCCTATTTGCTTGTGCTGTATAAAAACGCCAACAGTCTCTTTAGTGATTTGGAAACTTGAACACTCATAAGATTTTCATATTTGAACATATACTCTAAGACGATAACTTTCAAAAGAACTTAAAAGTTATTTCTCAACTTAAAAAGTTATTTTGTTACACAAATATGTTAGTTTATTGAAGAATGTCAAGCTGGTTTTCTTTACACAGTTGTCCTCCTAAGGATAATTAAAATGCTATCATGGCGTTCCAGTTTGTACTCCTACTACAATACCTGGCATTTAGGTGCAAGTAAAACTTACAGCGCATATGTAAATTGTGAATACTCTGAAGGTGTTTTTATTTTATAGTGTTTGATAGCACATTTTAAAATCTTGGAAACTCTATTTCTTGGAATACATTTTAATACCTCCCAGTCCTAGTGTTCCTGGAAACATAATTGGAAAATAAAATGCCACAAATTCAATGCAACCATGGCTAGTGCTCAAGGAAAGATCTTTGCTCAAGAGAATAATTTAGCAAATAATGGTTTCGAAGAAATAGGACATTACTAAGTACACTGGATAAATGGTTGTGATTTCTGTATCTCAAAATATTGAGCTGATTATGCCATTAATTTGCTCAAAATCTTCTCTGGTTCTCCATTACCTTTAGAATGAATTCCACACTTTTTACCTTAATATTCAAAGCTCTTTATTATTTGGCCCCAGTTTATTATACTTTTTTAAAATCTATTTTATTCCCTAAAGAAAAAAAGAAATTCCTGCCTTCACAGATATCCTATATTCCAGTGAGAAAAACAGTCAACAAAATTAGTAAAATGCAAGTCTATCATATGGTGATAAATGGCTTGATAAATGCTAAGTAGAGAATAAAGATATATCTGTGGGAGGGTGCTAGCTATAAATAATACTGTTCAGGGAGGGCCTCCTTGAGTGACATTTGAACACACTCTGATGGCAATGAGGGAATGAGTCATAGATATGGGTGTTAAATTGTAAAAACTGCAGGTGAAAGCCCAGCATGGATGAAGGCCCTAAGTGGACCTGGTCTGGATTGTTTTGAGGTCTATTTCATAGGATTTCTCTTTCCTTTTTCTCTAACCGCATCAATCTGAGACTTTTTTTGTGTAAATGTTTCTCTTCCTTACTAAGCTGGGAGTTCATTGAAGGTCTGTTCTTGGTCTTATTTATGTTTTTCATTTTTATTTTTATGTTATTTTCAGCAGTGCCTACTGTCATGTTCTGTTTTTTAGGAAAGTTCTCAATAAATTCTAATATTATAGAATTGAACGCATGTTTCTCAATTTAGCCTTCCTATGCCTATCCTCTCCTGAGTAGTACAGTTGTGGATTGGATGGTAATACTGGTGGCACCTGAAAAGGTAGGAATCACTAAGCCCCTTCCTTTCTCTAGGAGGCTGGGGATGGGGATTCTCAATGTTTTGGGTTAGAGCTGAGGGAAGTACTTCCCTGCAAGATTTAGCATCATGATATTTGTGGAGTGTACATTTGGGGCTCACTGAGAACATGTATACAGAGTGTACAAATTACTTTTTACAGTCTATGATTAACTTGCAGGAATTAAATGAAGGTCTAAAATGAGAGGCTTTCTTAGGACACAGAATAAAACAACAACAAGCTTGTTAAATATAAATTCTTGTGGGAATGAGAAGGCAAAGTAGGGATGGCACACACTTTGCAGACCTCTTATTATATAGAAAGATCCCAAGGGTTCCAAACTCCAGAAATGCTGTTACCTGGCTGAATTCTCATCTCCTGACACTATGTATTTCAATTACAAAAGTGTGTGTGGGAGCTGTGGATTTGGCTCTTGCTATGGTTGTGGGTATGGCTGTATACACAGCACCCACTGTGGCTGTAACGGTTATTATGGTTGTTATGAAAATAAATATTCTGTTATAGATGATCTGATATTTTTTGCTTCTAAGAAATGCCATTGAGCATTGTTTCTTATTTAGTTTCTCAAAGATCTGTTCTGCTTTAATCACCTTCAATCCTGATAGTTCTCCGTTAGAGAAAAATGACTCATCTGGTGAAAACTCCATTTGTCTTCAAAGTACCTGTTAGTCATAGACATAATGTGGTTTCACTGAGAGATGGAAAATATGACTATTTTGAAATTTTGAAAAATATAAAATGCTCTTTGTGTGCGTGTGTGAGTCAACACCAATTTGGGGCATGTTTTACCCCCTTGAAAGCCAGACCACTATGTAGATTAGTTGATCCTTAGCTTCTTAGAAATTTCTTCTTAACTTTCAATAACTCTTTTTCTCTTTATCTTTTCTACTCTACATAAAACTTGAGTTATTTAATTGTCAGTATCCACCACATATTTAATATTAAATAAATATGTACCTGTTAATTAGATATACTTCTAAATATACAAAATGAAGAAAGGAAGTGGAATGATATCATCCTTAGTGTAGAATAGTAGATTATTATCAGCCAAAGAAAAGGGAGGAGGAGAGAGAATCACTGAAACATTTTTTTTTTTTTTCGAGATGGAGTCTCGCTCTGTCACCCAGGCTGGAGTGCAGTGGCGCGATCTTGGCTCACTGCAACCTCCGCCTCCCAGGTTCAAGTGATTCTCCTGCTTCAGCCTCCCAAGTAGCTGGGATTGAGGCACCCGCCACCGCGCCTGGCTAATTTTTGTATTTTTAGTAGAGACGGGGTTTCACCATGTTGGCCAGGCTGGTCTCGAACTCCTGACCTTATAATCCACCCGCCTTGGCTACACACACACACACACACACACACACACGAACACAATGATTCTAATTCTAATTCCGTCGGCCTTTTCTCAAACATTCTCATAGACAGTTCTGTCACTTTTTTTGGGATTCTGGTTAATATGAACTCCTTAGGAGACTTTGCCTAACATTCCACTTGAAATAGAAATGACATTCTTACACTATTTCCCTGTTCATCACCTTGCATCTACTTCTCCTCTTCCTCCTCTTCTCCCTTCTCCTCCTCCTTCTACTTCTCCTCATATCTTTCTCTCTCTCAAAATCAAAGTCAAAAATCAGTTGTTTTTTTCTTCAGTTATATTTGTTACATAATTATAAAATTATTTAAGAAAGCCCGGTGACAGAGTGAGACTCATCTAAAAAAAAAAAAAATTCCTGACTCCATTCCTGTGGTGGCGAAGGAATTGCTCTATGAGACTGCTATGTATGATAAAGTGAGTCTAGGACTATTTATATGGGGATATCAAACAATTCTCCTCTATGGCAAAGTGTAGTCACAACATTTCTCTTTCTTAAAAAGCACAGGCTTTGGGGCAACAGAGAGTGACATTAGATGCCAATGTTCCCATTCCTAGCTGTGCATGTGTCAGAAAACTTCTTAATCTTCATATTTCATAAGTCTCCTCTTCCATTCAAACAAAAAGGTTATAAACACTGATGTCAGAGGACTGTTGCCATAGTTAATGAGATAGTATACTTAGCATGTAGCATGATACGTAATAATAGGATTTTGTTTTTGTTGGCAAATGACTCCTTATGTATGTTGTTTTGCAGCAAACAATGTAATGCTTCATCTATGCTAACTTTTGAGAGGTAGCAGCCTCCAAATTAAGTCATCTGATTTTATTATTCTTTCCTTTTTTTTTTTTTTTTTTGGTCTCATGCTTTTGTTGGAATTCATGGAGTACATAAAAATTACTAGAGCAACCGAACTCTAAGGATTTCCCTGTTTTTATTTAGCTCTTACTTTTTTTTTTTTTTTTTTTCTCTTTCTGAGACAGAGTCTTGCTCTGTCACCCAGGCTGGAGTGCAGTGGTGTGATCTCCGCTCACTGCAACCTCTGCCTCTCGGGTTCAAGCAATTCTCCTGCCTCAGCCTCCTGAGTAGCTGGGATTACAGGCACCTGCCACCATGCCAGGCTAATTTTTGTATTTTTGTTAGAGACAGTTTCCCCATGTTTGGCCAGGGTGGTCTCGAACTCCTGACTTTTAGTGATCTGCCTGCCTCTGCCTCCCAAAGTGCTGGAATTACAGGTGTGAGCCACCACACCTGGCCTGTTTTTACTTAGTTCTAAATATACAGATACTTAGAAGCATGTGTGAGATTTTAAATTTTAGTAGTTAGAAATTACTTGGAGTTATTTTGGTTTTCTTATTTAAAAAATAATATATATCAAAATAATATGTATATTCATTTTACTTAAGAACAAAAAGGATAACATCATCTCACACTACATATGTGCTGTATCATCTTCACTCATAGGCTTCATGTAGTCCTCTAACCTCTACTGAACTCTATTTGAGAACTTCATCATAGAAAAAGTAATAACTTTAGAATCTTGACTGCAAAGCAGAGTGTGACATACTGGAGTATACCGTTACATTGCTTGAGTGATTTTTTAAAATAATTACTGTATTTTTTGAGTATTTTGCAATAGTGTTTTCAAATTAAAGCCCAACAAAATGGTGAAATGCCTCTGAGAAAATGGATTATACAAAAACGAGGCCAGGCATGGTGGTTCACGCCTGTAATCCCAGCACTTTGGGAGGTCAAGGCGGATGGATCACAAGGTCAGGAGTTCAAGACCAGCCTGGCCAACATGATGAAACCCAGTCTCTACTAAAAATACAAAAATTAGCTGGGCATGGTGGTGGTGCCTGTAGTCCCGGCTACTGGGGAGGCTGAGGCAGGATAATCGCTTGAACCCAGGAGGTGGAGCTTGCAGTAAGCCGAGATCACACCATTGCATTCCAGCCTGGGCGACAGAGCATGACTCCGTCTCAAAAAAAAAAAAAAAAAAAAGAAAGAAACATTTCATTACCATTTGAGATTATTTACCAATGCAAGATCAGAAATATGGTCCTTTTAAACTCTAAATCATTACAAATAATCTTCACTCTCAACAACAGCAACGACCAAAAGTAGACAAGGTGATTGCACTCCATTGTCGATAAAATCAACTTAAGGCTATGTTGTCTTACATCATTTTTCCTTGATATTTGTATTCACTAGAAACTACGAATATGTAAAATAAGAATTTGATGTATAGAATTATCATCTATCAATTAGAATATCAAATTTTCCTGTGAAATCAAACAACAATAATACAAACTTCAATTTTAAATAGAAAATGTAATGTTAACAGTTTATAAATGGAAACAAATTTGCTGGTTGCTGTGTTATCCATAGTGTAACTTCAGTTATACAGCAATGAAAATGCTGCAATAAAAAGTATCTGCTTTTCTTGCTGGTGAATCATATACATTGCACTTTTCAAGGAGGAAACAGTATTTTCAAATGGGAATAGAAGTAAATATCAGCTAAGGTAAGAAAATACATAGTTAAAGCCCATCCCACGCCCACCATTGTCTGTTAAAATTCCACACATATTTTTCCAATTGTGTACCAAGAATCTAAGTAACGCAAAGTGATGCAAAACCTAAATGGTTTAGGTCATCATATATTAATATAAATTACACAGTTAATTCATACATTATTACAATCAACTGTGATGACTTGGTTATGAATGTTCTTTTAATAAGATAATAGGAAAAACATTACTGTGGTGGAGGCAAAGTAGAAAGGAAAATGGTAAATAGAATCAGAAATTTGTATTCACCATTATCTTCACTTTCCTCTCCTTCACTGACTTTTTATTTCAAAGAACAGAGTGCCTAACTCTCTTTTTCTAAAATGTCCTTTCTAGTTAGATGGTTTATCAAAGGGAACACCACATAGGAAACACAGGGATATATATTCCAGGCCACAAATTTTCTCCCTGGAAAATTTATGTCTGTGGATCCCTGTTCTCTTCTTTTCCCTTTGTATGAGTCAGCTGTAACTTACTGCACTTTTGGTGTTCTTTCGACTCATGCCCCCTTCTTAGGACAGATGGCATGTTCCCGCACTCTCTAGCATCAGAGAATTATGGCCTCCTCTTCAGCTAGAGGGCAGTAAAAAGTCACTCCAAGGGACAAATGATAGAAGAGTTGACTCAAAACAAAACGAGACCTCAGCTTTTAACTATACTATATGGGAATGAAAATCAAACAACCAAAACCAAACAGACAAATTCAATTAACCTTATATCCTTTTTCAGTCCAGACTGACATAGTTGAAGGTCATCTTCTTCCACAGAGGATCTGTTGCTTGAGGTACAACCACATGGAGATGCTAATTCTATCATTATTACGTTTTCATAAGATTTAAGGCCCTCCAAGTCAGAAATGATCTAACAAGCTGACTTATGAGAACTTGGCAGAAAAGTAATTTAAAAAAGATGTGATAGTAGTCTTCAAATCTCAAAAGGTATTAACGAAAATAAAATGAATTACTTAAGAGAAACTTTGAGATGGCCTTAAATGTCATTCCCTCAAAGCGTTCTTTATATAAGTCAATTTAGATAATGACCACTTGAATGTTCCGCCCAAAGCTGAACAGTTGGTTTGTGGTAGAGAGACGAGGAAAAGTTACAAACAGGAACTGAATGCTTATGGTAAGCACTAGGAAAACAAACAGGTATAAGACATGGAACTGATCATTCAAGACAGCACAGTGCACTGGCAAAATTGGAATCTGTATCTACAACTCAAATGTCATGGGGGCAATGCTAAAACTGCAAGTAATCTTTATGATTCACACATGCCAAGAAGACCACACAGAAGTTTGGAGTCAGAGCCATAAATTGTAATAAACTATTTCCCTGAAAATTCTCATCTGCATTCTCTCTAGAGAACTTTAGAGGGCTGATTGAGGATGCAAGCGCATGGGGTCCTGGACATCTCTAGCTTTCATTGTACCCATTATGTATCTTTAAATAATCGAAGTGATTCCCACCATTAGTAAAATCCATACTTTGTTTTTTTATTTATTTTCAGTTTTTATGGATACATAATAGTTATACATATTTATAGTTGCATGTGATATTTTGATCCATGAATACTATGTGTAATGATCAAATCAGGGTAGTTGGAATATCCATCACTTGAAACATTTATTATTACTTTGTGTTGAGATTATTCCGATTTCACTCTTCTAGCTATTTCGAAATATAAAATAAATAATTGTTAACTATAATTGCCCTATTTTCCTATCAAATGCTAGATCTTATTCCTTCTATCTAACTGTATCTTTGTACTCATTGTCCAACCCTTCTTTATCCTTCCTCTCCAGCGCTGTTCTCAGTCTCTGGTAGCCATCATTGAACTCTTGAGATCAATTATTTTAGCTCCTACTTATGGGTGAGAACATGCTCTTTTTGTATTTTTGTGTCTGGCTTATTTTATGTATCATAATGTCCTCCAATTCCATCCATATTATTACAAATGCTAGGATTTATTTATTTTCTTTTTCTTATCTTTTTTTTTCGGTTTTCTTTCTTTTTTTAAATTGGGTCTTTCTCAGTTACCTAGGCTGGAGTGCATTGGGACTATCACAGCTCATTGCAGCCTCGATCTCCTGGGTTCAAGTGATCCTCCTGTGCCTCAGCCTCCCAAGCGGCTGGAACTACAAGCATGCATCACTGTTTTTTTTTTTTTGGAGAGACAGGGTCTCTCTCTGTGTTGCCTAGGCTGGTCTCAAACTCCTAGGCTTAGGCAATCCATTCATCAATTTTGATGGACACTTAGTTTTATTCAATATTTTAATTATTATAAATAGTGCTGCAATAAACATGGGAGTGCAGATATCTCTTGGCTATATGAACTTCCTTTCTTTTGGATATATACCTAGCAGTGGGATTGCTGTAATTTATGGCAGTTTTATTTTTGTTTTTTTGAGACACCTCCACACTTTTTCCCATAGTAGCTATGCTAATTTACATTCTTCACAGAAATAGAAACATAATCCTAAAATTTATATAGAACCATAAAAGATCCAGAATAGCCAAAGCAATTCTTAGCAACAACAACAACAACAAACAAACAAAAAAACAAAACAAAGCTGAAGGCTTTACATTACTTGACTTCAAATTATACTACAAAGCCATAGTAACTAAAACAGCACGGTAGTGTCATAAAAACAGACACATTGAACAACGGAACAAAGTTGAAAAACCAGAAATAAATTCATGAATGTAATCTAAGAATTTATAGTCAATGTATTTTTGACAAAAATGTCAAGAACATACATTGGGGAAAGGACAGAGTATTCAAAAGTATATACTTTGACTTACTTTCTGGGAAAAAATGTAGCTGTTTTACTGGCTTTCATAGTTTCATTCTTTAGTATCTTGTTGTATACACAAAATATACTTATGTAAAGGCAGTCTAAGACCAAAAACTCAAGGAACTTCTGCGAGAATCCAACAAAAAGAATAAAATATAAACATTAAAATTTTGCCTCACACATTTTATAGGTTTGAATTAGGCTTTACACAACTTCTAATATTGATTTTATATTGCGTAATGCAAAACCAAATTGCCACTTCAGGTAAAGAAAGTGGAGGAATAAACATCTGTAAAAAAACAGTGTAAAAAATAGTGTAAAAATAGTGTAAAAAATAGCTAATAGAAAATTTCATCTGTAAATTTATTATAATTTACATCTCATCAGATGTAATGCTTATACTTCAAAGGTAACATCAAAATCCATAAATTTTTGCTAGTGATGGTCATGAAAGACTTTGTCATTACATTAGCCCATGATGTGGTTTTGAAATCCATTGGCTAAGTTGTGTAGGCCAAGTATGGAGTGCAGAAATCTTTGCTGAAGCTAGGAATTTAGCATAATTCTGCTATCTTCTTTGAGACCTTGCTAACTTTTTAGTGTCCTGGAGTGGTACATAGCTTCTTGCTGCTCCAGGGACAGAACTCATGCTTCTTTCTTTGTAAGGGCGTTAGGTGAAACTTCTCTCTGTTTCTTTTTTACTCTTTTGTATTCCTACTCTGCTCCCTCAACAATATTAAAACCCTTTATTCTCTCTATTTTCAAGACACTTAGATTTTAACAAATAAATATGCTCCATCTAAATTTTCTCCTATGTGACTGTTTTTGATGAGGGAAGGTACAATATAGAAAGAACAAACCAAACACATTTCCTATAACTTTTCTTGCCCAGTGCCCTTCCTCAGACACTGCAGAGTGCCTGGGAGGTTGTGGGGTACTGGCAAATAGCAGTGGTTCTATAAAAAGTAAAGGTGCTAACAGTCAATGATCTCGGATTTTCACTGAGCAAATCCTGTTTAATTAGAAAATCTATACACTTCTTCAGGGAGACTGTGTAACATGTCTCCTCATGTGCTGAGCGACAACATTGACCTCCTCCTTCTCAGTCTGTCTGTTCACCTTTCACGGTATTGCCTGTCAACACCCTGTGGGCCACACGTGAGGCCATGTCACCAGCTGTGCATTCTGTCAAATATTCTTTTAAGAAAGTAAATGGATAAAGAACACATCTGAATGGCAACTTTTTTTTTTTTTACAGATGTTTATTCCTCCACTTTCTTTACCTGAAGAAATCCTTCTCATGAATTAGGATTTAATTATCTTTATTGGTATTTTTCACCTATTTTTAGTTTTCTGGTTTCATAGTATCCCATGAACATGCCTATTATATTACCTAACCTTTTTGTATTCTTTCCTTCTCTTCTTCTTTTCTCGTCCCCTTCTTGCCTCTCCTTTCCCTTCCCCTCCTCTTTCCTCTCCTCCTCTTCCTCTCCTCTCCCCTTCGTTTCCTGATATAGTTTGGCTGTGTCCCCACCCAAATCTCTATTGAATTGTAGCTCTCATAATTCCCAAGTGTCATAGGAGAAACCTGGTGGAGGTAGTTGAATCATGAGGGTGGGTTTTTCCCATGCTGTTCTCATGATAGTGAATAACACTCATGAGATCTGATGGAATTCCCCTAGAGGCAAGCTGTCTCTTGCCTGCTGTCATGGAAGACGTGACTTTGCTCCTCATTGACCTTCTGACACGATTGTGAGACCTCCCCAGCTGTCTGTAACTGTGAGTCAATTAAACCTCTTTCCTTTATAAATTACCCAGTCTTGGGTATGTCTTTATTAGCAGTCTGAGAATGGACTAATACATTTCCCTTCTCTTTTACTTGCATGCACATACTTGTTTCCCTTACAGCATGATAGCACGCCTCATGGACACAATGTGAAGAGTATGGTAATATATGATTTATATTTGTTAAATGAAACACTGAACATGTTAGTAACTGGATAAAATGGGCAAAATAAGCAATTCTGGCTTTACTGTTGAACTATACTATCTTTGGCTGAAATGTTTATTGTAAGTAAAATTTTACCCCTTTCATCTGAGAAAATAGTTGTTCAATATAACAGCACTACTTACATATTTATCCACTCATAGGTAGCTTTTGTTTATCTTTTGGAAAGCCTTGATTCAGAAGATAAGAGAATCAGAATTTGTCTGGCCTAAGGCTTCTTTTCTCGTGTTTGTCATTGCTTCCTACAGCTCAGTAGGTTTGGGAGGCTGTTTCTAGATAAAACTATACAATCTGTATAAAAACACAAACTATTTGGACAAAAAATTTATAAAGGGTCCTCAGAAGAGCAGAATGAGAAAGCAAAGAGAGCCCTAATGAACTCACATGGAAATGGGATTCATTAAAGTTGGAGAGAAAGGCATACATCAATTTCAGAAGCTAGTGAAGATGTTTGGAATCCACAAGGCTAAATTATGAGTAGAAATTTCAAAATTCATGAAAAGATGTGCATCAGTAAAATTTAAAACTAAATTATTTTATATAAATATATGAAATATAGTAAATATAACAAAAGATCTAAAATTTCTAACAAAGAGTTAAGGGTTTGTAAAACTTGGATGATTAGGAGGAAAATTTGAGTCACACAAAACATCTCTTGTAGCATTCATTTTTGCCTTCTAAGCTGTAGTTAAACATCACTTCAGAAAAAGCACGAAATATCATAATTAGTTCCCTTCATGCACAGTTAAGGAGATGGACTCTAGCAGATGAAGGGAGGGTTGCTGTGTGCTTCATTATCATTATTTTTGAGTAATATTAATTAAGCCACCTTCTGTGCTAATGGTGGAACTTAGTGGTCCACAGTAGAAATGAAACAGATGTCGTCCTTGACCTTATAAATCACAGGAATAAAACATATGGCATTGTTTTATATATGCCCAGAATAAGAAGCAACTAAATATAACATGATGCTTACAAATCTATAATTGTTCAGCAGAAAAATGTTTATCACGTTATTTAGCATAAAAGCACTGTGATGATACACTTCCTTGTAAGTATTATTGACTGGTGCTTTGATTTCCATAGGGTAGAAATTGCCAGCTTTCTCTCCAGCAGTTTTGTAGTATTTCAGATTCCCACCAGCAAGGTATAAAAGTGCTGATCTTGGGAAATGTTCTCAAGCACTGGATATTATTGATCCATTTTAGTTTTTTCCAATATAATTGGTCAACAATACAGTGATGGCAAATGCTATGGTATATCAGTATTTTTCAATATTAGGTAGGCATAGAAAATAATGAGTTGTAACTTTTTATATTGATATGAAAATGATGTCTACATAAAGCAAAAGATTGTGAACTGAGAAAATGAAATAGGGATATGTAAACTTTATAAATTTTGAACCCCCTGATTCCAGTGTCTAAAATAACAATCCAAGCATCACAGCTAAAACAGCCAAAACACAGCATAAATGACAAAATATAAGCTTTAGCTATGTTTCTCCCCCAAAACATTAAAGAGAATTAAATTCATAGCCTGCCGCAAGTCCCTAATAAAGTGAAGGTGTCATTATCTAAATCTCCTAGTAATTCCCACAGCTTCTCACTGCTTCTGCTCTCTTGTCACTTTAGTGCTTGTCTAAATGGAGTGACTATTCTTTTCTGTAAGTCCTTCCTTTCCATCTATAGCTTCACTATTCGAGTCAATCTTTCTTCATACTCTGACTCAGCTTCACAGAGGTCCCACTGAGGATGGTCAACAAAAGAGAAACAGATGACAGACAACTTCTTATGTGGAAAGTATTTACAAGTTAATAATTTTTGAAATCGTTGCATAATGCCATTCTTGTTAAGTAAATAAAAATAAAAAACCCAAAGTGTGTTAATTCTGTTTTGGATACATATAGAAAAGGGAAACCCTAAAGTGTCAACATTGGTTAGCAGAAATAGAGAATAATGGGGAAATTAACTTAATAAAAATTAAAATAATATCTGTTTGCAATGCATTACTTTTGTAATTAAAACAAAAATGAAATACAAGAAGGAAGGTATATGGAAATGGAAGAATTAATTTGTTGGCTTGTGTGTTTTAGACCTCAGATACATAGGATTAATTTAGTGGCTCAGTATAAAAATATTTTCCAGCCAGGCACGGTAGCTCACGCCTGTAATCCCAGCACTTTGGGAGGCCGAGGTGAGAGGACAACTTGAGGTCAGCAGTTCGAGACCAGCCTGGCCAACATGGTGAAACCCTGTCTCTACTAAAAATACAAAAATTAGCTGGGTGTGATGGCCCATGCCTGTAGTCCCAGCTACTTGGAAGGCTGAGGCAGAAGGATTGCTTAAATCTGGGAGGCGGAGGTTGCAGTGAGCCGAGATTGCACCGCTACACTCCAGCCTGGGCGACAGAGTGAGACTCTGTCTCCAAACAAACAAACAAAAAATATAATAATAAAAATATTTCCCTTAACATATCTTCTCCTGTTTTATTTTATAATATTATTATACAGATTATCCCTAATCTCTATCCCATTACCTCCTTGTTTCTTCCTTGTATGTATTATAATTGTGGAATAGCTTGAATATTTCAAAAATATACATTGTGTTTTTTGGGATGTGAATGTGATCCTCATTTTAAAACAAACAGTGTATTTACTGTCACTCTGACACAGTCATGTGTCACTTAACAACAGGGATATGTTCTGAGAAATGCACTGTTAGGTGATTTTGTGGTTGTACACAGAATGTGAGTACAGCCTAGGGTGTACTCACAAACCTGGATGATACAGCCTACTACATACCCAGGCTATATGGTATAATTTATCATTCCTAGGCCACAAACCTGTGCAGCACATTACTGTGCTGAATATTGTAGGTGACTGTAATACAATGGTAAGTATTTGTGTATCTAAACATGTCTAAATATAGAAAAGGTATACTAAAAATATGGTATTGTAATCTTATGTGACTACCATCATATAGGTGATCTGTCATTGAATAAAATGTTGCTCTGTGGTACATGACTGTATTCTACTTAAAACTACGGTGGTTTGTTTTGTTTTGTTTTTCAGACGGAGTTTCACTCTTGTTGCCCAGGCTGGAGTGCAGTGGCCTGATCTCGGCTCACAGCAACCTCCACCTCCCGGATTCAAGCCATTCTTCTGCCTCAGCCTCCGGAGTAGCTAGGATTACAGGCATATGCCACCACGCCTGGCTAATTTTGTATTTTTAGTAGAGACGGGGTTTCTCCATGTTGGTCAGGCTGGTCTCGAACTCCGGACCTCAGGTGATCCGCCCGCCTCGGCCTCCCAGAGTGCTGGGATTACAGGCGTGAGCCACTGCGCCTGGCCAGACTATGTTTTTAAAAGCCATCCCATGTGGCTAGATGCAAGCGTGATAGTAAAAATACTTAATATTTTTAATATGCTATGGATATTGATTAGTGAAATCAGACATTGGCATAAATAACTGCTGTAATTATACCTACGCAAATCAGCTTAACATTAGCTCAGGATACATGTACACCTAATGAATTGTTTCTAGCCCTTACATAGCATTTCACCATATTCTGTAGTATTCCATGCATCATAGCTGTGGCTACTTGTATTGTCTTCTAATCTCTTCTTCCATAAACAATACAGCGGTGAACATTGTTGTGAATGTCTTTTTGTGGATCTATGTGATAAATCCTCTGGTTTATGTTCCCTAGCATAAAATTAATGCATCATGGGTTACATGCATTTTCATTTCAGTAAGTACTGTCAAATCATCACCTAGAAGTGTTATCCATATACACAACAACAGTGTATGAGATCTCGATATTCCTCTAAACTTTCCTAATACTTACCTCACTGCCTACTTTTTACATAATTTATGAGTGGAAAAAGATATCATTGTTTTACATACAATCAAATTTGAGTTAATTTGATAATTTCCTAAGAAGTTGCTTAATATTTTGGATGTATCTTGAGGAGGAAGATTGATCTGCAATCTTCCTTTGCGTCAAGACTTTGGTTTTGAAATCAAGGTTATTCTAGGAATACAGCTAATCAGGGAGGTGAAAGTGCTCTATGTCAAAAATTACAAAACACTGCTCAAAGTAATCAGAGATGACACAAGCAAATGGAAAAACATTCCATTCTCATGGATAGGAAGATTCAATGTTGTTTAAATGGCCATACTGTTCAGAGAAATTTACGGATTCAATGCTATTCCTATTAAACTACCAATGATACTCTTCACAAAATTAGAAAAAAACTATTAAAAACTTCATATGGAACCAAGGCAATTCTAAACAAAAAGAACAAAGCCAGAGGCATTATGCCTGACTTCAAACTATGCTACAAGACTACAGTGACCAAAACAGCATGGTACTGGTATAAAAACAGACTCATAGACCAATGAAACAGAATAGAGAGCCCAGAAATGAGCCATACACCTATAACCATCTATCTTCAACAAGTAGACAAAAACAAGTAATGGGGAAAGGACTGCCTATTCAATGAATGGTTCTGGGATAACTGGCCACCCACATGCAGATTGAAACTAGACACCTTCCTTACACCATATACAAAAACCAACTCAAGATAGATTAAATACTTAAATGTAAACCTCAAAGTATAAAAGCCCTGGAAAGTAACCTAAGAAATACCATTCTGGACATCTGATGTGGCAAAGATTTCATGATGAAGATGCCATAGCAACTGCAACAAAAACAAAAATTGACAAATGGGACCTAGTTAAACCGAAGAGCTTCTGCACAGCAAAAGAAACTATCAACAGAATAAACAGACAACCTATAGAATGGGAGTAAATACTTGCAAACTAATCAACGGATAAAGGTCTAACACCCATAATCTATAAGAAACTTAAACTAATCAACAAGCAAAACAAACAAAAAACAAACAAAAAACCCATTAAAAAGTGGACAAAGGACATGCACAGATACTTCTCAAAAGAAGACATACATGTAGCCAACAAGCATATGAAAAATGCTCAACATCACTAATCATTATAGAAATGCAAATCAAAACTACAGTGAGATACCATCTCACAACAGTCAGAATGGCTACTACATAAAAGTCAAAAAGTATCAGATGCTGGCAAGGCTGCAGAGAACAGGGAACACTTAAAAACTACTGGTGGAAATGTAAATTAGTTCAGCCACTGCGGAAGCAATTTGGCGATTTCTCAAAAAACTCAAAGCAGAATTACCATTCAACCCATCAATCTCATTATTGGGTATATACCCAAAGGAATATAAATTATTCTATCATAAAGACACATCTATGTTTATGTTCATTGTAGCACTATTCACAATATCAAAGACATCAGATCAATCTAAATGCCCACCAGTGGTAGACTGGATTAGGAGAATGTGGTACATATACTTCATGGAATGATACATAGCCATAAAAGGAATGAGATCTTTCTTGTCCTTTGTAACAACATAAATGGAGCTGGAGGTCATTATCCTAAGTGAACTAAGACAAGAACAGAAAACCAAATAGTGCATGTTTCCACTTATAAATGGGAAGTAAACATTGAGTATATATAGACACAAAGAAGGGAGCAATAGACAATGGGGTCTAATTGAGGGTGGAGGGAGAGAGGAGAGTGAGGATTTAAAAAAACTACCTATCCGGTACTATGCTTATTACCTGAGTGGTGAAAGAATCTGTACACAAAACCCCTGTGACATGCAATTTACCTATATAACAATCCTGCACTTATACCTCTGAACCTAAAATAGAGGTTGAAAAGTAAAATCAAGGCTATTATGACCATTGCTATCCTCTTTTTCTATAATCTAGTTTAGTTTACATTAGGTTGGCATTATTTCTCCCTTGAGTGATTGAGAATATAGCCCATTGAAGCCCTTTAGGCCTGATATTACCTTATGAGATGTTTTAAATTAAAGATTCACTTTTTGTAATAGATATAGAATTATTTAAGTGTTGTATTTCCTCTTTTATTACTTTCAAGTCATGTCTATTTCTTTATATTTTCAAATGCACTGGTATAAGGTTACCTAGAATGATTTCTTATTACATTTATGTTCTGCAGAATATATTGTCATATATCTATTACTAGCAATAGTGGTAATTTATTTGTTTTTTTCTATTCCTTTGATAGTACAAAGTTTGTTCATTTTATTAGTGTTTCAAAAGAATAAACTTTTAGCTTTAATACCTTTCTACTGTATTTTTATTTTGAAGATAAAATAATAATGTTTTATGAAATAAATAAATGTTGTTCTCTGCCCTCATGAAGGCTTAATTCATTCATAGACTTATGAATTAATGGACTGATGGGTTAATGAATTAATAGGTTATCATGGCATGGAACTGGTGGCTTTATAAGAAAGGAAGAGATCTGACCTAGCCCATTGAGTCACCCTGTCTTGTGATGCCCTTTGCCGCCTTGGAACTCTGAGGAGAGTCCCCACCAGCAAGAATATCTCACCAGAAGTGGACCAGTGACCTTGGACTTCTCAGCCTCCATAAGTGTCAGAAATAAATTTCTTTTCTTTATATATTACCCAGTTTCAAGTATTCTGTTATAAATGACAGAAAATGAACTAAAACATTTACACTTGATTTTAAAAATAAATTTCAATTCTCTGGTAGAATTCTTACTCTTTTCATCTACTTTTTGATCCTATTAATCGCTAGTATTTTATATATCACAACTGATGTTTATGCTATCTGGATTGCCTCTGGGTCTTGATCTATTGTGTTATTTTCTCTTAGTCTTGTTTCTTGCATTCATAGTAATTTTTTGAGTACTAAACATTGTATATTTAGAAAACTGTTGAAGAACTGTATAATATTTTTCCTACTGATATGATTAGTTCTACCTTCCAACAGCTTGCATAAAGACAGATTTCCTCAGTTCAATCAGGAAATTAACTAACCCGGATTTTACACTTTGTAAAACTTTCTCTACCTCTGATTTAACCACTTTCCCTAAGATATAGCCTTCTAGGCGTATCAGGTGAGACAGCTTTGACTTTTTAGTAAAATTTCTCTTTTAGCAAATTCTCAAATGTACTTTTCTTCTATTGAGTGCCTGGTGACCACTGAAAGCTCTGCTCAGCTTTTCAGTCTTTTTTAGCTCTTCTTTTAAAGTTGTCATCCTTGACATTTAAAGGCATTTGCAAAAAAATTAATAAAAAGAACATAAAGGTAAGATTTGTATTACCAGATATTAAGACATGTAGTAAAGGTATAGTGACTGGAATTATATTTTGGAAGATGAATTGATAGATTAATGAAGTGAATGAAGTAGAACATGCAGAAATGGACTTACAGTAAAAGAAATATTTGGTATGTAATAAATGTGGCAATTACAATTCAATTAAAAAATCGGAACCAAACCTAATATATTCCCCAATAGATTAAAGTTCTAAAAATAAAATTTAGCAACTAGAAAACATTAACAAAATATGGAAACTGTGGAAGAGAAGAAAGAGAAGCAACCCTTGAGTAGGTGTGGTATTTCCTTTTGGGTTGATGAAAATATTTTGGAACTTGATAGAAGTGGTGATTGCACAGCACTGTCAGTGCACTAAATTACACTCCAAATAATTAATTTTATATTATGTAAATTTCACCTTAATTAAAAAAGAAAACATAGAAGAATATCTTACGAATTTATAGGTCAATTAAAGATTGTCTTAAGAAAAAAGTAAAATATAAGATAATTTGACTAAAAGAAAACACATAATAAAGTTAATGTAGCAACTTTGAGAAAATATTTCTATTGTATTTAATAAACAAATAATTATTATGCTAAAGAGTGAAACATGACCCTGTGGAAGCTACACTGTATGGAAAACTGAGAATTTAAGCATAAATCACAACTTATAAAACATATCCTGAGTCACACACATCATGACCAGATTAAGTTATACGTATATTACAGACTAAGTTCAAAATGTTTTAACACCATTTTAATGAAATTTAAATAGTTTAAGATAAGACCACAGACAAATTTGTCTAAAAGTGACTTTACAGAGATTATATATTCTAAAGAAAGCCATTGAATATTCCAGTAACATCCTAATTTACAAATCATACCAATTCTTGCCAATGCAATCTGATGATGTAATATCAGCCCTCAAAACTTTATAAATATTCTTCCTCAACGGGTGATGTCTTAGTCTGTTTGAGCTGCTATAACAAAATATCATAGGCTGGGTAGATTATTAAAAAACAGACATTTATTTCTCACAGCTCTAGAGGCTGAGAAGTCCAAGATTCACATTACCAGCAGATTTAGTAGGAGCCATCTGCCACATTCATGGATGATGCCTTCCTGCTGTACCATCATGTTGCAGAAGGAGTGAGGAAGGTCTCTGGAATCTTTTTAAATAAGAGCACTAATCCCATTCATGAGGGTTCCACTTTTATAATCAAATCACTTTCTTCAGATCCCATCTCCTAATACCATCACATTAGGGGTCGGGATATCAACATATAAATTTTGTTGGGGGACACAGATATTCAGTCCATAACACTTGACCTTCCCCCATCTTTTGTGATGCTCAAAGATAACTTCCCACCGCCTCAACACACACACACACACACACTCACACACACACACACACATTATATACTCTTTGTTGATGCTGCAAATTAATAGATCTAACTTTGTTTTACTACAGGTGGTTTTTGAGCAGTGGAATTTATCAATCAAGAATATATTACTAATATCTATAGTCATAAAGATAATAAGAAAAGACAACTCAATAATGAATGAGCAAAGGCTTTGAATATATTATGCTAAGTGAAACAAGCCAGATGCAAATGGGTAAACAAAGTATTGTATGATTCCACATATATAAGGTATCTATAATAGCCAAATTCATGGAAACAGAAAGTAAAATAGTAGTTGCCAGGGCCTGGGGGAGAGGGAATTGGTAATTTAGTGTTTATTAAGTTCAGAGTTTCAGTTTGGGATAATGAAAATGGTCTAGAGATGGAGAGTGGTGATGGATACACAACAAATTGAGTGTACATAATGACACTGAACTGTTCATTTAAAAATGGCTAAGATAGTAGAATTTATGTTATGTATATTCTACAGCAATAAAAAATTAAAACTCAAAAAACAAATAAGCAAAGGATTTGAAGAGAAATTTAAAGAAGTGAAAATTCAAGTATCCAGAAAAATTAAAATGATGCTCAAGTTCACCAATAATGGGGTAATGCAAATTAAGAGATTAACAAACCATTTTCACCAATCGCATTTATTAAAATTAAAACTTCCTCATATATTAAGCAAAAGTGTGGGTGAATGAGTATTCTCATACATTGTGAATTAGAGTATAATAAGAGAATCAGAGAACATTCTTTTTAGTATCTATTTTTAAAAATGTACATGCCCTACAACACAAAATGTTTTTTTAAAAATATATATGTTGTACAGAACACTAAAAACTACTCTGAGACATATATAGAGTGATATGGTTTGGCTGTGTCCCTACCCAAATCTCATCTTGAATTCCTACATGTTGTGGGAGGCAACCGGTGAAGTGTAATTGAATCATGGGGGCAGGTCTTTCCTGTGCTGTTCTTGTGATAGCGAATAAGTCTCACCAGATCTGATGGTTCTATAAGGGGGAGTTTCTCTGCACAAGCTCTCTCTTGCTTCCCACCAATGTAAGACATGCATTTCACCTTCCGCCATGATTGTGAGGCCTCCCCAGCCACGTGGAATGGTAAGTCCATTAAACCCCTTTCCTGTATAAATTACCCAGTCTCAGGTATGTCTTTATGGGCAGTGTGAAAATGAACTAATAGAGTAAATTGGAACCAGTAGAGTGGGGACCTGCAGAAAAGATACCTGAAAACGTGGAAGTGACTTTGGAACTGGGTAACAGGCAGGGTTGGAACAGTTTGGAGGGCTCAGAAGAAGATAGGAAAATGTGGGAACGTTGGAACTCCCTAGAGACCTGTTGAATGGCTTTGACCAAAATGTTGATAATGATATGGACAATGAAATCCAGGTTGAGGAGGTCTCAGATGGAGATGAGGAACTTGTTGGGAAATGGAGCAAAAGCGACTCTTGCTATGTTTTAGCAAAGAGGCTGGCAGCATTTTGCCCCTGCCCTAGACTTGCAGAACTTTTAACTTGAGAGAGATGATTTAGGGTATCTGGCAGAAGACATTTCTAAGCAGCAAAGCATTCAAGAGGTGACTTGGGTGCTGTTAAAGGCATTCAGTTTTATAAGAGAAGCAGAGCATAAAAGATTGAAAAATTTGCAGCCTGACAATGCAATAGAAAAGAAAATTTCATTTTCTCAAGAGATATTCAAGCCAGCTGCAGAAATTTGCATCAGTAATGAGGAACCAAATGTTAATCCCCAAGACAATGGGGAAAATGTCTCCAGGACATGTCAGAGACCTTTGTGGCAGCCCCTCCAATCACAGGCCCAGAAGCCTAGGGGAAAAGAATGATTTCATGGACTGGTCCCAGGACTCCCATGCTCTGTGCAGCCTAGGAACTTGGTGCCCTGTGTCTCAGCTGCTCCAGCCACAGCTAAAAGGGGCCAAGGTACAGCTTGGGCTGTTGCTTCAGAGGGGCAAGTTTCAAGCCTTGGCAGCTTGCATGTGGTGCTGAGCCTGTGGGTGCATGGAAGTCAAAAATTGAGGTTTGGGGAACTTTACCTAGATTTCAGAGGATATATGGAAACACTTGAATGCCCAGGCAGAAGTTTGCTGTGGGAGTGAGGCCCTCATGGTGAACCTCCACTAGACCAGTGTGAAAGGGAAATGTGGGGTCAGAGACCCCATACAGAATCCCTACTGGGGCACCACCTAGTGGACCTGCGAGAAGAGGGCCACCATCCCCCCAACCCCAGAATAGTACATCCACCAACAGCTTGTATTGTGTGCTTGGAAATGTACTCAACGCCATTCCATGAAAGCAGCCAGGATGGCGATGGGGGCTATACCCTGCAAAGCCACAGAGGCAGAGCTGTCCAAGGCCATGAGAGCCTATCTGTTGCATAAGTGTGACCTGGATGTGAGACATGGTTTCAAAGGAGATCATTTTGGAGCTTTAAAATTTGACTGCCCTGCTGGATTTTAGACTTGCACAGGCCCTGTAACCCCTTTGTTTTGGCCAATTTCTCCCATTTGGAATGGCTTCATTTACCCAATGCCTGTACCCCCATTGTATCTGGGAAGTAACTAACCTGCTTTTGATTTTACAGGCTCATAGGCAGAAGGGAAGGAAGGAAGCCTTGTCTCAGATAAGACTTTGGACTGTGGACTTTTGAGTTAATGCTGAAATGAGTTAAGACTTTGGGGACTGTTGAGAAGGTGTGATTGGTTTTGAAATGTGAGGACATGAGGTCTAGGAGGGGCCAGTGGTGGAATGATATGGTTTGGCTGTGTCCCTACCCAAATCACATCTTGATTTCCCACATATTGTGGGAGTGACCCAGTGGGAGGTAATTGAATCATGGGAGCAGGATTTCCTGTGCTGTTCTCGTGGTAGTGAAAAAAATCTGACAAGATCTGATGGTTCTATAAGGGAGAGTTTCTCTGCACAAGCTCTCTCTTTTCCAGCAGCCATCCATGTAAGATGTGACTTGCTCCTCCTTGCCTTCTGCCATGATTGTGAGGCCTCCTCAGTCATGCGGAACTCTAAGTCTATTAAAATCTTTTTCCTGTATAAATTACCCAGTCTAGGGTGTCTTTATCAGCAGCATGGAAGCAAACTAATACATAGAATTTCACATTTGTAACACAATGTAATAGTGTTTCTGACAGGGAAAAATTACAAATAACCTACATGTTTAGCAATATAAGTGTGTATAAACTATTAATATGACATATTCATGCTATGTAATTCTATGCAATGCCTTATTGTTTTGATTTTTAATGAGAGACATAGCTAGAAAGATTTTTAAAGGTATTTTAAGAGGAAAACTTAATGGGAGAATTGTACATAATATTTCATTTGGGGTTAAAGTATACCACTTCCTAATGTATTTTCTAAAGCTAGTTATTTATATGTTAAATGCAGAGAAGAAGAAAAATAAGTTTTGCAGTAAGTTTTCCAATTGGTAAATTAGTTTGCTTTATTTGCAGAGGAGGAGGGGACATTGATTAGTAGTCATTTTCAAAATGGTCTTTGGCTTTTTCTGTAATGATCTATTTGTTTTAAATTATATGCTCATGAATTATTTATGAAGTAAAAAATAATGAAATTTATTGTAAAAATAAAAAGAAAAGGGATATGGTAAAGGAAAATACAAGGCAAAGAGGAAATTGTTCTTAAGATGGAAAATATTTCGGCATAGTAAATTTAGAAAATGCTGAGACAGAGAATCAGTCATCAGTGAAAATGAAGGGGAACAGAGGTATAAATTGCTATCCATATCTCTGACTAGTATGTTTAATTTTTATTGTGACTTAACATAGGTCATTTATGCTTCTTTTTTTAGATTAAAAAAATGAGACTCAGAGTAATTTTTAAAGAGGCTGAATACAGTTAAAATGGTGGACTCTCCCAAAGAAGGGATACATTCTATTTTTGTGTACTGGCACAGGAGTTTAGAAACATAATACACTGATTCAAATAATGAAAACGTGTTTTTCACATTCGAGTTTGTGGGCCAAGATTTCTACCACCTACATACACGTTCAAATTCTGACCTTCACTGGTACTTTTTTTTTTTAATTTTAAAGCACTTATTATCCACTTTCACTGGTACAAATGTGATCTCCAATACTCTCAAGTATTTTTCCAATATTAAAAGATCATTGCATATAGTAAAACTACCCTCTCTGTACATAAAACAACACGAGGGAAATGCAATGTGCTTGCCATTATGTGTAATTGCGCCAATTGTCCTAGGGTCTTGAGTAAGATACAGTTATGAATATAATTTCTAATTTATTTATGGCCATAACTTCAACCACGATTCAGTAAAATAATGAACCAAACATTTTCCTCCCATTTGTCCTTATGTACTTTAAATGGAGGTAAGTTTCTGTGCTTTTTCCTTTAAGGTATTATTTTTAAATATTTTAAAGTAATTTGCTTGCTAGCAAAGAATGTCTTGTGGCCAGCCAACATACTGAATACAGATTATGTCCTTGATCAGGAAAAGTTTAAATATGAAAACTGATGGCTTGTTACTGTGCATAGCATAATGAAATGAAACAAATCTCCAATGTTATATTTATACTTTAAAAAGTATCTGGAAACATGGTGGTTTTGTCATAGGACGGTAGGTCTTTTTCAATGCCAGTATTCTCAATGTCATGAGTTTAGGTAATCAGAATGAAAGATATTCCTTTGGTGTCTTCTGTTTCCATTTCTTTTGCATTTTGTTTAGAAGATATAACGTGGTCACTTAGTGATATCCTCAGTAAGAATGTGAGATTTGAATGACTTTAAAAGGAAGAACAAAATGGTTGTTAGTGAAGTCAAATAGAGATGGTATTAAAACAATCCATAGCACATATTTGTGTAAGGTTTGAAATACAGAGTGCAGATTTGATTTCAAAGTTAATGGATGTCAAGTAAATGAGAAAATAAGCCACAGAATGGGAGAAAATATTTGCTAAGACACAACTGATAAAGGGCTCTTATCCAAAATACACAAAACTTTCTTAAAATTCAACAATAAGAAATGAATGACTAGATTCAAAAGTAGACAAAAGACCTGAACAAACACCTCATTGAAGAATATGTACAGATGGCAAATAGGCATATGAAAAGATGCTCAACATCATATTTCATTAGGGAGTTGCAAATTAAAACTATAATGAGGTATTAGCAAAAACCGACTAGAATGGTCATTGACAATGCCAAACGTTGACAAGGATGTAGAGCAACAGGAACTCTCACCTACCAGATGGTGAGAATGCCAAATTGTGGTTTCTTTGAAAGACAATTTGGTGGTATCTTACAAAACTAAACATACTCTTATCACATAACCCAGTAATAACACCCTTTATCATTTGCATAAAGGAATTGAAAATATATGTCCATACAAAAACTTGCACACTAATGTTTATGGCAGATTTATTCATAATTGTTAAAGCTTGGAAGCAAACCAGATGTCCTTCATCCTTCAATAGGTGAATTGATAAATAAACTGTTCTACATTTAGACAACGAAATACTATCCAGGACTTAAAAGAAATGAGCTGTCAAGAACTTAAAAGAAATGAGCTGTCCAGTCCTGAAAAGACCTGGAGAAGCTGAAATGCAAATTACTGAGTGAAAGCAACCAATCTGAAAAGGCTGTATACTGTATCATTCCAACCCCATGACAATCTGGAAAAGGCAAAACTATAAAGACAGTTAAGAGCTCATTAGTTGCCAGGAATTGAGGGGAGGGAGAAATGAATAGATGGAGCACAGAGGAGATTTAGGGCAGTGAAACTATTCTGTATATTTAGTGGTGGCTACATGTCATTATATATTTTTCAAAATCCATAGAATGTACAACACCATGAATAAACCCTAATGTAAATTATGGAATTTTGGTGATGATGTGTCAATATAGGTTCATCAATTGTAGCAAATGTACCACCCTGGTGGGGATGTTCATAATGGGGGTGCATAGGTGAGGGAAGGGTATGTATAGGAACTCTGTGCTCTGCTCAGTTTTTTTGTGAATGTAGAACTACTTTAAAAATAAATTTTATTAAGTAATTTATATATGCTCCCCCATAAATTAATAAAATAACTGTAGTTTTTTAAAGAAAGGATAAATCTAAAAGTAAGACTATATGACATGTGGTTTGTTTGTTTGTTTGTTTGAGATGGAGTCTCATGCTGTTGCCTAGGCTGGAGTGCAGTGGTGCCATCTCGGCTCACTGCAGCTTCCGCCTCCCAGGTTCAAGTGATTCTCTTGCCTCAGCCTCCTGAATAGCTGGGATTACAGGCGCACACCATGCTCAGCTAATTTCTGTATTTTTAGTAGAGAAGGGGTTTCACTATGTTGGCCAGGCTGGTCTCAAACTCCTGACCTTGTGATCCACCTGCCTCGGCCTCCCGAAGTTCTGGGATTACAGGTGTGAGCTACCTTGTTCGGCCTATATGACAGGTTTTATGGAGTCTATAAAATATAACACAAAGCAGTATTTTTCAAACTCACTTTTAGCCATAGAAATCTAACTTCTAATAAAATATTACCAACAAGTTCATAGTGTTAAATGGAAAAAAGCTGAGCTGCTATCAATTAAATTTATGTTCTCTGAAAATAGAGCTTCCCAGCATAATGTTACAATGATTCTACTTGCTTACTATTTCAAGGGATTAAAACATGATAATTTGCAAAACGCTGAAAAAAAAATCTTCAAGCTATAACTGAACCTAGTTTTATTAATTTACTAGAAGTATTCAAATTTAGCCAAACTAGCTAATATAAAAATAAAAGTTGCTTTTTGTGTAAATGTTTAACAGGGTCATTTTTAAAAAGCTGATTTAAAAAATTTTTTGGCCAAATTCAACTAAGTTTCCAAGCCGAATTTTCTGAGTATTAATGTCTTCAACCTAATGTAAAATAAAAGATAACTTTGGAAAGTTATAATGAGTCATAACATCTTATATTTGTATGAAGCCTTATAATTTACAATGAGTTTTTTATTTCTTCTCCTAAAAACTACCACGTGAAGCAGTTATTAAAATAATTCCTGATAAATTGCTAAATCAAAAATTGTGAAAGGACAAGGTATACAGAATTTATTCAAAGTTAATTGCCAATATCAGTTGTCTGTATAAACATGGGTTTATTTTTGGGGTCTCTCTTTTATTTCATTTTTTTATTTGCTTGTTTTTGAGACAGTGTCTCACTCTGTCACCCAGGCTGGAGTGCAGTGGCGTGATATTAGCTCACTGCAACCTCCACCTCTTGGGTTCTAGGGATTCTCCTGCCTGAGCTTCCTGAATAACTGACACTACAGGCATGCTCCACCATGCCTAGCTAACTTTTCTATTTTAGGAAAGACGGGGTTTTGCCATGTTGGCCAGACTGGTCTCAAACTCCTGGTCTCAGGTAATCCACCCACCTCCGCCCTCCAAGTGCTGGGATTACAGGCGTGAGCACCACACCTGGCCTGTTTCATTGGTTTATATGTCTTTGTTATGCCATCTCATACTGTTTTAATTATTGTATTTTTATAATATATTTTGAAATCAGAAATTGTGATGCCTCTAGCTTTGTTCTTTTTTCTCAAAATTGCTTTGGGTGTTTTGGGTCCTTTGTGGTTTTATATTAATTTCAGAATTGTTTTTCTTATCTCTATGAAAACTGTCACTGGGATTTTATAGGTACTGCATTAAAATTGGTATTGGTAGACCACTTTGGGTAATATGGACATTTTAATAATATTGTTATCCAATTCGTAAACATCAGAAATCTTTCCATTTATTTTGTCTAATTTCTTTCATACATGCTTTGTAGCTTTCAATGCACAAATCTTTCATCTTCTTAAATTTATTCCTATTTTATTCTTTTTGATACTATCACAAATAGGATTATTTTCTTAATTTCCATTTTAGATAGTTTGTTGTCAGTGTATATAAACACGACTGACTTTTGTATGTTGATTTTGTATCCTGAACCTTTACTGAAGTTTTTGATTTTCTTGTAACAGCTTTTCTGTGAAGTCTTTAGGGTTTTCTGTGCATAAGATCATGCCGTTTGTAGCGATAATTTTACTTCTTCCTTTCCGATGTGTATGACTTTTATTTATTTTTATTGTCTAATTATTCTGTCTAGAACTTCAAGTAGCATTTTAAATATAAATGGCCAGAATGAGCATCCTTGACTTGTTCTTGACCTTAGAGGAAAACCTTTCCATTTTTTTTACAATTGAGTATGTTAGTTGTGGGCTTTTCATACGTGACCATCATAGTATTGTGGTAAATTCCTTCTATACCTGGTCTTTTGGGAGTTGTCATATTGTGGCAAGAATATACAATGGGGAAAGCAGTCCCTTCAAGGAACAATGTTGGAAGAACTGGATAGCTACATGAAAAAGAATAACATCAGACCCTTAATTTATATTATATATGAAAATCAACTCAAAATGGATTAAAGACTAACCTAAGACCTGAAACTGTAAAACATGTAGAAGAAAACATAGGAGAAAAGCTTCATGACATCATTGGTCTTGGCTATGATACCTTGGATATGACACCAAAAGCATAAGCAAAAAAAGCATAATAGACAAGTGGTACTATATCAAACTAAAGAGCTTCTTCACAGCAAGGGAAATAACCAACAACATTGAAAGGTAACTTATGCAGTCAGAGGCAATATTTTCAAATCATATATATGTTAAGAGATTAACAATCACAATATATACAACCTAATAACTAAATTAAAAAAACCCAAACAAATAATTAAAAATGGGCAAAAGACCTTAACAGGCATTTCTCCAGAGAAGAGATATAAATGACCAACAGGTACATGAAAAGATGCTCAACATCACTAATTATCAGGGGAATGCAAATCAAAACCACAATGAGATACCATCTCATACCTATTATGATGGCTATTATAAAAAAGACAACCATTGATGAGGACATGGAGAAATTGGAACCTCTGTACACTGTTGGTGGAAATGTAAAATATGGTGCAGCCAGTATGGATAATGGTATGAACATTCCTCAAAAAATTAAAATGTAAAGCTACCATATGATTCAGCCATCACACTTCTGGGCACCTATTTAAAATAATGGAAATCAGGAACTTAAGAGATATTTGCACTCCTATCTTTGTTGCAGCATTATTCAAAATGGCCAAGATATGAAAACTACCTAAATGTTTATTGGCTGATCAATAAATAAAGAAAATGTAGTATATATATACAATGGAATATTTTTCAGCCTTAAAAAGGAAGAAAATCCTGGCATATATAACAATATGGATGAACCTGGAAGACATTATGCTAAGTGAAATAAGCCAATAAGTATGATTCTACTTACATGAGGTATTTAAAATAGGCAAACTTATAGTAGCAGAAAGTAGAATGGTGGTTGCCAGGGGCTGAAGGAAGGGAGAACTGGGAAATTGCTACTCAATGGGTATAAAGTGTCAGTAATGCAAGAAGAATAAGCTCTGAGATCTGCTGTACAACATAATGCCTATATTTACCTATGCTGTGTTGTGCACTTAAAAATTTGTTAAGAGAGTTAATTTCATGTTAAGTGTTTTTACAGCAACTAAAAAAATAAATAAATTACAGGTCTTCCAGGAAAAGAAAATAAAGTAGAAACCAAAAATACAAAGTTGTTTCCAAATAAATTCAAGACATGAGTTGGCTCTAGAGAAAAAGGTGAATGAGGTTTTTAGTTATGAGAACAATCTCATCATTTGCATTGACTGAAAGATCAGGTGTATAATTAGAGAACCACAGCACACTCAGGTTGCTTGTGACTGTCATGAATACATTTCAGTGAAGACAAGGACATTGAGGACGTGGAATTCACTGCTCATTAAATGCACAAAACTGATTTGTGGAAATGCCTAACTCCCCAGAAAACTCAAAGGGAACACTTTTACAATCACAAAAGAATCCTGTTATGTAAGAGGCCAAGATAATAAATGCTTTTGTATAGATTATTGTGGAGATTTAGGAGAGTGAATAAAAGAGATATGCTTTCATAAGTATTAGTGGTATGGATTCTTGGAGAGGTGGTGACATGTGACTTAAGAATAGTTATCAGTGATTCTCCAAATCCTATTACCAGGTATGGCACCTATTGTATAAACACCTTTAGATACTGGAATTATGCTCCTGGCGATAGCTGCGGAGGTGAAGGTTTAGGAGACCATCCTAAATCTTCCAAATCCTATTACCATACATGGAACCTATTGTATAAACACCTTTAATGCTGGAATTATGTCCCCGGCTGTAGCTATAGAGGTGAAGGTTTAGGAGACCATAAGATTGGCTGTAGTTCTGACCATGGCTGGTTACTACTACGGGATCTGACAAAAGCTATGGTTGTAGCTGACCTTTTCTAAAAGACAACTATATGCTTATTATTACTGAATACTTCAAGAATACACAAAATGTGAAGAGCTCCCTGCTGGCTGATAAAAAGAGAACCTAGCAGCGTTAATAGAAACAGAGCAAATGCTTATTTCCGAATCTTTTCAGCTTGCTGTATCATGCTACTGCATTTCTAGTACTCTTCCCTTTACCTCATTTCAGTTTTTACTTTAAATTGGATCATGGAAAAATATTTCATCATAATTAAATGTACTTAGTTTTATATGTAATTTAAAAAAAACTATCTGCTTCTTTTATGCACAAAAACATACCTGCTTTAGGGCATGATATGTTACCTTCTGTTATGATTTTTACTATAATATTTCTGATTGAGACCAGAAAAATATATGTTGCCATATTCAAGACTTTAAGTCTCTCTTTTTAGCCAAAAAGTTAGCAAAATTTTATTAAAATTGTGCTGGCCATTTTTCTTTTCTTTTCATTTTTTTTTAAATTTCAAATAAACTGCTCTCAAGCTCCCTTGATAGTATAAACTAGAAATTTGCTTTATCCTGTAAAGATCTCTTTTTCATATAACTCACCCTAAAGTGCAAGCCATGAGCCAAGTTTGGTTATGTTCTGGTTTCCTATATCAATTCCATGCATTTTGATGCAGATATAATTACCTGTGGAGACCTGACACTACAATTGCATGACAAGGAGATGCAGCACTTTTGGAAGTTGATTCAAAATAAAAGACTGTGTCCCTGTGGGTATTTTCAGGAGAAACAGATATGCTAAATTTAAAGGGAAACATTTTCTCCAAATGTATTTATAAATAGTTTTGGTGTTCTTGAATGACATACCTGGAAGAAATTCCACATATAACTTTTTCCCTAATACCACTATAACAGAATGTAGCAGCAGTTCATAAGTATGGGGTGAGACTTTGGGGGTCCCCATGTTTCTCCTAGAGTGCTAGTTTTATAGGTCAAAATTAATCTTATAATAATATTAGGACATTATTTGCTTTATTTACTCTCATTGTCTCATGAGTATGTAGTTTAGTTTTCCAGAAGGTACATGAAATATGATGATATCCTTTTTCTGAAGGCCAATGTGTTTTGTAGAATTTTCTAAGGCAGTCAGTTTAGCATATAAATTTGTGCATTTTGAATAAATAGCTCAGTTTGTTTTAAGTACTTCTGTGCTTTTAACCAGTGGTCTTTAGCAATACTTGCTACAATTTCTGCCTATCGTGATACTGAAGCAGGATATTTCCCTGGCTGCTTTGCAGGTTGGAACTGGAGTACAGGGGTGCTGGAAACAGCCTGCCCCTTTGGTGCTGGCAGGGATGAATTCCATTCACTCAGACCCGCTGTGCTTCACACCTCGTGGGAAAGGGAATGCAGGTGAGCGGGTGCAGGACTTGAGGTGAGCGCTTTTGGGTGTCGGTGGGAGCAAAACTGCTCATGCTCTTTTAGCTCTGCTGTCTACAGACGGCTTAAGTGTTAACAGCTCAGTGGAGTGTCAGTGTGACAGTCTTTTGCACCCATACCCAAGTTCTTGTCTGGTGTTCAGGAGGAATGAGGTCACATGAACAAATTAAAGATGGTAAATGCAGGGGATTTTATTGCTGATGAAAGTGGCTCTCAGCAGGAAGAGAAACTGAAAAGGGGACAGAGAGGGAAGGTAATCTTCCCCTGAAGTCTGCCCATCCCCTGGTTGGACTCCTCTGCAAAGCTACACCATTAAGTCATCCCTCTGAAGTCAAGCCACTTCTCCCTGACATCCAATCACAGTCTCTAACATCCTGCTGCTTCTCCTCTCTGCTGGCTGAACCTGGGGTTTATATAGGTACAGGATAGGGGATGGGGCAGGCCATGGTGGTTTTGGAAAATGCAACGTTCAAGCAGGAAAACAGGTATGTAAGTTCTCACTTTGGGCTGCAGTTCCAGGCTTAAGGGTGGGGCACTCCCTGGGAACCTGCCCTCTTCTGCCCAGAATGTCCCTGCCTCCTTTCCCTACCAATACTGATAAATGCAGAAACATTTTATAAAATTCAGCAATTTTCTGAATTTTAGGTGGAGAAGGAAACTGTGTTAGCTTTCTAGAACTTCTGGAACAAATTACTGCAAACTTGTTGGTTTGAAACAACAGAAAGTTCTTTCACAGTTCTGAAGACCAGAATAATGAAATCAAGGTGTCAGAAAGACCACACTCACTCTGAAAGCTTTAGGGGAGAATCTTTTCTTCCCTCTTTAAGCTTCTAATGGCCCCTAGTATTTCTTGGCTTGTGGCAGCAACACTTCAATCTGGTTTTACATGGCTTTCTTCCTTGTGTCTCTGTGTCTCCTTTCCTATCTCTCTCATCATGTTATATAGATCCTATGTGAATCCAGGATGATCTCATGATGAGATTCTTACTTTAATTACATCTGAGGTTTTCAATGAACATATTGTGGACAGGCACAATTTAACCCATCACACTGTCTTAACTTGACAAAGAGTAACTGCCAAAAACCCACATGAAACTTCATTCTTCATGGGGTGTATTAGTTAAGGTTCCTCCAGAGAAACGGAACACATAGACTCATAGCATATATAGATATGGAGCCAGAGATACATGTAGAGAGTTTCATTTTAAGGAATTGACTCACATAGCTCTGTGGGCTGGCAAGTCTGAGATGTATAAAGCTGGAAAGTAGGCTAGAAATTCTTGCAGGCATTGATGTTGCAGTCTTGTGTCTGAAGCAGCCTGTGAGCAGAATTCCTTCCTCTTTGGGGGACCTCAGTCTTTTCTCTTAAGGCCTTCAACTGATTGGATGAGAACCGCCCAGGCTACAGAGGGTAACCTGCTCTACTTAAAGTCTTCTGATTTAGATGTTAATTATATTTAATATCACCTTCACAGCAACATCTAGACTGATGTTTGAACAAGAAACTGACTACTATAACCTAGCCAAGTTGAGAAAATTGATCAAAACACAGGGCAAAGTTGGAAACTTCTGTTTTAAATTTGGGGCTTCATTACCACTTCTATTCAGTGATGGTTTGTACATTGTAACCAGGACAATACCAAAACAACAACAAAAAAGAAATAAGAAGCGTAAAGATTAGACAAGCAGAGACAAAACTCATAAAGTGTAGTTTATATGATTGTATTTATAAAAATAGCACAAATAAGCCTATAAACAAGTTATAAGAAGTAGTAAGTATTAAGATGGCTAGATATAAGTTTGATTTACAATAAGCTATTGCATGTCTATATGCCAATCACAGTAGAAAAAAATTAAAAATATATTATTTACAATAGCAAAAATATGACAATTTGGAATAAATCTAATAAATGAGGCATACATCATTTTGTGGGACATTTTATTGAATGGCATTAATGACTTTAAAATATCTAATGCTGCTGGGCATGGTGGCGCATAACTGTAATCCCAGCAATTTGGGAGGCTGAGGGAGGAGAATCACTTGAACCTGAGAGGCGGAGGTTGCAGTGAGTCAAGATCGTGCCACTGCACTCCAGCCTGGGTGACAGAGGAAGACTCCGTCTCAAAACAAACAAACAAACAAAAAGCAAAAAAAAATTAGCCAGACATGGTGGCATGTGCCTGTAGTCCCAGCTACTTGGTAGGTTGAAGTGGGAGAAGCACTGGAGCTGGGAAGGTCGAGGCTGCAGTGAGCTGATATCGCACCACTGCATTCCAGCTTGGGTGACAGAGCCAGACTTCCCCTTTCTCTCTCTGGATGACAAATGTTTCCATCCAGGAGACATTTGTCAATGCCTAGACACATTTGTTGTTGTCACCAGTGGCAGTGGGTTGCTACTGGCATTGAGTGGGTTGAGGCTAGTGATGCTGCATGATATCCTAAAGTGTCCAGGACAACCCCATAAACAAAGAATTATTCAGCCCAAAATATTATGGTGCCAAGGTTGAGAGATGCTGCAATACAATAAATGCAAGTCAAATTGGAGTTAAAGTGAAAGTCATAAACTTAAAGCTGTCAGAAGAAAATATAGGATATCTCCATACTGAAGATTGAATTTTTTCAATTACATAGGGCATTAGAACACAAAATAAATTATTGATACATTTTATTTTACTAGAATTGAAATTTTTTCCCACCAATTATGCTGGACAACAGTGAAAAAAAGTAAAAACAAATACCTATAAATTGGGAGAAATTACTGGTGTCATATATAAATGACTTAGATCAAATATCTAGGAAAAATATACTAATGTGACACATAAACATGTGTATATAACATATATATGTATGTGTATAGATGACACATAAAAACATGTAAGAATGAGCTAAAGACAGGAACAGGTATTTTACAGAGGTGAAAACGTGCAAGACAAATAAACATTTTAAAAGATGCTCAAACTTATGAATAAACAGAAACATGAAGACCACAATGATATATATTTAAAACTAAAAAGATAATTCTAAGAGTTGTTGAGAAGGTAAAGCAATGAAAACGTCTATGTCATGTAGGTGGGAGTGTAAATTGATACTACTGCTTTGGATCACAATTTAGCATTGTTTCCTGAAACTAGATCTGAACATACTTTATGAAAACCTTCAATTCTCCCCCTGGGTAAACACTCCGGTGCTTAGAGACATGTGGAAGACCCTTTAGAGCAGTATTATTTGAAACTGCAAAATAACACATCTCTTGTGGGCATACATAGAGGTATTTGGATGAGGTCAGATCACACAGGCTAATTCAATGGTATGGTTAAAATTCTAGCTCATACAGTGAGTGGTGTGTTCATTATTATGCTTCAGAACTCATGTATAAATTACATATATTCCTTTGTAAGCATACACACTACTTAATTAAAAATAACAACAAAACTTTGTCTGTGAATATGGATCAATAGAAAAGAATCTGGAGACCGTGAATATTTGTTTGATGTTCCAGAATTTTCTTTTAATGAAAACATCCTAGTTCTATTTAAAGGTGCAGTCAATATTCCTTCAGATGAGAACCTTGATTAGCCTCCTAAAGGTTTACAATGAGGTGCCAGTCCTACTATCCCCCCTGGTTTATGTAACTTAGCAAAAGGGAGACCCCAGAAATTCATGCCTCGTGTTATAACTGAATTGTATCTTCCTCCCCTAAACCTCCAATTCAGATGATGAAACCCTCATCCCTAATATGACTGTATTTGGAGGTAGGGCCTTTAAAGAGGTAAGTAATGTTAAATGGGGTTATAATCCACAAGTGGGGCCCTAGTCCAGAAGTATTGGTGGCCTTATAAGAAGAGGAAGAGACAGTAACAGTGAAAAGGCCACATGAAGACACAGCAAGAAAGTAGTCATCTCTAAGCCAGGGAGAGAGGCCTCGCCGGAAACCTAGCTTGCTGGCACCTTGATCTTGGACTTAGAGCCTCCAGAAATGTAAGGAAATAAATTTCTGTTGTTTAAGCCACCTAGTCTGTGGTATTCTGTTACGGGAACTTGAGCTTGCTAATACAACACCTCTATGGTAGATGTCAGGAAATTTGAAGAAAAATTCAGAGATGCCTGTAATGGTTATGTAGTTTCTTGTGACCAGCATCCCCATGGTGAAATATTACTCCTAGTACTGTCTTTGCATTTGACATCTTATCTGGTCCAGATTATTTTACACATTTTCCTCCAGAATCATCATATTTTTAAAGCTGCTTGAAAGCTTTTATGGAAAAAGCAGGATTAAACAATCCATAAAGTTTATCATCTTATGTGTTAAGCCAGGAAGTTACTACAGTGGAAAATAGCCATTGCTGTGCCAGAGGGAGAATGATACAAAGCCTGTGCAGGGCTACCCATTCTGCCTCTGTTCCTGTCTCTGTGCATTTGTGTCTATGTGAGAAAGTATGGCCGGGAGCGGTGGCTCACGCCTGTAATCCCAGCACTATGGGAGGCCGAGGGAGATGGATCACTTGAGGTCAGGAGTTCGAGACTAGCGTGGCCAACATGGTGAAACCCTGTCTCTACTAAAAATACAAAAATTAGCCAGGGATGGTGGCGCCCGCTTGTAGTTCCTGCTACTCTGGAGGCTGAGGCAGGAGAATCGCTTGAACCTAGGAGGCGGAGGTTGCAGTGAGCAGAGATCGCACCACTGCATTCCAGCCTAGATGACACAGCGAGACTCTGTCAAAGAAACAAAGAAAGAAACAATGAAATTAGGAAAGAAAGAAGGAAAGAAAGAAAGAAAGAGAGAAAGAAAGAAATTGGAGTACTTTTTAAAATTCTGTGGAGTTATTCCAAATTATCCTCATCACACTTTGCCCTGCCAGAGATCGATATAATTTTGCTTCCATTGTTCTATTCACTATGGACTGGCCATCTAGGCCAGGATAAGGAGGTGACCCTTGACAATGCCTCCATAAGGGTGAATCTCTCATCAGTGTTCAAATTCACACAGCTGTGTTTGTAGAGCAAAGCATCTAGTCTGATGATACTCGAGCTTGCAGAAAATAAATCAAACATCTGGAAAATCATGAGAGAAACATATGCACTTTAAGTAGAAAAGAGCCACTTAGCTCTTTTTTTCTGTAGAACTACCTAAAGAGGCAAATTATGAACTCTACAGCAAATGAGATATTATCTTACGCTTAGGCAGAACGGTTTAGTGGAATGATTGCTGATCCATGACTCAGAAGAGTCTCAAACTCATTGCAGTCAGCTTTTTGCCCACAGTTGCCTGCCAAATCCGATCCTGTGTACTTTATCTATAATGCCTTCCGCTAAATAACGAAGATCAGTTCTCTGTTCTCAACTTACTTGACCTATCACGAGCCTTTGCCAGTCCATTATTCATTTCTCTTTGAACATCTTTCTTCCTTTGACCTACAAGTCTCCATCCTTTCTTGCCTTTCCCTGTTTCCTTGGCCAAGCTTTCTCGGTCTCCTTTCTCCTATCTCTATTTTCTCTGACATTTGAATGTTAAGATGCCTCTGTCCCAGTCTTAGACCTCTTGATTTCTCCATTTCTATCTGCTTCACTGTCATCCTAAAAGCTCATTTGGTCTCACAACTTTTAGTAGCGAGAATGCTGCAAGCCAGCTGCCCCTTAAAGGCTGGACTCCGGCTGCTCCTGTCTGCTGCTTGGAAGCTCTTCCTGCAAGTATCAGTGAGGTCTACTCCTTTTTCTCCTTCTTTTTGCTCAATGAAGCTTATCCAAAGAAAGTACTTTAAAAGGTAATTTCTTCCTCTCTCTATCCTCCAACTCCTGGAATCATTGGTCCCTTTACCATCTTCTACATTTCCCCCTAAGTCCCTTATCACCATCTAATTACCATATCTTTTTTTTGAGACAGAGTCTCGCTCTGTTGCCCAGGCTGGAGTGCAATGGCACGATCTGGGCTCACTGCAACCTCCCTTTCCTGGGCTCAAGTGTATATCAATTTTCTCTATCTTTTTCTTTTTTTTTTGAGACGTTGTCTCTCTCTGTCTCCCAGCCTGGAGTGCAGTGGCGCAATCTCGGCTCCCTACAACCTCCGCTGCCCAGACTCAAGAGATTCTCCTGCCTTAGCCTCTCGAGAAGCTGGGACTACAGGCGTGTGCCATCACTCCCAGCTAATTTTTGTATTTTTCAGTAAAGACGGGGTTTCACCATGTTGGCCAGGCTAGTCTCGAACTCCTGACCTCAAGTGATCTGCCTGCCTTGGCCTCCCAAAGTGCTGGGATTACAGGCGTGAACCACTGTTCTTGGCCTGACTACTATATTATTTATTTATCACTTGGTGAATTGCGCGTTTCCATTGCCGTGGCAGGCTGAATAACGCCCCTGAAGACACCAGGTCCTAATGCCCAGAACCTAAGAAATGTTACCTTGTTTGGAAAAATGATCTCTGCAGATGTGATTAAATTAAGGATCTTAGGAAGGAGAGATTATCTTATATTATCTACATAGGCTCTAAATGCAGCTATGAGTGTTCCTGTAAGAGAGAAGCAGATGGAAATTTGATGGACATAAGTGGGAGCAATGCGACCACAGAGGCAGAGACTAGAGTGATGTGGGCACAAGCCAGGGAATAATTGTAGACACCAGAAGCTGGAAGACGCAAGGAACAGATTCTCCCCTAGATCCTCTGGAGGGAATGAGGTGTTGGAGACTCCTTGATTTCCTTGATTTGGGACCAATTATACTGATTTCAGACTTCTGGCTTCCAGAACTGTGAGAAAATAAATTTGTGCTTTTAAGCTTTCAAGATAGTAGTAATTTGTTACAACAGATATAGAAAATGAATGCAATTGCTACAGTATAAACTCCATGAGAGCATGGGTCTTTGTAAGTTTGATTCACTGACATATCTCAAATGCCTGGAGCATAGTAAGCCACCTTGCTTACTTTTTAGGGATGTTTTAAAACTTTATGAATCTTCTGTGTTCTTACTATCCATAAAGTGTTTTTTGACACTTTCTAGTTAACAGTAGACTTTAGCAAAAATGTTCCTGCTTATGCTCAAATGATGTCCTTGATCATTTTCAGGTGCCCATCAATGGTAGACTGGGTAAAGAAAATGTGATATCACACACACACACACACACCGCAGAATACTATGCAGCCATAAAAAAGAATGAAATCATATCCATAAGAGCTAAACATTGAGCACACGTGGACATAAATGTGGGAACAATACACACTGAGGATTACTAGAGTGGGGAAGGGGGCAGGAAGAAGGGGAGTATGGATTGAAATATTAGTATCTATCAGGTACTATGCTTACTACCTGCGTGAGGGGATCTGTACCTCAAACCTCAGAATCATGCAATATTCCCATGTAATAAGCCTGTACATGTATCCCCATATCTAAAATAAAAGTTGAAAAATTTAAAAGTTATGTATTAATTTTATCTGTGCTATCTAATGATAATCACAAAATAGGTAGTAGCTATATTTTAAAAAGATGGCATCCAATTTTGAGCAAGAATGAAAAATAAAAAACTACTATACACAATCAAAACTTTTCCTACTAATTTTCAACCATTACTGATCATTGCTTTGAATAGCCCTCCAACATTTCTGTCTAGCATTGAACATACCGTTCTTAGTATTAGAGCCAGCATTTGTCTGTAGCTTGGAGACCTCTCTGAGCTTTGTGCATAAAGTCTTCTCAGGATGCTTCAAAGCAGCCTTTTATCTTTTCTTTAGTAAGAAACGTCTGTCTCCTTACTACAAAGGGAAATTTCCATTTGCCCTTTCAAGTTTTATGCTTATGCCTCTATTCCTCTTGTAGACTCCTACTTCTAGTGCCTAAGCAAAATCAAAAATAAATTTCCGACAATGTGATCTGGCATATGCCATTATTATTGTTTCTAATCAATGATTTCCCTGCAAGGCTCAATTCTTCTACATGTCTATCCACCTTCAAGTAATTCTTCCAGGGAAACACACTTTACCCTTGTAATTCTATTACTCTTGGATTTAAATATTAAACTAAATCTGTTATAGACTTATTTAGATATACAGACTTTTTTTGAGGCACTTGGTATTACCAAACCAAGCTATAAGCTTTATTATATTTTAAGTGCAAAAAGAAATGCTGTCAATTAAACCAATAAACCCATACTACCTCCACATTATCACAGAACTTTTACTTTTTGTATATCCTCTCTTGTTTATGTGGATAAATGAAGTATGCATGCATCAGTTATGTACTCACAAAAATATGTGTATAATTTTTTTAAAATATTGAATGAGCTGAAACCACCTTGATTCTATCCTTCTTTGGTACAGCCCCACTTATTCGATTTTAGTTTTTTCTTGTCCTGGACAAGTTCTTATTATGCTTTTCCTGGATTATGCCCACAGAATCGCCTCTTCCTTCCCCTAAGCCATCTTGCCTCTTGTCTGGTTCCTCTCCCATCCATCTTCCAGATGGTGACAAGGTGATCTTTTCAAAGCATAAAAAATCACATTTATCCACTGTTAAGGCTCCTTCCTATTTATGGAAATATGCTCAGTCTTTAACTTGCCATGCAAAGTCCTTAATCACAGGTTTCTTGCTATCATTCTCCCCCTTCCCTCTACTCTTCCTGCTCACCCATGCTTCATGCCTGCCACACATTCGTACCTATGGATTTTCTGCAATGCTTCATGCTGCTGAACCTCCCCTGCTTCTCTCAGGCTGTTCCTTCAGGGCAGGGAATAGATAGCCCTTTCTCATCTAACCAACTGACCCTTAACATCTCAGTTTAAGCCTCATCTTCACCAGTGGCTCCAGTATCTGAAATCCTTCTTGACTTCCGGAGCATGCTAAATATTCATAGCCAACACAGCATTTGATTTGGTTCACTTGCCTGCCTTTCAGTATATGTGTGAGTTATATTTATTTTTATAAACATATTTATATTTTATTATATAATGCCACCTTCTTGTGGTATAGGACTATGTCTTGCTGTACCAACATTGAGTACATAGTAGGAACTTGCTATGGTCTAAATATATGTGTTCCCCCAAAATTCATATATTGAAATCCTTAACCCCAAAGTGATAGTATTAGGAGGTAGGGCCTTTGCAAAGGATTAGGTCATGAAAGTACAGCCCTTATGAATGGGATTAGTGTCCTTATAAAAGAGAACAGAGAAGTCCCTTATGCCTTCCACCATGAAAGGGCATAGTAAGAAACCACCATCTGTAAGGAAGTGGGCTTTCACCAGACAATGAATCTGCCAGACCTTTGAAGTTGGACTTCTTAGTCTCTAGAACTGTGAGAAATGAATTTTTATTTTTTTAAGCTACTGTTTATGACGTTTTGTTATAGCAGTCCAAATGGACTAAAAATACTCACTAGTTGATTGATAAATACATAATTAACATTTAATAATGTATGAATACAATAGTTTATTTTACTTTTTTAATATATACACACATATCTATAAATTTATAAACATATTATTGTATTATATGTCTCTCCTTCTGCCTCTCTGTACACACACACACCACGTACACACACAAATTTTTCTTTGCACAGCCCAATTTTTTAAAGTTGGGAAATTCATGACATATCTCATTTAAAACTGAGCACTTTAATGTTCTTTCTATCTTGCTTTTTAATCCTTCTGTTTTTTTTCTTATTAATCTATGGGCTATTGCTTTTCTTTTCATGTCTATTTGTACAATTTCTTCTTTTTACTGTAAGTATCTATAGATACATTAACAAAATACTGCTAGGAGTTGAGAAAGATAACCAACATTTATTTTATTTTAGAGATGCTTTTTAGGCATCATATATTTAATGTGATAGTCACTCTGCTGTTGAAAGGTGAAAAACAGACTTATGTATGCACTAAGGTTCCTAGATGTCTCTGTTTTTAAAAGATATATATTTAAGGTATACAACAGGATTTTTATATAAATATATATGAAATATATATATAATTTTTATATATGATATATAAATATATATAAATTACATATCAAAGATATATAATTTTTATATGTGATATATAAATATATATAAATTATATATATTTAGATTTCACACATAAGTGAGATCATGTAATATTTTTCTTTTTGAATCTGAGTTTTTTTGCTTAGCATAATGTCCAGACTCATCCATGTTGTCATAAATGGCAGGATTGCCATCTGTTATAAGGCTGAATAATACTTACTATATTTCATTATATATGATTTAATTTTATATATGTATCTATGTACACATCTACATGTATATATCTATATATCTCCCAGTTTCTTTATCCATTCATTCACCAATCGACACTAAGGTTGTTTCCATATTTTGGCTGCTGTGAATAATGCTGCAATGAGCATGGGAGTGCAGATATCTCTATGAGGTGCTAATTTCATTTCTTTTGCATATATATGCAGAACAGGGATTGCTGGGTCATATAGTAGATCTATTTTTACTTTTGTGAGGAATCTCCACACTGCATTCCATAATGGCTGAGCCAATTTACATTGTTACCAATAGTGTACAAGTTTTCCCTTTTCTTTACGTCTACCCTTTCTAACACTTATCTCTGGTCTTTTTGATAATAGCCAGTCTAACAAGTGTGGGGTGATATTTTCTGGTTTTGGTTTGCATTTCCCAAATAACTAGTGATGTTGAGTGCTTTTTCATATATCTATCGGCAACTTTTCTGTCTTATTTGAAGAAATGTCTATTCAAGTTCTTTGCCATTTTAAAAACTGGTTGTATTTTTGGCTATTGGGTTATGTGAATTTCTTATCTTTTGAATATTAACCCCTAATCAGATATATTGTGTGCAAATATTTTCTCCCAATCAGTAGGCTGCCTTTTCTTTCTCTTTTTTGCTACACAGAAACCTTTTAGTTAGATGTATTACCGTTTGTTAATTTTAGCTTTTGTCATCTGAGCTTTTGTTGTGATATCCAAAAAAAAATTATTGCTAAGGCCAATATCAAGGAGCTTTTCCCATATGATTCTTTGGGTCAGAACTTGCATACTATTCCTCTGTCTCATTTTACTGACCAAAGAAAATCAGATGGTTGAGTCCTTAGAGTTGGAGGATACTAAAAAATTACATCAGAAGGGACATGAATTCAAGGATGAGAGTTGAATTGGAAACATTTTGCAATCTTCTGCAGTGACTTTCTCTTTCCTTCCTTAGGACTCCATGAACATCCCTGGAAGCTATGCATTCTCTCAAATAAAGAAAACTTTCCAGATTTAAAAAAAATGACATTTTGTAAGTAAAAGTTTTGTAAGTATTCTATGGGCAGCTACCAATCACACTGGAGCATGTTTCCTTTTACTTTTCTGAAATATTTAGCTCAAATGTTCTACTTTATTGTAGAACTTGTCTCTATGTAGAAATCTACATCCTCAACCAAGATACTGAAAAACAAAACTCATGGCAATATAAAAATGTAACCTCATTTTTTTTTCTCTTGCTGTTTCTTTAACATGTATTTAGTATATGTAAATTTCCTCTGTCTCTAGATGAAAACTGTCAGATAAAATTTGTCATCTGGAAAAGATAATAGAGTATTGCAAAGTGTCTTAAAAATCAGCGGCTAAATGTTAAGTACAAGTTATTGATCAAAAGTGGTAAAAGCTTGGGAAAGGGCATGCCTGAATTTCACCATCTTCAAACCACTGCTTACTTTGTGGTCTTCCTGTTTCCTAGCAGAAAATTCATGGGTTCATTGGAGATGGCCATTATTGGTGGATATTCTCTTGACATTTCTTGACTCAGGCAAAAGTATTTCTTTCATGGTGACGACTCATGTTTTCTTCCATAGGGAGGAATCTGAAATTGATCTCTAACTTCTTGTGCATGGGGGCCTTCTGTGTCTTCCCACTTCCCAAACAGATGACCCTAGAAGGGCTTTTCCTCCCATGTGAACTTTATCTTTTTCATGTATAACACACATACTTTTCTTACCAAATTCTAGAAATGTATCCACCTCCCACTTGCCCCTGGTTGCCTTTGCTTTTCTCGAGTAACGATCAGGACCAGCTCTCTATCTCCTCACCTGCAGCAGAGTATTTAAGCTTTCCCAGTCATGCAGTGGAGGGACCCCTCACCAAGTCTGAAATAAAGAAGGAAGAAATCCCTCCCTGGGATTTAGAAGTGAGAACTCACAGCATGTCAATAGAAATCTCCAGGAAATGTCTCTACTATTGCCCTTCTCTTCTCCCTTCTTGACTGATTTATATTCTCAAAGTGTGTGACAGAATCCATGAATTCTGGACTTGAGTTTCAGTGATAATCTTGGACAAACCTAAATTTTGGTTTAGCATTTCAAGGATTTTTTTAGGGATATTTCATTTTTGTTATTTAATAGAAAATTGAATTTTTACATCTTTTTATATTTGCAAGTCTCTACTTGGACCTGACCTGTTTTTAGGTAAGGTTGGTTGAAAAACTGCTCATCCTTCTCCTTCTCACTTTAAGTAGAGCAACGTTTTGGGTACAGGATGCACTACTACAGACTGTTTCAGTAGGAAAATTTTCCCAAGTGGCCTTGAATAGATATATCAAGAAAACGGTACAGGGCAACCAAGAGTTGGTGGCTCATTTAACTTCCCATTTCTTATCCCAGCATGTTCTTATTTTCTGATAAACGTTACTTTGCCCCTGTACTCCTAATTCTAGAAAAAATAATATGATATTTATTTCCCTGTATAAAATAAAGCTCTTGGAAGAAATTGAGAACATGAACAAAGGGAAGCTTTTGAATCCGTTGCAATCCCTAACAGGTAAAACCATGCTCTTGGTGTTAATAACATGATGATCTACCATTCAGGTGCTTTATAAAGATAAAATGTGGGTAATCAAAGTTTTATCATTGGTAAACAGAGAATATCAGGGAATTTCAAACTTTTTGATCTCTATAGTTTTGAGTATAGAGCCTCAGGGTTTTAAAATGAGACACTTTGCATTGAAGACCAAAGAGGGAAGAATTACAACACATTCTTTAAAGACCTTGTCATATCATACTTGAGAGATGACTGCAGAACACTGGCCTCTGGGCAGCTCCTTTACTTTTTAATTGGTTAAACTATCCAAAGTATAGCTTGGGTCTCTTACAGGACAAAGTGGCCTGGGGATGTTGAAGCCTTCTACAGGAAATCTTTGTGCCTTGCATAAAATGAGCTGACTTGCTCTGAACTACATGCTTTATAGTTGAACCCCTTAGTGTCCTGTGGTTCTTGAACAAATATCCCAGGATGCCAGAATGATGGCTCCATTTCATGGATCTCATAATTTGGAGAGAAGTCGCAGGACAGTATTATAAATTAAGGTGGGCAAAAACTGCCAGACAAGCCAGTATTTTATATTGAGCTACAAAAAGAGGAATATATAGCAAATGTGTTTTTAATCATTGTATTTTTTTTTGTCAGTCGATACTTTTCTGACAATCTTGGTCGTCCCCTACAGTTGTATTTGCTGTTACGAAAAAATTTGTTTTGCACCAGATACTTTACCCATATCAAATATAACTTTCTGTTCATTAGCAAATTCTCTCTTCCAGGTGAATATGAACATACAAAAACACTGGACATCTTCTGGAACTTTCATACTTAGTCTCAGATAAATAGAGGATGACAGACACCTGAATTTAATATTCCAGCAGTTTCCTCTATGTCTCTGTGATTTATCATAATGTAACTACAAGAGTCTCTCAATGGGTCTCTTTAGGTTCAATCTTTCCTCTCTTTAATTTCTCCCATGAACACAGTCAAATTAATGTTATTTAAAAGTAAAATAATCATCATGAGATCCACCTAATAAAATTCTTAGGAGGTCTCCAATGCTACCTTAGCTTTTTATTCTTGCCATGATACATCTTCATGCGTTTACATCTCTCTAGCACTGCACAACAGCCAAACTAGTCTATCTGCAATCGTCTGAACTTCTTTTCAGCCTCTACATTCTTCTCTTTCTTTGACTTCTCATCACCCCAAAGTACCTGTATTCTTTTGCCAACAAAGTTTAGACCCCACTTCTTTTGGGAAGTCTTTCCTCACCCTCTACATATATTTCCATAGTTTTGTATTTACACACCACAATATAATCTGTTAACTAAAACCTACAGACATTGTTTTGCTATGCAAAGCTTTGAATACATGTGAGAAAACACTAACACATACAGTTATTGGAATAGGTGCCCCCAAACACTTGCAAAAATGTTTTTCTTAGGTAATATTTTATGACTCTAGGTTATCTTTATGTAAGTTAATATTGGCACCTTTTGCTTCTCTCTAGCCTTGTTCCCAATTCAGGGCATTTTTTTTCACCTGCCAAACATAGATTGTCTTAGACATAGCCCCTGTGATTTGGAAAGAAAGTTTTATACTTAAATAAAATGAGCCATATATGTGTGAACCTGATAAAAGTGATAAGAAAAAAAACGTTGATTTTGAATAGCCCTAGTGAGGCAGAAGAGTTCCCTGACACCTCTGTGGGACTTGGAACAGGGGTGTGGCTCATTTCCTCAGCCTCCATGCACTCAAACTTCTTGTGGGAGGGGAAGCATGCAGGTGAGCCAGGGTGAGCAGTTTTGGGCTCTGGCCCCATGGCAGTGTCTAGGTGTGTTACAGTGTGCTTTTATCTTTGCTGTCCATGGATGGCTAAGTGTTAACCAGCTTGGTGGAGAGTCAGGGTGACAGCCTTTTATACCCTGCCCTTTTGGTGCCCGGGTCTAGTATGGCATCCAGGAAGAATCAGGTCACATGGACTTGAAGGATGGCGAATGTGGGGATTTTACTGAATGATGGAGGTGGTTCTCTGTGGGATGGATGGGGAGCTGGAAAGGGGATGAAGTGGCAAGATGATCTTTCCCTGGTGTTCCTCCATCTTACTACTGATCTCCTTTCTGATCATCCTTAGCTGAACTCATCTTGATGTTGAGATACTCCTTCTCTTCTCTCCTTCTCTGCCACACTGTTCTGCTGCTCTGCCAGTGGAGCTTGGGGTTTATATGGGGACAGGATAGGGGTGTGGCAGGCCAGAGTGGTCTTAGAAAAGGCAGCATTTGGGCACAAAAACAGGAATGCCTGTTCCCATTCAGTGCCATGGGTTTCCAGGCTTGAGGGTGGGGCCTTTGCTGGGGAACTGCCCTCTTCTACCCAGTATTTCCCTGCCTCCTGTCCATATCACTAACTAAATAATCAGTTCCAGTTTATCAACATTCAATCTAATTGTTAATGGACTCCTTCTTGCCTTTCTGCAGCCCAAGTGTGTTGGTTCTCAAGAGGGCATCGGTTAGCTATTAAACTGAGTCCCTGCTTCTGCCTTTATAGTTTCCAGAGGTATGATTTGCTGTCATCTTTACCACTTGGTATTCACTCATCATTTTGAATTTATATAATAATGTCACTCATAATTTGCCTGCTATTCTCTGCCTTCTATTTTATATGCTTCACAGATGCTATGCTTAGATTGTAAGATCCATCAAGGGAGTGGTTGAGATCATGCAAGTTTCTGAACTCACTGGCTGTGCAGGGCTGCCTAGCTCCTTGCAAATGTCATCTGCAAAATGAGGTTGTTAGAATAGGATGCCTTTCAAGATGCTTATTTAAGTTGAGGATTTAGTGAGTCATCATCTCATTCTAATGACTGAAATATATGTGTTGGTGAAGACAGTATGCCAAGAAGAAAATGTGAACTTTTTCACTATTCATATTTAGTTTGAGGTTTTTAGAAAGAGCTGCTCTTAAGAAGAGATCTATAGTAACAGGATTACTGTGATGACCAAATAAAATAATGCACACAAAGCACTTAATCAAGTATTTAAGAGACAATTTGTGTTATTATCATTATCATTTAGATAATCTTTTAAGAAAATTTTTGCAAGCCTTACTGAGATTGATCTTTTTTGTGGGGGAATGGGGGGAAAAGAGTTACCTCTAGGGTATAATTTTTAGCAGCCTATCCTAAAATCCAGTTACATATAATCTCTAGATTAAAAATCACTCCCCCAAAAGGATTCTTTTTCTTCCTAATTTAAATCAGGTCTCCTACTATTCTAATGAATCTGATACTCTGCCTTTAGTGCAGTCTCAGGGCTGCAGTCATATACTTATAGATATTGTTGTTTTCTTAATTTAGTTTTTACTGCCAATCTCCTCTAGAAAATTTTAATCTTGAAAAAAATCACTGGGTGACTCTGTGTTGCTTAGCATTGTATGCCCATTTCCAGCATTGAAAAAATTCTCAGTAAATATTTGTTTTATGAATGATTAAATATATAAATAAGTACAGTGAAATGCAGATGTTATTTGGTAATTAAACAACCATTTATCCAGTATCAGAAGGCACAACATTTAGTGTTAGTTATAGCACTAACTTAACCATGTCACCTGAAATAAGCTTCTGTAAGTCTTAACATTTTAAGTGGAGGGTTTGCGCTAAATCAATCATTTTCAACTCTGCTTGTGCATTATAATCCCCCAGAGAGCTTTTAAAAAGCATTTAATTTTAGGTTCCATCTTAAATTGAATGAGATTCTCTGTGAGTAGGGCCCTGGCACTGGTGTGTACATATTTTAAATGCCCTAGGTATTTCTAAGGAATATCCAGTTTTTAAAGTCAGTATACTAGATTAATGAAATTTCTTTCATTTACAAATCTGACTTATTTTGCTTATACTTCTGAAAAGGCAGGCTGTTCTACTATTTTATCTGAGCATGTGTAATGATTCTCTGCACAGAGCAGGACCTCAATAACTGTTTGCTGTTGCTGAACTTGCAGAGAGTTCTACTGAAGGTCGTGAATATTAAACACAGGAGATTAATCTAGTGACTCCAATGATGTGTTCATCTCTCATTTTATAGTGAGCTCATCAAAAAAAAAGCCTTCACAAACTAGCTGAAAATAGATTGGAAAACTCTCTAGCAATGACAAGACACTTGTGACTAAAGGTAATTAAATGTTTTAAAACAAGACTAGCAATCACTTATTGAACTCTTCATATGTATAAGACAGAGTTTTGGGCACCTTGTAATAGGGGCTATCATTATCCACGTAGTGCAGATGAAGCAACTTAAGAAGAAAGAAATTAAGAATCTAACAAGTGGTGGGTCTGGGTTTGAGCTGTGCTTTTTTCCAGAAACTGGGCTGTTCACTCTTATTCTAGGGCAGTGAAAGTTTACAAAGTACTCCAACCTATCCAGAGTGAAGCAATGTTCATGCATGAAAATCACTTTTGAAATTAAATATATGATCTCTGAAGAAGATGGGATTTAAACTCAAATAACTTTTTCTTTGGTGTCTGACTAAATTTTTTAATCCTGACATCATAGGTTGTAATTACCAAAGTGTATTAGTTACCTATTTCTGTGTAACAAGTCACCTCAAAATGGAGTGCCTTAAAACCACCCAGAGTTATCTCATTGTGTCTGGGTGTTAGGAATACTGGCATGGTTCAGCTAGGTTATCTGTTTCAGAGTTTCTTGAAAGGCTTTCGCTAGCGGTTGGCTTGGGCTACAGTCCCAAATGAAGTCTGCACAGGGGAAGAATCCTCTTCCAAGCTCACTCACATGGCTGTGGGAAGAATTAAGTTCTTCGAAGGATGTTGGACTGGAACCCTAGGTTCCTAACTAACCACAGTTGTTTGCCATGTGGGCATCTCCATCAAAGAACTCATGAAAAGAGTCAAAGAGAGTGCCAGCAAGATGAAAGTCAGTCTTTGAAAACCTAATCTTCAAAGTGACATCCCGTCTCATTTTGTGTATTCTATCCATTAGAAGCAAGAACCTAGGCTCATCCTACACTTAAGGGAAGGGGACTACACAAGAGTATGTATAACAGGAAGTGAGGATCATTTGGGAGTCATTTCAAAAGTCTGTCTGCCACACAAGGAAATGTCTATGGGGAATGTGCATGTGGCTCTGTCTATAGGAATGTCTATGGATTTTGTGACACCTGGGTATTAAATGACCATGGAATCTTTGGTGACCTGGTTGTGGTTATGCCTCCAACTGTAGTTACAGTGGCATCCATATTTCTTGACAAGGTAAGCAATCATTTTCTACCTTATTAGTTATGTAGCTTCTTATATTTCCAGATTATGATGTACTCTGATGTAAAACTTCTGCAATATAGTTGATGCTTTAATATTTCTTACAGCTTCCCTTTCTCTTGTCCTCACCTTAGCAGTTAAGGAGCAGAGTCCACAACCATAGTCTTCCACCCTGAGATACTTTGAAATCAGACTGCCTGAAAAACCTACTCTCAAATAAGTAAAGTTGGTTTTTATAACCCCCTAGTTGTGTTAGTTATATCATTTATGTTTTGTTATATCTGTGAGCGAGTGAATCTAAATCAGTTTCCTAATAAACTTACCTAGGTAAGCAAACCAGACATTTCGTTTCATTAACACACATCAAAAACTTTATAGTCTTTTATATTTTATGGGACCCTGTAATTCCCACAGGGATCTGTTTTCATGTCACATAAAGGAACTGCAGTGGTTGATGAAGTTTTATTGCTTCAGATTATCCAGGCTCATAGGTGGAAGGGGCTTGTCTTGTCTCAGATAAGATATTGGATTGTGGACTTTTGAGTTAATGCTGAAATGGGTTAAGACTTTGGGGGACTGTTGGGAAGGCACGATTGGTTTTGAAATGTGAGTACATGAGATTTGGGAGGGTCCAGGGTGGAATGATATGGTCTGGCTGTGCCCCCACCCAAATTTCATCTTGAATTGTAACTCCCACAATTCCCAGGTGTCATGGGAGGAACCCTGTGGGAGGTGATTGAATTATAGGTGTGGGTCTTTCCTGTGCTGTTCTTGTGATAGTGAATGAGTTTCATGAGATCTGATTGTTTTAAAAATGGGAATTTCCCTGCACAAGCTCTCTCTTTGCCTGCTGCCATACATGTAAGACATGAATTGCTCCTCCTTGCCTTCCTGCCATGATAGTGAGGCCTCCCCAGCCATGAGGAACTGTAAGTCTATTAAACCTCTTTTGTAAATTTCCCAGTCTTGGGTATGTCTTTATCAGCAACATAATAGACTAATATGTTGGCTAACTCCTGCTCATCATTGAAAAGTTAGCTTATGTGTCCTGTTTTCTAACAAATATCACAGATTCTTATTCTGGGTTTGGTGCCCATACTATCTGTTTCTGTAGTGCGCTATGATCTGCCAATGTCAGTTTGGGTGGAATTTGATATGCTCATAGAAATTGCGTCTTTTTCCCCCTCAAGTAGTTTCACGTGTGCTAAGCTCTCTGTGGCATAGTAGGACAGATTAAATGGCTCATGAAAGTAGATGCTTGAGAAGTCCAGCACATACGTACTGAATAGCCTGTTCCTGGGAAGCTCTATTACAGTGAATGGAACACTGTAATAAGGAAAGGGTACAGGTTTCTTGAGATGATATATATTAGCTGTGCCAGTAATTCAGTGACAATCATTAGATCATGTGGAAATTTCTGATTTCATCATAGTCATCATCATCATCATGAGCTGCAACTAATAATTCTTTTTCAATTACCAGTTAAAATTTATTCATTTATTTCAGTGATACTGAGTATCCAGTTATAGGACTGTACTTTTCAATTAAATAGGTCTGGTTTTTTAGAATACTGCAGAGGGATATGTATAGTTAGATAAAACAGAAAATTCTAAGAAACATATAAGACACATTATAATTTGAGTTACATTTTTCCTGGTGTATTAGTCTGTTTTCATTCTGCTGATAAAGACATACCTGAGATTGGAAAGAAAAAGAGGTTTTAATGGACTTAGAGTTCCATGTGGCTGGAGAGGCCTTGTAATCATGGTGGAATGTAAAAGGCACATCTCACATGGTGGCAGACAAGAGAAGAGAGTTGTGCAGGGAAACTCCTGTTTTTAAAACCATCAGATCTCATGAGACTCATTCACTATCACAAGAGCAACACAGGAAAGACCCGCACCCATAATTCAATCACCTCCCACCGGCTTCTTCCCATGACACGTGGGAATTGTGTGAGTTACAATTCAAGATGATATTTGGGTGAGGACAGAGCCAGACCTTATGATTCTGCCCCTGGCCCCTCCAAAATTCCATGTCTTCACATTCCAAAACCAATAATGCCTTCCCAACAGTACCCCAAAGTCTTAACTCATTTCAGCATTAACTTAAAAGTCCACATTCCAATCTCATCTGAGACAAGGCAAGTCCCTTCCACCTATGAGCCTGTAAAATCAAAAGCAAGTTAGTTAATTCCTAGACACAATGGGGGTACAGGCACTGGGTAAATATAGCCATACCAAATAGGAGAAATTGGCCAAAACAAAGGGGCTACAGGCCCCACGCAAGTCCAAAATCCAGCAAGGCAGTTAAATCTTAAAGCTCCAGGATGATCTCCATTGACTCCATGTCTCACATCCAGGTCTTGCTGATGCAAGAGGTGGGTTTCCATGGTCTTGGGCAGCACTGCCCCTGTGGCTTTGCAGGGTACAGCCTCCCTCCTGGCTGCTTCCATGGGCTGGCATTTAGTGTCTGCAGCTTTTCCAGGTACATGGTGCAAGCTGTCTGTGGATCTACCATTCTGGGGTCTGGAGGACATTGGCCCTCTTCTCACAGCTCCACTCAGTGGTGCCCCAGTAGGGACTCTGTGTGGGGGCTCTGGCCCCACATTTCCCTTTCATATTGCCTTAGCAGAGGTTCTCCATGAGTGCCCTGACCCTGCAACAAACTTCTGCCTGTACATCCAGGCATTTCCATACATGCTCAGCAATCCAGGCATAGGTTCCCAAACCTCAATTCTTGATTTCCGTGCACTGGTAGGCTTCACAGCCCCAGGAAGCTGCCAAGGCTTGAGGCTTGCTCCCTGTGAAGTCATGGCCTGAGCTCTGTATTGGCCCCTTTCAGCCATGGCTAGAGTGGCTTGGACACAGGGAACCAAGTCCCTAGGTTGCACACAGCACAGAGACACTGGGCTTGGCCCAGTAAATCACCTTTTTCTTCCTAGGCCTCTGGGCCTGTGATGGGAGGAGCTGCCGTGAAGGCCTTTGACATGCTCTGGAGATGTTTTCCCCATTGTCTTGGGGATTAACATTCAGCTCATTGCTACTTATGCAAATTTCTGCAGCCAGCTTGAATTTCTCCTTGGAAAATGGGATTTTCTTTTCTATTTCATTGTCAGGCTGCAAATTTTCCAAACTTTTATGCTCTGCTTCCCTTTTAAAACTGAATGTCTTTAAGAGCACCCAAGTCACATCTTGAATGCTTTGCTGCTTAGAAATGTCTTCTGACAGTTACCCTAAAGCATCTCTCTCAAGTTCAAAGTTCCACAGATCTCTAGGGCAGGGTCAAAATGCTGCCAGTCTCTTTGTAAAACATAAGAAGGGTCACCTCTGCTCCAATTCCCAGCAAGTTCCTTATCTCCATCTGAGACCACCCCGACCTGGATGCTATTTTCCATATCACTATCAGCATCATCTTTGTCAAAGCCATTCAACACATCTCTAGGAAGTTTCTGACTTTCCCACATTTTTCCTGTCTTCTTCTGATCCCTCCTGACTGTTCCAACCCCTGCCTGTTACCCAGTTCCAAAGTTGCTTCCACACTATCAGGTATCTTTAGCAGCACCTCACTTTACTGGTACCAATTTACTCTATTAGTTTGTTTTCACACTGCTGATAAAGACATACCTGAGACTGGGAAGAAAAATAGGTTTTAATTGTACTTACAGTTCCATGTGGCTGGGGAGACCTCACAATCATGGTGGAAGGTAAAAGGCATGTCTCACATGGCAGCAGACAAGGGAAGAGAGTTTGTGCAGGGAAACTCCCATTTTTAAAACCATCATATTTCATGGGACGCATTCACTGGTCATGAGAGCAGTGCAGGAAAGACCTGCCCCCATAATTCAATCACCTCCCACCGGCTTTTCCCCATGACATGTGGGAAATATAAAAGTTACAATTAAGATTTGGGTGGAGGCACAGGCAAATCATATACCTGGATCATTTAAAATTATTTTTTTTGTGAACTCTGATTAATAGATAATTTAATTATCTTTAGCTTATTACTTTGTGGGAAGATAAACATAGATGTATATGATCTTTACTGAGTGCTGTTATGTGCCAGCCAGTCTACTAAGCATCTTACAGGTACTAACCTATTTATTTTTCACAAAAACTCAGTGAAGATGGCATATTATCACCACTTTACCAATAAATAAATGAAAATTTAGTAAAACCAGCTATTAGGAATTATACAGATAACTAAATAGCAGAGCTAGGACTTGAAGCCAGGTCAGCCTGATTCCTAATTCCCTGGTCTCAGGCAGTTGGCCAAACTGGTATTTTTGTTTTTCATAGGCTTATAGTCATTAATTTTTCCTATCAGTAGACTTTGATGCCTTAGCACTGTTATTTTCCAAGACAGATACAGTGTGTGCTTCTTTTTCCTGATGTCTTAAGGTTTTTACTTATTCTTGGTCAATAGTACAAGTGGTCCCTAATTCTCACAGAAGCAAATATACGAGGGGAGATCTGCCCTTTTCGCTCATTCTGAGGTTGAATATTTTGAGAAACTCTCAATAACCATGGGTGTTATTGTGGGTTGTAACTGTGTTCTCCAAAAAGATATTTTGGGTTCCTAACCCCTGGTACTGTGCATAGGACTTATTTAGAAAAATAGGGCCTTTGCAGATGCAATCAAGTTAAGATGAGGTCGTACTCTGGGTGGCCCTAAATCAATCTGACTGATGTCCTTATAAGAAGAGAAGAGATGCAGAGATACACAGAGAGAATGCCATATCACGATGGTGGCAAGATTGGAGTAATGAGTCTACAAGCCAAAGAATTCAAAGCATTCTGCTGGCAACAGCAGAAACTAGGAGAAAGGGATGGGGTAGATTCTCCCTTAGGGTCTTCAGAAGAACATGGCCATTTGAACAACATGATTCTGGATTTCTGGCTTCTAAAACTGTGAGAAAATAGATCTCTGTTGTTTAAATCTATCCAGCTTGGGTACTTTGTTACTGCAGCCATGGGAAACTAAGGCAAGACTGTTCTTCCTGTTTACTATCTCTGGCTTTTAAAATCTCCTGTGCATCTGCTGTGTTTGAATGTAAGAATAAGAGGAAAATACATTTTCTCATGAAAAAGGCAAAAGTAAACAAGAAGCCAAATTTCATCTCTTCTTTTATAAGAAGCTACAAGATATTAGGTGACTCAACTTTTTCATACATATACTCAGCCATTCTTAGGGGATAAATTACCTGCAGCTGCAAGTGAAGAGAAATTTATGTTTGAGTTCCAAATAATGTACCTGTGACATCAAAAGCCTACTGAACTGAATAAACACAAATAAGAACAATATTTCCTAGGGCAGATTAAGCATTTCTATTGAAAAAGTGAAAATGTAAGCATTCTGAGACATGGAATGCAGAAAAAATAGTTGATGTTAGAGTGAAAAATAAGTTGACAAGAGGAGCTGCAATTAAAATGTTGAGATTTGCAATTCAAATGTTCAAATGTTTCAGATGTCAGAGAATCTGATCAGTATGATTGATGTAGGCTAACTCCCATGTTAATTGTGGCCAGCAGTGGAGAGTTACTCAGCGATGTAGAGGTGATTACCAGTTCTATAAACGGTGGGTGAAAAGAAGAGGATTTCTCATCATTTGAAATTGAGCTGATTAATCTCATGGTAATCGCTTTGAGCTATCAAAGTTTTCAGTAGAAGCCACAAGACTTGTTTTCTCACAGAAGAATGGGTGACAACAGCCACACTCATTGGAACCATACTCACTGACTTGGCCTGGCCTCTGAAGTCCCATACTCTAAGCTCCCACATCCTAAGCCAGAGTACTCACCACCATGATCCCCAGAGCAGTTTTTGTAATAGCTTCAGCATAGTCTTGGAATATGAAGATGATTTTTGAGCGAGGATCAATGTGCAAATTTTATTACCAAATGTGAGAGTTTTCTATACTACGAAGGGTGGCTATGGAAAATTCCAGGTCTCTAATGTATAATTCCATATACTAATTTGTGTCAAAACAATAGTTAATTCTGCTACATATGAGTAACAAAAGGTTAAGATGGTACTGGAATCCTTATGGCAAAATTGGGATTCCACATAAAAACAAAAAGATTGAGTTTTATACATTTTTGTGTAACCTATAATTCAAAATGAAAAATCCATAGCCTACATATGAATCTACAGATTCATGTATAAACTGAATATGTTCCTTCCTAGGGATGGGTAACTCAGCTAACCACAGGAATTATGCCTGCTGACTCGTTTATATTCAAAGCAGAGGTAACTTATTTAAATCAGTCAAAAGATGAGGATAAATTTCAAATACAGTTCTGCTCACACTGCTTCTTAATACCATCTCATGATATCAAGCTAAAACAGTCATCCTAAGATGTATTATAATGTTCTTCAGTTGAGAGTGTTGGATTTTATTTTTGTTGAGATACTGTTCCCTAAAAATAATGATTCCAGCTTCACACAATACAATGCAGGCATGTTGCATTTTTAAAATGTACAGAAAAACTATGAAGAGATATAAAATTCAGCATTTGTAAGTTGAGATGTTGGGAATAAATATTCTCTGTAAGAAGCAGAAACTTAAAAAAGTGAGTTAGCCTGAGACCCATTAGAAATACTCTAAGATAAGGGCACATTGAAGACAGATTCATATGCATTTATTTTGTTAAGTCCTCTGCAAAATACTGAGTTTGCCAACAACATTGGGCCGTGGAAAATGATAAGTACCCATGAGTCTACAAGATGACAGGCTCTGCCAGAGTTTATGTGGATATTTTATCATTGCTTACGTGGTGCATAGATACATGGATTAAAAAATTCCTCTGGGTGGAGAATATTCAAGTACGTGACAAGGAAAGTAATAACAAGACTGGTGGCTGTTGTTGCAAGGAACTTACGGGAAAAATTGAGTGATAGGGAAGTATTTCTGAGAATGAATTCCACGTGAAAGTAGCTTCCCCGCCGGGGAAAAACCCATCCTGATCTTTGGAAAGTCTTGGTGGTCACAGCACTAGGTGGGGAGAAAGCTTTTCCTAGGCAGATGCAGTAGGCAATTTTGAAAAACTTTTCTGAGCCGAATCATCACCTTTACATTTCAGCGTTGCTTAAAGTCATGCAATCCAAGATAATAATAATCACCATGTAAAGAGCTATAGAAATCCTGTGAATCAATGACATCTGGAAACTGAGAAAATGCTTGAAACTGAGCATTTCTATCATTAGTGTGTCAGAAATGATACCAGGAATTGACCAGTTTAATGAGAACTGATGTGAATAGATTTAAAACACAGAACATAGAGTTTTTGAAGAGGCAAGAAGAATGATTAAGAGCAGACACTCAAAACAAGAAATAAATCCATAAAGAACCAGGACAGTAGCCCTTTTACTAATTTTAACTGGTCTAAATATCCACTGCATTTTCGGAATATGGCGCCAGAAGCTAACAACAGATCCATACCGCCATAGATCAAGATTTTGTTATATTTATATTATGTTTGTATTTAAAATAACAAATCAGTGAATTGAATATAACTGATTATATTGTGTTTTTAAACTTCCATTAATTGTTTTATCTCTTTGTATAATGCTCTCTGGAAAGAGATCCATATGAGAAACGTAATCAGGTAGACCCAGTTACTGGTGAGATCCCTGTGACTGGGTAGAAAATATAAGTCAAGGAGCAACCCGAACGGGCTTTTTTGAACAAGACCTGTTTACATTTGGTGTGTTACATGTGTCACCTCTTAGTATAGTGGGCAGGTTGTGTCTTCATCAAGGTACCCATTCAAGGGTGTGAGTGGGGCTTGAAATGACCCTACTTCATTTGCCAAGCTATGAAACTATATCAGCCTGGAGAAAGGGGTCTTTTTGTACTTAGCACAGAGACACATTACGTGCTCTTTCCAATTTTGTTTTGCTACATGACAAGCCAGCACATACTCACTGGCATAAAGAACAACAATTCTTTATTTGGCTCAGCTGTGACAGCTCATCTTCACTCCAGTAGGAATCAGCTTGAGTAGCTTAAAGTCTCTTGGATTTGGAGTTATCTGAGGATTCATTCACCCGAATGTATGGTGGTTGATGCAAGCTGTGGGCTGAGACTACAGTGGTCAGCAGGAACACTGACCCGTGGTGTCTCAGTTACTGCCTGGCTTCCTCACAGTGTGAGATGGCTGAATTCTAAAAAGGAGCATCCTGAGAGACAGCAGGCATGAGCAACACTGCTTTTTCTGACTTCGCCTTGGAAGTCCTATAGTGGCAGTTTTGCCTCATTCTATTAGTTGAGGCTGTTGAAAAAGTGTCTGTGGATTTAGGGCTCACCCTAGATCCAGGAAGATCTTGTCTTAAAATCCTTAACAATTACATCTGCAAAGATCTTCTTTCTAAATAACATCACTTACACAGGTACCACAGATTAGGATTTGGACGGATCTTTCTGGGGCCACTATTCAACCCACTATGATGATGTTGGTAATAAAAGAAATAGGGTGTGAGATATTTGAGGAACCTCCACACTGTCTTCGCAAGTTTTCTATAAGCCTAAAGTTATTCTAAAAATAACAAAGTTTATTATAAATAAAACAATAAAACAAATGACACAAAGAAAAATAATTTAAAAATAACTTGTAAGCAAAAATAATCCTAATTAGGCATTCATGGGAAGATATTTAGGAAAATGTGGTACAATTTGAAAATAATAGCCATTAGAATCTAAGATATTATTGGTAATTGTATCTTCTTTGTTTTCATTGATTTTTAATACCATTTAATTGGATTATGTATTTTTCTAAAGAGATTTATCTTTTACCAGAAAAATAAGCTCAAATAATTTTAAAGAATCAACTTGTAAGCATTAATCTAGTATTAACTATGTACCTTTAACAGTGGCATATCCTGTAGTGTTGATGTTACACAGACTTTGCAGAGTAATATACAAAGAACCAAACCTTGTAAATAAAGATTTGAAATTATAAGACTTAAACAAAAGTCAGCCAAAGCTTAGGTATAAATTTCAGGGTGGCATGGTACTTGAATACTCATTGGGTATAGGGGTGCCATAGTCACTTTTGGAAAAATACATTCTACCACAGTCCTGGCTATAGGATTATTAATTTAAAAAGATAGTGGGATCATTAAAAACAAGCTTTACTATGTCACTCAAAAGCTTGGCCAGGAGGAGATGATGTGCTCAAAGGGGACATTTGAAGAGAGTTTTGTAAAGATAACTGTATACAAATTTTTTTCCGGGGGGTGGAGGGTGGCTATCTAAGGAAACTGTCTTGGTCTAAACCTGCTGCTATAAGAACATACCACAAACTGGGTAATTTATAAACAATAGCAATTTATCTTCCATGTTTCTGGAGGCTGGAAAGTCCAAGGTCAATGCACCAGCAAATTCAGTGTTTGGCTTGACATATGGTGGACGGTGGAAGGGCAAAAATGGACAAACTCTGTGTGACCTGCTCTTGTTTTTTAAAAATAAGAGCATTAATCTGGTTCACAAAAATGAAGCCCTCATGAGCTAATCACCTCTGAAAGGCCCCACCTCTTAAGATGATCACATTGTCAATTAAATTTTAATATATGAATTTTGGAGGACACATATTCAGATCACAGCAGAAACCCATAAACTATGATTAAGCACTCAGGGCTAGGAACTGTAGGAAGTCTCCACCATGCCTATGTCTGAGGTTCCAAGGGAAGGGAGTGGTCTCCAGAATCTAGTGAGATCTGTCAGTGAAGATGAGTGGACACCCCAAATGCTGTTTCCTTAGGTAGAGAAATGCAACCACCAACTAACAGAGTCCTTGCAGAGAGAGAACCAGGGACATAAGTACTCAGACTCTCCAGTTCTCCTGCTGGTCTTTCCAATTAATTGAACATAATGGGAAACCAGAGAGCAAGGGGGCCTTGATAAGATGGGTGAAGGTGACTTTCCAGACACATTATGTAAGGAGGAAAGGGGAAAGGGTGGATCTCTGGAGGTACAGGGAGCATGTCTAGCACAACTCACATAGAGGGAGGAAAGTGACTTCTATATGTGTAATATATACTCCTATGGCCTACAAATAATTTAGCTAAATTAGTATAAGCAGTGTTCTTGTCATTCTCCTCCATGAGACTTACTAGCTAGTGAATAAACTATTCTAAATTTTCTCTGGACCCTGCTGTTTATATTAACATCATCAAGTAAATTCTATTTTACAATACAGAAATTTAGGTGAATTTTAAGTATGTACAAATCACTATATCTTGGTCACAGTTTCTCAACCTCAGCACTATAGGCATGGCAAGTTAGATAATTCTTTGTTGTTGGGGAGGCTGTCCTGTGTATTGTAAAATGTAGGACAGCATTTCTTGCCTTTTCCCATTAGATACCAGTAACACCCTCAAGTTGCTTCAACTGAGCATGTCTTCAGACATTGTCAAATGCCCCCGGGGGGGCAAAATCGTCCCTCAAATAAATAGGGATATTACAAAAAAGTGACATATTTATCAACTTTTTATCATCCACTGATTCCTCCAAAAAATTATATCTTCTGTCCGGTGTTTTTCCTGTTTTTCAAACTTACCCATGGTATTGCTTTAAAAACTTGAAATGATTCACACACCATCAAATTCAGCCTTTTAAAGTGCACAATTCAGTGCGCTTTATATGTGAATTTTAGTATATCCAGTGATACGGTTTGACTCTGTGTCCCTACTTAAATCTCAAGTCAAATTGTAATCCCCACGTGGCAGAGGAGTGGCCTAGTGGGAGGTGATGGAATCATGGAGGCGAGCACCCCCTTTGCTTTTCCCACAATAGTGAATGAGTTCTCCCACGATCTGTTGGTTTAAAAGAGTGTGGCACTTCCCCCTTTGCTCTTTCTCTCTCCTGATCTGCCATAGTAAAGATGTGCTTGCTTACCCTTTTCCTTCCACCACGATTATAAGTTTCCTGAGGCCTCCCAAGTATGCTTCCTGTACAGCCTACAGAACTGTGAGTCCATTAAACCTCTTTTCTTCATAAATTACCCAGTCTCAGATAGTTCTTTATAGCTGTGTGAAAATGGACTAATACATGCAGGGGTGTTAAAACATAACCACTATCTAATATTAAAATATTTTCATCAGTTGCCAAAGAAACCCTGTACTTGTTAGCAGTCATGCTGCACTCCCACTTTCCTCCAGTCCTTAGTCATTACAAATTTATTTTCTGTCTCTAAGTATTTGGACATTTCATACCAATGGAACTGTGTAACAGGTGGCATTTTATATCTTGCTTCCTTAACTTAGCATGTTTTTGCTGCTCATCCACATGGTAGCACATATCGGTACTTCATTATTTTTTGTGGTTTAATAATATTCCCTTATATGAATTTGTCACTTTTGTTTATCCATTTATGAATTGATGGACATTTGGATGATTTCTACTTTTGGCTATTATAAATAAAGCTGCTGCAAACATTCATACGTAATATTTTGTGTGGACATATGTTTACAATTCTTTTGGGTGAAAGTCTTTAAGAGTGGAATCGTGGGTCATATGGAAACTCTTTAGTTAATTTTTTGAGGAGCAGTCAAACTGTTTCTCTAAGTGGTTTTACCATTCTTTATTCCCACCAATAATGTATAAGCCTTGAATTTCTCCACATCCTTGCCAATACTTGTTATTCTTTGTCATTTTGATTATACACGTCCTACTGGATGCGAAGTGTTTTCTCATTGTGATTTTGATTTGTATTTCATTAAGGGCTAATAATGTTGTGCAGCTTTTTAAATGTGTTTATTAACCATGTGAAGATCTTCTTTGAATAACTGTCTGTTCAAATCCTTTGTCTACTATTTAATATTGTTCATTTTTGAGTTGTAAGAGTATTTTATATTACAAATTCCTTATAGAATATATGAAAGGCAGATACTTTCTGGAACCTTACTATTGTTTGTTTTTCCCTCTGTTGATAGGGTCCTTTAAAGCAGAAAAGCTTTTAATTTTAATAAAGTGCAATTTATTTACTTTTTATTTTGTGGCTTGTACCTTTGCTGTCCTATCTAAGGAATGACTGGCAACTCCCAGGCCATCAACATTTACACCTGTGTTTTCTTTAAAGAATGATATGGTTTGGCTGTGTCCACACCGAAATTTCAAATTGTAGCTCCACATGTTGTGGGAGGGATGTGGTGGGAGGTAACTGAATCATGAGGGCAGGTTTTTCCCATGCTGTTCTCATGATAGTGAATAAGTCTCATGAGATCTAATGGTTTTAAAAGGTGGGCTTCCCCTGCAAATGCTCTCTGTCTCTCGCCTGCCACCATGTAAGACTTCACTTTGCTCCTCCTTTGCCTTTGGCCATGGTTGTGAGGCTTCCCCAGCTATATGGAATTGTGAGTCCATTAAATCTCTTTGCTTTATAAATTACCCAGTCTTGAGTATGTCTTTATTAGCAGTGTGAGAACAACTAATATAAGGAGTTTTATAACTTTAGCTCTAACATTTAGGTTTTTGGTAAAATTTGAGTTAATTCTTGCATATGGCGTGAGATGTGAGATAGACACCAACTCCACCTATTTGCATATGATTACCCAGTTGTTTCAGCACCATTTGTTGAAAAGCCTATTCTTTCCCATTGATTGGTCCTGACGCTCTTGTCAAAAATCAATTGATAATAAATGTAAGGGTTTGTTTCTGGGCACTTTCCCTTATTCCACTGATTGATATGTCTATCCTTATGTCAGTATCACATAGTTAATGTGGCTTTGTGGTAAGTCTTTGAATAAGGAAGTATAAGTACTTTAACTTCTTTTATTTTTTTATTTTATTTTTTTATTATACTTTAAGTTCTAGGGTACATGTGCACAATGTGCAGGTTTGTTACGTATGTACACATGTGCCATGTTGGTGTGCTGCACTCATAAAGTTGTCATTTACATTAGGTATATCTCCTCGTGCTATCCCTCCCCCCTCCCCCCACCCCTCAACAGGCCCTGGTGTGTGATGTTCCCCTGCCTGTGTCCAAGTGTTCTCATTGTTCTGTTCCCACCTCTGAGTGAGAACATGTGGTGTTAGGTTTTTTGTCCTTGCTATAGTTTGCTAAGAATGATAGTTTCCAGCTTCATCTATGTCCCTACAAAAGACATGAACTCATCCTTTTTTATGACTGCATAGTATTCCAAGGTGTATATGTGCCACATTTTCTTAATCCAGTCTATCATTGATGGACATTTGGGAAATTAATTCAAGATGGATTAAAGACTTAAATGTTAGACCTAAAATCATAAAAACCCTAGAAGAAAACCTAGGCAATACCATTCAGGACATAGGCATGGGCAAGGACTTCACGTCTAAAACACCAAAAGCAATGGCAACAAAAGCCAAAATTGACAAATGGGATCTAATTAAACTAAAGAGCTTCTGCACAGAAAAAGAATCTATCATCAGAGTGAACAGGCAACCTATAGAACGGGAGAAAATTTTTGCAATCTACTCATCTGACAAAGGGCTAATATCCAGAATCTACAAAGAACTCAAACAAATTTACAAGAAAAAAACAACACCATCAACAAGTGGGCAAAGGATATGAACAGACACTTCTCAAAAGAAGACATTTATGCAGCCAACAGACACATGAAAAAATGCTCATCATCACTGGCCATCACAGAAATGCAAATCAAAACCACAATGAGATACCATCTCACACCAGTTAGAATGGCAATCATTAAAAAGGAAACAACAGGTGCTGGAGAGGATGTGGAGAAATAGGAACACCTTTACACCGTTGATGGGACTGTAAACTAGTTCAACCATTGTGGAAGACAGTGTGGCAATTCCTCAAAGATCTAGAACTAGAAATACCATTTGACCCAGCCATCCCAGTACTGGGTATATACCCGCAGGATTATAAATCATGCTGCTATAAAGACACATGCACACGTATGTTTATTGCAGCACTATTCACAATAGCAAGACTTCAACTTCTTTTAAAGTTTTATTTTTATTTTTGCTATGCCAGGTACCTTTCAATTCCATGTAAATTTTATATTCAATTTGTGAATTTCTATAATATGCACATCTGGAATTTTGATAGAGATTGTGTTAAATCTGCAGATCAATTTGAGAAGTATTGCCATTTTAACAATATTTTCTTCCACTTCATGACATGGAATTTTTGTATTTATTTAGATCTTCCATATTTTTAATGTATATATTTAGTTGAGATGTAATAATTGTACATATTTACGGTATACAGTGTGATATTTTGATCAACGCATGCAACATGTAATAATCAAATCTGGGTAATTATCATATCCATCGCCTCAATCCTGATGGTCATCTTTCCCTATTATTAAAATGATTTAAAAAAATGCTGGTGAGGATGTGAAGAAAAGGAAACTCATATACTGCTGATGGGAATGTAAATTGTTAGAGTCATTATGTAAAACAGTACAGAGGTTCTTCAAAAAGCTAAAAGTAGAACTACTGTATGATCCAGCAATTCCTCTAGTGGGTATATATCCAAAGAAAAGGAACCAGTAGGTTGAAGAGATGTCTGCACTTCCATGTTTATTGCAGCATTATTCACAATAGCCAAGATATAGAATAAACCTAAGAGTCCATCAACAGATGTATGGATAACGACAATTTGGCACATATATACCCAATAAAATACTATTTAGCCATAAAAATAATAAAATTCGGTCATTCACAGCAACATCAATGAGCCTGAAGGACATTATGTTATGAGAAATAAGTAAGGAACAGAAAGATAAATGCTGCATGTTCTCACTTATACGTGGGAGTTGAAGAATTTGATCTAGTAGAAGTAAGGAGTAGAATAGTGGTTACTAGAGACTGAGAAGGAGGGATAGGAAGAGATTGGTTGGTGAATACGAAGTTACAGCTAAATAGGAAGAATAAGTTCTAGTGTTTTATAGCACTGTCGGGAGACTATAGTAAACAATAATTTATTGTATTTTTTTCAGATACCTAGAAGAGAGGATTTTTAATATTACCAACCCAAATAAATGATACAAATCTTCTGTAATTTCTTTCAGCAATATTTTGTAGTTCGCAGTGTGTGAGTCTTACACTCTTTTTTTTAAAAAGAAAATCTGTATGTTACTCTTTTTTTGTGCTATTGCAGTTTACTTAATTTCATTTTCAAATTGTTGACTGAAAGTATGTAGAAATAATTAATTTTTATGTATTTGTCTTGTGTCCTGCAATGTTACTGAATTCATTTATCAGTTCTAATTGTGTGTGTATGTATATTTCTTAGAATTTTCTGCATAAAAGAGAATGTCTAATACAAATAGAAACAGTTCTCTTTTTTCCAAATTTGGGTGCCTTTGTATTTAGTTTTATGTCTAATTGCCCTTGTTATGATCTCTAGTAGTTTGTTGAATAGAAGTGGCAAAATTGAACATCTTTATCTTATTCCTGACCTTACAGGGAAAGCTTTAACATTAACTTTGATGTTAGCTGTGGGGTATTTTATAGCTACTCATTATCAAGTTGTAAAGTTTTCTTTTTTCTTTTTTTTTTTTTTTTTGATTTTGAGTCTCGCTCTGTCGCCCAGACTGGAGTGCAGTGGCGCGATCTCAGCTCCACTGAGAGCTGTGAGCCACCGCGCCCGGCCAAGTTGTAAAGTTTTCTTCCATTTCTTTTTGGTTGAATGTAATTTATTATGAAAGTGTGTTGAATTTTTGCCAAGAGTTTTTTATGCATCTATTGAGATGATCATATGGGTTTTTTTTTTTTTTGCCCTTTGTCCTATTTACATGCTGTATTACATTCTTTGATTTTATTTGTTGAATCAACCTCAGATTTATGTGATAAATCCCACTTGTGTAAAGTTCACAGTGTAAAATGTTATTTATATATTATTGGTGGAATTGGATTGCTAGTATTTGTTGACCCGTTTTTCGTCTAAGTTCATGAGACTTATTAGTCTTAGGTTTCTTTTTTTTCTACTGTTTTTGCCCAGTCTTGGTATTAGAGTTATACTAGACTCATGGAATGAGCTGGGAAATGTTCTGTCTTCTAACTTTTGGAAGAGTTTGTGTAGATTGATGCTAATGCTTCTGTAAATATTTGGTAGAATTCAACAGTGAAGCCATCTGAGTCTGGGCTTTTTTGGGGGGAAATTTTAAAATTTCTAATTAAATCTATTTACCTATTATACATCAAAACAAATTTCTATTTCTCCTTGACTTAATTTCAGTAGTTTGTGTCAATCAAGGGATTGAGCTATTTTATACGAGTTATATAATTTGTTGATGTAAAGTTGTTTATGATATTCCCTTATAATCCCTTTTATTTCTGTAAGTCAGTGACGTTCCCTTCATGTGCAATCTTAATAACTTTTTATTTTAGTAATTCGAATCTTTTTTTTCTTGGTTTGTCTAGCTGAAAGTTTGTCCATTTTGTTGATTTTTTTGAAACAATCAACTTTGGTTTTGTTGATTTTCTCTATTAATTTACTGTCCTCCACTTATTTCCACTCGAATAATGATTTCCTTTTTTATGCTAGTTGTGGATTTAGTTCTTGTTGTCTTTTCTACTTTCTTAAGTTAGAATGTTAGATTATTGATTTAATATCTTTATTTTTAAAGTATAGGTATTTATATACATATAACTTTTCCTCTATGTACTGTTTTAGCTGCATGTCAAAAGTTTTGGTATTTTGTGTTTTAGTTTTCATTCATATCAAAGTATTTCTAATTTCTCTTACATTTTTACTGCCTTTTAATTTGCCTGTGTAGTCACCTTTACTCGTGCTCTTCATTTCTTCATACGAATTTGAGTTACTATCTAGTGTCCTTTTATTGCAGCCTAAAGTACTCTCTTTAGTCTTTTTCTGTTTTTGTTTTTGGTAGAGAAGGTATGCTAACTATAGATTCTTTCAGTTTATGATTATATAAAAATGTCTTAATTTTTTTTAGGATAGATTTTCAGAGTTCCATATTCTGCCATTCCTGCTGACATCACTTGGAAATGCTTTCTTGATAAATCTATTTAGATATATAAGTACTTCAAACTCAATGTATTCAAAAGTTAACTTTCCATCTCAGCATTTTTCTGTCTCCCAAATACTCTCAAATTAGCACTTTCTTCACCTATATTACCTAAATGAGAGAATGCACTGTCATTCAAGTCCAATAAATTCTATGTCCTCAAAGACATTAGCTTAGTTTTTATTGTCACCTTATGGTAGATTATTGAAATAGATTGTGAGCTATGGTATTGTCTACCATAACACCACATAAACACATACAAGCAGTTATAGTGTTCTTTTAAAATGCAAAACTGAGTATGCCACACTTACAATTAAAATTCTTCAAGGAAAGACTATAACTTTTAGTATAAAATAAAAAATCATTTTGTTAACACAGAAAACTATTAAATAATAAGTTAACCGATGTCCATACTTGGATTCTAAAATTCAGAAGCTGTGAAAGAGTGGAAATAGAAACATACTGATGTGGTGAGTATGTGTGGTAGCCACCCCTGTTTTTCTTTCTTCTTTTCCCACAAACCAGACTAGGCATCTCCATTGATTTCAGTGTTCTTTTCATGATGCTTGTCCTGTGCACCATTTTTTATGCTTATATTGCTGCTTTTTAAAAAAAATCTGTGCCAGCTCAGCTACCACTGCTGCTGCTCCTATTCCATTCCATTCATCTGTTGTAACCATAGTGAGTTACTTTAAATTTTTCTAGCATTATACTATTTCCTACCTACAATGGGCTTTTCTCTTTGGCCAAAGTGCCTTCTCTATCTTTGTCCAAATACCTGGAGCCATATGCATCTATAATTTGACTGGTTACTTCCTCTGGGAAGACATTTCTAACTTCATAGTTTAATTGGATAACTCTCCTTTTTACAAAGTTTTAATATTGAACTCTCCTAATGTTCTGATAACTAATTTGCCTTTCTGGATAGGATGAGTTCTCAATAAGTATGTACCATAGCACTGTGTACCACATAACCTTCACATATAAGTCGATAAAGTTTAATTTATATGACATGTTTATAATGATCTTAATGGAGGCTATCTCTTGATCCTCATCATGTCTGTTAGAGGGACTACCGAGTTGACATGTATGCTAAAAACACAAAAATAGGGAATACCATTAGACTAGAGTGTTCTTAAAGGCTTTATATGCCAGAAGATCCTCTAATATTTTAAAAGCCAGGCCCCTATAATGCCTACCGTAACATCCCATAAAGCAATTTTTAATTGTTTTTCACTACGTACACCACTCTTTGAAAACTAACACACACATGTGCAATCATTTCTTTATATGTCTGCCTCTGAAATGCAAAAGACTTGGTTATGCCCTATTTATCTTTTTGGTCCAGATTGGAGCATGGTATAGCTAGTAAATATATAAAGAGAAGTAAGTATATTAATCAAATAAGTACAATATTAAAAAATTCAAAAGGACAATTGTAGAGGATATTCAAATCACTTGAAATTCCAGAAAGAATAAGTTATGATTGCTCAGTAAGGGATTTTTATGTTTGGTCAATCATATTCAAATTAAAATTACTTTTTATGGTTTATCACATATTTCTCAGTTTTATCTAAGTTACAGGACAATGACAGACAATAAGGGAATTGAATACTACTTGTTGACATAAAGTTTGATTAAAAGGGAGTAGAGTAAAATGCTTTTTAGAGTTTCAAAACTGAAGGCTTTTTCAGAATTTTCAAAGCCAAGTGGCTGATAGTGAATCCCTGTTCAGTAGGACATTCACATTTGTCTACAATCAGATTCATTATTTATGGGCACCAGATCTTGCTGCAGACAATTGACCTCACCCTTCTCCCTTCTTTCTCCAATGGTTAATGGCTTGAAATCTCAAAATAATTTATGGCCACATTTTATTTGTTATCCCCATGCCTTCTCATGTCTGAGCCCCATTAATTTATCTTTGATGTCTTTCCATTCTTCTCTTGATTCATATTTCCCTAGCCTCTGCTTCAATAAATACATACTAGGTCCTTTGAGCAATCTCTTAATTCTTCTCCTACTTTGTATTTTTTCTTCATGATTCATTTCACTAACCCATAAGCTATTTAATCTTTTTAAGAAAATTAAACCAAGCCAACCCAACAAATGAAAAATCTCACTGCTCAAAATTCCATGATGATTCACCTTCCCCCATCGTCTTTTTTGGAAATGTAATCCTCACAGATGTAGGTCTTCAGTAATGATAGCCCATGTCTACCTTTTCCAGTTTAGCTCTCGTGAATCTTTTTCTCAAATCCTCAGCTTCAGTAAAGGTTTTATGAATCTGTGGCTAGGACGTGAATAGTCCCACTCATGACTTGTTGCTCATTTTATCTCGTTCATGAATGCCCTCTCCTTTTGCTATGCTTTATAAACTTTTCATTATAAAACTTTTAATTAGCAGAAAAATAGAATACCATGCTCCTTTTTATTTACTACCTTGTTTTAACACTCATTAGCATTTTGAAATGCTTGACCATCATTTTTCTGAAATATTAAAAATAAATCACAAATATTGTGATATTTCATATTTCGAGATAGTTCATTATGCATCTCTAAAACTAAGGGCATTTTCTTATTATAATAGCAATATTAATATTTTCTTTTTTTATTATACTTTAAGTTCTAGGGTACATGTGCACAATGTGCAGGTTTGTTACAAATGTATGCATGTGTCATTTTGGTGTGCTGCACCCATTAACTCATCATTTACATTAGGTATATCTCTTAATGCCATCCCTCCTCCCTCCCCCCACCCCATGACACGCCCCGGTGTGTGATGTTCCCCTTCCTCTGTCCAAGTGTTCCCATTGTTCAATTCCCACCTCTGAGTGAGAACATGCGGTGTTTGATTTTTGTCCTTGTGACAGTTTGCTGGTAACATTAATATTTTCTTTACATCCCTAATGAAGTAGTTAAAAATTCCTAATTATTTTAAAAAGTTGTTTTAGTTGTGTTTACAAGTCCATTTTTTAAAGCAGATTTAATTCACTATAAAATTGAGGAGGAAATACACAATTTCCTAAATATCTCTTGCCCTAATACATGCAAAGCCTCCCTCATGCCTTCAACCAGATGTACATTTGTGGCACTCCATGAACCTACATGGATACATCATTATCATCCAATGTCCATATTTAACATAAGCGTTCACCTGTGCTCTTGCACATTCTATAAACTTTGACAAATGTATCAACCATTATATTAATATACTGAGTATTTTCAGTGTTCTAAAAAATCCTTTGTCCTCCACCTATTTATCTCTCTCTCTTCTCTGTTCTTCCTTTATGTTCTTCCTTTATGAGAATGCCATATAGTTGGAAACATACAGTTTACAACTTTTTTATATTGGCTTCTTTTACTTAGTAATATGAATGTAAGTTTCCTTCATGTCTCTTCATGGCTCTCATTTCATTTGTGTGTTGAATAATACTCCACTGTCTGAATGTTCCACTGTTTTATTTATCAATTCGCCCACTAAAAGACATTTTGGTTGCTTCCAAGTTTTGGCAACTATGAATAAAGCTACCACAAACATCTATGTGTAGGTTTTGGTGTGGACATGTTTTCAACTCATTTGGGTAAATAACAAGGAGTGCAATTGCTGGATCATAAAATAAGGGTATATTTAGTTATATAAAAAACTGCCAGAGTGTCTTATGAAGTTGCTATATCAGTTTGAATTCTCACCAGCAATGAATGAACCTTCCTGTTGCTCCTCATTTCCGTCAGGGTTTAGTTTTGTTGGTGTTCTGTGTTTCAACCTTTCCAATAGGTGTGTAGCAGTATCTTTTTTGCTGCTTTAATTGGCATTATCCTTATGACATATGATATGGAGCATTTTTTTCATCTGCTTCTTTGCCATTTGTAAATCTTCTTTAGTGAGGTGTTTGTTAAAGTCTTGGCTCACTTTTAAAATCAGGTTGTTTAGTCTCTTATTGTTGAGTCCTAATAATTTCCTGTATATTTTGGATAATAGTACGTTATCACGTAAGTCTTTTGCAAAGACTTCTTTCCCAGTCTGTGGCTTGTCTTTTCATTCTCTTTATAGTGTCTTTTGCAGAAAAAACTTTTTTTTAATTTTAAGTAAGTCTAGCTTATCAAATTTTACTTTCTTAGATTATGCCTTTGGTTTCATAACTAAAAAGGCATTGTCAAACTCCAGGCCATCTAGATTTTCTCCTATGTTATATTCTAGCAGTTTTATAGTTTTGCATGTTATTTTGTCCCATGACCCATTTTGAGTTAATTTTTGTGAAGTTTATAAGGTCTGTGTCTAAACTTATGTTTTTGCATACAAATGTCCAGTTGTTCCAGCACCATTTGTTAAAAAGATGATCTATCACTGGCTAGGTGTGGAGGCTCACGCCTGTAATCCCAGCACTTTGGGAGGCTGAGGCGGGCGGATCACGAGGTCAGGAGATCGAGACCATCCTGGCTAACACAGTGAAACCCCATGTCTACTAAAAATACAAAAAATTAGCGGGCATGGTGGCGGGTGCCTGCAGTCCCAGTTACTCAGGAGGCTGAGGCAGGAGAATGGCGTGAACCTGGGAGGCAGAGGTTGCAGTGAGCCGAGATTGCACCACTGCACTCCAGCTTGGGCAACAGAGCGAGACTCCATCTCAAAAAAAAAAAAAAGAAAAAAAAAGATTATCATTGCACCATTGTATTACTTTTGCTTCTTTGTTAAAGAAAGTTGACTATATTTATGTTCATCTACTTCTGGGTTCTCTGTTCTGTTTCATTGACCTGTTTGTTTCTTCACTGTCTTGATTACTGCAGCTTTGTAGTAAGTCTTAAAGTCATGTAGTGTCAGTTCTCTGACTTTGTTCTTTATTTTCAATATTGAGTTGGTTACTCAGGGTCTTTTGCTTCTCCATATAACTTAATAATCAATTCGTTGATATCCAGAAAATAATTGTTGGAATTTGATTGTGATTACATTGAATCTATAAAGTTGGGAAGAACTGACAGCTTGACAACATCGAGTCTTCTCATATATGAACATGGAATATCTCTCCATTTATTTAGTTTTTGTTTGATTTTTTTTTCAGCAGAGTTTTGGACTTTTACTCACTTAGATTGGTATATATTTTTTTAGAGTTACACTTAAGCATTTCATTTTTGGGGGTGCTAAAGTAAATAGTAGGGTCCTTCTCTTTTAAAATTTCAAATTCTACTTGTTTGTTGCTTGCATATAGGAAAGCAATTTACTTTTGCATATTAGTGTGGTATTTTACAATCTTGCTATAACTGTTTATTAATTCCAGAGGTTTTCTTGTTGATTCTTTTGGATTTCCTACATAAATGATCTTGTGAAGAAAGGCAGTTTTATTTTTTCCTTTCCTATCAGTATGTCTTTATTTCTTTTTCTTGTTTAATGGCATTAGCTAGGACATACATTTGAAAAGTTGTGATAAGAGGGAACAGCTTTGACTTATTCCTGATTTTAGTGTGAAATCTTTGAGTTTCTCACTACATTTACATTTGGTATACCTTTTTGACATATCCTGAAGAGAAGGGCTACTTGCTTACAGCATTCCAAACAATAGCAGATGATAGTCATAAAATCCAAACAAACAAATAAGGTAATGTAAAATGTAATGACAATGTAACATTAAGTATGATGTTAGCTGTAGGTTTCTTGTAGCTATTTTTTCTTTATCAACTTGAGGAAGTTCCCCTCTGTTTTTAAACTCACGATTCAAATAAGTTCCACACATTGCATTTAGTTGTTATACATTTTAAGTCTCTTCAAATTCAGAACAGCTCTGCCTTTATATGCCATTGGCTTGCTGAAAAAATTAGACCAGTTGCCTTCTAGAATAAGGCACATTCTTTATTTGTTTAGTTGTTTACTCATGATGTTTAACTTGTTCCTCTTGTAACTCCTTTATTTTCTGTAAATAGTAGGTTAGATTGTAAGTCTTGGTTTAAGGCAAGCTTGATACTTTGGCAAGTATGCAGAGGTGATGCAGTGTATTTCGCTGCACACATTGGTTGTTTCAGCCCTCTTTTAATCTAAACCATTCTCATTTCTCTAATTATGCTTCAGGTTTCCCCATCCCGTCTATGAAGCATCATACTCCTTTCTAGCTTTCATTGATTTTTTCCTTCCTCCGAACTTCTGTGATAGTTATGTTCTGTAATATATTACAGCATTTCACACTTATCTTTATGTTATACTATATGCCATTTTGAAGTATATTTTCTATTTTGTGCTAAAATTGTCCAAATGGGTTGTAGGTCGCTAGAATTCAGTCCCCAAATATATGTTTTTCCTATAGCAATAAGAATGTTGTAGGTTTTCACTATATAACTTCTTTTTTGATACCATGGTTAATTCCACAGAAGCCTATTCATATCATTTTTATTTTTAAAATAAAAAATTAAATATAGATATATTCTTTGTTCATGTTACTTATATTTTATAGAGGAACCAAACCTGGCGAGAGCAAACATAACTCACAATAACAAGAATAATTGTAGATACTAAGACCATTATGCTTAAACCATGTAGGTACTGAGACTATGCACAGAGACCACACTCAATAAATATTTGTCTGAACAAATGAATGATGCTTGCTTGATTTGTTTATACTGTGAAAACTATTGTGCTGTCGTATATCAGGACTATTTTTTAAAAGGAGTAAACCGACTACTGATTATTATGGCAACCAGAAACCTATTTAAGTAGTTCTCCCTAACAATTTTCTATAGTAAAGACGTTCTACCAAGGATAATCTGTAAAGATCTCCGCAACAAAGCACCTAGCATGCAATTAAATGCATGTGCAGTTTTCTGCAACTGTTAAGGGAGTCTTCACTGAATTAAGTCAGCTGATGATCTCTGGAGGTTTATTTCTCCTATTTGATGCTCAGAGCTCTTCCTATATTTCTTCTTTTGGCTCTAGCAGAGTTTTCAGAAACAAACTAATAAAGTATGTATCAACTCTAGTCATTAGTTCTTCATAATATGGAATTGGCTTAGCAAGTAAATAAAACTGCCATTCTGCCTGACTAATAACATTGCTCAACTCTTGAGGGTTTTAAACAGCATTACACTTTGTTTCTGGGTAGCTGTATATAAATGCAAATTATTGTGTTATGTTTCCTGAAATAATCTTGGTCCTAATTATATACCAATGTGGCATGGTGGAAGTAGGTGCTAACAAAGGCAGGAAATCTCTCTTGAGAATAAGATCTGGTATGCTTGTGGAAAACTTATGCTTACATTGTCATTACATTTTACATTACCTCATTTGTTTGGATTTTATGACTATCATCTGCTGTTGTTTGGAGTGCTATGAGCAAGTAGCCCTTCTCTTCAGGATATGTCAAAAAGGTACACCAAATGTAAATAAATATTAAAAAGTGTCAACTGTTTCTAAGCAAATACTAACAATTTTTACAGTAAAAATTGACAAATACATTGTAGATCAAGCAAAAGTTAATAAAGTTATGTTCCCTAGAGCTTTCCCCAATTCCATAGGTTCATGATTAAGTTTTCCATTATCTAAAGCATCCCTTTAGTTTTCAAATTTAAAGCATCCCTTTATTTTCAAATTTTTCATTCATTTGATGTTTTCTTTATTCAGAAAATAATGCACATCTGTAATAATAAGTAAAGCAATACAAATATGCATAAAGATGGTGTTAGTTATGTCTCATGCTGCTGCCCACAGGCATTCCCTTCAAATGACCTTCCATTACTTTCTACTTCCTCATACATACATATGCAATTTTATCTCCACCCATGCATACACACATATGGGGGTTTGGAGTTTGTTGTTTCAGACAAAAAAGAATTGCATTACACATATGAGGCCCTTGCCCTTTTTATCTTGGTATGTATTTTGGATATGCTGTAAGTAATTAGATGCAGTCTCTATGTGTACTATATATGACATAATAAATGTAAACATATACACGATATATTCATTGTTCTGGAATTTTTTTCAGTTAAGTTTCTGTCTTCTTAAATTGCTTACCTTTTGCTTACCAATTTACCCTCTCTCATCTCCACCTACCAATCCAACACTACACATCATCTTCCTACCCCATCCCATCCAGATGACTGGATACTTAATTATCTACCATATTTCTCTCTCGATATATATATATAAATGTATATATTTCATAAACAGATACAGACATATAGATATAAGTAAATGTTTTATTTAATGTTTTAAGTTTTGAGCTGTTGTTCCTTTTAGAGCTATAGATCTACTGACCACTTTGGTCCGTACAGGGAATTGGAGTAAAATCTCTCTGTTTAGGAGCCAAACATGATTCAATCCCACAGGTGTTAAGGGTTTTAAGGCTCTTAAAAGAGACTGGAAGAACTCAGCGTTCTGGGTTTTCCCCGTCAATATTTTTCCTTTCAACCTTGTTAAGGTGTAATTTTTGCAATTGCCTTTTGCTACCAAACCAGAAATTTTGCTCCAGACTGTCATGTATTAGAGAATTTCTTCACAGTCTTTTCTTAACCTGTTATCACTATCACAACTTTAGAGAAAATGACCCCTCTGATATCTCATGGTGCTATATTTCTAAACTATCAGAAAATTTTAAGCTTCCTGCCACAATTTACTAAGTATGGTTTCTGGATACTGCATAATAACTCAATTATAACGATGTTCTATCCACTCCCATACAAAGCAAACCAGCTTGAGAGTTGGTAACTCTGCAGTAAACAAGTGTATAATGAATGAACAGAGCACAGCATTTGTGATCATTGTGTAGGTCTGGAGAGCAGTGATGGTTTTCAAGCTCACTCATCTGTTTATTTTAGGATGCTGAACATCTTACATCTTAGACTTGATGGAATATCTCTGACATGGCCAGTGTACAAAAGTTAAAAAAGATTTTCTGTGATCCAACTCTGAGTAGCACATACATAGAATTCTTCAGCAGAAAACATAAGCAGGTACCTTATAATAAACTTCAAATGGGCATTCTACAAGGAGAAGCACATAGCTACTATTCTAATAGATCACAAGGGTTAGACCTTAAAGCTTCATCAGGTAGAAAACATATTGGCTTTTGTTTGCAAATTCTGGGAATTTTCTGCTTCATTTTGTTCAAATGGCCATATCTGGACCCATCAACTCCTGTCAGGGCATGAAGATCATACTCAAAATTGCTGCTCCCATGGCAATCATGTGGATGGAGTTTAGGGTCCATACCAACACATGGAGGACTGGAGAGACTCTCCCATACCTAAGCACTAAGGCCTCTGTTGCTTTACTGTGATTGCATTTATGATATTTTGTCAACCCCTCTTGATGTTAACCTTTGTGAAGGCAGGGAACATGCCAATACTACTGACCGTGTAATTGTCAGCATCTAGCTCAGCGTCAGAATTTACGTTATTACTCTAGAAATCCTTTCTGAAAAAATCCATGTTTGAAGAGAGGAAGATTAAGAAGTTTCTCTTCCCAGAAAGTTGGTGGGCCCTTGATTTTCCTGCCATGACTCCCTTTTCATTTCCTTTTTAACTTTTATCTGCTCCTTCCCTGATTTGCAAACACCTTTTTTTTTAATTCACCTATAATTATTGGAATACTCTATGATATGGTTTGGCCTTGTTCCCCCTCCCCAAATCTCATCTTGAATTGCAGTTCCCATAATCCTCAGGTGGCATGGGAGGGACCCAGAGAGAGGTAATTGAATCATGGGGTGGTTACCCTCATGCTGCTGTTCTCCTGAGAGCGAGTACTTTCTCACGACTTCTGATGGTTTTATAAGGGGATTTTCCCCCTTGTGCTCATTCTTCTCCTTCTTGCTGCCTTGTGAAGAAGGACGTGACTTCTTCCGCTTCTGCCATGATTGTAAGTTTCCTGAGGCCTCCCCAGGTATGTAGAACTGTCAGTTAATTAAACCTGTTTCCTTTATAAATTACCCAGTCTTGGATATTTCTTCAGATCAGAGTGAGAACGGACTAATACACTGTATTTCTGAAGTTACGACGAACTTTATCCAATTATTTTCTATATTTAAAACTCAGTTTTCTCCTGAGTTGTAGATTTTTGTAACAACCTGCCAGGAAAAATCTTTATTTGGCCCTCCCACAGATGACATTTACGTGTACTCAAGTAAACTTTTGCGGCTCCACTTTGATTGTCCCCCAAATGTTCCGATTCCCGTATCACATGTGCCATTAGTTCCACAGTCAGTCGTTGACTGTTCAAGTCCTTGTTTATTTTGTGCTCTGTTTTATTCCTTAGCCCCCTCCATTCTCATACCACATGGGCATGTTCTTTAACTTCTATCCCATAATAATCTATTTGATCTAGGCCTTCATAGGAATCTTAGTTGCCGCTTTTACATTAAGACCTTGCATTGGCTGCTTACACAGCCTCCAGAATGGTCGTTTGGTCTGTGGTCATACTCCTTGGCCACCTTTCCTTCAATTGGATGCCATAATTATTTGTATAAAACATGCGCTTCTTATTTTTATTTTATTTTTCCATGAGTTATTGGGGTACAGTTGGTATTTGATTACATGAGTAGGTTCTTTAGTGGTGATTTGTGAGATTTTGGTGCACCTGTCACCCAAGCAGTATACACTGCACCATATTTGTAGTCTTTTATCCCTCACCTCCTTCTCACCCTTCCCCCCACATTCCCAAAGTCCATTGTATCATTCTTATACTTTTGCATCCTCATAGTTTAGCTCCCACATATCAGTGAGAACATACGATGTTTGGTTTTCCATTCCTGAGTTACTTCACTTAGAATAATAGTTTCCAATCTCATCCAGGTAAAGGAAAATATTACAACTTTATAAAACATTATCCAGTACACCCATTGCAAAATATATATGGCCTTGATGTTCTAGTTTCTCTTCACTGCCCAGGGCTTCATTTCCTGCCAGTGACTTTGCCCACTGTTCTCTCAAGAAATAACATCAATTTATGACTTTGCAGTGCAATACTTTTTTCATGGCTTTGCATATTTGTTTCCCCTGCCTGGCATACACTTTACCTCCAATGTATTTTTCGTTGGTTAAAAATTTATTCAAATGTAACCTTCAATGAGAATATTTTTGATCTGTTTGCTCTACAATCTCGCTCTTTTGCATCCAAACATGAGCTTCTCCTCTGTGTTCCTACGTGGCTATTACATCACCTATCATGTTGTAGCATACATGTTTATTTAAACATTTGTTTTTCTGCTTAAAAACTCTTCTCCCATAAGTAACACTAAGACTTAACAGGAAGCCCTATATAGAAATTACTTAATGAGGACTTATTAAACAAGTGAGTAATTAATAAATTTAAAAAATGAATGACATTGGCCTGGCCAAAGTAAGTTTAATTAAAAATAAACCTAGAGCTCCCTACTCCTGAAACATATCAAAAAGTAATTTGCTTGGTAAATTATGAAAACACATCAGTTTGGAAGAGAAAAATGTAGTTAATCTGGGGCACTGATGTGGATTTAGTGTGAATTTAATGATGTGTGTTCTTTGCCTAGAATTAGATTGAATAACTAAGCATTATTTTTGTTTTTTTGAGATGGAATCTCATTTTGTTGCTCAGGCTGGAGTGCAGTGGTGCCATCTCGGCTGACTGCAACCTCTGCCTTTGGGTTCAAGTGATCCTCCTGCCTCAGCCTCCCCAGTAGCTGGGGCTACAGGCACCCACCACCACACCTGGCTATTTTTTTAACTTTTAGTAGAGATGGGATTTTGCCATGTTGGCCAGGCTGGTCTCGAACTCCTAACCCCAGGTGATCCACCCGCCTCGGCCTCCTAAAGTGCTGGGATTATAGGGAATCATTAAGAATTCTAATTGGGTTAAACAAATTAAAAAAAGTGTAGTAGAACAGCACCCCTGTCTCATAAGAAAATGGACCCAATTGTAGATATTATTCAGTCAGTGCCTGATAATAAGCATGTAGCATAATCATATTGGTGGCAGCAGTCAAATCCATACCCCACCACAGCCACATCTGTAGCCACAGTCCAGGATTCTAAAGGCACCAAAGCCAGAGGTATAACTATATTTACAGTCATAGCCATAGCCCAGTCCTCCGTAGTAGTTGCCATAGTAGCTCATTGTGTCAGGATTTAAGTCTCTAGCCTGAGAGGCCAGCATAAGTTTTAGTGCATAAAAACACTAAAATACTGGGTCTTTTATCAGTCTCAGTGGAGGTGTGACAAACCACAGGCACTCCTGACATTGTCATATAGACCAACCTGTATTTAAAAATCTCATTAATCTTGTATCTTTAGATTTTAAAAAAAGACTCCCTATCCTGATAAAATTGAGATTTTCTTCTCAGTATGTTATGATCCTGCCAAACAGCTGATAGACTTTAAAGGAAAAAAAAATACTGAGTTCCATGACCTTACTCACACTGATGCCGAATTTAACCTTTGTAGCTATGTTGGATGACATCACGTGGAGGAGGCAAATGCCATCCTCTTCCGATCACTTTGCTAATAATACCCTTCTTCTTATATGCATATTTAAATCTTAATCAACACAGCTGTGATGTTATCGCTATAAAACTTAGTAGCAAATACAGTGGACTCTTGAATACCATGAGTTTGAACTGCACAGATACGCTTATATTAAGCAGATTTTCTTCACCTCTGCCACTCCGGCAGCAAGACCAACCCCTCCTCCTCCTTCTCCTCCTCAACCTACTCAACATGAAGACAATAAGGCTGAAGACCTTTATGATGATCCACTTCCACTTAGTGAATAGTAAATCCATTTTCTCTTTTTCTTTATTTTCTTAATAAAATTTTCTTTTCTTTAGCCTACTTTATTATAGGAGTATAATCTCTCATTACAGGTAACATAAGCATGTATTAATCAACTGTTTATGTTATTGGTAAGGCTTCTGGTCAACAGTAGGCTATTAGTAGTTAAGTTTTTGGGGAGTCAAAAGTTATACTCAGATTTTCAACTGCGTGGAGGTTGGCACTCCTAATCCCTGCATTGTTCAAGGATCAACTGTGATTTATTCTGTACAAACTCCCACCAATCACATATTATTCTGTAGTTTTCCTATTGCTATGCTCTCTTAAAAGTAGTGCCCTTTTCTTGCCTGTTTAGTTCCTTCTTCTCCACACCTTAAGCATTCTTTAAAAAGTTGTTTGGTTGATTATCTTGTACCTGCACTGCAATGTAGATATGTTTCTTCGGAGAAAAGAAAAGCATTGAGAATCTTATCTGATTCCAAAGTCACAGGAACGTAAAGTAGACATTTTTGAGACCCAAATATAACAGAAGGCATGACTATTAATTTTTCTGTAGGGATATTGACTCTGTCTGTATCATGTACTTATATGTAGACTTAAGTTCTCAAAGGCAGGCTGAATCTAGATACTATCATTTCTTAAGATGATTAAAAATAATTGAAAATTTTCCTTCACCACTGACCTTTAGGGTAATCCCCGATTTGATCTGTTGTACTTCAGTCATCCACTTTTAGGCAGTGCTACCATATTGGCAGAACCATCTATAATCCAGGACTAATTTTTCCTTCTCCAACTGGAAAATCAGCATAAATTCATAGGTGTATGTTGAGAAAGAAGAGACAACTCAGCAGAGAGGAAACCATGAGAATCCAAGCCAATTGCTTCTGTAAGTTGTTTGTGCTTTCACAACTCCCTTAAGCCCAACCTTATGTTCCCCACCTTCACTTGATGACAGAGAGCTGGTGTGTATGCTCAACTTTCTGAATAAGAGGGCTAGAAAATTTGGGCTGAGATGATGGGGTTTTCTAGATATACAATCACGTCATCTGCAAACAGGGAACATTTGACTTCCTCTTTTCCTAACTGAATACCCTTTATTTCCTTTTCCTGCCTGATTGCCTTGGCCAGAACTTCCAACACTATGTTAAATAGGAGTGGTGAGAGAGGGCATCCCTCTCTTGTGCCAGTTTTCAAAGGGAATGCTTCCAGTTTTTGCCCATTCAGTATGATATTGGCTGTGGGTTTGTCATAGCTAGCTCTTATTATTTTGAGATACTTTAAGCTGATAGGCAACTTCAGCAAAATCTCAGGATACAAAATCAATGTGCAAAAATCACAAGCATTCTTATACACCAATAAAAGACAGAGAGCCAAATCATGAGTGAACTCCCATTCACAATTGCTTCAAAGAGAATAAAATACCTAGGAATCCAACTGACAAGGGATGTGAAGGACGTCTTCAAGGAGAACTACAAACCACTGCTCAGTGAAAAAAGAGGATACAAACAAATGGAAGGACATTCCATGCTCATGGGTAGGAAGAATCAATATTGTGAAAATGGCCATACTGCCCAAGGTAATTTATAGATTCAATGCCATCCCCATCAAGCTACCAATGACTTTCTTCACAGAATTGGAAAAAGCTACTTTAAAGTTCATATGGAACCAAAAAAGAGCCCACATTGCCAAGTCAATCCTAAGCCAAAAGAACAAAGCTGGAGGCATCATGCTACCTGACTTCAAACTATACTACAAGGCTACAGTAACCAAAACAGCATGGTACTGGTACCCAAACAGAGATACAGACCAATGGAACAGAACAGAGCCCTCAGAAATGATGCCGCATATCTATAACTATCTGATCTTTGACAAACCTGACAAAAACAAGAAATGGGGAAAGGATTCCCCATTTAATAAATGGTGCTAGGAAAACTGGCTAGCCATATGTAGAAAGCTGAAACTGGATCCCTTCCTTACACCTTATACAAAAATTAATTCAAGATGGATTAAAGACTTAAATGTTAGACCTAAAACCATAAAAACCCTAGAAGAAAACCTAGGCAATACCATTCAGGACGTAGGCATGGGCAAGGACTTCATGTCTAAAACACCAAAAGCAATGGCAACAAAAGCCAAAATTGACAAATAGGATCTAATTAAACTAAAGAGCTTCTGCACAGCAAAAGAAACTACCATCAGAGTGAACAGGCAACTTATAGAATGGGAGAAAATTTTTGCAATCTACTCATCTGACAAAGGGCTAATATCCAGAATCTACAAAGAGCTCAAACAAATTTACAAGAAAAAACCAACAACCCCATCAACAAGTGGGCAAAGGATATGAACAGACACTTCTCAAAAGAAGACATTTATGCAGCCAACAGACACATGAAAAAATGCTCATCATCACTGGCCATCAGAGAAATGCAAATCAAAACCACAATGAGATACCATCTCACATCAATTGGAATGGCGATCATTAAAAAGTCAGGAAACAACAGGTGCTGGAGAGGATGTGGAGAAACAGGAACACTTTTACACTGTTGGTGGGACTGTAAACTAGTTCAACCATTGTGGAAGTCACTGTGGCGATTCCTCAGGGATCTAGAACTAGAAATACCATTTGACCCAGCCATCCCAGTACTGGGTATATACCCAAAGTATTATAAATCATGCTGCTAGAAAGACACATGCACACATATGTTTACTGTGGCACTATACACAATAGCAAAGACTTGAAACCAACCCAAATGTCCAACAATGATAGACTGGATTAAGAAAATGTGGCACATATATACCATGACATACTATGCAGCCATAAAAAAGGATGAGTTCATGTCCTTTGTAGGGACATGGATGAAGCTGGAAACCATCATTCTCAGCAAACTATCGTAAGGACAAAAAACCAAACACCACATATTCTCACTCATAGGTGGGAATTGAACAATGAGAACACATGGACACAGGAAGGGGAACATCACACACCGGGGCCTGTGGTGGGGTGGGGGGAGGGGGGAGGGATAGCATTAGGAGATATACCTAATGTTAAATGACGAGTTAATGGGTGCAGCACACCAACATGGCACATGTATACATATGTACCAAACCTGCACGTTGTGCACATGTACCCTAAAACTTAAAGTATAATAAAAATAAAAATAAAAATAAAAATAAATGCTTGGTACCTATGTTGATCACTCAGAATTTCACTAATAGTGTTGAGTTTTTAAATCCAATGATGGCTAAACCACTTTTGGGAAAAAATATTGTAATTTATTGAAAATCAAATAGAAAGTCCACATAATTACAAAGCATCTTTTGCCCAAGTGATATCTTATTGCGTAAGATTCTGTTGTCTCATTGCCATTTCCCAATGTATGGGGATTCTTAAGGACAAGTGGAATAAATGGACACATTTGCTGTTTGGGGATTTCAAAAGAAAAATAAAGGAGCTGTCAGATGTGAAGAACAGTGGAATAAGAGGGAGGCAGTGACTCAGTGCATTCGACACTGTCCTGGTGAGCTGGTGAACAACAGATCCTTTCCCGAGAATTTTAACATCAAATATCAAGCAGTCAGCAGCCACTCGACAGGGGATTCTATCTATACTCTCCATGTCATCCAGATGACGTGAGGTGTGAAGAGCGAATTACCTCTCTTCTGAAGCACAGTGCAAAGTAATTCAGCCAAATCTCAGGGTGTTGAGAAATAGACAAACCCAGGGGTTGTTATATATAGTGATAGGAAAAAAGACTATTTTGCTGAGCAAAAATGTCATTTAAAATGTTCTTATATGAATGTAAATTGGAAGTCTGACCAAATGTAACACTGGCTGCTGAATCACATGAAAACTGGATTGCATATGACCTTAGGTAAAAGGAACTGATGTTCAGAACAAATTTTCAGGGCCATCAAAACTGCAGGAGATATCAGAATCTCTCTATTCCTCTCTCTCTTTTTCTCTCTTTCTCTCTCTCTCTCTGCCTCTCTCTCGCTGCTTCACTCTGAAAAACGCATACACACATGCACACAAACAGAAAAAGCAAAAATAATAGAGAGAAATTAATATAAGTATAATCAACAAAATTTACAGGAGCATTGTAAGTTTATTTTCATACTGCTATGAAGATACTACCAGAGACTGGGTAATTTATAAAGGAAGTTTAATTGACTCACAGCTCAGCATGGCTGCGGAAGCCTCAGGAAACTTAAAATCATGGCAGAAGGCAGAGGAGAAGCAAATTCCTTCTTCACAAGATGGCAAGAAAGAGATCGAGACAGTGTGAAGGAGGAACTGTCAAAAACACAAAACCATCAGATCTTGTGAGAACTCACTCACTAACATGAGTATAACATGGGGAAAAAACTGTTCCCATAATCCAATCACCTCCCACCCCGTCCTTCCCTTGATATGTGGGGATTATGGGGATTACAGTTCAAGATGAGATTTGGGTGGAGACAAAGAGCCAAATCATATCAAGTGTACATTTTAACATAAACTTTATTTTCTCATATGAAATATATGAAAAGAACATACAGGCCAGGCATGGTGGCTCACGCCTGTAGGGGAGAGCCACCCCTACATACAGGCCTTTGGGAGGCCGAGGCGGGCAGATCACCTGAGGTCAGGAGTTTGAGACCAGCCTGACCAACATAGTAAAACCCCGTTTCTACCGAAAATACAAGGAAATTGGCCAGGCGTGGTGGCGGCGGGTGTCTGTAATCTCAGCTACTCAGGAGGATGAGGTAGGAGAATTGTTTGAATCCAGGAGGCAGAGGTTGCAGTGAGCCTAGATCGTGCCACTGCACGCCAGCCTGGGCGACAAGAGTGACACCCTGTCTAAAAAAAAAAAAAAAAAAAGAAAGAAAAAAGAAAAAGAAAAGAACATATATGAAGAGGAATAATGTCAATACAAAACAAAGAGTATAACTTTTCTGTAAATTACAAGACATCCCGTTGATTTCAGTTAATCAAAATACAGCATGCTGAATTTGAGTTACATTTTTCTTTAGTAGTTAGAGATGAAATTAGTATTTCCGATGTGGGTATGGAAGTGGAGTCAGGAAGCCCAACAGGAAGAGTCCAGCAGGTTGAGTTGCTCAAGAGAAACCCTGATAGAGTCTGTATGACCAGAATATTACACTGTTAGATGAGCAGCCCAGAACCAGAGACAAGGCATCAGAGAGTTGCCATTTCAGCTCATGGTGTCAGAAATGGAAAGTTCAGTAAAGAGAAGGGACTCTGTTTCTTCAGATTGAATGTCACCAATGGCGCAGTTCAGGGACTTTTCAATCTTCTGTTGTTGGTTGCACAACCCATGAATATTACTGACCTTATAATTCAGACTAATCACTCAAATAAAATGTTAGCAGCTAACTTACAGTTGAATTTAAGTATCCATGTAGGTAATGTATTAATGTATTTTTCACTTGTGTTAACAAGTAATTATAATTTATTCTTTTTAAGGGTATTTTAGTTTAGCCCAATCTTATTGTTATTGTATTAGCCAAAAAAAGTGACCATTATCTACATAACATAGGAGTTGTTGATGGAAAAGTTTTAAGAGTTGGTTGACGGAAAAGAGCTGCCCAAGCCTGAATTCTCCATGTCTCCTGCAAGCAGGTTCCCTAAAGTAGTGCCTTTATACACAATGTCATCATTTGGACAATGAGACTCTGGACATGGATATAGGTATATGTGTGCACAGCTTCAATTTATATTATGCTCCCAAATGAATTAATGTAATTCATTAAAATAACATAGATTTTTTAATGTTCCATCATCTAAGCAAATGACATTTAATCATTTAAGTGATATTTATTGAGGGCCTACTATGTGCCAGTCACTTTTAAGACAATGGATTATATTACTTCTATTATTGTGATAATGTGTCCCTATAGGATGTTTTCTCATTGATAGCATCATGTGCTATAAGATGTAGCAATGTTGCAAATTTTCATTTGAAAATATTAAAAGTATCCCCAAAGAACTGTATTCAATTGTTTTAATTGAATATATCCAAAGTTGGAATGATGAACAGATACCTCTGAAATATTTACATCAGGACAATGGGATTCTAAATCCCCATAACAAACAAAAGTATAACACATGATTGGAATCTGCCAATAAAGTAGTTATTTCATCTGAGGTATTTGAGTCAACAAATGCTAAGATAATAGGTTCATAAATAAAAGATAAATTGCACACAATATAGTAAATTCACTCAGACTTATTCAAACACTGACGCTAAAACTAAGAAGAGTAGGAATAAAACAAAATATAATTTCATAGAAAAACAGAAATATGCATGAAGTTGGACTAGCCTAAACATCACTGTCATCTTGGGATGCTCCGAAGAATTGTTCTTTCTTTTTCTCATATTTTCTTCTTTCCCATTCCATTTGCCAATACACCAAAATGCAAACACACACATGCACAATAAACATAATTAAAATGCAACAAATAAATATACTTTCAATGAGATGTTTATTAAAAGAAATTTTACATCTTCTCACATAAGTTGATCAAAAATCAACAATTTAATGACAGTACAATATCAAAACAAAGCTTTTTAAAAATCTGTGAAACATGTCAAATGATTTCAGTTACTCTAGATGAGGCTTGCAGCATCTGACCTATTTTTTCTTCCAGATACTTAAGGATGATGTTGACATTTTACAACAGAAAAATGAATTACTCATATGAAGAATTATGAAGGCAAATTTAGGAAGTCCATGTGGAAGAGACCACGAGGTTGAGTTGCCAGATATTTCTCAGTAGAAGCCACAGGACCAGTATCTTCCATAGCAAGATGGGCGGCAGCAGCCATATCCATAGCCACCATAGCCACGGCCATAGCCACAGCCCAGGCCTCCATAGCCATGGCCATAACCACAGCCACAGCCATAGCCACCGCCCAGGACTCCATAGCCATAACGCAGACCACCATAGTAGTTGCTGTAGTAGCACATGGTTTCAAGAGTGGAGGATTTGGTTGAGGAGCAAGGAATCAGTTTCTTCAGTTTGAATATCCCTATATGCCCAGGCAGTCCTTTTATATACACCCTCAGTGGTGGGTGGGACCCACCACAGGACCTGTTGATTGCATATTTTCTATTAATTTGTATTAGTATACTTCCTGAATATTTGTTTTATTAAACAATGTGAAGCCTTTATAAACAAGATGACTTTGCTATTGTGTCAGCCTTCTCATGATCAAATGCCTTTAATGTGTTTTTCTTATTCTTATTTTAAAGCCCTTACTCATACTTTGTTTAGCTTAAAATATTTGACAACTTTGTGTCTAATTTAATCATTGAATGGGTTGTAAAAGGTTGATGTTTAAAATTCTGTGATTACTTGTGCATACATTATGTGAGAATCTTCTACAAAGAAAAATAACTTTAACAATAGAGTTTATTTAGCATACTCAGCTAAGTTTTTTTCTTGTTCATTATTTGCTTTAATAAGTAAATTTCATTCAGACATAAAAGTAAATAGAATTGTATTTTGAAGCTTTATAAACACATCCCTGGAATTTAATAATCATCAATATTCTGTCTTCAGTTCCTTCTCTCCCTGTACATTTTTTGTAGTTAGTTAGTTAGTTCTGCTGAACATTTTAAAACAAATCCCAGGCAAGACAACATTTTTCTTATAAGTACTTCAGTGAATATCTCTATCACAACAGAAGTCTAAAAAAATATGTATAGAGAGAGCCCCAATACCGTTATCACACCAATGACATTACAAAATTATTTGGCATCCCCTAATAGTTAATTCGTGATCAGTTTTCCTTGATTGCTTCCCAAATATATTTTCATAGTCTTTTTTTTACATTAAGACACGCATTCATTACATTTAGGCATGTCTTTAACTCTTTTTAGAGATGTGATGGTTCTTTTTTTTCCTTTTTAATGTATTTTATTGTTTCGAGGAAACTTTGTTATTGTCCTATAGAATTCTTACATTTTAGACGTGGCTGATTTCTTTCTTGTTTTCCCTTTTCATATCTTCCTCTATCCCTCATACCATCTACAGGTAGATGACAAAGGTTGATGTGATTCTGGTTATTTTTACTATTTGTTGACAAGAGTGATATTTTATAGTTGCTCTGTGTACATTTTATTACATAATATTAGGATGTAAATGGTGTCTGGGTGGCCCATTGCTTCACATTTAGTAAGGCTGGGATTGTGGATTGGGTTCATTTTACAATCTCCCCCATAAACTTTTTAGCTACAGTTTTTTATATTCAGTAATAGTTACCTAGACCCATTATTGCCAGAAGTTCAAAATGCTGATTTTACAATTCTATCATTACTTCTACCTGTAGAAGATAGAAACCTATAAAGAGAAAAAAAATTCTCATCTATGAGTTTATTCAGGAGAGGAAAATAGTTGATTTTTTCATTTATCAATTTCCAGAATGAGTATATAATTTAGCAGTTGCGAAAATAATATGCTTAAACATTCTTATGCACTCATAGACTTTTTTTGTTGTTGCTTTTTTAGACGGAGTCTCTGTCTTGCCCAGGCTGGAGTGCATGGAGTGCAGTGATGCGATCTGGGCTCACTGCAACCTCCACCTCCCACGTTCAAGCGATCCTCGTGCCTCAGCCTCCTGAGTAGCTGGGATTACAGATGTGCACCACCACACCCAGCTAATTTTTTAATTTTTGTAGAGACGGGGTTTCACCATGTTGGCTAGGCTGGTCGTGAACTCCTGACTTAAGGTGATCTGCCTGCCTTGGCCTCCCAAAGTGCTGGGGTTACAGGCATGAGCCACCACTCCCAGCCTCATAGATGTTTTAATAACATCACCCTAAATATTTAAGTGCACAATGCACTATTGTAAACTGTAGTCACTACATCGTATCTAAGAAATCATTGCCCAGTCCAATATCAACAATCTTCTATGTTTTCTTCTAATAGTTTTACAGTTTGAGGCTTTATATTTAAGTCTTTAATTTATGTCAGGTTGAGTTTTTTGTTGGATGTTTGATAAGGGTCCAATTTCATTCTTTTGCATGTGAATATCCAGTTACCCCAGCATCATTTGTTGAAGAAACTACACTTTCTCTAGTGTGTATAATAATTATCTTTGCCAGGATCAAATAACTGCATATATATGGGTTTATTTCTGGGCTCTCCATACTGCTCCATTGGTCATTGGTCGATATGTCTGTCTTTATGACAATAGCATAGTGTTTTAATTAATTGACGTGTATCCATCAATTATAGTTATTTCTCTTTTTGATGTCAAGTTGTCCTATCATGGGCTGGTAGAAACCTTTTTAATTTGGTTTAAGTATTTTTTGACAAGACTTTAGTAGTATCTTCGGTAAATTATTTAATTCTTATATGAGAAGATCTTCCAGACTCATCTTTTATCTTTCCTGCCCTTGATTAGGAAGAGGTCTTTTATTTTTCTTTAAAGAAACACTGATATTTGGAGAAGACTCTCTGGACACTAGTGATGTTCACTGTTGCTACATTGTGATTGCTTATATGCTGTTTCAATGGAGAGAGCCAAAAAACCCTCTGTTTTTTTTTTTTTTAAAAAAGATTAAAAGTAATGAGTTCAAACTAAAAATTTCAATTCAAATTAAAAATTATAGAGCATTGATTTAAGCTTTTCAATTTTTGAAATGGATGAACTTTTTTTAAAGCTTCTATTTATATCAAGTTTGCTAACCTCCCATTGATCAAAACAAGTCACATATATCACTGAGTCCATAGTAGAGGAATAAATTAGCTGTCCCACCTAAGTTGGGAGGACTGAGAATGGGGCCATCAATTTAACAGTGTATGTATGTGCAACATCACTGTGGTGTAAATATTTATTAACATTATAAATTATGTAATATACCAATATAATATATAATTTATTAATAATATATATTGATGGCAAAGTGGATACTTATGGAAACTAGGCCTCTTTGAACATACTATCACAACTTCACTGTGTAAGTATAATATATCTTATGCAGAATTATTTCCTTTGTATTTAGACAATAGATGACATCATAAATGATTATGTGCAAGGAAATAAACTTGAAATTCAGGGGTCTCACTGAAGGGTTCTGTGTTCTTCCATGCCCAGAGATAATTGTTAATGAGAAATTGCAGCAACCATGGCCTGAAATGGCTAGGGAAACAGGATCTCACCATCCAGGAGGAAGGTGTGGGCTACATAGCAGCAAAGAAACATTACAACTGCAGTGCTTGTTGAGAGTGAGAAATATCTAAAATGGTGAGAAGGTGTCCCTCACTGCTCACAGAATCACGTTTGATAAATTATCCTTGCATTAATCCTCAATCTAACAGGAAAAATAAACCCAAATACTATTTTGCCAGTACTCACTGTTTTCTGTCTGTTTGAATTCCCTTCCAAAAGATCTGAAACCTCTCTCTTCTTGCTCCTGCCATGATTAATTTGTGTACTTTCTGTACTCAGAATTTTTCCTTATGAGTCTCCATCTTTTCATTGTGTTTTTTTTTTTTTTTTGAGACGGAGTCTCACTCTGTCGCCCAGGCTGGAGTGCAGTGGTGTGATCTCGTCTCACTGCAACCTCTGCCTCCCTGGTTCAAGCAATTCTCCTGCCTCCACCTCCCATTCATTGTGTCTTTTTAAGAGCCAGAGAGCCTTGGCTCCCATAGTTCCTTCAGAACTCCCTTCATCTCCTCGCACTAGCCTATGACCTGTTTTGGCTGGTATTCTCAGATCTGCTCCTTGGGTCCTCCACTTGAGGTGGTATATGTGTGGAATGACTTTCTACCCCTACCTTGACTGGAATCGAGGACCCACCTTTGGCCTCACCGTTGTTCTACCAGTTCTGAAGAAAGGTGTTTCCCACATGGTCTTGATCCAAGGCAAAGGAGCCAAAAGTGCCATGGGATGGGTCTTAGTCCTACTCGGCAGTCACCTGCCTGTGGGAGTCAGAAGTACCTTACGAAGACAGAAAAAATATCCCACTCATGTAAACTCTAGGCTGTATTAGGCAACTATAATGCATGGTGTATTTCAGATGAATAAATTTAACATTTGAGATGTTCTTTACTAGCACCATCCAAATGCAGGTGTTGGAAGCAAGGGATATTCATGGAGAAAGTGATTAATACAATGGTGTATATGGAGAAAGAGAACAGAGTGATAGTTTGATAGTTACCATAGGCTGGGAAGGATAGTGGGAGGCGGTGGGGAGGATAAACAAGGGGTTGGTTAATGGGTACAAAAATGTAGTTAGATAGAAGGAATAATGTGTAGTATTTGATAGCACAGTAGGGTGATCACAGGAAACAGCAACTTATTGTATACTTCAAAGTAATGAGAAGAGTGAAATTGAAATATTACTAACATAAATTAAAATGTTTAATATAAGAGATACCCCAATTACCCTGATGTGATCATTACACATTGTATGCTTGAATCAAAATAACACATGTATCCCATAAACAGGTACAACTATTATCTATCTGTAAAAAATACAAATTTTATAAATCCTAGTGGGATCATATTTAGGCAGCTTAGCACCATTCCATACTCTCTCAGGAACTTGATTGCTCAGAACAAGAATTGTGTTTACTCTCAGTCAATGAGAGTAGCTTTAAGAAGTTTGAAAGATAAAAGAGACCAAAACTATATCATTGCTGTGGCCAAAGCAGATGATATTCATGGCTTTTCATGGATGTAAGGTTTTGCAGCATCCTCTGAACATTTCCTTATGAATCACTAGCCTTGGAAAGAGAGAAGTCCACCTATTGAAAATTATGCTTTCTGGCCGCACGCAGTGGCTCACACCTGTAATTCCAACACTTTGGGAGGCTGAGGCTGGCAGATCACCTGAAGTCAGGAGCTTGACACCAGCCTAGCCAACATTGTGAAATCCCGTCTCTACTAAAAATACAAAAAAATTAGCCAGACATGGTGGCATGTACCTGTAATCCCAGTTACTCGGGAGGCTGAGGGAGGAGAATTGCTTGAGCCCAGGAGGGGGAGGTGGCAATGAGCCGATATCACGCCACTGCATTCCAACCTGGGTGACAGAACGAGACTCCATCTCAAAAGGAAAAAAAAAATTGTGCTTTCCTCTGGTTCCTGCAATTTCTTGATTTGAGGCCTAGCAAAGAATGCATGAGATAATAGGGGTCTTCTCTCATCTTTGCTTCTCCTACACTTCCAATGACGATGAAGTATTATTTTCTGCTTGCAATATGTAGAATTCATTTAGTTTTTCTGATTAAACTGTTGTTTATTGCAGTAATGTATATATATATCATATTTTTCAACATAGGTATGTTTATAAGTAATGTGTAAATAAACAAATGCTTTTTTATTTAGAGTTAGTTATACAAAGTTTGTTCTATCTAATGATTTTTAAATCAAAGTAGACATCAAAATAAATTTGTTATTTTTTGTTTTCTCCTTATTCTTAGTCATAGGAGGTTTCTCAGAGCACATTATTTTACCATGCTGATGAACCATATGTCTCTCAAGCTTCCCTGCCCACCCAACAAATTATATAAAGAGATTAATGATATTCTGTGGTGTTGTAAGTTGCTTACTAAAATAATGTAAATTCTTCATTCTTTCTTGTATCTAGGCACCTTGCAATATGATTTTGCAGCTTCTCCTAACAAGGACTGCAGCCCATTTCCACTGCTTGAATCCTTGCTTGTCTTGAGATTTGTTTTGGCCAATAAAATACATTGGAAGTGCCAGCTTCTAGAATAGACCTCAGGAGATATTAAGCTTTTCTACTCACTATTTTGGAATCCTTCCACAGCTTTCACAAGAACAACTCTTGCTAAACCTCCTAGAGAATAACAGACCACATGATAGGAAACAGACACCTAAGCCTCCAGCCAGGAAAACCTCAAACATATGAGAGATCCTCCTATCTTAGAGCACTGGCTACTTAATCTGTGGCCAACAAGAGAGATATGAATGGAGTCATCCATGAACAGAAAACTTCCCAGCTCACGAGTAGACTCATGACAAGCAATAGAGTTGACATAAGTTTATTGTTTTTGCTGATATTCAGCAAGTCGTGATAATCTTCTTTGAGCTTGACTTTCTCCATCTCTTCCCTGCTACATCAACTCCCCCACCTTTTTTTTCCTTGAGAGTATCCTCATTTTTACATGATTAATTATTTACTACTAAAAGGCAAAAGATATCACTTGGCTTCATGAGACTATCAACAGAAAGCCAATACTTAAAATTTGATGCTACCAGATTCACTGGAGTTTTCCTTCCAATATTTGTAGTGTTCCTTTTTCTGACTACTTTTAAAACATCAAATATTTTCTTGATGGTTTCAAATTTATCTTCTGAAACTATAACCAGAAAATGGAAATGATGATATTTCGTTTTATTTACAAAATTCCATTTTCATGAAAGCTACTGAAGCAATTATTTAAAGGCAAATCGTACAGAAACATGTGAGCAATTGGATGAAAAACCACTTATTAAAAGTAATTTGTTTTATTTTGTTAGACAGTCCTAAGTGTGCAATCCAATTTTTTCATCAGAAACATCAGAGGGTTTGGTATAAAGTATTTGTTTTCCATGTATTCATGGCCCTAGTAATATAGGGTGAAGGATGATGGCGTACAAACTCCTCCTCACTTTCCACTTCTAGTGAATTTGTCTTCCTCTCTGAGCTTACCCTGGGAAAGATTTGAATAGTACCATTTGGACAGAATAAAATAATTCGGGCATTGGGGCTCTGGAGCGAGATAAATGTGTGAACATCTTAATAGTCATGTTTTTGCACGTGTTTTTAATTTTAAAAGTATGGAAATCATATAAAACCTTAACAAAAGTTTATAAACTTTATCCATTAATTAATTTGTTTTTCATTCATTTATATAAAAAAAAAATAACTACAATCCTTACTGTTGCCGGGGGCTGTCCTCGGTACTGAACCATGTGAATTCTGTCAATGGTATTGTGCCCTGACTAGTGTTTAATTTCTCTCTTATAAGATAGCCTAGGATATTTGTAGAAGGCCATTTGAGAAAATTGCTTTATCCCAGAAGGAAAGATAGATTAAAATGCTTTATAAGCTGAGAAAAAGGGGCATGAATTCTAAAACTTTATGGCAAATCACAAATGTCCTTAATACCATAAGCTATTTTAAGAAATTAATATAAATTTGCAATTTTGAAACAGTTGCCTGGACACACATATTGCTTTTAAAGAATAATGTCTGCAACATGAGACGTATTGATATTTCAAAGTTGCTGTAACTCTATCAATCATTTGAGCGAAAGCTTATAATTTCAAATAAAGGTCAAAATAATATGTAATGTTAGATCAAAAGGAATCCTAAAGGGAATGATGTAGAAATAATATAACTCTGACATTTTTTCTTTAAACAGAGTCTGAAGGAAAGTTGTATTCAATATAAAAGTAAGTTTGTTTGTATATCTTTAAAACAGAAATTGGAAACACAAAACTCAAAACCACTGTTCCCAGAAAGCAGTGATCTAATTTTGTATGGTTAATGTGCTGATATGGTAAGAGGGTGATACTTTCCAGAGATTCTCAAAGACAAAAATGATGTTCAGACCCACTTTGTGTGTGACGATTAGATATGGGATGTGACTTAAATATATCTGCTAGGAAATAGAAGGGGATCATTTAGAATAATGTGAAATGAAAATTCCAAACACAACCACAGTCCAAAATATTCAAATGTAGCGTACAAGAAAGCAGCCAAAGACCAATGTACCTAGAATATGGTGATTAGAAATAGGGGTGCTGTTGTGGGGTTTTATTCATTAGGTAAAAACTTAGCATATAGGCTAATATTTTATGATCAGATATGCAAGGCTGCAGTAATTGCAGGTTCATCAAAAGCAAGTTTCATTTAGAAATAACTAATTTTAAGCCTTTGAACTTTTAGTTTCACAGCATGTAAGCAATATTTTTGTCACAATAATACTCTGTCACACACACATGTGCATGCAACAGGTCTAACAAAGTAATGTTAAATAAGTAATATTGTAAATATAGGATTTTTTTTGAAAACTGACACAAAATTTTTTTTCGCATGAAGGATGTTGAACTAAAATGTATGTGGAGCAATAATCGTAATACGGTATGAAGAGAAAACATTTCTTTTATAAAGTAAGTTATTCCAGATGATTATATTCAATTTAAATGATGGATGTAGAATTTAAACTACTATCTCTTCCCAAAGTAGCCTAAGATGAGATAATCAGTATTTTAAAAAGAGAAGAACACAGAATATGGAGTCGGGTAACATAGGGAAAGGAGTCCTGGGGTTTCTCTAGAAGTTTCTTAGTAGAATCCATAGCCTGGCTGGGCACAGTGGCTCATGCCAGCACTTTGGGAGGCCGAGGCAGGCAGATCACGAGGTCAGAAGTTCAAGACTAGCCTGGCCAACATGGTGAAACCCCGTCTCTACTAAAAATATAAAAAATTAGCTGGGCATGGCCCAGCTACTCGGGAGGCTAAGTCAGGAGAACTGCTTGAACTGGGACCTGGGAGGTGGAGGTTGTAGTGAGCCGAGATTGTGCCACTGCACTCCAGCCTGGGCTACAGAGTAAGGCTCCGTCTCTGGGAAAAAAAAAAAAATCCATAGCCCCATAGCCTAATATCTGCCACAGCAAGATGGGAGATAGCAGCCACAGCCATAGCCCAGGGCACCGTGGTAGTTACTATAGTAGCATATGATGTTAGGAGTGGGAGGTTCAGTCAAGGATCAGGGAACCCAGATGCTCAGTCTGAATGTCACTATTTGCCCAGGGCCTTTTATCATAAGCCAATTAAGCTTCTTTTCTTGTAAATTACTCAGCCTCAGGTATTTATTTATAACAACGCAAAAATGCCCTAACAAGAAAATTGGTACTGAGGAGTGGGGCATTGCTATAAAGATATCTGAAAATGTGGATGCATCTTTGAAACTGGATAAGAGGTAGGGGTTGGAAGAATTTGGAGAGCTCAGAAGAAGACACGAAGATAAGGCAAGGTTTGGAACTTCTTAGAGAATCATTAAATGGCTGTGACCAAAATTCTGTTAGTGATATGGACAGTGAAGGCCAGGCTGATGAGATCTCAGATGGAAATGAGGAAATTATTGGCAACTGGAGCAAAGGTCACACGTGTTATGCCTTAGCAAAGAACTTGGCTGCATTCTGTTCATAACCTAGGGATCTGTGGAAGTTTTCACTTGAGAGTAGTGACCTAGGGTATCTGGCAAGAAATTTCTAAGCAACAAGGCATACAAGCTGTGGTCTTGGCTGCTCCTAACAGCCTAAATTCAGATGCAGGAACAAATAAATGACTTAAAGTTGGAATTTATATTTAAACAGGAAGCAGAGCACAAAAGTTTGGAAAAGTTGCAGCCTGGTTATGTGCCAAAGAAAGAAAAGTGTTTTTCTGGAGAGGAATTCAAGCAGGCTGTAGTGCTACCACTTACTAGAGATATTTGCATAATTACAAAGGAGCCAAGTGCTAATAGCCAAGACAATGAGGAAAAGGCCTCAAGAATATTTCAGAGACCTTCACGGCAGCCCCTCCCATCACAGGCCCAGAAGCCTAGCAGGAAAGAACAGTTTCCTGGACCATGCCCGGGGCCCTGCTGCCCCTGTGCAGCCTTAGGACAACACTGTCCACATACCTGCTATTCCGACTGCAGCCTTGGCTCAAAGGGGCTCAGGTATAGCTCAGGCTGCTGCTCTGGATGGTGCAAGCCATAAGCCTTGGTGGCTTCCAATGGTGTTAAGCCTGCTGGTTCACAGAGTGCAAGAGTGGTGGATTCTTGGTAACCTCTGCCTAGATTTCAAAGGATGTATGAAAAAGCCTGGGTGTCCAGGCAGATTCCTGCTACAGCATGGAGCCCCCACAGAGAAACTCTAGTAGGACAGTGTGGAGGGGAAATATGGGATTGGAGGCTTCACACAGAGTCCCCACTGGGGCACTGCCTAGTAGAGCTGTGAAAAGGCCATCTCTCTCCAGATGGTACTCTATGCCTAGAAAAGTTACAAGAACTCTGCAACAACCTATGAGAGCAGCTACCAGGACTGCACCATGCAAAGCCACAGGGGTGGAGTTGTCCAAGGCCTTGGTAGCCCACCCCTTGGACCAGTGTGCCCTGGATGTAGGATATGGAGTCAAAGGAGATTATTTTGGATTTTTAAGATTTAATGACTACCCTGTTGGGTTTCATACTTGCATGAGGCCTGTAGCCCATTTATTTTGACCAATTTCTCCCTTTTGAAATGGGAATGTTTACTCAATGCCTATACCCCCATTGCATCTTGGAAGCAGATAACTTTTTAAAAAACAATTTTACAGGTTCATAGGTGCAAGGGATTTGCCTTGTCTCAGATGAGACTTTGGAGTTTTGAGCAAATACTGGAATGAGTTAAGACTTAAGAGGGTCTGTTGGGAAGACATAATTATATTTTGCAATGTGAGAAGGATATGAGATTTGGGGGAGGCCAGGGATGGAATGATATAGTTTGGCTATGTGGTCCCACCCAAATCTCATATTGAATTGTAATACCCATTGCTGGAGGTGGGCCTTGGTGAGAGGTGTTTGGATCACGGAGGCAGATTCCTTATGGCCTGGTGCTGTCTTTGTGATAGTATGATAGTGAGTGGTCATGAGAGCTGGTCATTTGAAAGTATCTGGCACCTCCCTGCTCTGCATTTGCTCCTGCTTTTGACACATGATATGCCTGCTCCCTCTTCACCTTTTGCCATGATTGGAAGCTTCCTGAGGCAACCCCCAGAAACAGATGCCACAGTGCTTCTTGTGCAGCCTGCAGAACCATGAGACGATGAAACCCCTATTCTTACAAGTAACGCAGTCTTAGATATTTCTTTACAGCAATGCAAGAATGGCCTAATACAGTTCCTAGTGTCTACAGCTGTCCTCGTGCTCTGGTGTGTTGGGAAAGCTGGTCGCTTGCATGCAGTCTTTTGATTCCCACTTAACGCTATAAAAATGGGTCTTGTTCCTGGAACACTTCCTTGCCAAAAGACAAAAAGCCTACAGGGCTGAGCATGGTGTCTCATGCCTGTAATCCCGCACTTTGGGAGGCCGAGGCAGGTGGATCACCTGAGGTCAGAAGTTCAAGATCAGCCTGGCCAACATGGTGAAACCCTGTCTCTACAAAAATACAAAAAAAAAAAAAAATTAGCTTGGCGTGATGGCAGATGCCTGCAATCCCAGCTACTCAGGAGGCTGAGGCAGGGGAATCCCTTGAACCTGGGAGGTGGAGTCTGAAGTGAGCCGAGATTGCACCACTGCGTTCCAGCCTGGGAAAGAGAGAGAGACTCCGTCCAAAAAAAAAAAAAAAAAAAAAAGGCCTATATAATCAGTGCCAGGTTTATCATCTTGTGTAGGGATGCATTACCTGTTTGAAGCTCAGTGTGTGCCTAAGATTGTAAGTCAATGGCTCTCAGGCAAGACGTGCTCCTAGCTTTCAGTATCTCAGACTCCATGGGTGATGGGGAGGGGTCCTTTTACTGTGGCTCCAGAAGGGTGTGCATAGTCTCATTGCCTTGTGTGGCAACCTGGGGACCCGCTAGCTATGAGGGATGGGCACACGCTGTTGGAGCTGATCTCACCTTGTCTCTTCTGATGTGAGTAAAAGCATTGCTCCATCCTGTGCTTGATGCTGTTGTGTTTCCCTTGGCAACTCTGTTACCAAGATGCAGTGGGCAAAAGTGTTTGGACTTTTATTCCTAATGCTGGCATTGGGATGAGCTTTGTTATCCTCCAGGAAGTGGGAGTCCTCCTCTGGTATTGAGAACCTGGCACAGTGTTGTACACACCATGGAGTGAGGTATTTGAATAAAGCAACTGAAAATGGACACGAGGAACACATAATTACATATGTGAGTTTCGAATTCTGTTCAGAAGGCAACTGGATGAAGCAGGTGCCTAATGCAGAGAGCGAACCCCTCTCTCTTTTTTCCTTTTTTTTCAGACACGGTCTCACTCTCTTGCCCAGGTTGGAGTGTAGTGACATGATCTCGGCTCACTGCAACCTCCGCCTCCCAGATTCAAGTGATTCTCCTGCCTTAGCCTCCCGGAGTACCTGGGATTACAGGCGTGGACCACCACGCCCAGCTAACTTTTGTATTTTTAGTAGAGATGGGGTTGCACCATGTTGGCCAGGCTGGTCTCCAACTCCTGACCTCAGGTGATCTGCCTGACTCGGCCTCCCAAAGTGCTGGGATTACAGGCATCAGCCACTGCTTCCAGCCCACAGAACACCTCTCTCTAGTGAAAGAGCTTAGATTCTCTCCAAGAAGAAGCTATCAATCAGATTAGGCTTTAAGATGAACAGCATTTGAAGTACTTCTCACTGACAGGCTGGATAGCAGATGTAAGAAGCAAAAGAGGTGGATTTGAAAAAAACGAATAGAGAAGACACAGTGATGTGTCTAGTTGACTGAAACATAGCTACACAATGATATTCACATGGAATTGCTTGAAGGATAGCATAGCTAAATATGGCTGAAGTAATGCATATATACATCATGTATTAAGCAGTTATTGTATTCCATTTTGAAGAAATGGTTTTGATCTGTTTAACAGAATGATCAAAGAGCGATGCATATAATTTGTTTCTCAGTCTATTCACAGTCATAATATAGACGAGTGAGACACTGGGAATGTCCATATTTCCTCTTATGCAAAAGCTATGCTCTATCCCGAGTACTCCACACAGAGCATACAAACAGACAGCCAATACTCTGGGCAAAATAACTTTACTTGTATATCAAGACTTTTGTGATAGTTCATTCCTACTTCCACATTCTGCTATAAAAAATAAGAAATTCTAGAAAGACATGAAATTTTCAACATGATTCATTGTCATTCATTTATTTATTCAAAATATTTATTAGGCGGCAACTATTCTAGCTGCAGGGCTGTGATCCTTTATCAATGATAGGGTGTGGAATAATGTGTTTTTTTATTATTCATCACTTGAGAATGTGTCAGTTAGGCAAGAGACTTTGAGAAAAATCCACTGTATCAGATAAAACACTGGAGGAGGATATTTTAAATCAGTTGTTGATGTAGTAAAATAGGGCTTCTTAAAATATGGGAAAAAATACATTTCCCACATCATGCCATTAAAAGTTTTAAAAATAATGAATACTTTTCTTTGAACTCTCTGGAGTGCTTGCATCACGTGTATTGATATTTAAGAATATTGTGTGAATCATACATAGGATGTTGAGAAACATTGCTCCTCACTGACGTTTTATGAATTGGAGATTCCTATTCCTTATTAGGTTGGCTTGGAGAAGAAAACTAGAATAATTAAGGCCAGGTGCGGTGGCTCACGCCTGTAATCCCAGCACTTTGGGAGGCCAAGGTAGGTGGATCACCTGAGGTCAGGAGTTCGAAATTAGCCTGGCCAACATGGTGAAACCCAGTCTCTACTAAAAATACAAAAAATTAGCAGGGCCTGGTGGCATTTGCCTGTAATTCCAGCTACTTGGGAGGCTGAGGCAGGAGGATCACTTGAACCCAGGAGATGGAGAATACAGTGAGCTAAGATCGCACAACTGCACTCCAGCCTGGGCAACAAGAGTGAAACTCTGTCTCAAAAAAAAAAAAAAGCTAGAATAATTCAAAAAAGCAGTTTTGTTTTCTTTAAATTAGAAATTGGATGAACAAGGTTAATATATCCCAATGCAAGTGAAAGGTGGACCTGAGATACGTGTTGTCCTCTTTTGCTATAGAACTGAGAGGAGCAGCAAGAAGTGTGGAAAGCAGAAAAGACAATTTCTATCCACCTGAAGGCACAGATCTGAATGAGACAACCTAGCTGTGGGGTTTTAGAAAGATAGCCCTAGCATATGTTAACAGGAAATGGGACTATTATTGTGTCAAATGACATTTTGCTTCCTTATGTATAGGTAATAATGCTGCCTGTAGGTACATTTGAAAGTAGCTTTTATACCCATGTTATTATAATGGACTGATGATTTTATGCTTATCTTTTTTGAAACAGTGTCATCTCAGAATAGCATGAAAGGCAGCGCCCAAAAGCAGTTCCTCACAGTTCTATACAAATTAATGTAGAATAAAGTAGAACCATCCTGAATATGAGAAAACAATCAATTAAAATAGAACTTAAATTTTTTTCATATGAAAGATACTGATTGAAAATATAAAATAAATTTATTGGTAGCACAATATTAAAGATAAAACTTACCTATAATTTTTGACGAATTTTTGGCTCTTTTCATGAATTCAGAAGCATGACAGGTCTGAACTTTGTGTTCTTCAAGTTCACCAGGATGAGCTATCAGAGTTTGTATAGCAAATATAATTACTCACGTGAAAAATTATAGAAACAGAATCAGGAAATCAAGCTGGAGGAGTGCAGTAGACTGAACTGCTCTAGGTGTTCCTCAGTGGAATCCATGGTGTCATTACCTGGCAGAGTAAGATGAGTGGCAGCCATGTCTGCACCTGCCATACTCAGCCACAGCCACAGTCCTTCCCATAGTCACAGCCACAGCCAAGCCGCAGCCCAGGCCACCAGAAAGATGGCTGTAGTAGGACATGGTGTTCAGAAGTGGATGTTTCAGTTGTGGATCAGGGAATTATTTTTCTCAGTTTGAATGTCACCATCTGCAAATGAAATTTTATACATCTTCAATAGTGTATGAGGCCGTTTGGTTTCATATTTCAGAGAAAGCTGCATAATAAAACTTGACGAAATTTATTTCAGTAAGTACAGATATCCTTATAAAAATGTAACTATTTTGTCTGAAACTCAATAATAATGTTACATGCCCTTAATTAGAAGATGCTTCCTGTGTCTTGGTGATCTTCTCACTCTTGTTTGTTATTAAAGTCTAGACTCAGGTTCCTTAAAATGTTAACAATATGCAAGCCCTCTGATCCAGATTTTTTTCTTTACTTCTAATGATTTCTACTGGTGAGTCAAATATGCAAACAGAAACTGGAAGTATATTTATTTGAGTGAGGAAGTGATACAAGTGGAAAGTTATCTGAAGTAAAATATCTTGTAAATTACACAATTTCTTTCCTTGGGGTAAATAACTTTTCATCCCAAATAATATTTTATATTGATTATTAACAGTGAACTGACCACATTTACAATAAAATGCTAATATAAAGTCACATATGTTTTTTTTTATCTTGAGAGTCTTATTTATTTGTTAGCATGATTTTGCTTCTATGTCAGATCACTGTAAACATTTATTTAGAAATCGAAGTATTGGTGTGAGATCTCCCACATCTCACCTCTCGGGTTCCCGTATTTTCACATTTGTTTTGATGTTCTCTTTGGACTTCTCCAGGAAAGCGTTTTTGAGACAGTGGAAAATAAATATATGAAATAGGGTAGTGGATCCATATAGCAGTCACCTGGGGGAATAAGGAGTATTTGTTGTAAACAAGTAAGGACACACATCTGAGGACTAAGATAAGTACTTAGTACATACATCTAAGTAAACACACATCTAAGTGCTAAGCTTGACCTAGAGGACTTCCTGTTCCAACTTTTAGCTTAAATATTTACATTTAATAATTTGGTGCTTTTTCTGACAAACTTAAAACCAATAGATGTTGTTATTTAAAAAAAATAAAACATACAGTGGATCTCTTATTGCCTAAACAAGATCACATACTAATCTGCAGTAACAAGCAAGTGGACATACATAAATATATATGTACATTTTAAAAGGTGCTTATATATTAAAAAGAATTTTATTATGATGTTTTGATATAACTGACCTGAGATGTTCATTATAGTACTATGCTGGTTACCAATATTGTTTGCCAAACTTGATGGACTCTAGTGGTAATAAAGATGAATAGTTGCTTTGTTTTCACTATTCTCCCCTTCTTTGAATATAATAGTTCTTTTTTTATGCTGGGCATGATCAACTTAGGAAAAAAATCCTCTAAATTTCCCAAGCTTCTTTGAAACCCACTCTAGTCATGTGATGAAGTTCTGAACAATGCATAAAATTTAAGGTATAATATGACGGCTTTCTGGATCCTTCCTTAAGATTCAAGTTGCATGGAGTCTATCATCTTCTTTGTATATTTCTTGGTCCTCTTCCCTAGGACACAAATGCCACCATCTTTGACTATGAAGATGAAGGTTACATCTTATGAATGATGAAGCAATGATTTAGAATGAGTCTGGGTCACTGAGGACTAGAAACCAGCTAGAGATGACTTAAATCCAGACTTTGATTATGTGAAAGAGAAATACATTCTTAAAATGTACACTATTTCTATCACTTGCAATAAATTCTACTCCTATCTAATACAACAATATAGAAAAAGGAATGAGAAAATTCTGCTAGGAACCAAATTTTAGACAGTGTTTCCACTTAAAAATTAAATATATCCCTGGGAACGATGGCAGCAAATATAAGAAAAGAAAAGCCATGGGCTATATTATTCTCTTTTAAAAGAATCTCGTTTATGCTATACAGATTAATTGCCCCTAGAAAGTGAATTTTAAGTAGGGTTAGTCACTTGAGTTCTTATATTTGAGATATTGAAGACTTTGTCACTTTTCTTTTAAAATTCTTGTTGGAATATGTATCTATTATTTGAACCATACTTTTTAAAACCAACACACAGAGAGTCAAAGAGCATAGTGTTATTTCCTAATTAAATAACTCCCATATTTGAGGATTTAAACCAAAATATTTCAGGCATGCTTCTGTCTCAAGTAACGTACCACCAAGAAATAATGGTGGATAGGATTAGTTTGTTTGGAGTAATGATTTTAAAACTCTTCGATCATAAAAGAACTTACTGAGGATCTTGAAAAGCCATTCTTTATGTGTTATATTTACTGATATTCATCTTTTTAAAATTAAAATTGATGATTTTAAAATATGAGTTAATCAATTTCAAAATAACAGTCATAATTTCATATTTTTAGAAACATAATTTTTTTAGAGCAAAAACTTCTTAGGAATAGTGGAATGTTTTACATGTTTGGTCAATCTCTTTAATGTCTCGCTTAATGGAAGACAGTTTCTCATATCTGATTTAGCTTTTAGTCTGTTGTGATAACATGCATATATCTGGAAAATTCCACCGTTCATTCATGAATGTATGGCAGTAAAAATGAAAAATGTATTATGAAAATAATTTTGCCCTTATCGAGACCTCAAAAGGGTCTTTGGTTCCCACATGCGTCCCTAGACCACACCTTGAGAAAATTTGGTCGAGAGCAGAGATCTTCAAACTTGTGAGATGAGAAAACCATACTGTAAATATTTTGAACCTGCATTCCCAATTTCAATTCAACCATTTATTTATAAATTTTATACATGTGTTATTGCTAATAATCATTAGCAATAACACATATACAATATGTATAATAGTAAATATATTATTTTAGGTATGTTTTGATATTTTAGAAAATTTTAAGAACTGGCAATGCATAGATTTGGAGTTCTGTTTCTAGATTCATTTTATTCTAATTACTGGAAAAGATATATTGTTTGCTGTATTCATTAAATCATGATACAAACTTTTAATCCCATTATCTAGTTGTATAACTTGTTTTTTAAATTTCCCTAATATAGTTTCCTTAATGTCAATAGTTTATTTTTACAGATTAATTGAGAAGTTTGATTTTCATACCATGTGGTAAAAATTCACTAAAACTCTTCCGTTTGGAAAAAATGTAAAACCCAATTAGAATATTCTAATAGTACACAAATACCAGTTTTATAAAGTATACAACTAGATAAAATTTAGTAATATTACAACAGAAATAATCTTGAATATTCATGAAAAGATGCTCTCTCCCAATATAGCAGCATGCCTAGAATACTTTAGGAGCTGTTGCATGAATGCAATGAAATATGAAATGAACTTCATTATCAAAATCGCCTATCATAAAGAGATTTCCTATAAAGACATCCAGGTTCCCAGACATGGCACAGCACTTCCTGTATACAGGATCTATATCAACAACATCAGGCAACTGAGAGGCTTCATAGTGATGAAGCTACCAGAAGGCAGACAACTTGGAAAACTCATGGAAGCCACAACTTAAAATGTGTATGTGTTTCTATGTGCTCTGGAGAAACAAGGACAGTCAGCAGCATGCAGCCACCAGCCTTAGGTGTGTAGCTTGTCAAGCTCAAGTAGAAATTATTTGAAGAGAAAGCAATCAACTGTGTCCCTACAGAAGCTCAGTTTTAAATAGTGTGAGAAATATACAGAAGGACAAAAAATAGGAAAATGAAATAAGATGTAGTGTCAACCCCTTGGGATAGTAATTATCCACAGGTTTCCATCTTACCATCATCCACATGCAAAGTTGACAATGAAAATAATAAACATGAAAACACACTATATTTGCAAACAGACTAAATTTATTTAAAGGACTTAAGAATCAAAGAATTGCATTTTAAAACCTATTCTTTATCATCTTGCACAACAGAACCAGAGAAAGACAGCATCTGTAGTTCTTTGATAATAGCCTAGTTTAGGTTTCTGCTGTTTTGAAGACACAGGATCAGATGAACAAGAGCAGCATGAGAATCCAGGTTTCACAAGCAGACAAATCTGGTGAGCTCTAGAATTGTTCAGTAGAAACCATATGACCAATATCTTCCATAGCAAGATGGGCAGTAGTAGCCATTTCCATAGCCTCCATAGCCACCATAACCACATCCATAGCCACGATAACCACAGCCATAGCCACAGCCAAGCCCACCATACCCATAGCCACCATAATAGTTGCTGTAGTAAATCATGGTGTCAGAAATGGATGGTTCAGGTGTAGAAGAGGATGTTCTTGAATTTGAACATCTCCATCTTCACAGGTCTTTTATACTTCCTCAGTAGTAGGTGTGGCAAATCACAGGCAATGTTGCTCTTATTATGAATTATTTTGGGTTGACCGCTAACACCGCCAAGGCAACACTCTCATAAATCTCTTATTTCATTAGGCATAGTGAAGCCTTCATAGCTAGGATTCCTCTAGTGTTGTGTCAAGATTTTCACAATCAAAGAATGTGATTTGAATGACAGATTTTTTTTAACCTGGTTTTAACATCCTTTTTTCCTGAGAGCACATACTAAAATTTCATGATGAGATTCTATGAAATAACAGAAACTATGCAAATCTCATCTGATTCAAATTGGTTTTGGCTTGTTAATTCCTTTACATTCATCTACCAGTTGCAGTTGAAGAAGTCTGTCTGCATGGCTTTGGGGAGACAGATGTGCCTAAGGGGCAAGTCTTTCGAGTATGAGATCTGTAATATTGCCCAATATTTCTTCAGAGATAGAACAGTTTATTTCACTTTAAATACATAAGTCAGGTAACATTTTTACAGGATACAACTTTACAAACGTACAAATGCACTTTATTTTACTGTTATACCAAATTCTATCTTGATTCATTATTTCCACTAAATGGCAAAACATTTATTCTTGTCCCTTTCAGGTAAACTCAACAAAATTCAATCACTTTCTGGTTGTCAGTATTAAAATACAATTGCAATAAAGACATTACCACTCCTCATTCTCTGCCTGAGGTGTGCTTCGATGTGCAGTGATATGCTGTTGGTTTTGAGGAGGACCATACCTGTTCTGCACTGACACCTTTGGATGGCATAACACATATTGCCATTTTCCACTGCCACAAAAATAAAACTCTGTTCAATCCATTACCTAGCATGAAGTGTTACATCCTTGGGTCTCTACAGCCAGAACAGTCTTTGGTTGTAGTAAGGAAATCAATGAGTCTCCACTCAGATCCACCTGGGTGAGAACCAATCATTGTATCTCCCCCTGCTTGTGCTATGTGTGTTGGGGAACTTGGTAGGACTTTCCCCTTCTCAGTAAAACCAGGATGTGACTTTCTCTGTTGTTAGATGTACATCCTCAATGCAGAGTTTCTCTTCCCTTCAGCTTCAAGGACATAATGCCCCTAAATGAGAACTTAAGCATGCCTGAGTTCTCTTATTCAATTGATCAACTCTCTACTGAAGCTTCTATCCAGAAAAACAGGGATGGGATGAAATAAGTAAAGACAGCAAAATTTATTCTAGTATTCTGGTTCCTACTATGAACCAAACACTATTCAAAGTGTCTGGTATGTATCAAAAGATTTGATTTTCTAAATTTCCTTGTGGGGTAGGTATCATTATTACAATCCCATTTGCAGATAGGGCAGCTGAAGCATGTAGTTAACAGTGGTCAGACAGCTATGGATAGTAGAGGTAAAATTTGAGCCTAGAAAGCACATTACAGATATTTTACTCTTATTTACTATATTCAACTCACTCTTATAAAGTCATCTTACTAAGAATATAAGTCCAGAGGGCTACTTGACTTAATCATTCAATTTAGCTCTGATCTTCACTGCTTTGAAAAAAGATTAGGCTATAGTAACATGTTCCTCATAGTCTCATATTTTGCCAAAGACTTCTTGTTTGATGGTGGAAATATAGTAGGTTGCATGAAAAGATACTTCTGCCAGTATTATTGTTTTAAATATGAAAATACCTATACTTACTTTTGAGCCAGAACACAAATATAACAAATGCCTTGAAATTTCAGGAAAATTTTTATAAAAATACAATTTTATAAATAAAATGAAACCTCATTGATTACGAATTTGAAACTATGGGAAAGAACTATTGTTTTAAAACAGTCACAAAAGGAAATATTGATGTGAGAAAGAAAAGTATAGTTTTCTCATGCCTGGTATTTTAGAATTTCAAACTATTGGCTTTGTGTCAACAGTCTCTGGAAGCTGAGTGACACTTTCTGGCTTTTAAAAGAAAACCATCTCTCATGTGAAAATGAGAAGAATTCCTAAAGGAAAACAATGGGTTTGGAGCAGCAGGAAAGAGATGGAGAAACTCAAGCTCAAGGGAGATTACCATGACCTGTTGAATGTCAGCAAAAATAAGGTAAAATTATTGGTTGTTTAGAACAGGTCAGTTTGTTTACTAAAATGCTATTTCTTGCCATAAAGGCTGGTTGGAAAATGGTAATTTGAATGTCTGGTGTGAGTAGAGTTTTAAAGATCAGACAGTTGATGCTCATTAAAGATGCACAAATGTTTCAGATGTGGCTGAACAATAGAAAATGTTCTAAATGCCACAAGGCCACGATTGAAAACCAAGAGTCAACAAATTACTCATGCTGGTCCTTCAAATTAGCCAATGGCATGACTTGTGTATGGTTCCCACCCACACTGAGGCATATAAAAGGCCCTCTGCAGGGGAAGTGTTCATACTGAAGTCACCTACACTTCCTCCTACCCAAGGACAACCTCCACAACCAACACCATGTGTGGCAGCTACTACGGAAACTACTATGGCACCCCTGGCTATGGGTTCTGTGGCTATGGAGGCCTGGGCTATGGCTATGGAGGCCTGGGCTGTGGCTATGGCTCCTGCTGTGGCTGTGGCTTCCGCAGACTGGGCTGTGGCTATGGCTATGGCTCCCGCTCCCTCTGTGGCTATGGCTATGGATGCGGCTCTGGCTCTGGCTACTATTATTGAGGATGCCATGGGAGACTCTCACCCTCTATCCTGTGATACTGAGATTCACTAATTCTGAAGCCCACATGTTCTGAGATTTTCCCTTGAGTGATGATATCCTGCAATGGAAGTCTAATATGGTCTGTTGTTGAGCTACCATCTAACCTACAAATATCTTGAATTTCCATCATGAAACGGGATAAGGTAAAATTCACCTGTCAGTTCTCCTTTCATCAGAATGATGGTGTCACATCATCTGCCTTGATGACTTTTATGATGGAGCTTTTTTCTCTGTTCACCTAATAAACACATTTAATCCAGAAGAGAAACCTGGTGTTTATGTCAATCATTTAATATTTAAAATTTCTTACCAATAGTTTTTGTTTCAGTTTGCATGAAAGCTAACAATTAAATTCTTTGGGAGATATTTTTCTTACAATTTCTAGAGAGGTTTCTTTGCCAATTCAAAGCTCAATTGTTTTAGAAAAGTAAGCTTTTTAATAAATTTCAGTTTCCTCCTTTGCTTCTAGGGGAAGAATTTATGTTGTGCTGAGTAATTCTCAATACTAAATTAAGTACCTATCATTTATATGTTGGGTTATGCATTGCCTGCTGTCTGTCACATAACAAAGAAAAAATTTAATTTTCCGAAGCCTTCTTGTGCATATCTCCTAAAATAAATGAATGCTTGTTACTATATCCTTCATTTTGAATCTTCCATTTTAAAGAAACTATTTTTTAATGAGACATAACCAAAGGAATAGTTTTATAATCTAGTATACTCTAAGCTAGTAATAGGTTATAAAGCTATTTGACCTGCATAGTGGGCCATAATAATTAAATAAAAACACTATTTCAGGTATAAACCGAGAAGCTTCAAAGTCTCACAAGGCTGCAATTCAAGATCTTAAATGGGGCTGATTGTACCCAGGGCTTATCTGGGGAAGGATCCATTTCCAAGGTCATGCCTTTGTTAGCAGAATTCAGTTCCTTGCAGTTGTAGGACTAAAGGGCTCATTTTCATTTTCTTGTTGGCCATTTGTTGCAGTGCCTTGCTAGCTATCTTTTGGAGGCAACCCTCACCTCCAAAAGGATGCTCACAGTTCCTTGTCAAAGGGGTTTTGAAACATAATTGCTTGTTTTTCAAAACCAGCAAGGGAGGGCAAGAGACTCCAGCAAGATGGGTACTACAGTCTTATGTAACATAATCACATAAGCACACATAATCATAAACATACACCATATTCTATTGGCTAAAAGCAACAGGTCTCACCCTCACTCACAGAGAGGGGCTTACACAAGAGTACGGACATGTGGAGGCAGCAATCACTGGGCATGTTGATTCTTCTCACTGCAAATTCAGTGCATACAGTAGTTTTCCCTTAACCATAATTTCAGTTTCTGTAGTTTCAGTTACCCAAGATCAGCCACTGTGAGAAAATATTAAACTATTTTCAGAGAGAGAGAGAGAGATGGGTGGGGAGAGAGAAAGACTGTATTTACATAACTTGTTTTTACAGTAATTGTTATACGTTCCTTCTATTATTAGATATTGTTGTTAATCTCTTACTGTGACTATTTTGTAAATTAAACTTTATCACAGGTATGTATGTATACAGAAAAAACATACTACATATAGGCTTTGTTACTATCTTGGTTTCAAGTATTCACTGGGCATCTTGGAACTTATCCTTTGGGATAAGTGGGGATGACTATACACCCTTCATAATAGGAATTAGGAAGTTGTCCTTCATTTTAAGTGCTCTTTGACAATTTGTACAATATTGGGATTGCTTTGTCTTTAAATATTTGGTAGAAGTCTCCTGAGAAATCATCTGGGTTTGGGCTTTTCTGTTGTTAATTTTTATTTTTCTTCTTTATTTAAAAACTGTCCCTTAAAGTCCTTTTTTAAAAAACTTTGGCCGGGTGCTGTGGCTCATGCCTGTAATCCCAGCACTTTGGGAGGCCTAGGCGCTCAGATCATGAGGTCAGGAGATTGAGATAATCCTGGCCAAGATGGTGAAACCCTGTCTCTACAAAAAATACAAAAATTAGCTGGATGTGGTGGTGCGTGCCTGTAATCCCAGCTACTCGGGAGGCTGAGGCAGGAGAATCGCTTGAACATGGAAGTTGGAGCTTGCAGTGAGCCGAGATTGCGTCACTGCACTCCAGCCTGGGGAGAGAGTGAGACTCAGTCTCAAAAAAAAAAAACCAAAACAAACAAACAAACAAAAAAACAGAAACAAACAAACAAACAAAAACACTTTTATTTTAGGTTCGGGGTACACATGCAGGTTTGCTACTTAGGTAATTTGTGTCACAGTGTCATAGGGGTTTGTTGTACAGATTATTTCATCACCCAGGTAATAAGCTAGTACCCATTAGTTGTTTTTCCTGCTTCTCTCTCTCCTTCCACCTTCCACCCTCCGCTAGTCCCCATTGTGTGCCCTCTATGTGTCCATGTGTTCTCATCGTTTAGCTCTCACTTATAAGTGAGAACATGCCGTGTTTGGTTTTCTGTTCCTGAGTTAGTTTGCTGAGGATAATGGCCTCCACCTCTATTCGTGTCCCTGCAAAGGGCATGATCTCCTTCATTTTTATGGCTGCATAGTATTCCATGGTATATGTGTACCACATTTTCTTTATCTAGTCTATCATTGATGGACATTCATGTTGATTCCAAGTCTTTGCTATTGTGCATAGTGCTGTAATGAACATATCCATGCATGTGTCTTTATAATAGAATGATTTATAGTCATTTGAGTATATACCCAGTAATGGGATTGTTGGGTCAAATAGTAGTTCTGTATTTAGGTCTTCTAGGAATCATCAAAGTCTTCCACAATGACTGAACTAATTTACATTCCCACCAAGTGTATAAAAGCATTCTTTTTTCTCCACAACCTCGCCAGCATCTTTTATTTTTTGACTTCTTAATAATAGCCATTCTGACTGGTGTGAGATGGTATCTCATTGTGGTTTTGATTTGCATTTCTCTAATGAACAGTAATGTTGAACTTTTTTTCATATGATTGTAGGCCGCATATATGTCTTTTTTGAGGAGGGTCTGTTAATTCTTTTCATTAACTTTAAGGAAATGAATCTGTTTATGATTTCTAAGTTGAAAGGTGTCCATTTTGGTCATCTGCACTTCTCCAGGACATTATCAATTTACGTACATAGAGCTCTGAAACCCAGTCTTATATGGTATTTCAAATGTCTTCTGTTTCAATGTTTATTTCCCTCTTACTATTAATTGCGCATATGGTTTCTCGATTTTTTTCTTTGATCAAGTTAGCAGGTAGTTTACAAGTTTTGTTAATCTTTCAAATAATAGCATTTCATGTGATTACATGTATTTTTTCTTTTTGTACCTCATTAATATCTCCTTCTCTATTTATTATTTTAATCTGTGTGTATTTTTCATTTACTTAATTGTCCCTTGGGAAATATTTGAGCTAAAACATAATTCATATTACATAATTAATGAAATATAATTAATATTTCATAATATTAATTTATTTTCTTCTATTTTTACTGATAACATGTCAGTGCTATGAATTGTTCCTAACCACTTTAAAAATATTTCTCATAGGCCCTGTTACAGATTATTTAAACTATCATTAATTATTGAAAACTGGTAATTATATTTGTATGTCTTCTTTCAACAAAGAACATTTTTTTAAATACAAGGCTTGTTACTTTCCAGGTTAAAGGATTTTTCTGTTCTTTGTTCTTGTTAGTAGTTATTAATATTGTTGTGTGACATCAGAGAGTACCTTTCCCATTATTTCTGTTTTATAAAACGAATCTTTTCTGCCGGACATTATGTATGACCTTTGTGTGGATGTTCCATGAGAACTGGAGAAAAAAGGTATATTATTTATTATCAGGGCATAAAGGTCATTATTATCAAGGCATAAAGGTCAGTCTATATAAATGAGAGCTACCTTTTGAATATATTGTTTAGATCTTATCTCTGCTTGTTTATTTTTTCCACTTGATCTGTCTTGTTCCAAGAGTGCTGCTTATTAGTGTGTTTCTACTTATGTCTCTCAGTGGCATGTATCTGGTATCTGTGTCTTCATAAAGGGGGTCTTAGCATTATTTGGTGCATAAATATACATATATATATATAATAGATATCTTGTGATTTGCGTGTCTCTTGCTTGGTAAGTTTTCTTCTTTATCACTTTTAATGCCTTTTCCCTCATTTCTATCTATCTGACAGTGGAGTTGTTATGTTTTCTATTGGGATTTTTTTCCCAGACACCTTTGTGCATGGCTTTAATTTTGCATTTTGAAATCATTTTGTTTCAGGTGTTTATATAAAACATATAGTTAGGCTTAGTTCAACAGCCAAATTTAAAATGTTTATTTTAATTAATTAAATTCACATGTATTGCCATGACTGGTATGTTTGGTCCTATTCTTTATGCTTTAATGAATACCCACAAAAATAAAAAAAATTTTTAAATGGTATTTTGATGGTTGGTAGTTATATTAGTGGCTATCTGGTTACCTTTGTATATATACTAATTTTAATGTTCTCTGTTCCCTCTTTTTAAATTTAACATTTTATTATCTGACACAATAGCTTATATTAATATTATTTAACTTCCTCTCGTCTATAAAACAACAATTAGCTTGTTCTCTTTTCCTCTTCCATTCTTCTTCTATTATCCCTTTGTCATTTAGTTGGATTATAACTACTTTTCCATCACAAAATATATTATTTATGTATTATTAATCCTCCCATCTAATCCCTATATTTGGTAGCACACCAAATTCATATCATCACACACATACATACACACATACATTCATACCAAAACACATATGTTTGTATCCCCACACACTCACAGATGCACACATACACACATATATATTCAATACTTTGCTTAACACTTCCCATTCATCCCTTGATTAGATGATGCTCACCCTCTAGGGTGTTACTCTATATGGGCTTGTGGATGCAAAAATGTCTACTTTTTGTATGTAGGAAGCTGTTGTTCTACTCCATTGATATATGGAGGGCAGCTTTGTTAAATATAAAGAACTTGGATAACGCTTTCTTTTATTAGGTTCTTTAAAATGCTTTTCTTTTTGTCTTTCTTTGAATGTCACTTTTGAAAATTCCGATGAATAGCCTAATTATTTTCCTATTGTAAATTATGTAATGGTTTTCCTGAGAGCTTTCAGTGTTTGTTTATCATTGAAATCTAATATTTTAATAGTGTTTATATTATAATTGGTAATTCTAGATTAATATTCACTGTCCCTATTTAGGACATGTCAATAAGTAATTCAAGTGAAAGAAGAAAACAAAACAAAACAAAATTAACACCCCAAATATCATAGCTAAACCATGACCAGTAAAGACAAAGGAAAAGATCTTGAAAGCAGCAAGAAAGGCCAGGTGTGGTGGCTAACACCTGTAATCCCAGCACTTTGGGAAGTGGAGGTGGGAGAATCACTTGAGGCCTCGAGTTTGAGACCAGCCTGTATAAGATAGTGAGACCCTGTCTCTAGTAAAATTACAAAAATTAGCCAAGTGTGGTGGTGCAAGTCTGTAGCCTCAGCTACTCAGGAGGTTGGGGCAGGAGAATTTCTTGAACCTGGGAGGCAGAGGTTGCAGTGAGAAGAGATCATGCCACTGAATTCCAGCCTGGGTGACAGAATGAAACCTGTCTCAAAAAACAAACAAACAAACAAACAACCCAAAGCCACATGAGTTTTGAGTTTTACTTTTAAGTCCTTAATCCATCTTGAGTTAATTTTTGCATAAGGTGCAAGGAAGGGGTCCAGTTTCAATTTTCTGCATATGGTTCTAGTTCTCCCAGCACTGTTTTTTAAATAGGGAATCATTTTCCCATTGCTTGCTTTTGCCAGGTTTGCTGAAAGTCAGTTGGTTTTAGGTGTGTGGTCTTATTTCTGAGTTCTGCGTTCTGTCCCATTGATCTTTGTGTCTGTTCTTGTACAAGTACTATGCTGTTTTGATTACTATAGTTTTGTAGTACAGTTTGAAGTTGGGTAGCATGATGCCTCCATCTTTGTTCTTTTTGTTTAGGATTATCTTGGTTATTTGAGCTCTTTTATTGTTTCATATACATTTTAAAATATTTTTTTCTAATTGTGTGAAGAATGTCAACAGTAGTTTCACGGAAATAGCATTGAATCTATAAATTACTTTGGGCAGTATGGCCATTTTCACATTATTGATTCTTCTTATCCATGAGCATCGAATGTTTTTTCATTAGTTTGCATCCTCTCTGATTTCTTTGAGCAGTGGTTTGTAGTTCTCCTTGAAGAAGTCCTTCACTTCCCTTGTTAGCTGCATTCCTAGATATTTTATTCTCTTTGTAGCAATTGTGAATGGGAGTTCATTCATGATATGACTGTCTGCTTGTCTGTTGTTGATATATAGAAATGCTAATGAATTTTGCACGTTGATTTTGTATCCTGAGACTTTGCCAAAGTTGCTTATCAGCTTAAGAAGCTTTTGGGCTAAAACGATGAGGTTTTCTAAACAAGGCATCATTCTTCAGTATGCCAATTGCATTTTTCAGCTCCAGAATTTATGCTTGACACTTTTTAATTATTTTAATCTCTGTTAAGTTTATCTGATAGAATTCTGAATTAATTCTTTGTGTTATCTTCAATTTCTTTGAGTTTCCTCAACCCATCTATTTTGAATTCTCTCTCTGAAAGGTCACATATCTCTGTTTCTCCAGGCTTGGTTGCCAGTGGCTTATTTAGTTCATTTGGTGGTGTCATGTTTTCCTGGATGGTGTTGTCGCTAGTAGGTATTCTTCAGTGTCTGGGCATTAGAGAGTTAGGTATTTATTGTAGTCCTCACTGCCTGGGCTTATTTGTAGCTGTCCTTCTTGAGAAGGCTTTCCAGATATTTGAAAGGACCTGGGTGCTGTGATCTAAGCTGTTTCTACTTTTGGGGGCACCTCAAGCCCAGTAATGCTGTGGTTCTTGCAGACTCATAGAAGTACTTTCTTGATGTCTCCCAGACAAGATCTGGGAGAATTCTCTGGACTACCAGGCAGAAACTCTTGTTTTCTTCTATTTTTTTCTCCCAAATATACAGAGTTTTTGTTTCTGTTCTGAGTCACTAAAAGCTGGGGGTGGAGTGACACAGGCACCACTATGGCCAACACCACTATGACTGCACTGGGTCAAACCTGAAGCTAGCACGGTGCTAAGATTCTCACTCAAGGCCTGCTGTAACCACTCCCTGGCTACTGCCTATGTTTGCTCAGGCCCGGGTGCTCTTCAATCAGCAGGTGGCAAAGCCAGCCAGGCCTGTGTCCTTCCCTTCAGGACAGTGAAGTTCCCCAGGCCTCAGGTGGGTCTAGAAATGCCATCTGAGTGTCAGGGACTAGAGTCAACAACTTTGGAAGTTTTCCTGGTATTCTATTGTATTGTGGCTGAGCTGGCACTCAAACCACAAGACACAGTCCTTCCCACTCTTCCCTTCCTTTCCAAAGATGAGGAGCCTCATCTTGTAGCCACTGCCACCCCTGGCCATGAGGAGTATTGACAGAGTACCTCCTGTATTCCCCTCAGGCCCAAGTTTCCTTAAGTCAGCTGTGGTGAATGCTGCCTTGCCTAGGACTCACCCTTTAGGGCAATGGATTCCTCTCTGGCCCGGGGCAGGCCCAGCAATGCCATCCAAGTGTCAAGTCTTAGATTCAGGGACCCGCAAGAGCCTGCTTGGTGCTCTATCCCCTTGTGGCAGTGTTGGTACCTAAGGTGTGAGATAAAGTCCCCTTTACTTTATCTTCTGCTTTTCTGAAGCTGAAGGAGTTTTGCCCTGTAACCACCACAGCTGGGAATGTACTGAGTCTCACCTGAAGCCAGCAAATCTCAGAGGCTCACCAAGGCCCTCAGTGTAGTACCTGGGTATCACTGCTAGTTATCCAGGACTCTAGGGCTCTTTAGTTAACAGGTGATAAATGCTGGGTCCTTTCCTTCAAGGCAGTAGTTTCCCTTCTGACCCAGGGTGTGTCTAGAAATGTTGTCTGCAAGCTAGGCCCTGGAAAGGGGGCCTCACAACTCTGCTGCCCTATTCTGCTGTGGTTGAGCTGGAATCCAAGATACAAGACAAAGTCCTCCCCTCAAAGAGAAGGAAGAGGACTCTTTTGGAGCTGTGAGCTGTGTAGCCCCTAAGGTTATGGAAGAGATGAAGCCAACATTCCCTTCACTGTCCAAGCGGTGTCTCAGTATGTTGCATTCTCCCCTCCCCTCCAGTCCACTGGCTCTTGGCCTGGTTCAGCCCTAGGACTTTCCTAGAAGTTGCAGTCCTTATGGCCTTGATTGCCTTTCAAGTTTACTTAGAGAGAGAGAACACTTTGGCCCTTGATGGAGAGGTTTGCAGGCACTCAAGTTTGGACCACAGGGATCGGTGATTCCTGTCTGGTCAGGCCTGGTGTAAATGCTCCCTTGTGTCCGTGAGTGTCAGCTGAGTTTGCCCTGGCTTTCCTTTCTGCTCTAACAGAACAACACTGAGTTTAATGCCTCACAATTGCTGTGTTCTCTGTCCTCCAGCACCCAGAGATGCTCTCTGCACCAGGCTGCCCTTGTTGGGGATGTGGGGAGGTTGGCATCAGCAATCCAGGACTGTGTCTTCTATCTGTTCAGTACCTCCTTCAGCAGTATGAAGTAAAACCAGGTACTATGAGTGTTTACCTTATTTTTGGTTCTTATGAAGGTGTTTTTTTTTTGGTGTAGATAGTTGTTAACTTGCTGTCCTTGTTGGGGGAGGGGAGGCAACTGGTGGAGCTTTCTATCTTGCCATCTTGCTCTGCCTCTGCCTCTCATTTGTTTCTTGAAGCATGGTTTCCTTTTGTACTTTGAACATATATAAATGGCTAAAATATTTGTCTGGTATGTCTAACATCCGGATGCTCTCAGAGACAGTTTCTGTTGCTTGATTTTTCACTGGCATATGGGTCACATCTTCCTGTTTCTTGCATCTTCTCTCTCTTTCTCTCTCAACTGCACATTTTAGATTTTATATTCTATAAACTGTAGATATTCTCTCCCCCCTGCTCCAGAGCTTATTGTTTCCTTATTTGCTTAGAGACTAGGCTGGGCTATGTTATTGAGTTCAGCATGAAACTTTTGATGTTATTCCTTAAAAGGCACAGCTACAGCATGTGTACTGTATTTCTGAGGTTTTGTCTGAACCCTCTTAGATTTTCTCTTTCCTTCCACTCTCTGATAAGCAGTTGGACTTTGTTGGTATTACACTCAGCTGTTAGGCACAATAATTTTTAGGGGATTGTGTCATTATTTTTGACAATGCTCTTGGATGTAAATTGCTTCACAATCTGATTCAATTAAATTTAGACTCATAACACAATTTTAGTATAAAATACAGTTATTGTTTATAGTAGCTATGCTGTATATTAGATATTTTGAACTTATTCATCTTATAACTGAAGGTTCATACTCTTTGAATAACATTTTCCATTCCCCCAACTTCCATTCCTGGCAACTACCATACTACTCTGTGTCTTATCAGTTTACTAACAGAGTATATATTAGGGGTACTCACCACAGGGGTGGAAAAGGTAATCATGTAAGGTTATGGATATATTAATTAGGTTGTTTGTGGTAATTATTTTAATATATATGTGTGTGTGTATAAAATCACATTGTATATATTAAATACATACATTTTTATTTGTCAATGACACCTCAATAAAGCTGGAAAAAATGAATAAATTTGAATTCTTTGTCAAAGTTTTTGAGGCCAGTCTGAAATCTGCTCTGAACCCAGAAGGGCTTCTCCTGGCTATCTTTTCTGGTTCTCTCTGATACACTTGCTGGCCTATGGTTTAGTTGGTTGCTTTCAGGGTATATTAGTCCGTTCTCACACTGCTGATAAAGACATACCCGAGACTGGGTAATTTATAAAGAAAAAGAGGTTTAATGAACTCACAGTTTCACATGGCTGGGGAGACCTCACAATCATGGCAGGAGGCAAAAGGCACGTCTTACATGGCAGCAGGCAAGAGAGAATGAAAGCTAAGTGAAAAGGAAAACCTCTTATAAAATCATCAGATCCTGTGAGACTTATTCACTACCACGAGAACAGTATAGGGGAAAACACCCGCATGATTCAATTATCTCCCTATGGGTCCCTCCCAAAACACATGGAAATTATGAGAGCTACAATTCAAGGTAATATTTGGGTGGGAACACAGCCAAACCATATCACATGGTGAAACCAGTTTTCTCTTAATTACTTATCACCAAAATCGCCATTGTTTCAAAGTCTAAACTTAAGTTAAATCTTCTACACACTCTTCTAAATCAACTAGTTCACTTGAGAAAAGATTCAGATCTTTATGTTCTTATGGCTTGCCTTTTGTCTGTGCAAAATATTGAAGCAACTACTCCAGAACTGGGAATAGGAACAACTACTTGCTTATTTTCTCATAGAGACATAACATCATTACTAGCACTCTCTGGGTTTGGGCAGTAGCTTCTAGTTTTTTAAGCTTGCAATATCTGTCACGAAAAATCTCTCTTATGAATGATCAGGGTGGTTGAGAGAGTGATAGAAGCTTAAGATAACTGGCCTGTCATGCCTTTGGTAGATCCCTGGCACTACAAGTGGGAAAAAGGTAGAGGAATGGAGACACATACCTCTTGGTCAGATTCACTTGGACTTTAGCCACTGCCACACAGAACTGGACATGAGATATGCTAATCACCTGCACACAGAGGAGAGATACTGTAGCCCTTCAGATGGGGATAGAAGAAGCACTATAAATTGGTCTCACTACCCAGAGCGGTGGGTCTGTCATGGTGAGCTGGAGGAGGAAGTACGAAAAGAGCTGATTGTGAACAAGTGAATGAAGTCTCTCACTAACCCTATATTTAGTAGATTTTCTTGAATAAATGTGTCTTTATTTGCTGTGTGGCCTTAGGATAATTACCAAATATTTTAATTTTTCTAAAGTATATACTAAGTCTGATGAGGGCCTGATATTTGATGAGCAGTTTTCTGAGTATGATGGGTTATTGAGTCCAAAGTCAGGTTTTACAGAGTTCTTACTCTGGCTTTTTTGACCATGCTAAAATAGGACATTCTGGGAATCTGACTCCTAAGATTCCTGCCCACTATGGCAGGACAAAAGCCAAGGCTGTGACAAAGATGCTTTCTTCAGTCTCCCTTCAGTTTCACTGCCTGTCAATACTTGGAGATGTCAGAGTGATACGGCTCTATATGTTGTCTGTCTTTAATTGATGAAGAATTTTAAAAAATTCTTTATTATTGTTTCATCTAGATGTTTTAAAAAATCATGTATTTGGAAGCTAGTTAAGAGTTTAGCCAACTTCATACTATAATAGCCATTAACAAAGTAATTTTGTATGAATATTTTATTAGTTGTAGAAACTCCAAATGTTAACATTAGTCACTAACAGATTAGAAGATATTTTTGCTTTATATTTTTATCAATGTCGACTGATAAATAATAAGTAGAGTGAATAAAGAACAGCTTTGCTTAACTTGAGCACGGCTGGCAAACTGAAGTCTATATTTTTCAGCTTGTATTTTGGGTCAGACTTGTGTCTTCAAGAAGAAAGTATTACCTGAGGTAGCAGATATTGACCTTGATAAAAGGTTCACAGAAACATACTTAAATTTGATGGACTCTCTGTGGCCACATGGGTCTGACACTTGGAAGTGCTGTCTATGCAGCCACCAGGCATAGGATGAGTTCAAGAGTATATTTTTTCAGAGTTAAAAGAAACAGCCATAATATAGGATTTAGAGAAAAAGTTACAGCTATCTAGAGCCAAAAATGCAACTAAGTATCAAGAAATGTAATGTATGTGCAACAGAATAAAGTGATGAGAAGGGAGGTACTATTTTTGCCAATGATTTTAGTCAAACATTGGATACACTGAAGATGAGGCTTTGATAGATCAAAGTAAATTATAGTACCACTTGGCTCTGCCCATGAGAATACATTTTATCAAAGTACTATTGGTCAGACCTAACACATCCACATCATCAACTGTAAGTTTCCAATGGGTCAGCAACCTTACATATGTGCTCCTGAACACACACACACAATCACAAATAATATAGGTACTCTAGATAAATAAATATAGGTAGGAAAATGCTGTAGGTTTGCAAAATAAATTACCTTTGAAGAAAAATAAATTTAGACTTTTTCCCAAATGAAAATGCTTAACATTATTTGTACTTAATCATATACTAGTAACACAACATCAAAGGTTCTTTTTTCGTTTGATTAAATTGTTGGAAATTCCAGCTAATTGATCAAATAAATTCTGACTTGGCAATGTGGGCTAAATTTTAGTTGTCACTCTTTGAACAGAAAAAAACACGGGAAGAAAACATAGCTCATAAGAGAATGGCCTAAACAGATCAGCAATCTCTAATTTCTCAGAAGCAGCCAGAAAACCAAGATCTTTCATAACACCATGGGCAGTAGCAGGCATAGCCATAGCCGCTAAGACCACAGCCATAGCTGCAGCCCAGGCCTCCTTTGGCATAGCCCTGGCCACCATGGTAGTTGTTATCAAAGCTCATGGTTTCAAGAAAGGTAGGCTCAGTTGTATAGCAGGATCAGATTCTAGAGTTTTAAGTTTATAGAGTTTTAAGTTTAAAGTTTTAAGCTTATAATAAGGGCCTTAAATGCCACATGAATGGTATGTGGGACAAATCACAGGCACTGTTAGATTCACATTCCACACTAATTAGCATTGAAACCATCTAAAATATTCCTTGTAACCAATACATCCAAGACAACTTTGCTGTTTCTCAGGAATGTTGAATATAATGAAATAATGTACCTTTAATAAGAGATCCATCTCCTATTTTGATGACTCGTTTATTTCAGATGTCAAATTTAAACTACATTACCAGCAACCAAGAGTAACCCACATGGCTTCCACTTGTTGTTGTTGTTGTTGTTGTTGTTGTGAGACAGAGACTAGCTCTGTTGCCTGGCTGGAGTGCAGTGGCACAATCTCACTGCAACCTCCACCTCCTGGTTTCAAGTGATTCTCCTGGATTCTCTGCCTCAGCCTTATGAATAGCTGGTGCGTGCCACCACGCCCAGCTAATTTTTGTATTTTTAGTAGAGATGGGGTTTCGCCATGTTGGCCAGGATGGTCTTGATCTCCTGACCTCAAGATCCGCCCGCCTCGGCCTCCCAAAGCCTGGGGTTATGGACGTGATGGCTTCCATTTTTTAAAAATCCTACTTTCACCCAATAATATCCTTCAGCCTAAATACATATATGCAGACTTGGGAATAAGAGTGTAGCTCCAAAGTGATAAGGAAGGATGATAAGCGTGTAAGAGAAGTCATGGTGGCAGCATTCACTTGTAAAATGTTGAGTGATAAGGTGTTTCATCACTTTTTGTGGAGCAATATCATTCTCTTTGGTTTATACTTCACATGTAGCTATCATTTTATATATGATTCTAAACCGTGGCAAAGACTTTGATTTTTGACTTCGTTGATTCTGGGTATATAGTAAGAAAAGGACTTCTATTAAAAATCTGAATTTTAAAACAATTCCAGAATTACTCAAAGATTTATTGGCATCATGACTCCCTGAGATGGCACAAGACAAGAGTTACATCTCTTCCCAAATGTATAACCTCAATCTACATATGAGGAAACCTTAGACAGATTCAATTGGGGAATATTCCACAAAATATCTGGCTCTCTAAAATTGTAAGGTCATAAAAGCCAAGAAAAGACGAATGAACCATGAGCAATTGGAGGTGACTAAGAAGTATAAAAACCAAATGCAATGTGAATTGGATCCAAGAACAGAAAAAAAGAACATTAAAATAAATATGTGAATAGTGCTACAATGAACCATGGTCCTAGAACTTAAAATAAAATAAGTTAATAATAACAGAAAAATGGTAAAATAAAGTCTGCAGTTTAGTTAAGAATACTGTACACAGTTAATTTCTTTGGTGTGATAAGTGGATTATGGTTATGAAAGATATTAATATTAGGGATGTTGAATGATGGATATATGGAAATTTTCTATACTATTTTGACAACTATCTCTATGCCTGAGATTATTTTAAGATAAGAAGTTAAAAGAGAATATAAAACTATTGTTCCATTTCATTGACTTGGTCACTTATTAATTCTTTTATAAATCAAGAAAATAACTTACATTTTCTTGTTCTTCCGTAGAGGTTGAACATAAAGGAAAATTAGACTCACTGGTATAAGTAGAAAAATACAACAAATTTTTCTCAGATCTGGTTTTCTAGAATTTTTAATTAGTTGAATTATTATCAACATCATGGCTTTAGTATAGAAAAGACACTAAATCCCTGAAAAAAGTATTATTTGGATAAAGAGAGCAGAAATACTAAAAGGGCAAAGTTATTGTTTGCTGAATGTTGTGCAAAAGAGTACAATTAATTGGGGCCTAGAGCAAATAAGAGTGTAACTAACAAAAGTCTTTCTTGATGTAAAGGATGGCTATAGAAAGTCTAGTTTGAGGCAGGATTATATGAGTGTGAGTGTGTGAGGTCTCCTTTCATCAGAGCCCTCAATCAGATAAGGGGAGCCCAAATTGCAAGGCCAAACAAAACAAGCCTCCTTAATACCTCTGCAGCATTATCTTACAATTGAGAAAAAACAAACTAATTATATTAGTCAAAAAATTAGCCAGTGGTATGCTACCTCTGCTGGATCATTCCCATCCTGAGGCATATAAAAGGACTTCTACAGGAAGTATCCATACTGAAGTCACCTACACTCCTTCCTACCCAAGGACAACCTCCACAACCATCACGATGTGCGGCAGCTACTACGGAAACTACTACGGCGACCATGGCTATGGGTGCTGTGGATACGAAGGCCTAGGCTATGGCTATGGAAGCCTGCGCTGTGGCTATAGCTCCTGCTGTGGCTATGGTCATGGCTACGGCTCCCGCTTCTTCTGTGGCTGTGGCTATGGATGCGGCTCTGGCTACTACTATTGAGGACACCGTGGGAGACTCATCCTCTATCCTGTGACATCGGGATTCACCAATTCTGAACCCCGTATGCTCTGAGCTCGGGGCTGGATGAAGATTATCTTATATTAAAAGTTTCTGATGTGATTTATCTGAAGACTGACCCTCCCACCCCCAGTACCCTCTGGATCTAGTATTTTCAACTTCCTTTTCTGCATTTAATGCATGAAAATTAAAATAATGTAAAATTCATCCTATGAACTCCTGTGGTCTCTCATCAAGATGATGCTGTTATAGATCTTGCTTTTTGATTTTCATGCAGGAACTTATTTTCTGTTTTCCTAATACACTTTTTCAATCTGGAATTACCATCCTGATTTTCTTTTCATTAGTATCCAGTATTTATCTTTTTAGCTTTCTTCCCAATTTATGTTAACCTAACAATGTCTCAACGTAACCCATGTTATCACTGCTTCAATAGAATAGAAAACCGAGCATGAACAGAGCAGAAAACCGTGCATCATTTATGGGTTGATTATTTGCGTATGAAAATCATTTACTGTCAAACTTGTTCTATGTAGTTCATATCACAACTCTACATAAATAATTTATAATCTAAATAACCATAATTAAGTAGCATTTATTAGCCGTTTAGCATAGAGCAATCACTGTGCCAAGTTTTTAACGTACATCATCTCAAATGAGCCTCAGAATGAATGCATGATGTGTTAAAATTTTCCCCATTTTCCTGTAATCCCACCACTTTGGGAAGCTGAGACAGGTGGATCATTTGAGGTCAGGAGTTCAAGACCAGCCTGGCCAATATGGTGAAACCCCGTCTCTATTAAAAATACAAAAAAACCAGCCAGGGGCCATGGTGGTGCACACCTGTAATCCCAGCTACTTGGGAGGGTGAGGTGGGAGAATCGCTTAAACCCGGGAGGCAGAGGTTGCAGTGAGCCGAGATTGTGCCACTGCACTCCAGCCTGGGTGACATCTTTTTCAAGAAAAAGAAAAAAAAAATTGGCCGGTCATGGTGGCTCATGCCTGTAATCCCAGCACTTTGGGAGGCCGAGGCGGGCAGATCACAAGGTCAGGAGATCAAGACCATCCTGGCTAACACAGTGAAACCCCATCTCTACTAAAAATATAAAAAAAAATTAGCCGGGCTTGGTGGCGGGCCCCTGTAGTCCTAGCTACAGGAGAATGGCGTGAACCTGGTAGGGGGAGGTTTCAGTGAGCTGAGATCGCGCCACTGCACTCCAGCCTGGGTGACAGAGTGAGACTCTATCTAAAAAAAAAAAAAAAAAAAAAAAAAAAAAAAAGAGAAAAAAACTTATCCCCATTTTAGAGCTGAATAGATAGAAGTAAAGAGAATGGAGTAACTTTCTCATTGGCAGGTGTGGCAAAAGAGATATTTCATACCCACCTGTTTGTTGTCTCTTTGTAGATTCATCTAAAGTATTTATTTTCTTTGACTCTAGATAATTGCAGGGATTGTTTAACCACTAAATGCAAAGTTATCTCCCGGGATAGGCTTAGTTATTACTGTTATTTAATGTTATTGACTTAAATTAAAATTATCTGAAGAACAATTTTGTTTTTTACCTCTTTACCCAACGAAAATCTTCCATTCCACTTTTCTCTGCTTTTTAAATTTATACTGACCACTCTATTTACGAAATTTCAGCTCACACATTAGACGTTTATAATCTTTCATGCACATCTCTTACTTTTTGGCACAATCTTTTTATGCCTTTTCTCCAAATTCTAGGAAAATTTCTCAATCCCTTTTCCCCATCTCATCTCTTATTAACTTTTGTCCCTTCAGCATTTTTTTCTTTAAATTAACTTTATCATGACAAATACCTATTGCCTCTTTTTAGATTTTAATAATTGCTTATATAGTTGCTGTAGCTCTATGCATTTCAGGGCTCTCAAATATTATACATTTTAGAATTTGAAAAAAATGTGTTGAAGAGGTTTTCTTCCTTTTGCAACAGTACTATTTTTGAAAAGTAGGCTCATTGTGAGTGCCTAGACTGATCCTTTGATTTTCATAGCTACTTATTTCATATGGTTTTACCCTTAAAAAGAATGATCTACTACTTAGGATAAAGATTTGTTCCATCAGAACTTTTGCGTAGATATGCTAAATCTTTTGCATACAAACAATTGTAAAGAAAAAGTGTTAATACTTCTAATTTTATTTTGCCTGTTTAGCAATACCCATCACTTTCAAGGGTGATCATCTAGTGTGAGCAAGTGAAGGTAGTCATTTCCAATACCATGTAACAGGCCTTTCTGTACATGTTTGTTGTGACGGATCCTGGTTACACGTTGGTGATGTTCTACTTCAAATTCCTTCAATCTTCTCCCTAGGTGTTTATCTTTCTTATATAAAATTCTAATCTATTGGCATTTTTTCTCATCCAATCTTGTCAATATGTCAAGAAGAAATACTCTCAAGATTATTATTTTTATTTAATGGATTAATATCCATTTTATACTATATGTAGACTTATGGCAAATACTATAATTTATTTTTAAATATTACAATAGTTTTTAGATGTATTATACTAAGAGTCTTTAAACCACTTTATTGAAGTATTATTGACATATAATAAGCTGTATGTACTTAATATATACCATATGGTGAGTTTGGAGATAAATATACATCTGTGAAGGCATCATCTCAATCTATGTTATAAACATATCCATGACGACCAAAAGTTTCCTCCCACACTCTCTATTATTATTGCTTTGTTTTGTGATAAGAACATGTAACATAATATCTACTGCATTAACAGATTTTCAAGTAAGATAATAGTAAAAATTAAAAATCCATGGAAATTTGAAAACAAAAATACACTTTAAGATGATTCCAAACACTGTTATTTGAAATAATTAACATTTATAAACCACTTGCTAATGTTCTTAAGAAAAAAGAGAAAAAGCACATACAAAAGCAAGAAACAAATACTGAAACAGAAGAAACTTTAAAAATTATACGAGAATACTTCACAGATCTTCATGAACATAAATTTGAAAACCTAGTTGTAAAAAAAAATCTAGGGGGATGCATATTACCAAAACTGATAACTCTGGATTTAGAAATTGACAAAGGGACTAATTTCCTTAGAAAAAATACAGAAAATCATTAAAGAAATGTCTTGTAAAAATGCCCCAGATTCATATTTATCAGGAAAGTCTACCATCATAATTTCTATGATGAAGGATGTACAACATTTATTTCAGTGGTGGGCAGACTACTAAGGTGGCTCCATGGTTTCTATTCATTGATGTTCAATGCCCTCATGTGATCTCCTGTCCTTGAGTGTGAGCAAGGCCTGTGACTTGGTTCAACCAAATAGCATATAGTAAAGGTGACTGAATATGCAGATACATGTATATATATATGATTGTATGTTATTGCCACAAAAGATTGCAGCATCCATCTTGTTAGAATCTCTCTCTCCCTCTATTCTTTGATTTGAGAAAGCAAATGACCATATTTAGCAACCCACATTGTAGGGAACTAAGGAAGCCTCTTGGGTTCTCCAGCAGACAGCATGCAAACACCCCCAGCCAACAGTCAGGGCTGAGACCTGCAATTATTCAACCACAAGGAACTGAATTCAGCCAACAAGTACATGCGCTCGGAAGTGGGTCCTTCCTCAGGAGAACCTCAAATAAAACTGCAGACCTGACCAACACCTTGATTGCTTCATTGTGAGACCCTGAAACTTTCAGTGTATACCTGAAAACGCTGCTTTTATCCAATTATTATGACCCATCGTGTAGGACAAACAGATTTACAACCTACAAAATAAAATATCTGGGAACACATTTAATCAAGAAGGTGAAAGATCTCGCAAAATATTGCTGAAAGAAATAATAAGTGATACAAACAAATGAAAAAACATTGCATGCTCTTGTATGGGAAGAATCAGTATCATTAATACGTCCATACTGCCAAAAGCAATCTACAGACTCAATGTCACTTCTATAAAACTACTAAAATCATTTTTCACAGAATAAGGAAAATCTACTCTAAAATTTATGTGGAATCAAAGAAGAGCCTTTCCTTTCTTTTCTAAGGAAAAATAACCAAGCTAGAGGCATCACACTACCCAACTTCAAACTATGCTGGAAGGATATAGTAACCAAAACAGCATGATACTGGTATAAAAATTGATGCATAGACCAATGTAATAGGATAGACAACACAGAAATAAAGCCACACACCTACAACCATCTAAACTTCGACAAAGTTGATAATGACCAAGCAATGGGGAAAGGACTTCCTATTCAATAAATGGTGATGGGATAACTGACTAACCACATGCAGAAAATTTAAATTGGTGACCTACATTCCTCCATATACAAAAATTAACTCAAGATGGGTTAAAGATCTAAATGTGAGACCTAAAACTATAAAAATCCTAGAAGAAAACCTAGGAAATATGATTCTGGACATAGGCTTTGGCAAATAATTTTTGGCTAAGTTCTCAAAAGCAATTGCAACAAAAACAGAAGTGGACCTAATTAAACTAAAGTGCTTCTGCACAGCAAAAGAAACTGTCTACAGAGTAAACATATAGCTACAGAATGGGAGGAATTATTTACAAACTCTGCATCCAACAAAAGTCTAATATCCAGAATCCATAGGGATCCTAAGCAAATCAACAAGCAAAAACCAAATAACCCCTTTAAACATGGGCAAAAGGCATGAGCAGGCACTTCTCAAAAGACTATAAAATCAGCCAACAAATATATTTTTATATATTTGTTATATACAACAAATACATATATAAATTATATATGTGTTACATATATATTTGTCATATATTTGTTATATATAACAAATATATATGTTAATGCATAACATTAGTGACCAGTCAAAATAGTTACTATTAAAAAAGTCAAAAACTAAAACGTGTTGGTGAGGTTGTGGAGAAAAGAGAATGCTTATACACTGGTGATGAGAATATTAAATTATTCCAGTCACTCTGGAAAGCATCTGGAGATTTCTCAAAGAACTTAAAGCAGAACTACCATTTGACCCAGCAATCCCATTACTGGGTATATACCCAAAGAAAAAAAAATTGTTCTACCAAAAAGAAACATGCACTTGTCTGTTCATCGCTGTGCTATTCACAAGAGCAAAGACATGGAATCAACCCAGATGTCTAACAATAGTTGACAAAAGATAATGTGTTTCATGTGCACCATGGAATACTATGTAGCCACAACAAAGAGTGGAAATCATATTCTTTGCAGCACCATGGATGCAGCTGGAGGTGATTATCCTAAGCACATTAATGCAGGAACAGAAAATCAAATACCACAGGTTTTCACTTATAAGTAGGAGCTAAAAATTGAGTGCACATGTATATAAACATGAAAGCAATAGACACTGGGACTCTTGGAGTGGGGATGGTGGGGGGTGGTAAGGGTTGAAAAACTACCTTTCACATATTACCTCAGTGGCATGCAATTCACCCATGTAACAAATATACACATATAACCCTTGAACCTAAAATAAGAGTTGAAAAAAATAACGATAAAAGCAAAAAATCAAAGAAAAAAATTTTGGACAATAAATAAGATACAAACACCAAGATTTCTCTTGTGGATTAAATGTGTTTATTAGGTCAGCAGAGAAACAAACTACAGCATGAAAGTCATCAAAGGAGTCACTGTGACACCATCATCCTGATAAAAGGAGAAGTGACAGGTGAACTTCACCTTATCCCACTTCATGATGGAAACTCAGGGTATTTTTGGGTTAGATGGTAGATCAACAACAGATCATATTAGACTTCCACTGCAGGATATCATCAATCAAGGGAAAGGCTCAGAGCATGTGGGCTTCAGAATTGGTGAATTGCAATGTCACAGGATAGAGGGTGAGAGTCTCCCATGGTGTCCTCAATAGTAGTAGCCAAAGCTGGAGCCATAGCCAGAGCCGCACCTATAGCCACAGCCACAGAAGGAGTGGGAGACATAGCCATAGCCACAGCCATAGCCACAGTCCAGGCCTCTGTAGCCACAGCCACAGAAGGAGCCATAGCCACAGCCCAGGCCTCCATAGCCACAGTCCAGGCCTCCATAGCCAAAGCCCAGGCCTCCGTAGCCACAGCACCCATAGCCACAGCCGCCATAACCACAGCCCAGGCCTCCGTAGCCACAGCACCCATAGCCATGGCCACCATTGTAGTTTCTGTAGTAGCTGCCACACATGGTGTTGGTTGTTGAGGTCATCCTTGGGTAGGAAGGAGTGTAGGTGACTTCAGTATGGACACTTCTCCGCAGAGGGCCTTTTATATGCCTCAGTGAATCAGAACATAGCGTGCCCCTGCAAAAATATCTCTAAAGGCCTTTCATTGTGCTGAGAAGTTCTGGCCCTTACGTATCTCTCTGATTTCATATCCTGCTACTCTCCTCCATTTATCTATAATGCTCAAACTCTGCTGGCTTTTTGTCTTTTAAAATGCAGCAGGTTTCTTCTCACAATAAGGCCCTGGCCTCTGCACTTACTGATTTCTCTTTCTTAAAATAATACCAGGAATATTTGACTCATTTTCTATTTCAATTGAAATGTTCACTTCCCAGAGAGACTTTTAATGGCCACCTTATATTAATTAGTCTACCTCCAGTAACTGAACTTAATGTAACTCACTGAGTTTTATTATTCTCACAGGATTCTTCACTGTTAGAATCTATTTCATTCATTTTTAAAATCAGTCTCTCTATCCCTTCTGTCTCATTGTAACCTGCAGAAAGTAGAGACTTTGTCTATTTTGTTCATCTGCTCAATCTGCATTTCTTATAACGGTGCCTGATACAGCAGATTCTTAATAAAGATTTGATGAATTAGTGAAAAAATAACCAAATGAATGACATGATGCAACTTTCTATACTCAAATTCTGTGTAGAATAATCACAATCTTTGTTCTATGCTTGGGGTAACTGGGGATAAATTCATGTACTCTGGGATCCTTTTGGATCATATGCAAACCAGTGGAGGAATTTATCATGGTGATTTTTTTCTGGTTTGAGAATCCATGCCTTTTCCGATTGTTAAGGTGGTGGTATATATCCACTAAAGTTTATGAACTACTGTGTGCAGTTCCGAAATTCTGACTAAATGTTCTACTTGCCTCTTATTGATATGATACTTTGCCAGTCTCACATTGATCTACAAAGTATGATCCCTAGGTTGATCATTGGTAGTTCTGCTACATTTAAGAGTAGCAAATGAATTAATATGTACTATTATTTGTTTATATTTTATTCTAATTGCTTTATCATAATAAATGACTAATAATTCATTAATAATATTTAATAAGTGGATGGAATAAACGTGACAAATTATCACAGGGAGCTTCATAGAAAGTCAGCTCTCATAATTAAGGCTATCACCAGAATGCATTTGGGCCAGAAATGTGGTTTGCTGATGTTATTCTATCCAAGTCACCACTTTAAAAAATAGTAACAGGAATTCTGCTAGAAGATGAAAAGTATTTTTACAATACTTTTGGAAATTTGGAATTAATATATTTTAAAATAAGCAAATTCATTAAATATAAAAAGAAGGTAAAATATGTGAATATTATGTGTCAGGAGAGGAAAACATGAATTTTGAGATACGGTGGGTAATTGTTTCTAATTGCTTTCTCAGATGCAAAGAGAACACCACAACTAATAATATAACCAAAGTGAGGATGATGGAAGAGAAAAAACTTTACTACTCCAAGAACATAAGCTACATATGAACTTGGAAGAAAATTTTTAGTCCCATTGATTAAGAAATAAATTAGTCAAAACATACAGGCATATTTGCAAGTAAATAAAGACATTTTCATCGGCTTCCTCACTGCATAGCCAACCTTCCCTAACCATTCCTGGCCACTCTGTGGTTTAAGGACTGCATTTATGGAGGTAGAGGAGGATATTGAAAAAGAAAAAAGAAATGTTTCAAGAGGCAGGAAATATAAGCTTAATGTGATCACAGAGAAGCTAATCATCAAGTTTAAATTGGGATTTTAAGTAAGCAAAAGCCACAAAATTAAGAGAATATCTCCTTAAGGCTCATGATTTTACTTGTTGGCATCCTGACACATAGCAATATTAATATTTTCCTGGACATATGGCTAAGAGATTCTTGAGGGTTTTTTTAATCTTAATGCAAATTAGTTGTGAGAATGAGTCCAATGTAGATTGTGGTTTCCTTCACATATAACTCAGGTTGGATAAAATAATTTGTACAAATCAGGAGAGTCAAATTTCAGAAACTACTATCTGCCTCAATTGAACTCCATCTTCTGACACCATGTGCTACTACCACAACTATTATGGTAGCCTGGACTATGGTTGCAGCTATGGCTCTGAATATGGTAACTCTGGATATGCCTGCAACTTTCCGTGCTCCTATGGAAGATTCCTATTGGCTCCTAGAAAGAAATTCTGATTGCTGATCACTTTGAGCCATTTTCTTGTGATGCACTAATTGCATCAACAGGGTTATTTATGGATTCGTTATTGTCTCTCCAATTTTAACTAACTCTAATTATTGATTACCACAGGTCATATTTGCATTGGATTAGTGGAATTTCCTACCAGTTAGTGGGAAAATCCTTTGATATTTTGTTAGTTTTATGTGTTTATGTCTGTTATAATATTAACAATTTCCATGCAGGAAAACTTATAAATTTGCATTTTAATAAATATAATCACTTTCACAATATGTATTGCTTATCATATATATTCATTTCTCTTTATCATTTGTGTATTTGTGTGTGTGTGTGTGTGTGTGTGTGTGTGTGAAAGAGAGAGAGAGAGAGAAAGGGAGAAATAGAAAGAGAGAGTGAAATTGCTACCTGTGGCTATTTTAGTCAGTGATGTGACAAAACAGGCAACTCATGACTGATGTTTTTCCAAAAATGTTTGTATAAAAGTAATTTCAAGTTCAGTTTCAAGAATACTGTTCTCTATATTGATCTAATGCAAGTTTCATTTTAGAAAAATTCAATGTTTGACCTAGGTAATTGGCAAAACCAGTAGCACTATTACCCACCAAGCTATTTTCTACTGCAATTTTCTCTCTCCTAATAGTCTACATTTAAACATGTGCTTCTGTACTGATACAACTCCAGCCCTGCATTGAGTACTCTGACCTCTTTTCACTCACTCTTATAGATAAGAATCCTCTATATGAAGCTGGTTGGTATGCCTGATAATCCTGTGTTTCCACAGCAAAGATCACCTCATTTAGAGATCTAAGTGACTCTTTTGAGTTTTTCTAACTCTGATCATCTTCTAGCAGAATTCCTGTTACTATTTTTTAAAGTGGTGACTTGGATAGAATAACATCTTGCAAACCACATTTCTGGCCCAAATGCATTCTGGTGATAGGTCTTAATTATGAGAGCTGACTTTCTATGAAACTCCCTGTGATAATTTATCATGTTTATTCCATCCACTTATTAAATATTATTAATGATTAGTCATTAATTATGATAAAGCAATCAGAATAAAATATAAACAGATAATAGTACATATTAATTCATTTGCTACTCTTAAATGTAGCAGAACTACCAACGATCAACGTAGGGATCACACTTTATAGATCAATATGAGACTAGTGAAGTATCTCCCAGCCCCCAAGTGCAGGCTTTCTGAAAGCAAACGGAAGTGAAAATACTGTATTGCTGTCTATTCCTTCCTCCCTGGAGTGAAAAAGTCAATCCATTAGCAGTTCCAACCCAACTTGCCCAACCAGTGACTGGGCAGAGAAGTTGGTGATCATTCCTCTGGTGAAAAATGAAAATAAGAGGGAAGTGATTCCATTTTTACTAAGATATAGGTTGGGGCTCTGCTCATTATTTGCATAAATTATCCCATTTAATGGATTAACAAATTTAAAGGTTAAACATTTTAATTTCTATTGCAGTCATGCCAAATTAAATCAACTTTTAGAAAGGTAAAGCTGAAAGATTCTTGGTGAGATTGTGCAGGATTGAAAATTTGTGTTTAGTCCTGTACACAGTTCTGATTCTCAATACAAGTTAGTGCTCTAGAATGACGGAGGTTGCTATATTTTGTATAGTATTTCATAATTATTAACTTATTGTGCAAATGGGTATCAATGCTTTCATTATGGCAGTTTGGAACACCAGATTTAAAAATCAATAAAAAATTATGTATCAAAAATGAAACAACATGCATATCGGTACAAAATATACTCATCATATGTTGTTATTTATTTAGTTATGGGAAGTTCAAAAAAAGAACAAACTAATCAGTAATAAAAGTGAGAATAGTGGTACCTCTGGGCAGGAGAGTATTGGATAAGAAAGGGCACAGTGGAATCTTCTGGGTGGAGGAAATGTTTTGTATTTTGATCTAGCTAATGGTTATATGAGTGTATACATATATAAAAATCCATTAAGTTGTATATGTAGGATTAGTGCACTTTACTATATACATATTAGGAATGAATTAAAAACTGAAACAGTGAAATGAGATGAGAGATTTAAAACTACGGCACTATCATAGGACAGAAAATTAATTAATACAGAAATTCCAGGGGGAAAAAAGATGGACATTTTGGTACATAATGTAAGAACTGTCCAGCATTTTGAGAAAGTGTTTGTGTTTATGTATTTTTGTGTGTGTGTGTGAAAAAATATTTTTTTCTTCCAGTAACAACCATGATTTTCAGGGGTAATAAATATCTAAACATAAGAAAATAAATATTAACATTGCTAAAATTCTAGGAGTGACCTGCCTACTGAAAATGTAAAATCCAATCACTCTAAGTTATTGATTGACTTTATTTTATAAAAATATTAACTCTTTCCTCCATTGCAAAAGTCAGTTACACAAGACTAAAATAAAATCCTGGATTGTAAAAAGTTAATTATTATGTATCAGCTATTTTAAAAAAGGGAACAACACACACTGGGACCTTTTGGAGGGTAGAAGGTGGGAGAAGAAAGAGGACCAGGAAGAATAACTAATGGGTACTAGGCTTAATATCTGGGTGATAAAATAACTGTACTACAAATCCTCATGACACAAATCTACCTATGCAGCAAACCTGCATTTGTACCCCCGAGCATAAAAGTTAAAAAAAGATAATCTCTATAATATATGCAATTTACAAAAGGAAAAGATGTGAACAACCAACAATTACATACAAAGGTTTTTACTCTATCTAGTAATGAAATATACTGATATTGAATCACAGTACAAAATTTTTTCTACTGACTGGTTAACAATTAAAATAACTGATAATATATAAAAGCACAGATAGAGGAAAATGAGTGTTTTATTGTATTTTTAGGATATAGAATTTTATAAACACGTGGTGCCAATTTTCAATAATTTTAGCTATTTTATTTATTATTTAGTTATTTATTTATTTTGAAACAGGTTCTCACGCTGTTGCCCAGGCTGAATGCTGTGATGCAATCATAACTCACCACAACATCTAACTTTTAGTCTCTGGAGATCCTCCTGCCTCTGACTCCTGAGTAGCTGTGATTACAGGCACAAGCCACCATGCCTGGCAATTGTACCTATTTTAAAGAAACATTTTAGGAAGACCTTCCAGAGGAGCATTAACAAAAGAATAAATATTATATATGAACACATATATATATAATATACATACATAACACATTATATAGACACATTATACACCGTATATATGTCTATAAATGTATATGTATGGCTTATTCATTTAGGAAAATACCAGAAATTTGAAAATAAACTTTATTGGAATATGGTTTATATAAAATAAAATGCACTCTAAGATCAGATTTTTCTGAACATAGACAAATATATAACTGTATAACTGTCACCACCACCACAATGAAGATATCAAAATTTTCCATAATCCCAAACTTTCTCTGATACATCTTAGAAGTAAATCCTTACCCTAAACCAGTCCCCAAGTAGCCACTGATATGATTTGTACCACGATACATTACTTTGGTCGTTTCTAAAAGGACATAACGATGATATAATGCAGAGTACTTCTATGATTTATTCTTATTTTGGTGTGTGTCTGTACTCCTTTTGTTATTATGATTGAGAAGCATCCCATTGAATGAATTAAATAATTTATTTATCCATTTACCTGTTTCTGACTTTTTTTAAAGGTTGAAGTTAATATGAATATGATGGACATATGCTTTTTGGGGGCGTGGGTCATATGGTAAAAGCATGCTTGACTTTATTTGCTAAACTTTTGTTCAGAGGATGTACAATTTGCATTCCTTAATCAATGCATGAGCATTCTAATTCCTCCACATTCTCACCATCACTTGGTATTGTCATTCTTTTGCATTTCAGTCATTTCATAAAGTGTTTAGTGTTATTTCATTTTGGCTTTAATTCGAAGACTCAAAATGTTGTGCATCATTTCATATGCACATTTGCCATCCACATATCATCTTTTGTGAAACACTTGTTTAAATCTTTTGCCCTTTTCTATTGAATTGGTTTTCTTCTGATTATTTGGTTATACAAGCTTTAAATAAGGGGGAAAAGGGAAAGAACAGATGAGCCAACAAATAAGTATAGATTATTTTCTCAGTTTATGGTTCATCTGTTTTTTCCTTTTTCTTCTTTTTCCTGTTTTTATTTGGATTAATTGATATTTTAGCATTTTGTTTTTGCCACTATTTATTAGATATGCCTAAATTTATTACAGTAATGTCTGCTTTAAGAACTATGGTATGCATCTTAATTAACACACTGTGCCATTTCATGCTTGATATATTAACCTTGTAGCAGTATGCTTACTTGCCATCACCCTTTGCTATCGTTGTTATAAATTTTACCTTTATATGTCATAAACCCCATAAATTATGATTATTCTTTTTGATTAAGGTTGATTATTCAAGAAATTAGACATTTTATAAAATGTTTTCATTTTACCTGTATATTGATTATGATAATCTCCGTGTGTGTGTGTGTTGTGTGTGTGTGTTCTTGTTACTTGGTTCCTGTGCAGCTTCTTTGCTCTTCAGAATTATAGGTGTTTTTTGGGAAATATTTCAGCCATTTATTTTTCAAGTACTTTTTCTGATCCCCCCTCTTCTAAATGTACACAATGTTTCATTTTGTGTGTCAAGTTGATTGGGTTAAGGGATACTCAGATTACTGGTAAAATGTTATTTTGGGTGTGTTGATGAAGGTTTTCCAGAAGAGATTAGCATTTGAATCAGTAGACTGAGTAAAGAAGATCCCTCTCAATGGATCTATGTCTCAACGCAGGTGGACATAAATCAGTCTGTTCAGGGACTAAATAGAATAAAATAGCAAAAGAAAGGCACATTCACTCTCCGATTAAGCTGAGACATCTATCTTCTGTGCTTGGACATGAGTGCTCCTGGTTCTCAGAGTTTTGGACTCAGACATAGACTTACACCGCGCCCTCTCACCCCAGTTCTCAAACGTTTAGACTTGGACTAAATCTTGCCACTGGATTTTTCTGACTGTCCAGCTTACAGATGGCAGGCGATGGGACTTCCGAGCCTCCACAGCTGTATGAGAGACAGTTCGTACAATCAATCTCTCTTCCTCATTCTCAACTATACATAAATAAACATATATGTACATATGTAAATTGTCCTGTTTCTCTGTCCTGTACATGTTTATACAATGTATAAATACATAGTCCACTAGTCAATATTGTTCCACAGATAACTGAGGATCTGATCGTTATTTTTGTTAAGTTCATTTTTTCTCTCTGTATGTAAGTTTTGGTAATCTCTATTGCTCAATTTTCAAATTCACTGATCTTTCCTTCTGCAGTGTTAAATACGATTTTAATATCATCCTTTGAATTTTTACGTCAGTATGACATGTATTTTTGAGATGTAGATTTAAAATTTTTTTATCTTTCACTTATCTTCTCATTTTCATGAATTCCTTTACATCCTTCAGCATATTTATGACACTTCTTTTAAGGTCTCAATATACTCATTCTATCATCTCTGTTATTTCTGGTTTTGTTTTACTGACTTATTTTGTTTCCAAACATTCACAACTCTTTTCTGTTTCTTTGCTTGCCTAATAATATTTAATACATGCCAACGTTAGTGACATGTTGTTTAGAACGTAGATTTTGTTGTCTTTCTTTAGTGTGGATGTCGGTTTTGCTGGTAGTTACTTTTGTATTCTTTGATAGTTTCACAACTTGGTGCATCCAATGTAACCTTCACTGCAATGCCAGTTGACCTAACTAGTGAGGTGCCCTTTTTTGGGGGTCTGCTTTTCAATAAAGTCTCTCCACTCCGATTCGAAGAACTCAAATGTATCTCCCAGTCCTCCATGAGTTCTGGAGATTATTTGGCTTGCACATGCTCAGCTGTTCTTTTCTCCTTCTCAGGGAGTTTCGCTATTCACTTTGTGTCTTAGTGTTCAACAAAGCTTGCTCGTGAGGACCACTCTGTAAATAACTAGATTTCTTTCTTTGTGTAGTCCTTTTTTCTGTTCTTACTTTAAATGTACAGACACTCTTTAGACTTTGACATCTTTGTCCTCAACACAGTAAGATCATTGTGCTGTCACTGGGTTTTCCCTCCCTGAAATGTAGGTGCCATGATTTGAATGTGTCCCCTTAAGTCCATATATTAGAAACTGAATCATCAATGCAACATTATTGCGAGGTGGGACCTTTAAGAGTTTGTTAGGTCATGGGGGCTCATTGGTGAATGAATGCTGTTAGTGTGGGAGTGGACTCCAGATAAAAGGATGAGTTTGGTGCCCTTCTTCACTCTCACATGCCCTCTCGCCCTTCTGCCTTCTGCCATGGGATGGTACAGCAAGATCTTCCTTGCCAGCTCTGGGACACTCAACCTTGGACTTTCTGCTCTCCAGAACTGTGAAAAATGAATCTCTGTTCTTTGTAAATGCTCCAATTTCAGGTATTCTGTTAGAGGAGCACAAAATGAACTAAGGGAGTAGGCCTGAGAGAATTATGGGTAGAAAGCTTGGTGATTTTAGGACTCAAATAGCTTGTTTCCCTTTTTAGGGCACTGTTGTCCTAAACTATCTGAGGTACAATTTTTGAGAATAATTATTTCACATATTTTGTCTAGCTTAATGTAGTGGGAAGGCAAGTCCAAGACTAGTTATTCTGATGTGGCTGTAAGTTACGGTTTTTCTTCTATATACTTTTTAAAAAATAATGAGATAGAATTCTATTATCATTATTTTGAAAATTACATTCTATTTTAAGTCAAAAAGCAGGTTGAATAATACTATGTAAAATCACACAATTTTCATAAAACAAATGTAATATTTAACATTTATTGAGACATAATTCATATGATTGATTCCTTAAATGGTAATAAGATGTAATTCTTAGAGCAAGAGGGTAAATGTCAAAAAAGTATTTTTTTGTCCTTTATTGATACATTATTTCTTACCAATATTGAGCCTGTTCTCTCTTTACTTCAATAACTCTGCATGAAGACTGGCTTTTTCAAATGTGTCTAGCATAGGAACAGCATTTATCCTTCATTGGTTAGGGTTGTCAGCAGAAAGATTTTCACACTGTGCAGCTGAGTGAGACTCTGAAAGTTAAGTGAGTTCATGTTCTGAATAGGGGCCTTTGTCAGGCTCTCCTCATTACCTTCTCTTACAACAGATGTGGTGTGCCCTTGTTGACATCCAATTTCAACTCTCTTATTTCATGTGGTATTCTAAAAAGCATCGTTAAAATTCTTTAACAGAAAAAATATATATAATCTGCAGGTGTTTCTTTGTCTTCTCCCTCAAAGTTTTCTATCTTCTGGGAGAAGAAAATGCCCATCTTGGAGCAGCCTGCTAATTAATACTAGAAAATTGTCACAGATGTTCGTCTGTTTAAAGGAAGCAAAAAACATGGCTCAATGTGATGACGGTAGGTACTGTCCCCAAAGGGTCAATTTCCTTGTTGTTTGAAATATAATGATATTCCACAATATGGGATTGATTCAAAAATCATTAAATCATAAAATATTTTGGGAATCTTATACAGTCAACAAAATGATCTTTTAGAAAATGTTGATGCCATTAGAAAATATTAATACCAAAGAAAAAACCCAGCCTAAAAATGTGTATGCAGAATAATTTCAAAATGTTAAAATAGAAATGGAAAAATATAGGAAGAATATACATGAAAATATTGGTATTGATTATTGTAGGGCAATGGAAATGTAAAAGTTTTACTTCCTTTTCATTTATTAGATTGGTGCGAAAGTTCTTGAGGTTTTTGCTATTAAAAGTAATGACATAAAATGCAATAATTTTTGTGCCAATCTAATATTTTCTATTTTTTCCTAAAATAAATATCCACATTTTACTAATCATAAATTGTATTTATTAAACTCACACATCAGCCTTAAATTTTATTTGAATTTAAATGACAACACATTACGTACCAGAAAATAAAAGAACCATGATATTACGCATTAAAATGAGATTCTTCTTATTGATACTAACAGTTTTTTAACTATATATAAGCTGAAATGAGCAAAATGAATGTTGGTTTGTACTTATTTACTTCTTTTTCTTACAATCTTTTTTCTTGGGATTTTAAAGTTCAATAAAATTTTTTATAGATGTAAAATATATCTTCTATTTATTCACCTTTTCCTCCAGAGATAACATCACAAGAAATAATAGTGGATAAAACAAGGAATTTTATAACTGGGCATGGTAGTGCGTGCCTGTAATCTCAGTTACTCGGGAGGCTGAGGCAAGAGAATTGCTTGAGCTCAGAAGGCAGACATTGCAGTGAGCTGAGATCGCATGCCCCTGCACTCCAGCCTGGGCAACAGAGTGAGACTCTGTCTCAAAACAAAACAAAACAACAACAAAATAACAAAACAAAACAAAAACCAAGGAATTTCATTTGTTGACATAAAAATGAAGTTAATTACATAAAGTTTTTAACAATTTAATACCTAATAATTCATGATTTATTTATAGAAAGTTAGTTATAGCATATTAACCTCTGATAACACTGCAAAAAGCTGACTAAATGGAAAAATAACAAAAAAAGGCACAGTAATGCATTCTGCTTCATGATCTCTTCATCTGAAGCCAGAAGTTCATTTCCGTCTTTCAAAATTATTACAAACCAAAATTCTACCAAATATTTTGCACTGTGTAAAATGGGTCAACATTTTTCCACCTTCCACTTAGAGCTTTCTCCCCTGCCCACCACATTAATCTAAAAGCAATTACAGATATCTGTTTTTAAATATATTAACATTCTACCTTTTGTAACAATTTCTGCATAGTAAGCTTTGCTCAGGTGACAATTTCAGCCTCACAGCTAACTACAAAAACAAGTCATTGTTTTTCACTCATGTTACATGTTTGGGTCAACTGCTGTGTGTCTTCTTTTCCTGTTTTCCCTTCCTGGGACCCAGGCAGAAGGAACAGCCTTGCTTGAGGACATTTTGTGGCAACAGAGAAAGGCAAGATTGCTGGCAAAACTAGTTGTATCTCCGAAAGGGTGTGTTCAGATGTGATGTCAATTACATCTCCTTGTATTCCTTGAGCAAACAGGTCACATAATAAACCCAGCTTCAGTGGAGTTCTGAATGTATACTTTTTTTACAGAGCAAACAAGAAAGAATACTTGGGAATAATGATACAATTTACTACACTTGCACATTCATGTGCAGCTGTAGATGCTGGTCTGGTGAAAGTTTGATCAAATACACTTGAGATGTGGGTAGCAATCTGTCTACACAGTGACTTCTTACTGTTCACTTAAATAGCAGATCCTCCAGGCATCTGGGCCTCAAATGCTCCTTGGTCTGTTCTCTGCTTTTTCCCATCTAATCTATTCTCCTGCTGCTGCCTTCTCTTCTAGCCCTTTCTAGATTGACTTTGGGTATTCACAACCCATTCAAACACAACTCCCTATGTGAGTAGCACATGCAAACTCTAGGCTAGCGAGAGGGAAAGGCTTGCAGACCCAACACTCAATGTGTGATGACAAATGATGGTGATGATGATGATGATAAATGGTAGTACCTGCCACATGGCACTTACTATTACATGCAAATCTCTCATCTAAGTGCTTGATGTCTATAAACTCATTTTATATTTTCCATAACCTCATTAAGTAAATCCAAATATTACTGTCATTTTATAAATAAGAAAACCAAAGCACAAGTGTAAAAAACAATGGTCCAGATGACACAGAGTTAGCAACCTGTGGTAGGAGAGCGGAATGGAGCATGATCATTTTGTTCTCTACTTTTAATGTTTACCTCTTTAACCACAAACTAGCTGCTTTCTGTACCCTATGCTGAGTCAAAAAGCAGGGAAGAAGGAACAGTAAGGGCTAGGACAATCTTCTTTGGCTGGCTGCCTTTGTTTTCTCTGTGCTTAGCAGATGGATAAAGCTGGCATACAGGCTTGGGTTTCCTGGCAGATAACAAAGACGACTTCCTGCTCATTGGGCACTATCAGGCTTTTCTTTTAGGTACCTTATATATTTACTTTATTTGATCCAGCACCTTATCACGGTTTCCAGTAACTGCCATCTACTATACCACCATCACAGTCTCTAACTTACATACTTCAAAGACTATCGCACCGGGCTCCAAATTCTATTCTTACATTTAGTTCATCAAATTATCAGGTAGACAACCAATTTAAGCACTCTGGCCTCAAAATTCCTCAATCTCATCACCTCTGTTCTACTTTAGCAAGTCATTCCCTGAGCCATACTTAATATCAGACGGTTCTCTTTTTCTAAAAATGAAACCCAAGTCAGTAAATCTCAATTGTCCCAGTTCTTCACACCTCTATTATAGCCATGCCATTTTATTGAAATAATATAGATTGATTGTTCCTTATCCGACACCTCTTTTAATCTGTCATGTTCTTCACTTAATTTCCTATGTGTCCTTTGGTTTATATCTACTGTCCTGACATTATTTTTAATAGTGCACCACTCATGTCCAGTTTAAACCATAAACTATATGGCCCTTGATCTATCCTATTTGTCTCATCAATCACACCTCTTTCAGCAAATTATCTCCTCTTCCTATTCCCCTATGCTGCAAACCTTCATCTGTGCATTAATCCAAGGCTTCTCTCCTCCAAACTCAGGCTCCTCGCTGCTATTGGAGGAAATCCCAGAACCTCATGGAATGTTGCCACCATGCATTTACAGGATTCTTGTTTTGACTGAGTCCTTGGTGCTATTTGGGAATCCTTTCACTTGTTTTCAGGACTCTTTCTTTCTTGCTTTCAGTGCAGCTACTCCACCCCTTCACTATTATCTCTAAAGCCCCTTGTTCAAAGCTTACTTCTGCCTTCTGCTCCTCCTTCTGCTTGTAACAATTGCCTCTTTTTCATGGAGAAAGGAGAATCTATCACGGGAAAACTCTATCAACTCTCTTCCCACACACTTATCTACATTTGCACCTGTCTTTTAGCCTTTTATCTTAGTCTCAGAAGAAACTATATCCTCTCTCCTCTTCAGAAAAATCATTCTTCCACTTTTGCTTTAAATGCCATCTCCTTCAACGCCTTGCTTGATAAATTTTCCTCTCTGTCTACTATATTTTAGCTTCTTTTTTTTTCCACTGACACCTTACAGTCAGTCTATAAACATGCTCAAGTCTTTTGATATTAAAAAAGCCTGTCTCAACACCAGATCACTCCTGGCTAGCTTTCTCTAACCTTCTTTAAATCTAAGGTTTGATATAGTTTTCTCTGATGCTTCTCATTCAGTCTTCAATACACTCTAACTTGTCTCTTCCTCTCACTGTAACCCAAGGATTGTTCTCATTTAGGTCACCAATGGCCCACTAATTACTCAGTCTTTTTGATATCTCATGTTTGCCCTCCTAGTGTCATTTGGCACTAACGGCCACTTCATTCCTTGGCTTCTGTTATATGCTTTTCTTACTTTGGTTCTCTTGCATTTTTGGTGCTTCTTACTAGTCTACCTGAAAGACTGTTTTCCTGCTGTCAGCGGGAGGTCTGTCCTTGCTCTTTGGCTCCATCAATTAATGCACAAAATCTGACCTTATAAGCAGGGCATAAGACTCCTTCATGATCCAGTCTGGGTTAGTGTTTGTATTAGTCTGTTTTCACACTGCTATAAAGAACTGCCCAAGATTGGGTAATCTGTAAAGGTAAGAGCTGGCTTCTTAGTCTCAGAAGAAACTATATCCTCACCGTTCTATATAACTATATAGAAACTATATAACACAGAAACCATATAACTCACAGTTCTGCATGGCTGACGAGGCCTCAGGAAACTTATAATCATGGCAGAAGGTGAAGGGAAAGCAAGGCACATCTTACATGGCAGCAGGAAAGAGAGAGCACAGGGGAAACTGCCACTTTTAAACCATTAGATCTCATGAGAACTCCCTCACTCTCATGAAAACAGCGTGGGGGATACCGCCCCCATATCTACCTACTTCCCACCAAGTTCCTTCCTGGACTCGCGGGGATTACAACTTGAGATGAGAATTGGGTGGGGACACAGAGCCAAACCATATCAGAGTCTGGTGTCATTTTCTGCTTCTCCTTCATATACCAACAGTCATTTTATCCTGTTTTTTCTACTAAAAATTTGCTGACCATGGCATGCATTCTCAGTCCTTCTTATCTGTGGATAACTCACAACATCTATGAGAAAATCTATTCTGCCTGATGAGCTATAGCTGAGTCAACTGTGAAGTCTTCACTGGAGCACTGCATTATCTGAGAAGTGTTTCTTTGCCTGCCTCCCACAGAACCTACTTAGTCATGTCAGGCAGACCCAGATGATCTCTTCACTCATTGCCCACAGAACTCTTCCCTTACTTAATTATAAGACATAGACTTTGTTTTTTTACCATTTATTTTAGATCTATCCCAATAAGATTTATTCATTCATTCATTTACACACATGGTGTAAACTGAGCATCTATTATAAAAAGAGAAACAAGACATAATCCCTACCATGAAAGAGCTTATAGTTTAGTAAGTTAGTAGACAGGTGAGTCTACATTACAGGTAAGCGCTGTGAGAGGAAAGACCACAGGGGTGTTATGGAAACATAAAATATGGACAAGAGATAGAGGATAAGGTGACTCATTCAGGGTGCAGAGACAAATAAGGGGGGTTTTCTATGACAATGATGAAGTAGCCAGATGAAGTCAAGATGGAAGGTCATTTCAGGTGGAGAAAACTGTGTACATAAAGGCACAAATGTACAAAGCAGGAAGTATAAATCATAATTACGAATTATTGAAGCCTTTGTTCTTGCCTGATATATGTTTGTATTCTCAGCACTTAGCAGAGTCCCTGTTAACAGTGTTCTGGCTCCTGAGTTTGTTAACTCCCAAATAATGAATTAACACATCAATTACAAATTATAAATATATAGGCTGGGTGCGGTGGCTCATGCCTGTAATCCCAGCATTTTGGGAGGCTGAGGCAGGTTGCTTGCCTGCGCTCAGGAGTCTGAGACCAGCTGGGAAACATGGCAAAACCCTGTCTCTACCAAAAATACAAAAAATTGGCCGGGCACGGTGGCTCATGCATGTGGTCCCAGCTACTCAGGAGGCTGAGGTGGGAGGATCACTTGAGCCTGGGAGGCAGAGGTTGCAGTGAGCCAAGATCGCACCACTGCACTCCAACCTGGGTGACAGAGTGAGAACCCATCTCAAACAAACAAACAAACAAACAAACAAAATATATATGGATATTATATGTCAGCTAAAAATACCAATACATGAATGAATGCTTTCTTCCACAGAGTGTGCATTGTTAAGAACCAGGTCCTCCATGGTACTGCAATAATTTATATTAATTAATTTTAATCATGGTAGATTTTCAATCTCATTTAGTCATTTTAGTCACAGCACAACCAATGCTATTATCCAAAACAGTAGCTTTATTTTCCTTACATACCCTGGCTTTTGGCCTTTTCAGTCAGACTGTATGTTCGCTGCATCATCTCATGTTGAGCTTCCCTGCAGCCATAATTCGTGTTTTGTACTTCACATCCTTTTGACTGTCGTTCTTCAGCTTATTTGCAGAAGATCTGAAAAACCATGCAGTATGTCTCATGGTTTATAGCTGGTCAGCTTGTTGTAATCCCTGTTTACTCATGCCCAGTGTGGTATTCCCTTATTAGAAGGTGATTTTTAGTGTGTCTTTATAGGATAGGTTAGAAAAAAAATCTGGTATCACTCCAATTTCCATCTTTCTAAATGGTGAGTGGAGTAAATTTCAAGGCACATTGTGTTCATGTCTGCTCTAAAGAGGTGTGCTGAGAAAACATCAAATATTTTAACCCTTGATTTTTCCAAGGAAAGGACAAGTGATATGTATGGTAGTAGGCATTTTTTAAGTTAAAAGGAACAGATAAAAAATGAATTTTTATAAAGCGATGCTACCGTCACATAGCTGGGTAGGTCTGAGTTTGGACCATCACTGTTCTCCTTACTTTTCATATGACTTTTAGCCAATTACTCGACTTCTTTTTGCCTCAGTTTTTTAATTTGTAAAAGTGAGGATATATTTCTCTCTTTGGATTGTGTGATGTTTTAATGATATAAGAAATAAAACTGTACTCAACAAGTGTTAGTTCCCCAATAGTTCTGGACATTAATACAAATTTTTAATAAATTCAAAGCCAGTGGAATAGGGAGATTCATTGTACCTCACATGCCAAGTTTGCTATCATCGCTTCCATGCCAAGGGATAGATGACTTTGGACTTGCTGTATCACTAATGAACCAATATGGTAGAACTTCACTTTAGTGGGATGCACAAGAAGCTACTATATAGATTTTGTATTACATTTGTAAACATATAGTGCAAACATGCCTCTGTTGTTTCACATGTCCTTCTTCTTAAATCAAAGCACTCCTTTTCTATTTTGCCAGAATGAGCTATCTTGTCATTGAGGGCTGTTAAAGGAGATGGCAGGCTGAAAGAGCTCTATGAATAAAATCCAGCAAAGCCTTAGGATCTCTGGAGGAGAAGTTACTTGCAAGAAAGAACTGCTCTTAGTCAAATGTGTTGACATAAATAAATTAATTAGATTGAAAAGGAACCTGGGCTCTGAGCAAAATGTTAGTATCTAAAGGTATGTTTCTTTAAGAAATTAATAAATAACAGACTAGAATAAAATTATTGAGCACATATTTAACAATAATTAAATTTATCTTGGTGCAAGATATTTCCTTTTTGTGCCAATTACAAGTCACATTAAAATACTATGAAATGTTTTTATTTTTAAAGAAATTTATTTTAAAGATAATTTTAAAGAAAATTATCTTATTTTTTCTGAAAGCTTTTAAACTATCTTTTTCTAATTGTTTTTATGTAAATATGTTTGAAACTTACTGAAGTATCTAAGCTGTTTAATCACAGCTATCCAAGCACCTGTATCTTGCTTTTATCCTGGTATTAAGGCCCAAGAGCATGAGGTAATGGGCTTAACTAAACATTCTATTCTCCAGATAAAAAATGACAGTAACACATTCACAACAATAACGATTATGCTTTTGAGTGACAAAACATGGTCAGCATTACTGGAATCCTAAATATAAATTATGTGTATATCAAGATCTCATAAATGATGTTGGCCATCCAGGTCTTCGATCAATGCTTAAATGTCTGAAAAAATAAAGTCACACAGGTGGAATTCATGCCAAGTAATCAATACTTGTTAAAATATAAGCGCAGAGGAGAATCTTCTGGTTGTACAACAATTTTGGTCCTAATGCTACAAAACTGTTTGCCAAACTTAGCTTTATATGCCTTCCTTCTACCTATAATCAAATAAGTACTCCAAGCTGTAAATCACCTTGTAATCTTGGATGTTATTTACAAACTGTCTCCTTAAAACGGGGTTATCAGGATACATGTAATGCCGTGAAAACTACTAATGAATTCAAAAACTGAAATCTAAATGACCAAAACTTTAAAGGAGGGAGGTAATCTCATTGAGGGCACATGATTTAACTGTCAACATTTTACTACAGAGATTAGTTAATATTTAGTTACCCAGTATAAAAGATTTCCTTTTGTTTAAAATCATTCTGAGCCATTAATACGTTTCTTGTAAGAATTCATCTATTCATTCACACATCCATGCATTAATTCATTCAGCAAATATGTGTTTATTTATTTTTATTTTTATTTTTTGAGACAGAGTCTGAATCTGGCGCCGAGGCTGGAGTGCTGTGGCGTGATCTCAGCTCACTGCAACTTCTGCCTCATGGGTTCAAGCGATTCGTGTGCCTCAGCCTCCTAAGTAGCTGGGACTACAGGTGTGTACCACCATGGCTGGCTAGTTTTTGTATTTTTGGTAGGTTTTGCCATGTTGGCCAGGCTGGTCTAGAACTCCTGGCCTCAAGCATCCACCTGCCTCAGCCTCCCAAAGTGCTGGGATTGCAGGTGTGAACCACCACACTCAGCCCATTGAGCAAATATTTAAGTGCCTATTATGTGCCAGATGCTTTGGTAGGCAATGGGGTATAGGGATGGATAAGATAGAATCTGTGCCCTGAAGTAGCTCATAGATTTTTACGTGAGAAAAGAATATAAACAAAGTCATAACATAATAATAATATTAAGGTGTCAGGGTGACACAATGTCAACATGTTGAACTGTTTAAAGGAAAGAAACAGAGAAGAATTCAGAAACAATGGGTTATTCAAACAAAACATTAGAAGGCCAAGATGCTGTACCCACTACTGAGATAATGTTCAAACTAAGGAAACAAATTTCTGTCTTGGAGTTAATCCTCCACTTCTGATACCACGTGCTACTGTGGTAACTGTGATGGTGGCCTGGGCTATGGGCATGGCTGTGGGTATTGTGATACTGTTACAGTTGCTGCTACTCTTCTTGCAGTGGCAGATACTATGGATTCTACTGAGGAATCAACCCTGAGAGCCACTTAGCCCATTGGACTCACCTTCCTGTGAAGTGCTAGCTCTCTTTCCACTGTTCTTCGTCCCATCAATGTTATCAAAAGTTAGCTCATAGCCACATTTTAAATGACTTTAGAATATTAGCTGCAGGTTCTGGATTGAGCGAGAGAAATTTCAAATTTTTTATCTATTTTTCTGCAATTATACTATTTTAATAAGTCCATATATTTCCACTTAAATTATTCTTTTGAGAAAATTCATGTTTTTTTTAAATGTAATATTATATGATCTTATGAAGGTGAATTTGACTTTATTTACATTTGCTTATTGCAATAATTTTGCTTCCATGTTTTTATATTTGTTTTTGCGTGACTGATGATATTATTGGTACTTCCAAGTCAATTTAGTTTAATTACACAAGTATTTACGGAATGCTTGCTTGCAGTGTAAAGTTATCATCCAGACACCAGAAATGTACAGATGTACGAGGTGGATATGGTCTCTCTTCTCTTGGATACACAGTCTATGTGGGAGGATACTGTTAATCCACTAGGCAATACAAGTTGAGATTTGTTATTCTCACAATCATATAACATATCCTGTGATCATTGATTATGAGACGGTGAAGTGGAAGGAGTGATTTCTGACAGATAAGTAGATGAGTAGAAGCATAGAAGTAAAAGTAGGTGAATAGAAGTGAGTAGAAGCTAGATGAAGAAGATGGGTACTGTGTGTGTGTGTGTGCGCGCACATGCATGTGCGTGTGTGTACAAGTGTAAAAAGAAAGAGAAAAAGTGACAGGCTTCTCAGGAGGAAGTGACAGGAAGTAAACAGAAAACATAATGAGTTCTTGTAACTTAAAGACATTCAATGTGAGTAGACCCTAAAAACTTCATTAAATCCTGGGCACCTATCAGGCTCTTCTTACTTTAAAGTCGAAGGGATACAGTAGAAAGAAAAGGCCGTGGTCTACCAGGCCAGATGCCGATACTAGGTAAGCACGCCAACTGCCTGAATAAAAGCAAGTCCACGAGGAAAACCAATAACCAGGACTTTCATTGTTGGCAGGAATCAATCAGAACAACTGTTCCTTAATCTTATCAAACGGAACATTTACTTTCTTCCTTTGGGGAGTTTATTAGTCTGAGAAATCTAACTGATAAAACAAAGCCCCCATATCTCAGTAATCTCTTTCATCTTAATGAAAAAAAACTATATCTCTGTGCCTATGAATTGTGTTTCTCCTTTCCAGCCCAGGACTCCCACCTGAGAATGAGACATGTATCTATCTATCGCTACAAATCCGACATGTCTTAGAGTCATCTTAAGCTGAATATGTCTAAAATTAAACTTCTCATCTTTATTCTAATGAAAATTTGCTGTTTTTACCCTTTTGCCGTATCAGTTTATGACATTTCCATATCTTTAGGTATTCAGGCCCCAAACTTTTGATTTTCTTGACTCTTTCTCTTGAAGCCTACTTCCAACTCATCAAAAAGTTACATTGACTGTACTTTCAAAATACACCAAGAATCCAACCACTTCTTGCCACCTCCACCATTACACCATTACAAACATCAAAGAGTCTTTGTTCAAACTACACATAGTAGATGCATTTAAAGTTCCGCCCATATCTCCTTGGATCTCTTTCCTAGTTGTTGTTCACAATGGCTCCTAGATTACCTTCATCTCTCAACAGTCAGCACATGTCTATTTATAGGCAGTTGCTGAAACCTATTGTTGCCTACCCACAGGGAGAGCTAGACTTGCCTGGCAATTTATGCAGACTCTTCCCCACCCCCTCCTGCCACCCTCCTCCACCATGGGACTTCCTTGACCTCACCTCTTACCAGTGCCCATTCCTCTGACCACCTTTGTCCCCCTGCTAATTCTGAATATGCCAGACATATGCTTCCCATCAGTGTCTTAGTGCTTGCTCTTCCTTCCAACTGGAGAGCTCTTCTCTCAAATATCAACAGAATTTGCTTTCTCATCTTTCCTGACAGTTGTCTCAAAATTTTCTTCTCTGTGTTCCTGACAGTTGTCTCAAAATTTCATTCTCTGTGAGGTTTCCCTGACCACTCTGTAAAATTTTAACTCCCTTGCTGCACTTTCTAGCCCACTGCTTGCTGTTTTCTTCGTGTACTTTAATATCTGATATTATTGTTCTCACCTGGAATAACGTATGGTCCATAGGAAAGGGACTTTTTTCTCTTGACATTTTTTTTTTCATTAGTGTATCCCCAAAGCTTAAAACGACCCTTTTCAGTACATGCACAATGTATATATGCTGAATGAGTAAACTTGAGAATGACTTAATCGAAAGCTACTGTGGTTTGCTCATTTTATAGTATTTTGTATTAGAGGACCAACTTTTGATATATTTTCAAAATGTCATCAGAATTTCAACATTTAATCCTATGATCTGAGGAAAAATAATTCCATGAGTATTCCTAATATGCTGTATAAATTATATATACAGTATATAATATATATAATTTATATATTTCTATATAATTTATATATACTTTATATATTTCTATATAATTTATATATACTTTATATATTTCTCTACAATTTATATATACTTTATATATTTCTATATAATTTATATATCTTTATATATTTCTATATAATTTATATATACTTTATATATTTATATATAATTTATATATAATTTATATATACTTTATATATTTCTATATAATTTATATATAATTTATATATAATTTATATATTTCTATATAATTTATATATAATTTATATATTTCTATATAATTTATATATAATTTATATATTTCTATATAATTTATATATTTCTATATAATTTATATATACTTTATATATTTCTATATAATTTATATATACTTTATATATTTCTATATAATTTATATATACTTTATATATTTCTATATAATTTATATATAATTTATATATATATACAGTAAAGAGAACATGATGTGACAATACAAACTCTTTGAAGTCAGATATTATTCTCCCTGTAACTACAAAAATAAATCGCAGGCCGGGTGCTGTAGCTCACGCCTGTAATCCCAGCACTTTCGGAAGCCAAGGCAGTCAGATCATTTGAGATCAGGAGTTTGAGACCAGCCTGGCTAACATGGTGAAATCCCATCTCTACTAAAAAAAAAAAAAAAAAAAAAAAAAAAAAAAAAAAAAAAAGCCTAATGTGGTGGTGCGTGCATGTAATCCAAGCTACTTGGGAGGCTGAAGCAGGAGAATCTCTGGAACCCGGGAGGCAGAGGTTGCAGTGAGCTGAGATCATGCCATTGCACTCTGGGCTGGGTGACATAGCGAGACTCCAACTCAAAAAAGTAAATAAAAATAAATAAATACATAAATAGCAGAAAACCATTTCTTCACAGAATCCTCAACAATGGCAAATGGTATAAGGACAAATAAGTAAAATTCTATTGTGGTTGGAGAAAAATGTTATAGTACAGATATTTAAGTCTGGTACTTTGAATTTATCTTAGGATACATTTTAAAGAACATAAAATACATGTTCTACATAAAAAAGTTGGAGCATCACATTCAAGAATCCCGTAAAATTTTGTTTCTCTCTCTAAGTTCAGACAACTATTTCAGCCCACTAAATGTGAAGTTAAATTTCTAGAGGAGTACCAGAAATTGAGGAATCTGATATTGCCATTAACTGGAAAGCCATGTACTTCAACAGCCAGTTACATTAACTGTAGAATTTTATGAAAGTCTCTGAATATAACTCTTTTAAGAATATGATAAGTACATTTGTAATACTCCAATACTGTGAACTTTGAACCAACCTGTTTTTAAAGAAAACTCAAAATTAACAACTGCGCTAATGATTTTGATGCAGTTTATATTTTGATTTTACGACACCGTTTAAATGTGAACCGTCTCATTATTTACTTAAGCATAATTAGACTACCAGGATACCAACATGGGAGTAATTGTCCTGGTTACAGCATAAAATGTTTCTAATTAATTAATAGAGAACAAGGGAAAATTTTCAAATATGTAAAGCAAAAACCGAGGTAGTTCTGATGGTTCGTTTATGAGGTTAAAAAGAGGCAAAGACAGATATAAATAAGCTTCATAAATTAAACAAAGACTTCTAGTTGCAGAGTAAAATATGATATTTAACCTACAAATATTGAAATGGGAGAGTTCCCTGAATCCCCTCACAGGACATGTGACAGGGGTGTGACTTGCTCAAACCCCAAGGGGGAGCATGCAGAGGTACAGGTGCAGAAGTCTGAGTGACAACTTTTGGGCTCCGGCCCCATAGCAGTGCCAAGGGCTGGGTGTCTGCAACTCCAGAAGCCCAAATGGGCATGGGTTACAAAGCTCTTTCTGATTTGCCATCTGCAGGCGGCTTGTGTGTTAATCAGTTCAATGGACCCTCTGCCTTATCACAAGGGCAGAGGAGCAGTGTGACAGCCTTCTGTATCCTAAGTTCTTGCCCCATATCTTGAAATAATTGCATCACACGTAGGCTTGAAGGATGAGTACAAGGTTTTATCGAGTGATGGAGGTGGCTCTCAGTGAGATGGATGGGGAGCTGGAAGGTGGAGGGGTTGGGGAGATAATCTTTCCCGGCAGTTCAGCTGTTGTTAGACGAGCTCCTCTTGACATTCAGGCACGTCTTCCTTCCTTCTCTGCCATATCGCCTGGCTGCTCTCTGCTGCTCTCCACCACTCCTCTTGACGTTCAGCTGCTTGTGTGTGTGTCCGCTAAGGTCTCAGGTTTATATGGGCACAGGGTGGGGGTCATAATGGGCCAGAGTGGTCTTGAAAAATGCAACATTTGGGCATGGAAACAAGAGTGCCCGTTCTTACTTACGTCCACGGGCACAGGACCACAGCTCTTGCCAGGGACCCCACCCTTCTCTACCCAGCACTTCCCTGCCCCCATCCCATATCAACATTTTAAAGGAGAAACTAGTAATAACAAGAGCAGAAGCAGTCTGTGGTTGGCATGGAAGCTCAGGTAATGAGACACATCAGTGAAGCATGTACAAGGCTCTGCAATAACAGATCACCTGTATCTTCATGGTTATGTATCTTGGATAGCCCAGAACATTGTTCAATAGATTCATTAAAGAAATGAGCTGGGTAAGGATATTTTCTGGAATACCACTGATACAGAATTTAGCCCCAGGTATGTGTTGACAAAAATAATTCCATTGCATAATTAATTCTTATCTCATGGGGAACAGAGAGACGTTTCCAGAATCTCCAGAGAAGAAAAAGTCAAATCTCTAGGAGGAGCCTCCTAGGAAAACATTAGTTACGCTTAAAAATGTATCCCTATCCAAAGTCTAGCTCTTTAGCTTGTAGGGTTGGTTAGATGGCTCAGTCAGTACACTGAGAACAACTCCATCTCTCAGGGCCTGACTGCCATTAACAAGTTAAAGTGGCTCATCTATAAAACAGAATGCCTATTCATTAATATACAACATGAAATCATTGTTACAGGAACTATAACATTTGCGTTAGCTTGATTTTTGAATTATCCCTATAGTTAACCTACATGGAAATCCAAATTATAATCAGATCATTTTATTAATTTACAGAGACAAATTACTATCACGGGGAAATGGAAATACTCAAAGCCTATTTTATCAGCATGTCATCTTTATTTTATATGAGAAATGAAATCATAATCAGAGGCCAATTTATTAATTTACCCTGAGAAATCACTGTCAGAGTGGCCAAAGGGCTTAAACTTAATATAATTAACTTACCCTTTTCCTGTAAGGAGTGGTGAATGTCATAGTAATCAGAAAGCTGTGTACCTGGCAAAGAATCAGAACACAGGAAGTTATGTAAACTGAATATTTAATGACATCAGGAGAAGACAACTTATTTAATTATCCCAAGTTTATCAGGAGTATTTGCAGCTTTATTAAGGTCACCTTTGCCCTGAAAAACACTTGAGTCCCTCAATGTGACTCCAACATGCCAAAAACATCACTAAAGCCTTGATGGCCCCTTATCAGCAAATATTTTGACTCTGTTAAAAGAACTGTTTGTCCTGTATGCCCAGGAAACTAGTCAAGACTTCCAATTAGAGCTGTTACTAGAGTTAAGATCCCAGTCCTAAGCTCATCAAACAATAAGAGCAATTTTCTTTCTAATAATGACTTAGATTTTCAAATGGCTAATCTACATAGTTCTTTCCGGAAGTAATGTATCTCAAAGAGTTGACTCTTAAACTATATATGAGAATGATTATCATCCTTTTATCTATGGGTAAAGAAAAATTGGAAAAATAAGGTTATTAGTTTTTGCTAGTTAGTTAAAAAAATCCTTCAATTTCTCAATCCTAGTAATTTCAATGTCCCACACTAGGCATCAAGATTCCTGGCCTATGAAGCCATCTAACTTAGCTTTTAGGTTTGGATTTCAACATATAAAGCAAAATATGGGCAGGCTGTTAAATATTTTCATCATTTAATTTTATGTGCCTTGAATTTTTGGTGTTCATACAGATCTCAAGATTATATTTAAAATGCTGTATAGATATATATTTTTTCTGACAAGTATTCATAATTTGCAATGATTTGACTCACTGAATAACATAAAAGCTTCAGAACTTTGTGACATTGCCTAAGGCATCATTACTTTATTGCTCCGAATGTAATATTTATCTAATTAGTATTAGCTCTAGCCAATAATACATTTTTCACCCATTTGTACTGTGGTCACCAAATATCAATTGTGGTCATCTGCTTTAAACACACAAAAATAGTTAAAACAAGAAAAAAAATTGGCGAAAGATATAAAAAGCAATGCAGGCTGAAAACAAGTGCAACAAAAGTCTTATGAAATAAAGTATAAATTAAAAGTATTACATTGTACAAATTTTAATTATACATTGAGAAGACTGCTACAAGTAATAAGGTTACAACAGCTATTATTAACTGTGAGTCAAAAAATAGATTGACATAATCGAAAAGCAAATATTAGAAATAAGCAAATTTAAGAGGAATACAGTAGATATTAAATAATTTATCACACTTCTATCAATTTAAGAAAACACTATATAAAAATAATAAACATAGGTCAAATAAAAATGACAAATGATGATGTAGAAAAACAGAAATGTTCTTAATCACAGGTCTTTTCAACAATTTGTACAATATTTAGAAAAACAGCATAGTCTGCAATCCAGAAGAATTTCAATACTTTACCAAACATTGCATTGCCAACCCACGATGCTATAAAACTAGAGATTAGTTTACTAAAAATTATATCGAAATATGTATTTTAATTATGTAATGAGTAGAAGAAAAAAGCCTAAGACAGTAAAATACTTATAAAATAAAGAAAATAAGAACACTGCACATGAAAATCTAGGTTGTATTTCAACATATAAAGCAAAACATGGGCAGGCCTTTAAATATGTTAATCATTTTACAGTAACAATTAAAAGAGCAAAACTGGAGATATGTGCTTGTGGACCTTGCAAGTTAGGATGAGGCCAAATAGGCAACTATAAAGTACATAGAAAGATGAAATAATAAAAATTAAAGCAAACACTAAAGTGTTAATATATAGAATAAGGGCAGAATTGGTAAATTGATCAGTTGATGGGAGGAATTGTGAAAACAGAAATAAATCTTGTGATGCAATGTGTATATGTGTGTGATGAAATTAAATATGAGCAAGAAGATATAACAATGGCCACAGACTTTTCCCCTGAAATTGTAGGACATTATTCAGATTGCATGCTAAGAAACTGAAAATATCTGAAGAAAAGTCATACTTTACTCCAACATATTAAAATGTCTTAAATATTTCACTAAGAAATGAATAAACTTAATTAGACAAGCAATTCTGAGTCAACAAAACTATTCTCAATAAACTTTTCTAAGTTAATTTTTTCTAGACTTTCAAAGAACAGATGGAGCAATAAGGAAACAACATTTTAACAAAAGTTAACATTTTTTCTTGTACATAAAAGAATATAACAAAATATAAAAATTTAATTTCCTTCTGTATATTTATAAAATTTCTAAGAAAAATGAAGGATATAAACAGAATAATAAATTGGATTTTTATTATATTTCAGTAAGCTGCTAATTTTAACAATTACACCATGCTGCTTAACTATATTTTAATATTTTGTGTGGGAAATTATCTTCTTTTTATCAGATAAATATTAAGATACTTTTGTAAATTTCCAAAAATCATGCTGTGATATTGACTGGGATCCTATTACATTTCTGAATTAAAATAGGAAGGATTGTATCATTTCTGTATTTTATCTTCTCATACAATAAAATGAATGTCATAATTCTTCATTCATTCAAGTCATCTATATCCTTCCATAAAATTTCTGCACCAATGTCATGCACATTTCTTGTTAAATCTATTGCTCTATTTGACATTATTGAAATTGGAATAAGCTATTATTCAATTATATTTTACGAAGGGCTTTTTTTAGTAGTGCATGAAAGTCTTTAACTTATAATGTTTATCTTATAACTATCTATCTAATTGCACTCTTTTGTTACCCTAATGCATAATTAATTTATTTCCTTATGTTCTGCAAGTATGTGACAATACCATCAGTTTTATAATGATATTTACTATCCATTGTTTCATCTCTAGATCTAGTTTCCCTTCCAGACGTATCGACATACTCTACAGATAAATGATTAATAACAGTGTCAATTGTGGAAATTTTTGCCCTTATTTCAGTATTCATTAGCAAATTATATGCATGATTTTCACAGTGATGGTAAGACCTGTGAGAGTAAGAATATAAACATTTAACAGGACTCTTAAACTGAAGCGATCAGCTTACACAATATAAGAATAAAAATATGATTTAATTTTCCTATAGCAAAATGTTTACAGAGCTATTTAGTAATAAAAAGACATGTCTTTATCCTTTTCAATTATTATCAAAATTGGAATTGTGTCAAGAAAATTATCTGCAGATTAGATATTAGATATTTACAAAATCTTTATAGAAATTTAATGTGTTTGGCTTTAATAATTCCATTTTATAAAGACTCTGATTCTTTCTTGGGTAAACAGAGCTTCCCTACCGTACCCTGAATCATCAGCAATGATTAGATAAGGATAGAAACATATTTTATTCACAAAAATAAACATGTTATTGGATATTGTATATGGCAATAAAGAAACAATGTGAAACTATGAAGCAGCTCTTGGACCATTTTGTCAGGTATTTTTCTATAACAATGTGGCATTGTTCATAATTTTTACACATCTTATCATCTCTAGAGCTTAAAACAGCATCGACTCTTCTCATTGTTTAATCCATATTTCACACAATCTTTGCAATATCAGATAAATACTTTTTTTTTTTCGCTCTTGTCGCCCAGGCTGGAGTGCAGTGGCATGATCTTGGCTCACTGCAGCCTCCGCCTCCCAGGTTCAAGCTATTCTCCTGCCTCAGCCTCCCAAGTAGCTGGGATTACAGGTGGGTGCCACCAGGCCTGGCTAATTTTTCTACTTTTTTTAAGTAGAGACGGGGTTTCGCGATGTTGGCCAGTCTGGTCTCTAACTCCTGACCTCAGGTGATCTACCCGCCTCGGCCTCCCAAAGTGCTGGGATTACAGACGTGAGCCACCGCACCCAGCAAGATAAATACTTTTCAGTGTCTTTTTTTGAACCTTTAATATTACTAGCAACTATTTAGGAAACTGGTCAAGAGAATACAAGGAGCAATTAATTAACATAAGGAGAGGTATATTTTAGATATTAGTATACTAAACAAACACCTTGATAGACAATTTTACTACACACCTCTTGAATATACGTTATACTAAATATAACACATATGGAAGGTGTCATATGTGTTCATATGGGCTGCCTGGCCCATATGAATCTCTCAGTAAGTATTATCTGTTATCTTTGTTTACTTTTAAAATAAAAGTACAAATTGTGTAGACAAAAAATCTATCATCTTATTTGGCTTTTTGCCAATTAATGTATCATTTACATGTGTACTCTCCAGGAAGAATCATCCATAAAAATGTGTTTTTTTCTGGATTGCCAGTGAAAATACTCTGTGCTAGCTTTTAGATGGTTTTAGATGGTTATTTCACTCATTTTGCAATTATTGGGGGTACAATAATGAGGAAAGAAAAGTCTACGTATCATGACCTCATTAAAGTGTCTGATGTCCACAGTCTATTGAGTTAAAAGACATGACGAGGGAATTGGGTCTTTTTCCTTACCTCATGAAGTTTCCGTTTGATGGTTTGATTGTTCCACAGTAGTTTCACAACCACAGAATAATAATGTTGACTTTTATGTGAATATATTTTGTAAAATACATGCTCATTAAAGAAAAAAATAAAGAATTGTTTTAAGAATAAGAGAAGTTCCTAATATTGATATTTGGTAAAATCTTAAAATGTGAATGCACTAGTATCTCAGAAAGATAAAAGACGGTAAAGCGTTTCTTCTCTACAGAAACCAGCGTGAGTCATAGGGTGACTGGGGTCAGTCTAGTCCTATCAGTGCCAAGTGGGAGGTCGTGTGAGCTGAGAATGAGAAGAGGCAGATGACTTGATGCTTCGTGGACAGGCAAAGTTCACATACGTGTTAGCTTCACTTTTAGGAATCAAATAAAGCAGAGGACCCTAGAAAATAATTCCTAGATTGGAGGTTCTGGGATCTTCTATTCCTGATAATAATATTTTCCCTACCAAGCAAATATATCTGGTTTTATCTGGATTGTGACAAGTGCTAAAGATAATAGTCTTTTTAAAAAATTACCTAAAATTATATTGAACCTACATTTTCTTAACTGAAGCAAATTCAAATACAGCAATTCTTTACCATTAATAATTCCCTTCAACTTGTAGTTTGCAAAGTTCCCTCAGGATGGAAATATGTTAAGTACCTAGTTATGTAGCACTTTTAATAAACTGGTAAAGGAAATAAGTTTAATCAGTATAAATGAAGTTCAAAAATAACCTGTATTCTTTGAGGTTCCTGGATAAAGAAAATGTGGCACATATATACCATGGAATACTCTGCAGCCATAAAAAAGGATGAGTTCATGTCCTTTGCAGGGACATGGATGAAGCTGGAACCACCATTCTCAGCAAACTAACACAAGAACAGAAAAGCAAACACCACATGTTCTCACTCATAAGTGGGAGTTAATCAATGAGAACACATGGACACAGGGAGGGGAACATCACACACCAGGGCCTGTCAGGGGGTGGGGGACTAGGGGAGGGACAGCATTAGGAGAAATACCTAACATAGACGATGGGTCGATGGGTGCAGCAAACCACCATGGCACATGTATACCTATGTAACAAACCTGCGCGTTTTGCACATTTACCTCAGTACTTAAAGTGTATATATACATACATACATGTATATATATATATATACATATATATATATATATAGCAGGAGTAGCTGAGCATATATGCTTACTGGTTTCATGTCATTTGCTTTTATTTATATTGATGATATGAAACAAAAATATAAGGCAGCTGGGCATTGTGGGAGAAGATATACCCTAACCTGCAATCTTTGATTTCAAATGCATCTGCTGAACTAAGGCCAATAATCAAAGTACTTAGGTTTTAGTCCTAATCTGCCACTAAGTTTCACTGTTGCGTAACTCTGCTTGTCTCTCTGAATCCATTTTTCTCATCAGTAACAAGAACACTGAAATAAATGATGACTCAAGTCTCTTTAATTCTATAATTATATGATCCTATGATAGTACGAAATTTAGAATCTAGACTAAGATTAAATTTGGGGAGAGGAAACTATTCATAAGGGATTGGCAGGGACTTTATGCACACTTTAATGGTATCTACTAAGCAGGCTGGCTCTACATGAAGCATAATATTTGAGAAATTCCTTTGACATTAATTTGTGACTCTTTTAAAAATTAAATATCATCATTCCACTATAAAATGTGGTTCCCAGCTGACTTTAAAAGCACATTGTATAAAGACATACATCATAGTTGATTGCCATTTCAGAGAACAATAATGTTTCAATTTTTGTGAATTCTTGGCAGAATAAAGATAACATCCTTGGCTTAGAAAAGGCTCAGCAGCCATGGACTGTCAAAGGAAAGAGTGCAATCAGAGGATAAATGTAATTGCATGAGATGCAATTTGAAGAATACTTGAAGCTATAGAGATTTGTTTATGGCATTTGAAACTCAGAAACTCATACATGTACAGTGAATATAAATGCAACTACATTTTATTAGAGGCAAAACACTTATCTAGAAATCCAAATAAAGCAGAAAATAAAACATGTTGTATAATTTCTAAATAACTAGCTTCATAAACAAGGAAGAGAGTGGGATGGGTGTTACAAAACAAGATAGTTGGCATAGTTTTCAGGTAACACGTTCTAAGGGATGACATTTAAAGGTGTGGCTTTCCACATGCATCAGAGTATATATAAATGTTCCTGTCCAGTCACAGTCACCAAACTGACCTACAACAGCTAACCACTTCTGACAACATGAGCTACTCCGGCAGCTACTATGGAGGCCTAGGCTACGGCTGTGGAGGATTCGGTGGCCTGGGCTATGGCTATAGCTGTGGATGTGGCAGCTTCCGCAGACTGGGCTATGGCTGTGGCTATGGAGGCTACAGATACAGCTGCTGCCACCCATCATGCTATGGGGGATACTGGTCTTCTGGATTCTATTGAATAAATACTTGAAATATAGTCTTCTGTGAGATTCCCAATTCTTCCAAGAAACTTTATTCCATAACCATATGGAATTCCATATTCCATAACAAAACAGCTGCTTGGATCACCTGCCTTTTGACAATAGTGTGAAGAAAACTTGATCAACTAGATATTGGCATTTGATTAGTGATGTTCTCCAGATATTCACTTTTTTATTGGCTGGAGAGCCATTATACTCTAAGAAAGATTGTCTTTCAATATCTGATATCTAACCATGAACTTTTTCTCATGTGGTAAATGTGTTTTGAGCCTCAAATTTTTATCACAATAAATGTGCTGTGATGCATTAATATAATCAACCATGGTGATATTTTCTTCTTATAGATAAAAAAATTACCAATACGTTATATGTCACGATTATTTCTTCACCCTCCTCCTCCTCGTCATTCTTCCTGTCCCTTAAACCTTCTTCCTCCCTTTCCATCCCTTTCCTCTCCTTTATCTTCTTTTCTTTATCCCCTTCTCCTTTGTCTTCTTCCTCCTCCTCATCTTTAACATTCTCAATATCTATATTTTCTTGTCCAGGCAAACAGGAATTCTACACCAAAAGGTTAAAGATGCTTCTGTGGTGATAAACTTCTGCTTAATCTTTTAATTCACTATTTCTTGGAGAATATCTTGATAATTTCAGAGCAATATAATAAGAAAAGGTTTTAGCTTGCACATAGATTATAACATTGGAGAACAACAGTGTGAAGGAATTATATCAAAGTATTAACAATAGCTTTATCTAGGAGATGGGAATATGGTGGCTGGTGTAATAGTTATTCTTTCTTCTTTTGTGTATGTTTAAAAAATTGCATAGAAAAAAAGCTATAAAACAAAGCTCGGGCCAATTTATTCCATCTTCAAATACATATTATCTGATTAAATTAAATGTATAAAAAGTGGACCCAAGAAGAAATACGAACCTGAATATTTCTATATGTCATAAAGAAGTGGAATTCATGAATCCATTTTGACAAATATGCAAATTTAAGACTAGATGATTTCACCAGTTAATTCTGAACAGTTTCTCTTTCAGAGAATAAGATAAGATAAAACACTAAGACTCTTCTGTACTTTTTTTTTAAGGTTAGCTGTATTAGTTCATTCTTCCATTTCTATAAAGAAATACCTGAGACTGGGTAATTTATAAAGAAAAGAAGTTTAATTGGCTCATGATTCCTCTGGCTGTACAGGAAGAATGATGCAGGCCATCTACTGGTCTCCAGGGAAGGCCTCAGGAAACTTACAATAATGGTGGAAGAGGAAGGGGAAGCAGGTGGAAGGTGAAGGGCAAACAAGAAATCATGGTGGAGCAGGAAGAAGAGAGAGAAAGTGGAGGTGCTATACACTTTTAAACAACCAGATCTCATGGGAACTCACTCACTGTCATGACAGCACCAAGGCGGACAGTGTTAAACCATAAGAAACTGCCCCCATGAGCTAATCATCTCCCACCAGGCCCCACCTCCAGCACTGGGGATTACAATTCGACATGAGATTTGGATGGGGACACTAATCCAAAGAATATCATTCTGCCCCCTGCCCCTCCCAAATCTCATGCCCTTCTCACATTGCAAAATACAATGATTTCTTCTCAACATCCCCCAAAATCTTAACTCATTCCAGCATTAACTCAAAAGTTCTCAGTCCAAAATCTCATTTGAGACAAGGCTAGTCTCTTCCACCTATGAGCCTGTAAACTCAAAAACAAATTAGTTACTTCCAAGAAACAATGAGGGTATAGGCAATGGGTAAATACTCCCATTCCAAAAAGGGAGAAATCATCCAAAAGAAAAGGGCTACAGGCACCATGTAAGTTTAAAACCCAACAGGGCAGTCATTAAATCTTAAAGATCCAAAATAATGAGACTGGGTAATTTAAAAAGAAAAGAGATTTAATTGACTTACAGTTCCACATGGCTGTGGAGGCCTCAGGAAACTTATAACCATGGCGGAAGGCAAAGGGGAAGCAAGGCATGTCTTACATGGCGGCAGGAGAGGGAGAGCGAGGATGAAAGTGCCACAATTTTAATGAGCTCACTCATTATCATGAAAGCAGCATGGGGGAAATCCGCAACCATGAGCCAATCACCTCCCACCAGTTCCCTACCCTGACACACAGGGATTACAATTCAAGATAAGATTTGTGTGGGGACCTAGAGCCAAACCATATAAACTTAACAAGTTGATCTAAAATTTATACAGAAATATTAAGAACCTGCAATAACCAATACAGTCCTGATGAAGAAAATATTAAGAACTTCTAAATTCCTATTTACCAAAAGGCACAATTAAAAAATGGAAAAGACCACAGACAGAAAAAAGACAATTAGCACACAGTTATGTGGACCTGGCACACATTACTTATTTAGATATGCTATAAATTTAATAAGAAAAAATCTAACAAAACAATTTTTAGAATTTGCAAAAGGCTTAATTAGCCAATTCGTAAAAGATATCCAAATGTCTAATTAGCATGTATGAAGGAGTTCAGTACCATTTGTCATCAGAGACATGAACATTAAATTTTGAGTGAGAAATAGTAATATGCACTCACCAGAAAGTCATTATTAAAAGGACTTACAACATTTTGTTTATGTAGGCCGGGATATAGAATATCAGGAACTTTTGCACATTACCACTGAGAAAATGAATTAGTATAAGCCCTTTAGAAAACTGGCCATGCCCCTGGTGCAGTGGCTCACGCCTGTGATACCAGCACTTTGGGAGGCCAAGGCAGGCGGATCACCTGAGGTCAGGAATTCGACACCAGCCTGGCCAACATGGTGAAACCCCATTTCTACTAAAAATACAAAATTAGCCAGGTGTAACGACACACACCTACAGTCCCAGCTACTCAGGAGGCTGAGGCAGGAGAATCGCTTAGAACCTGGGAGGCGGAGGTTGCAGAGAGCTGAGATTGTGCCACTGAATTCCAGCCTGGGCGACAGAGCAAGACTTGGTCTCAAAAAAAAAAAAAAAAAAAGAAAAGAAAAGAAAAGTAAACTAGCCATGTCTATTAAAGCTTAGCATATATATTTTCTATGACACAGCCAATTCCATTCCTGGGAATGTATCCAACAGAAATGAGTGCATATGCCCACCAAAAAAAAATGTTAGAATATTCATTGTAGTTTTATTCAATAGCCTCAATCTGAAAAGAAGCTAAATTTCCACAATGGATATTGCAAAATGAATAATATTTTGGTGGTATATTCCTACATAGCAATGGTAAGTAACAAAGTACTGCTGTCCTCAACGATGTGGGAGAAACTCATAGACTTAATATTGAACTAAATAAGCAATACAGAAACTAAATAAGCAATACAGAAAAGAGTATCCATTATATGATTATATAAATATATTTCAAGAAAAGCAAAAATAAAAATCTATCATAATAGAGCTTAGAATTTATTCCTTCTACCCCATTGCCATCCTCCTGTCCTTTCAGTTTTTGCCTTAATCTTCCTCTGCAGGTGACAAATCAGATTGGCTTGTGGTTTACCCTTCCTTTTTTCTCCATACAAATTATTTGATAAATGCATGTTTTCCTCTTTATGTTTCTTACACAAAAGGTAGCATACTATAGATATTTTATTGTACTTTGCTCTTTTATCACTTAACAATGTGCCCTGGAAATCATCCCATATTAGTTTCGAGACATGTTCTCTATTTACATTTTTAAATGTTTAAAGTTGGATAATTCTCTATTTTTTCTATACACTGGAGTGAATTTACCCATTCTCTTATGCATGGGCACCTACATTTCTTCACTATTTGCAATTACAAGTGATGGTGTAATGACTCAACTTGTACATTCATATATGTGTATTGCTAAAGGTGTAACTTCAGAGTAAATTCCCAAAGAAGCATTGTTGATTTGCAAGTTTATGTGTTAGTAGTGATTTCCAGCTTCTCTTATGTATTAGTGTTCTACTCTGGCTGTAATATATTACCATACCCCTGGTAGCTTAAATAGCGCATATTTATTATCTCACAGTTGTGTAGGTCAGATGCCCAGCACAGAGTTGGTATGGCTGCATCTCTTTCTATTCCCATGCCTTTTCCTGCTTTGAGACTGCCCACATTTTGTGGCCCACGGCACCCTTCAAAGCAGCAATGGTATATGAAGTCCTTCTCATGCTGCCATCTTTACGGTTCTCCACATCAGAGAAAGTTCCCCTGCTTTGAAAGACTCTGTCTGTGATAAGACCAGGCCTGCCTGGAGAACTAGAAAAATTTCCCCATCTGAAGTTTCATAACCATAATCACATCCTCAAAGTCTCTTTGGCTATGTAAGCTCACAAACTTGGAAATGATGAGGTCTGACATCTGGACATTCAACGGGGCCATTATTCTCCCTATCACCCGCTCCAGCTGGACTTTACCAATTTGCATTCCCATCCGCAATGTATACGAATGACTATTTCTCAATAGCCTTGCCGATAAAATGCATTGTCATATTTCTATTTTTTTCCCAATCTGACAGGTGAGAAATGGTTCATAAATTAGTTTTAATTTGTATTTCTCATATTACAAGTGAGGTTGAACATCATTTGTTATGCCTAATGGTCATGTTATATCTTCTGGTTGAATTATCTGTTCATATTTTTCCCATTTTTACTTCAATACTCAATGCTTATTATATATCAATAATATGATCCCATTTACCTGTGACATATGTTGCATGTATTTATTCTTGTCTGCTTGTCATTTTTTATTTTTCGCTTTCCTTATGGTGTTTTTGCCAATCAATATATATAGGTATAGTTATAGGAATGGACACCATGTACACAGACACAATACACATACATTTACGTACAAATTTCAATAGACAATTCCAATTTAAACTCAAATTTATCAAGTATTGTATTTATTGCCTCTGGTTTTTTAGTCAGTTTCAGAAAGCCTTTTACTGTAAACTCAGTTTGTACAGGAATTCACCTGTGTTCTCTCTTAGTACTGTGTGGTTTCTATTTTTACATTTTGAACTCTGATGGAATTGGAGATGGTTACATATTGGTCATGGGGAGGTAGGATCTACTTTGTCTTTTTAATGTTTTAAAAGTGGCTGTGTAGGCCGGGAGTGACGGCTCATACCTGTAATCCCAGAGGATCGCCTGAGGTCAGGAGTTCAAGACAAGCCTGGCCAACATGGCGAACTCCTATCTCTACTAAAAATACAAAAATTAGCCAGGTGTGGTGGTGGACATCTGCAGTCCCAGCTAACTGGGAGGCTAAGGCATGAGAATCCTTTGAACACAGGAGGTGGAGGCTGCAGTGAGCTGAGATGGAGCCACTGCACTCCAGCCTGGGCCACGGAGCCATCTCAAAACAAACAAACAAACAAAAACAAAAAACAAAAAACAAAAAAAAAAGTGGCTAATTACCCAGACATTACTTTTTAAGAAGTCCATTTTTACCCAAATGATTTGAGGTGCCTAATTTGTATACATTATATTTTCATATTATTTGGCTCTATATCTCAATTTTCTTTTATTCCTTGTCTTTTTGTTCATGCATCTCTACCACATTACTTTAATTATAGAGGCCTATATTATAGTTTAATATCTGGTAGGACTAGAGTTTCTTTGGAGCCTTTTAAAATTAACATTTTCTTGGCTGTTCTTGTGTATGTATTCTTCCACATGAACTTTGGTATCAATTTATCTATATCATTAAAAAATAAGAAAGAGAAGTGATTTTATTGACATTGAATTGAATTTATAAATTAACTTGGGGAAAACGTACATTCTTAAGATATTGCATCATACGTTTCATGAAGACAGAATATTTTCTTCAATTTATTCAAGCCTACTTTTAAGTCTTTCAGGAGTTAAGACATCTAATAGAGATTTTTCATATTTTTTGTAAAGTATATTCTGAAGTATTTGATATTACTTGTTACTTTTGTAAACAGTGGTTTATGTATCCTGACATCTTTGACTTCTTTGTGTAGATAAAAATGGTTGCTTTTTTCTATGGTAATTTCATGTCATGTGGCTTAATGAATTATTCTAATTTTTGAGTTTGGCTTACCATTGATTCTCAAGAGATTTTCCAGGTATGCTGTCATGTTGGCTGCAAACAGAGGTAATTTTACTTCTTTTTATTCTTTTCCAATTCTCATTTATCTGATATTTCTTGCCCAACTGCATTAGCTAATATCTATAGAACAAAGTTTAATACTAGTGAATATAATAAATACCCTTCCCTTTCTCCTGATTTTTGTGGAAATGTCTCTAGAGGTTCACAGTTAACTAAGATGCTGGTTTTAAGGCAATTTTATTATGTTAAGAAATTATGTATCAATTTCTATATTCTTAAGAGTTTCTATCCAGAATGAGTTTTCAAATTTGTGAAAAATTATTCAGCATTTATAGAAATGGTAACATGACTTTTTCTTTAATCTGTTAATATGATGCATTACATTAATTAACACCCTAATATTGATACTTGTCTTTTTAAAATAAGTCCCATTTCCTCATGTATTTTTTTATCATTGCATTTGATTCTATTTGCTAATGTCTTATTTAGTATTTTCGCATACATATTTTTAAGTAATACTGACCTGTAAGTTTCTTTTTATGTGTGTGCTATCCTTAGCTAGTTTAGATAAATGGTATTCTAATTTCATAGAAAGTAATAGAGGTGTCATTCATTTTCAATGCTCTGTAACAATGTATGTCACATAAGGATTATGTCTGAAGTTTTTGCAGAATAATCTTTGAAACCACTGAGGCATGTGGGCTTTTTTGGCTCAAGTATTTCTTATGGTTTTTCTTTGCTTCTTTTCAAAGAATTATCAGAATTGTCAACCCACACTTTCATATATATGTATATTATGTATCTTATGTGTGTTAACTTCATCAACTACAATAATTTGCCTTTTCCAGAATGTCACATAATTAGAATTACATACAGTAGGTTGCCTTTCCAGATGACTTCTTTCACTTAGTAATATGCATTTAAGATTTAATGATGTCTTTCCATTTTGATAGCTCAAATATTTTATTATTGAATACATAATATGGGTATACTACAGTTTATTATCTACTCAACTATTGAATAACATTGTTTCTAGGTGTTGTAAGTATAAATAAAACTGCTATAAATATTCACATGCAGGTTTTTGAGTAGGCAGTTTTCAAATCAGTTGGGTAAATATTAAGGAGTGCAACTGCTGGATTATAGGGTAAGAATATGTTTAGCTTTTTAAGAAACTGCCAAACTGTCTTTCAAAGTGGCTGGGTCATTTTGCATTTTTGCTAGCAATAAATGAGAGTTCCTGTTGCTTTGCATACTTGCTAGCTATCGGTACAGTTCGTTTTAAAATTTTTATCCATTCTAATGGAAATAATATGGTATCTCATTTTATATTTAATTTGCATATACTTTTATTCTTAGACTTTCTTAATCAATCATTACACTTAGTTTAAAAAAATTTAGCCATCCTAATAGAAATATTATGGTATCTCATTTTGTATTTAATTTGCATATACTTTTATTCTTAGACTTTCTTAATCACTTTGTTTTCAATGTTTCTCTTGAACATAGTGATTCTTTCTTGGTGAGTCCAATTAATAATCATTGTATTTTAATAGGTAAGTTAAGCTTGTTCACATTTAATGACCTGCTATTTTGTTTGGTGTCATCTCTGAGAAATTATTTTATGTTGTAATGATCATGTGCATTGTTATATTTGCCATGCTTCTTTCTCTACACATTGTGTTTTCTTTAATCAATATTTTATAAATTTCTTTAGATATTTAGGAAGATTTAGATAGTAATTTTAGTGGTAATATAATTAATCCAATTTTTTAAAAATAAAATTGTCATCAGTTCCTTATTTTCTTATTTAAACTTTTACTATTTGATTTGTCAGTATTCTGTTACAAACACTATCACTTCCTTTTGCCAGAATCCCACCCTAGCAGAGGAACATGCATGTTGCTATGCTGCTGCTGCTGTTGGCACATGCATGAGCATGGATCCCACTGTTACTGCCTGATGAAGTGCTTTGGCTGGCACCACTCTTTGGAATGTTCTGTCCAGAGGTCTGGGAAGAGCTTGGCCCCTCCAATGCAACAGGTTCCTAACCTCAAGAGGCCAGAGAACATAGCCAGAAGCCCAAATACCAGCCTCCCATATTTAGAGCACACAGTCCAGGAGTGCTGAGCCGAGCCTTGATTCCACAGAAATCTAACAGAAACAAAGTCAGTTGATTGAACACACCTTATACCATCACAAAACCCCCAAGAATACCAAAGAAGGTAAAAGCAACACACACACACACACACACACACACACACACACACACACACACACACACACACACATTCAAAGGACAGCAACTTCAAGGATTGAAGAAACATCAGCCCACACAGATGAGAAACAGTGCAAGAACTCTGGCAACTCAAGAAAGCAAGAGTGCCTTCTTACTTCCAAACAGCTGCACCAGTTCCCAAGAAATGATTCAGGCTGAAATGACTGAAATGTCAGAAATAAAATTTAGAATATGGATAGGAATGAAGACGATTGACACTTTAAATGAGTTGAAACCCATTCCAAGGATTCTAAGGAATACAGTAAAATGATATATGGGACAAAAGACAAATGGCCATTTTACAGAAGGACCAAAGTGAGCCGATAGAGCTGAAAAACTTATTTCAAGAATATCAGAATATAGTCACAAGTATTAACAGAAGAATAAACCAAGCTGAGGAAGGAATTTCAGAGTAAGAAAATTTTCTTTGAGTCAAATCAGTCAGACAAAAGTAAAGAAAAAATGATAAAGGAAAATGGAGAACAACTCCAAAACATACGGAATTATGTAAAGATATCACAACTGTGACATGTTGGCAAACTTGAAAGACAGGGAGATAAGGCAAACAACCTGGAAAACATATTTCAGGAAATTGTCCATGAAGATTTTGCCAACCTCACTAGAGAGGCAAACACTAATATTCAGGAAATGCAGAGAACCCTTGCAAAATACTACACAATAAGACCCAAGACACATAATCATCAGATTCTTCATTGTCAAAATGAAAGAAAAAAGTTTAAAGGCAACTAGAGGGAAGGAGCAAGTAACCTATAAAGGGAACTCTATCAGGCTAACAGCAGACCTTTCCAGGGAAACATTATAAGCAAGAAGAGAATTAGGAACTATATTTACCAATATTTACCATTTTTTTTTTCGGAGTCTCACTCTTGTTGCCAAGGCTGGAGTGCAGTGGCATGATCTCAGCTCACTGCAACCTCCACCTCCTGGTTTCAAGCAATTCTCCTGCCTCAGCCTCCCGAGTAGCTGGGACTACAGATGCCCGCCACCATGCCCACCTAATTTTTTGTATTTTTAGTAGAGACAGGGTTTCACTGTGTTAGCCAGGATGGTCTCGATCTCCTGACCTCATGATCCACCTGCCTCGGCCTCCCAAAATGCTGGGATTACAGGTATGAACCACCGCACCCAGCCTATATTTACCATTCTTAAAGAAAAAAAAACAAAACCCTCCTACTGGTAGTTTCATATCCAGCAAAACTAACATTCTTAATTAAAGGACAAATAAAATCCTTTCCAAACAAGCAAATCCTGAGAGAATTCATTACCACCAGATCTGCCTTATAAGAGTTCCTGAAAGGAGCACTAAATATGGAAAGCAAAAACCATTACCAGCCAATACAAAAACACACTTAAGTACATAGACAAGTGACATTATAAAGCAACCACACAAACAAGTCTGCTTAATAACCAGCTAACAACACGATGCAGGATCAAATTCATAGATATCAATACTAACCTTGAATGTAAGTGGGCCAAATGCCACAGTTATAAGGCTGAGTGGAAAGTCTGATAAAGAAGCAAGATCCAATGATATGTTGTCTTCAAGAGACCCATCTCACATTCAATGACACCCATAAGCTCAAAGTAAAGGAATACAGAAAAAAACTATCAAGCAAATAAAAAACAGAAAAAAGCATGAGTTGTCATTCTAAGTTGAGACAAAACAGACTTTAAACCAATAAAGTTCAAAGAAAACAAAAAAGGATTTCATAATGGTGAAGGGTTCAATTTAACAAGAATATATAACTATCATAAATAATATGCATCCAACCTGGAAGCATCCAGATTTATAAAGGAATTTCTTAGAGACTTCGGAAGAGACTTAGCCAGAGAATAATAGTGAGAGATTGTCCTGACTGACAGTGTTAGACAGATCATTGAAGTGGAAAATTAACAAAGATATTCAGGACCTGAATTTGACACTTGACCAAATGGACCTAACAAACATCTATAGAACACTATATCCAAAAAGACCAGAACACATTTTCTTCTGATCTGCACATGATACATACTCAATAATCAACCACACACTTGGACATAAAAGAATTGTCAGCCAATTTATAAAAACCAGATTAACATCAACCATGCTCTCAGACCACAATACAATAAAAATGGAAATTAATACTAAGAAAATTGCTCAAAGCCATATAATTACAAAACATTTAAGAACATATTCCTGAATGACTTTTGGGTAAATAATAAAATTAAGGCCTAAATCAATAAATTATTTGAAATGAATCAGAAGAAAGATACAATATACTAGAATATCTGGGACACAGCTAAGTCAATGTTAAGAGGAATGTTTATAGCACTAAACACTCACATCAAAAAGTTAAAAGATCTCAAATTAACAACTTAATATTACAACTAGAGGAACTAGGGAAACAAGAGCAATTCAACCCCAATGCTAGCAGAAGACAAGAAGTAACCAAAATGCAGGCTGAACTGAAGGAAATTTAGGTGCCAAAAAGTACAAAAGCTCAACAAAGCCAGGAGTTGGTTTTTAGAAAAAAAAATTAACTAGATAGACCACTAGCTAGGCTAGTAAATATAAAAAGAGAGAAGATCCACATAAACACAATCAGCAATGACAAAGGGGACATTACCAATGACCCCACGGTAAAAAAGAATGCTCAGAGACTGCTACAAACACCTCTATGCACACAAGAGAGAAAACTTAGAAGAAATGAATAAGTTTCTGGATACATATAACCTCCCAAGATGGAACCAGGATGAAATTGAATCCCTGAACAGACCAATAATAACTTCTGAAATTAAATGAGTAACACAAAGCCTGCCAACCAGAAAAAGCCAAGGACCAAACAGAGTCACATCTGAATTCTACCAGATGTATAAGGAAGAGCTGATACCATTTGTAATGAAATTATTCCAAAAAACTGAGGAATAAAGATGCCTCCCTAACTCATTGTATAAAGCTAGCATCATCTTGACACCAAAATCTGGCAGAGATACAATGAAAAAAGAAAACTTCAAGGCAATATCCTTGATGAACATACATGCAAAAAATTTTAGCAAAATACTAGCATACCAACTCCAACAGCACATCAAAAAGTTAATCTGCCACAATCAAGTAGGTTTTATCCCTGCAGTGCAGTTGGTTCAACATATAAAAATTAATAAATGTAAATAGTCACACAAACAGTACTAAAAAAAAAACCACATGATTATTTCAATAGATGTAGTAATGACTTTTGATAAAGTCAATATCCTTTCATGTTAAAATCCTCAACAAACTAGGGATTAAAGGAACATAGCTCACAATAATAAGAGCCATCTATGACAAACCTACAAAGTACCAACATTGTACTAAATGAGTAAAACTTGAAAGTAGTCCCCTTGAAAACCAGAACAAGATAAGGATGCCCTCTCTCACCACTCCTATTCAATATAGAAGTGGAAGTCCCGGCCAGAGCAATCAGGCAAGAGAAAGAAATGAAAGTCATGCAAATAGGAAGACAGGAAGTCAAACTACCCCTTTTTGGATACAATATGATTCTATACCTAGAAAACTCCATAGTCTCTGCCCAAAAGCTCCAAGATCCTTTAAACAATTTCCACAAAGTTTCAGGATACAAAATGAATGTACAAAATTCAGTAGCATTACTATACAAAAACAACCTCCAAGCTGAGAGCCAAATCAGAAATGCCATTGCATTCATAATAGCCACAAAAAGAATAAAATATCTAGGAATACACCTAACCAGGGAGGTGACAGATCTCTACAATGAGAATTACAAAACACTGCTCAAATAAATCAGAGATGACACATACAAATGGAAAAATATTCCGTGTTCATGAACAGGAAGAATCAATATTGTTAAAATGGCCATACTGCCCAAGCAATTTACAGATTCAATGTTAATCTTATCAGAAAACCACCAATGACATTCCTCACAGAATTAGAACAAACTATTTTAAAATTCATATGGAACTAAAAAGGAGTTCAAATGGACAAAGCAATCCTGAGCAAGAACAAAGCTGGAGGCATCCCATTTACCAGACTTCAAATTATATTATAAGGCTACAGTAACAAAACAGCATGGAGTACATAAAGAAACCAGACACATAGACCAATGAAACAGAATAGAGAGCCTAGAAATAATGCCACACACCTACAGTCATCTGATCTTTGACAGTCACCAAAAACCAAAAATGAGGGAAGGGACTCCCTCTTCAATAAATGGCTCTGGGATAACTTGCTAAGTATATGCAGATGGCTGGAAATAAACCCTTTCCTTACACCATATACAAAAATCAAGTCAAGGTAAAGACTTAAATGTAAGACCTGAAACTATAAAACTTTGGATGATAACCTAGGAAATACCATTCTGGATATTGGACTGGGCAAATATTTCTTGATGAAGGCGTCAAAAGCAATTTCCCACCCCACCCCCCAAAAAATTGACAAACGGGACCTAATTAAATTACAGAGCATCTACACAGCAAAAGAAAGCTATCAAAACAGTAACAGACAACCTACAGAACCAGAGACATTGTTTGCAAACTATGCATCTGACAAAGATCTAATATTCAAAATCTATAAATAATTTAAATTCACAAGCAAAACACAACACCATTAAAAAGTGGGTAAAGGACATGAATAGACACTTTTCAAAATAAGACATACATTCAACCAACAAGCATATGGAAAAATGCTCAACATCACTAGTTACCAGAGAAATGCAAATCAAAAACACAATGAGACACCATCTCATACTAGTCAGAATGGCTATTACTGAAAAGTCAAAAAATAACAGACGCTGGTGAGGTTGCAGAGAAAAAGGAACACTTATACACTGCTGGTTGGAATGTAAATTAGTTCACCTGTTGTGGAAAGCAGCTTGGCAGTGAAAAAAATTTAAAACAGAATTACCATTTGACCTAGCAATCTTATTATTGAGCATATAGCCAAAGGAATATAAATTATTCCGTCATAAAGATATATGCATGTGTATGTTCATTGGAGCTATTCACAACAGCAAAGACATAGATTCAACCCAAATGCCCATCCACAGTAGGCTGGATAAAGAAAATATGGTACATATACACCGTGGAATGCTACACAGCCATAACAAAGAAATGGATATGTCCTTTGCAACATTATGTATGGAGCTGGAGGCCATCATCCTAAGCAAAATAACAGAGGAACAGAGAAACCAAATACCATACTTTCTTGGCTAAAAGTGGAAGCTAATTATTGAGTACATATGGACACAAGGAAGGAAACAATAGACACTGGGACCTACCTGAGGGTGGGTGATGGGAGGAGGGTAAGGATCAAAAAACTATTGGGTACTATGCTTATTACCTGAGTGATGAAATAATCTATACATTAAACCCCCATGACATGCAATTTACCTATATAACAACCTGCACATGTACTGCTGAACCTAAAATAAAAGTGAATTAAAATAATGAAAAATAGTACATAACAAATACAAACACATTATAAGATATAGTGTATTAAAACATGAAGAGAAACAACAAAAGTTAAAAAGGAAGGGGACACAGTGTAGGGTTTTCATTTGTTTTCTTTTTGCTTGTGTGTGCAATCAATGTTACATTGTCATCAACTTAAAATAATGGGTTATAAGATAGTATTTACAAGCATCATGGTAACCTCAAATAGAAAAGCATACAACAGATATACAAAAAATAAAAAGCAATAAATTTAATCATACCACAAGGGAAAATCACCTTCTCCAAAAATAAGACGGGAAGGAAGGTAAGAAGGAAGAGAAGATCAGAAAACAAATAACAAAATGACAGAAGTAAGACCTTACTCATCAATAGTGACATTGAATGTAAATGAACTAAGCTCTTTGATAACAAGACATTGAGTGGAGGACTGCATAAACTAAATAAGACCCAGTGATCCATTACCTACAAGAAACACACTTCACCTATTATTATACACATAGACAGAAAATAAAAGGATTGAAAAAGATGTTCCATGCCAAAGGAAATAAAAAAGAAGCAGGAATAGCCATACTTAGTTCAGACAAATAGACCTTAAAATAAAAATTGTAAGACGAAACAAGGTCATTATATAATGGTAAAGGGCCAATTCAGCAAGAGAGTATAACAATTATAAATATATACACACCCAAAATAGGAGCAAACAGATATATAAACCAAATATTATTAGGGATAAAGCAAGAGATAGACCTCAATAAAAGCATTTCAGCATTGTACAGATCTTCTGTACAGAAAAGCAACAAAGAAACATCGAACCTAATCTGCACTGTAGACCAAATGGACCTAATTGATATTTACAGAACATTTGATCCAGCAGCTGCAGAATACACATTCTTCTCTTAAGCACATGGACCATTCTAAAGAATAGACCATATGTTAGATAACAAAACAAATCTTAAAACATGCAAAAAATGTGAAATAATATCAAGCATCTTCTCTGACTGCAATGGAATAAAATTAGAAATCAATAACAAGAGGAATTTTGAAAACTATACAAATACATGGAAATTACACAATATGCTTCTAAATGACCAGTGGTTCAATGAAGAAATTAAGGAGGAAATTGAAAAACTTATGAAAATAAATGGTAACGAAAACACAGCTTACCAAAACCTGTGGGATAAAGTGAAAGCAGTATTAACAGGGAAATTTACAGCTCTAACTGCCTATATCAAAAAAGAATCAAACTTTCAAATAACTAACCTAACAATGCATTTTGAAGAACTAGAAAAGCAAGTCTAAACCAAACCCAAAATTAGTAGAAGAAAAAAAAATAATAAAGATTAGAGGAAAAATAAATAAAATGGAAATGAAGAAAACAATACAAAAGATCGATGAAATGAAAGTTTGCTTTTAGAATAAACAAAATTGACAAGCTATAGCCAGACTAAGAAAAAAAGAGAGAAGATCTAAGTAACTAAAATCAGTTATAAAAAAGAAGACATTATAATTGATATTATAGAAATTCAAAGGATCTTTAATAGCTGCTATGAGCAAATATATGCCAATAAATTGGAAAATCTAGAGGAAATAGGCACATTCCTGGACACATAAAACCTATCAAGATTAAACCATGAAGAACTCTGAAACCTGAACAGACCAATAACAAGTAATGAGATCAAAGTCATAGTAATTAGTCTTCCAGTAAAGAAAAGCCTGAGACTCGATGGCTTCACTGCTGAATTCTACCAAGCATTTAAAGAGAATTAATATGAATCCTACTTAAACTATTCCAATAGATAGAGAAGTAGGAAGTACTTCCAAATTCATTCTACAGGGATAGTACTACCCTGTTATCAACACCAGACAAAGACACATCGAAGAAAGAAAAGTACAGGCCAGTGTCTCTGATGAATATAGGTGAAAAAATCCCCAACAAAATACTAACAAATGATATCAAAGAACACATTAAAAAGATCATTCATCATGACGAAGTGGGATATATTCCAGGGATGCAAGGACAGTTCAGTATACACAAATCAATCAGTGTGATGTGTTGTATCAACAGCATGAAGGACAAAAACCATATGATCATTTCAATTGATGCTAAAAAAAGCATTTGATATAACAACATTCCTTTATTACAAAAATGGAGGGCCGGGCACAGTGGCTCATGCCTGTAATCCTAGCACTTTCAGAGGCCAAGGCGAATGGATCACTTGAGGTCGGGAGTTGGAGACCAGCCTGACCAACATGGAGAAACCCTGTCTCTACTAAAAATCCAAAATTAGCCAGGTGTGATGGCGCAGGCCTGTAATCCCAGCTACTTGGGAGGCTGAGGCAGGAGAATCGCTTGAACCCGGGGGGTGGAGGTTGCAGTGAGCCGAGATCGCGCCATTGCACTCCATCCTGGGCAACAAGAGCCAAACTCCATCTCAAACAAAAAAAGGGGGGATGGAGGAACTGAGAGTTTTTTCTCTAATATCTGGAACATGAGGAGGGTGACCACTTTGACCATATTTATTCATAGTACTGGAAGTGCTAAACAGAACAGTGAGACAAGAGAATGAAATAAAGTACATCCAAATTAGAAAAGAAGAAGTCAAATGTCATTGTTTGCAGATGATGTAATTTGACATTTAAAAACACCTAAAGATTCAGTCAAAATTATTAGAACTGATAAACAATTCAGTAAATTTGCAGGATATAAAATCAACATACACAAATCAGTAGCATTTCTATATGCCAACAGTGAACAATGTGAAAAAGAAATTTAAAAAGTAATCCCTTTTACAATAGTGACATGTAAATTTAAACACTTAGAAATTAGTGCAACCAAATAAGTAAAAAACGTCTACAATGAAACTATAAAATGCTGATGAAAAAATTAAGAGGACACAAAAAATGGAAAAAATATTCCATGTTCATGGATTGGATCAATATTGTTAAAATGTTCATACTACCCAAAGTGCTCTAAAGATTCAATGCAATCTTATTAAAATACCAAAGACACTCTTAACAGAAATAGAAAAAAAAATTCTAAAATTTTTAAGGAGCCAAAGAAGACACAGAACAACCAAAGTTATCTTGAGGAAAAAGAACAAAACGAAGGATCACATTACCTTCAAATTATATTACAGAGCGATAGTAACCAGTAACAGCACGGTACTGTAATAAAAACAGACACATAGACCAACGGAACAGAAGAGAGAACCCAAAAACAAGTTCAGACACCTACTCATTTTTGACAAAAGTGCCAAAAACATACACATGGGAAAAGACAGTCTCTTCAATAAATAGTGCTGGGAAAACTGTACATTCATGTGCAGAAGAATGAAACTAGTCCCCTATCTCTCCCCATATACAAAAATCAAATCAAAATGAATTAAAGACTTAAATAAAAGTAAACTATGAAACTGCTATAAGAAAACATTGGGGAAACTCTCTAGGGCATTGGTCTCAGCAAAAATTCCTTGAGTAAGATTCCACAAGCACAGGCCACCAAAGCAAAAATGGACACATAGGATTACATCACGTTAAAAAGCTTCTGCACAGCAAAGGAAGCAATCAACAAAATGAAGAGACAACCCACAGAATGGAAGAAAATATTTGTAAACTATGCATCTGACAAGGGATTAATAACCAGAATATATAAGGAGCTCAAACAAATCTGTACGGAAAAAAAAAATCTAATAATCTGATTAGAAATGGACAAAAGAACCAAATAGATGTTTTGGAATCCTCATTCGCTATTAGTGGGGATGGAAATTAGTACAACCACTATGGAGAACAGTTTGGAGGTTTCTCAAAAAACAAAGAATGAAGCTACCATATGACACAGAAATCCCACTGCTGGTGCTAAACTCATCTTTAGCATCAAACCTAATCTCTAGTCCCTGACACCATGAGCTACTACAGCAGCTACTATGGAGGCCTGGTATACATCCAAAGGAAGGGAAAACAGTATATCAAAGAGATATGTGCACTCCCATGTTTGTTGCAGCACTGTTCATAATAGCAAAGATTTGGAAGCAACCTAATTTTCCACCAACAGATGAATGGATAAAGAAAATGTGGTATGTATACACAATGGAGTACTAGTCAACCATAAAAAATAATGAGATCCTGTCATTTGCAACAGAATGGATGGAACTGGTCGTCATTATGCTAAGTGAAATAAGTCAGGCACAGAAAAACAAACTTTGTATGTTCTCACTTATTTGTGGGAGCTAAAAATTGAAAACAATTGAACTCATGGAGATAGAGACTAGAAGGATGGTTAACAGAGAATGGAAAGGGGAGTAGGTGGGTGCAGGGTAGGGGTGGGGAGGGATGTGAGTGATGGAGGAGTAGGGGTGGTTAATGGGTACAAAGGAATAGAAATGATGAATAAGACCTAGTATTTGATAGCACAAAAGTGTGGCCATACTAAGTTATACTCTCTTAGTTATTTTAAAATGTATAATTAAATTGCATTTAAATTAAATTATTGATTTAATCGAACATTTTAAAATAAGAGAGTGTAATTGAATTGCTTTAACACAAAGGATAAATGCTTGAGGGGATGGATACCCTATTTATCATTTACCAGTGATTATTACTCCATTAACCAGTGATTAGTATGCATTGTCATGTCTGTATAAAAGTATTTCATATACCCCATAGATATATATACTCTACTATGTATTCTTAAAAATAAAATTTGAAAAAAGAAAAATAATATTTAATGGAACTTCATGGGAAAAGTGTATGCAGAGGAAAAGGTACACTTTTGAAGTTAATGGATGAATAAAAAATTGGGAAGAAGCCTAACAAAAAATTGGCAGAGGAAGCTAATTGAAGGTTTCTCATAGAAATTAAGGCAAGAAAGCTTTACAAAAGAATGAATGGATGGAAGGTTAGCAATGTCAAAGGTCAATTAAAGTTCAAATGAGTCAAAAACCAAGGTTTCCTCTAAATTTGACTACTGGAAATCACTAATGACTTTGTGACTATGCCCTGACTACCATGAAGAGAAGTCCTTGGGTTCTGGGAATGAAGTAACCAAGACGATGGACTGCAAATTAAAAAGAAAAGCAATATGAGGTTATGTAATTACAGCGTTACTGGAAGCTATCAACCCGATTAGACCATTTTAATTACAACACCAGCCTGGCCTTTGAAGTGGCTATAATCATTTTTCATCTTCAAAATATTTTGTTCTTAGGAATGCAAACTAAAGACTAAAAGTCTTTAAATAATAGTTTGGACCCTTTGTTACATAAGAAAAGAAAAAAAATAAACAATTGTTAGACTTAAAATTATTCTGTTATGTGGAAATAAGATCACCTGTCATTGTTGTTCATGACACCCACTACTTAGAGTATAAAATCATTCTGAGAAGTTAGAGACACCTACACTCAGGAAACTCATCATTAGCATTGAACTGAATCTCTAGTCCCTGACACCATGAGATACTATGGCAGCTACTACAGAGGCCTGGGATATGGCTGTGGAGGCTTTGGTGGTCTGGGCTATGGCTGTGGCTGTGGAGGCTACAGATATGGCTCTGGCTATGGAGGCTATAGATATGGCTGCTGCCGCCCATCATGCCGTGAAGGATATGGATTCTCTGGATTCTACTAAAAAACTTGCTGATTCTCATACTCTAACTCCAAGATCTTGCCCGTATGCTTCAGCAAGGCGAACACTTTTCTCAATGTAGAGAAAATACCTACCATTTTTTGGCTTCATGCTCCAGAAGGAACTAGCCATCAGTTTTTATGGAAGAATCTGGAATCATTACATTGAATCAGGGTTTCACCTATTATTATTTAGTCACTGACATCTGTTGTGACATGTATTTTAAAATAGTTTTAAATAAACACGTTTAACTTGAATAGCAAACATGGCTTTATCAATTCATTTTAGTACATTTCAAATGCATTGATGAGACTTCAATCAAGCTGTTTGTCTTCTTTCCTCTGAATTGGTGTTTTTATTTCAACAGTTTTGCCTCAATAATATATTTTATTCAACATATATTCATTGTGTGTCTCCAAATTTGGGCACCATTCTAAGTCCTGAAGATATAAAAGAATAAGATGGACAAAATCACTGTGTACTTTCATCTGTCTTTACTTTTTATCTGTTTTCAGTGGTTTTGTGTGTGATTTTGTTTTTAGAATATGATTATGTACACTATTATTTTTATGACTTAGTTTTAAACAATAACTTATTGCAATCTTCATTCCAATTAGTGTGTTTGTATTCTGAGGTTTATCTCAAAGCACAGTAATTCTATGTTAATCAATGAAAGCGAATTTTAAATAAAACATTGAGTTAATATAAATAATATTTGTAATAATACGTAAGGTCTAAAGAATGCTATCAAAGCTCGCATGTACCCAACACTGACTTATCAAATGTATAATGTCCTTTATGTATAATCAATTTTAAACTATTGAACATATGAGAATCTACTCTACCTCCTTGACAAGTTAAATTACTTGTCTTTCTGTGTTCCTACCTGTAGAGTTCAAGCCTTGCTTCCCAAAAGATATTATTTCTCAAAAGTAAACCTGAGGGATGTCTGAATTAAAAACACCGAGAGAGGCCGGGCACGCTGGCTCATGCTTGTAACCCCAGCACTTTGGGAGGCCGAGGCGGGTGGATCACCCAGGGTCAGGAGTTCGAGACCAGCCTGGTCAACATGGTGAAACCCCGTCTCTACTAAAAAAACAAAAATTGGCTGGGTGTGGTGGCACGTGCCTGTGGTCCCAGCTACTTGGGAGGCTGAGGTGGGAGAATCGCTTGAACCTGGGAGGCAGAAGTTGTAGTGGGCCGAGATTATGTCACTACACTCCAGCTTGGGTGACAGAATGAAACTCTGTTTAAAAAAAGAAAAAAGAAAAGAAAAGAAAAGAAAAAAAAAGAAAAGAAAAACCCCATGACAACATTTTTACCAATTTAATTTTTAATTTTCTGGAGGATAACTTAGATAATTAGTTTTCATTAGTTTTGCTATTGGTCTGCTGACTACTCGTCAAAATTTCCTTGAAAATAACTATTCTAGATAGTACTTAAGGTCTCTTAAATTTCTTAAATTTCAGTAATTCTTGACATACATTTCTACTCCTACCATCTTGCCAGTGAACAATGTTTTTGTAGTAGCTTTCAGGTACTTTCCACTCTATGTCATGTAAGAGTTAGCACAAGACGTTATAAACCTGGAAGATGATTTGGAGGAGATTTGATGTAAAAATAACATCTAAATACAAAATAATAAACTAAAATAGTACCATGTTCCTCTAGAGAGTTCATGTTATGTTTATTTCAAATAAGCGATTAATAATGATGGGAATGGTACTGTTCTGTTTATATGTTATTATTTTTTGTTGTTGTTTAACTGCCTTTTTTGCCTATAGGTATGGTCATTTGACAGCATTTTGGAAGCATCTGCCTAATGCTAATTATTCTTTCTAAACTTATTTTTAAAGTTTTATTTTTAATTGACAAATAGCTTTATATGTTTATGAGGGCACAGTGTTATATTTTGTTATATGTTTACATTGCGGAATGATTACACCAAGCTAACTCACAAATCTACTATCTAACATAGTTATTTTTTAGGGTGGTGAAAACATTTAAAATATACTCTCTGATACTTAATTTAACATATACACGCTTGCTAAAATAATTGAGTTGCAAGCAAAATTGCAAATTATGTAGTCTTAAAAAGTTAATTTATAGGATTGAAAATAAAACTGGCAAGTAAATTTCTCATTCATCAACCAGGCTTTATGCTACTGCTGCCTATTTTCTTTCAAGTACAAAGGTAGAGAAATCACCTTGAATAAAATATTATAAAATAAACAGCATATTCTCTAACCCTTTAGATATTGAAGAATGTATGTACTTTTTTAATCAATAGTTAAGTGTGTCAAATTATTGTGAAATAACATGGAAATTTCTTATTGAGAAAATTAGTTTGGAACAACAGCGAGTCATCCCAACTTTATTTTCTAGACTGGGGAAATAAAAAACAGACTTATTAGTGCCCATTTTAGTTAATGATTATAGATTGTAATATGATTATTAGTTTTTGTATGCGATTGTATGGGTTTTGCAGTCAGGATCTTTAGGTATCCCTTGCATTAATATGATGCCAAACACACAGCAGGTGTTCAATGAATATTTGTTAAAAGAAAAAGAAAACATCAATAACATAATAGAATATTGGGATTCAAGGAAGTTATTGATTAGGACTGATTGGGACCTTCAATGACAAAGTTAAAGTACAAGCTGAAAATGGGAAAAACACTGACAAATTGATTTTCAAACCATTTTTACAAACAAAAATATTTTAACTATTATATTTCTGTTTCATAAAAATTCACTTTTGATAGATTCTCTCTAGACACACTTAATTAACTGCAAAGCTATATAAGTCAAAAGCCTCAGTTATTTGCTAATATAACCTTAAAAAATCTCTTGGCCTTTTATAATCTATTATGAACTTTCATAATTCTACTTCCAAATTCTATTTTTATTCTATAGATGAAAAGCATATTTTTAAAATGAAGGAAATCATGTTTTCCAGCAAAAACTCAGAGGCTTGTTGATAAGACAAAGGATGATATACATGTTTTTATAAAACGACTCGTAGAGCTGGGGTTCCATCTGTAGAAAACCTGCAAAGAAAATCTACCTATTCTTAGTGACACTGAATCCTTTTCATTGATTTATATTTGCTTTCACTTAAAACATCCAATAGGTCACAGACAAGTAACACACAAGGATAAAATAACATACCATTCCAGTTACATTTTTCTAAGGAATCAGAAAAAGAGTCTTGTGTTAGAAAAAAAATTATTTTTCTTTGCAGATAATTTTGAAAACTCAGGGTCAGTGTCAAAAAGAGGAATTTTGTGAAACTCATATATCCCTGATATGAGTCAATTAAATATGGAAATTTAATGCTAAATTTAATTCTTTGAGAAGATGTTAATAAATTAAGTGTATTGTGAGCAAAAATAATACAATTTCTTTTTTTTTTGAGACAGAGTCTCACTCTGTCGCCCAGGCTAGAGTGCAGTGGCGCGATCTTGGCTCACTGCAAGCTCTGCCTCCCAGGTTCATGCCATTCTCCTGCCTCAGCCTCCCGAGTAGCTGGGACTACAGGAACCCACCACCATGCCCAGCTAACTTTTTGTATTTTTAGTAGAGACGAGGTTTCACCGTGTTAGTCAGGATGGTCTCGATCTCCTGACCTCGTGATCCGCCCGCCTGGGCCTCCCAAAGTATTGGGATTACAGGCGTGAGCCACCACACCTGGCCAAGAACACAATTTCTCAAGAAGAGAGTAGATATATAATGATGGCCACACTTTTAAAGAGCTCAATTTTGGTTAAAAACATGTTAAAAAAAACTTAGAGTAAACTGGAAAAGTGGCCTATTTTGGGATTTTGAACAAGTATCACCAGCTTGCTTTAGTTTTACTGGCAAATAAGCTGTAGTTTCTTATGATATTGCCTTCATTCAGTAAAGAGTGTATCAATTATTTTGAAGAGTAATGAGATGCTATGATGCCTGGCTAAAGAATTTTAGAGATGGCAGTCACCTCCTGTGTGCTCTTTGAAGATACCATAATCATTGTTGTCAACATAGACACAGTGCATTTTATTGGAATTTGGACAAATGGCCCTCAATTAGACGTCAAAAAGATTAACGAGATTGTCTTTTATGTCATTGAGGTCATGGATTAAGGATTATTCAAGTTTATTTTTGTTACCACACCCTTTTCTGAGGTATGCAAGAGTTCCTGGGCACATGATGTCATTTACACTTCCGAAACACAGCTTTATCGTCAAACAAAATCCCCACTCTTGATACCATGAGCTGCTACTACAACCAGGGCCTGGACTATGGCTATAGCTTGGACTATGGTCTGGCTATGGAGGCTATGCATATGGCTCTGACAGACATTATGCTATGGAGAATATGGATTCTCTGGATTCTATTGAAAAGGAAAAATTACCTTGGTGCTTTGGGACATTGGAATCTAGGTATCACCCTACTGTTAATTTTCTCAAGATCAACAACAGCACTTCATTCCATGACATGATTGCAGATTTCACAAATTGGGTCACTTCTGACATTTCTGTGCCAATTTTTAAGAAAGCTATTTTCTTTGAATGACAAAGTCCACTCCAAATTTATTTCATAATAATGTATACTAATTTTAACATTACCACACAGGCTGAATATTTTGCCTTAGAGATTATTCTTTTTGGGATGACCTTGTAAGAGGGCTTCGTGTTATATTTTTATTAAAGGTGTTTTCATTTGTTTAAAAAAATAATCCTTAAAAGTTATGTTCTCCTCTGGTTTTTAAAACATTTTTCCATGTATTTTGTAACAAAAAATCATCCTTATAGAAAAAAGTTATTTTTTTCTTAGTTATGCTGAGAAAGCTAACTTTTCTTTGCAGAGCCGATTAGAAAGCCTCTAATTATCACACCTGAGATGGCAAGGGAAGCTGAAGTAAACAAGAGTTCAGAAAGAAGGGAGGGTGCTGATTTGAAGAATTGTCCTAGACTATTTATATAGGATAGGATAACACGTTAAGTGTGTGATTTTTCTCTCCTTTTTCACAAGTCATAATAGAATATGGATTAAAAACGAGATATTTTGTTGTTCTTTATTTCTCTGAAGATTTATACATAGTTGGGTGAAGATTAATTGAACTAAAGAAAAACCAAAGACTAAAGGGAAACGCTGTACACGTGGTTTTGAGGTTAAGCTACCCTACAGTGAATGGTTTCCTAGAACTGAGCGTAGCACCTAATATGAGCTCAGTAAATATTTGTTAAATAAACTGAACTAGTGAAGAAAATGAGATAATTAAAATTTCTGACCTAATATTTTTCAAATATTTTGTAAGGTGCCTTATAGATTGATAGTTATTTTAATTTTTATAATACGCTCCAAAATAGGAACTAAAGTAAAAAGAGGTATTTTAAGTCCTCAAACTACTCCAAAAAGTAGTTAGAATAGTGGAGAAAATATAAATTTTTGGACACAAAAGTGATTGAGATTGTATTTTCTATTTACTGTTAACTGTGTGATATAAAACATGTTTGTTAATTTCACTGATATTTTCAAGATTACGCCTGATAATTTTATTTTATTTTTAAGAAATGTTGCGAAATAAACCTACTGTCCTCCACATATGTATGCAAATACATAAGTATTATACATCATGATGCGTGACACATAGCAGGTTATTGTATTAATTTCCTAGGGCCAACAAAGTTCCGTTAACAGGATAGCTTAAAACAAGAGAAATGTATTGTCTCGCAGTTCTGCAGGCTTAAAGTCTGGGATCAAAGTGTCTATAAGGGCCATACCCCCTCTGAAGCCAAGAGGAGAATTCTTCCTTGCCTCTTTCTAGCTTCTGGTGGTTTTCTGGGAATCTTTGGTACTTCCTGGTGTGCAGGTATATAACTTCAATCTCTGCCTTTGCGATTACATGGTGTTCTTGTACTTCTCTATGTCTTCTTCTCTCTTTGTTTGAGTTACCTTTTTTATGAGGACACCAGTCATATTGAATTAGGGCTCATTGTAATGACCTCACCTCAATTTGATTAAGCTTGCAAGGACTCTATTTCTAACTAAGGTCATACTCACATGTTCTGGGGCATTATGATTTCAACATATCTTTTTGAGAGAGGACACACAACTCAACCATAACAGTAATCTATATTTTGTGTTTAATATTACTTTGTTCAGATTATATAATTTATAAGTGATTGAATAGAAATGGGGATTCAACATAAGACTTTCGATTTCAGTCTTAAAATTCTTTCAACAATTCTAAGCACGTATTTCTACAACTAAAAGAGATTTGGAAGGAGAAAATGATGTTTTTGATTTAGAATGGATTGCGTTTAAACTGACATTTAGAGGGTCATTTATAACTATCCATTAGAGAACCTGTAATTTTAATCTATATCTTCTCATAAATGTGTACAGTCAAGCAACCTCATCAACAAAAGCCGAGGCATTACCCCAAGGCAGCTTATAATTGATTTCAGAGAACTGGTTTGTGATTTTTACTATCTGCCTAAACTGACTATTCAAATTAAGATCTTTCCCCAAATGTTCATTGCCATAGAGATTTCAGCCTCTTTAATGTATATATGTGCTTTCCTCCACTTCTTTCTTCTCACCTCTTAGACAAACCTAGTCACCCTGAAAGCCTTCTTCAAGCTTTCTCCAAATGTATACTCACAGGAATAATAAAATAAATATTTACATCCAATGAAAATTAAATCTTCCCCACTTCCAAAGAATTTTTCAATTAATCTTTTGACTTTTCAATAAGAAACAGGTAAATCTGTGTGTTGGGCCTTTGAGCAAGATATTTTGTTGCTCTATCACACATAAATGCCATGTACAAGATTTTTACAGTTTAAAAAATTAGAATGTATTAATACAGTGCTTATTTCCAGCTGTATCACTTTACAAAACTTAAAAAAATTCTGGCAATTAAAAATCAAAGTTAAATAAACTATCTCGGATTTGGGGTAAAGGAGGGGAAACGTTAAGATTTCTAGCACAATAGCCTCGTCTCTATACATGTAAGCAAGTCTATTGTTTTAACAAATTTCTTATTGGATATGCTCCATTGGTTGACGAATCACTGCAGAATCACCTTGTCCTGCCTTTTGATTTAATAATAGAAACTACCACTTCCCATGTACAAGGCCATTAGTATTCACGACTGGCAATACTTCCAACAATTTTGTCGGTCTAACAGTGAGAGTCATTATCCCCACAGATTTACCATTTTGTGTATTAAACTCTAAAGATTCTCTAAAGGTTCACAAGAACAGAACTTCATAACTTTAGAAAATAACTTTCTAATTACTTTATGTTATTGTTCACTTGAGAAAGCTAGAGGACAAGGAGATAAATAATTTTGCAAACGTTTCCATAATTAAGGACACTTAGATACGCCTGATGAATGCTAATGCCATTCATGAATTGTGTACTTTGAAAACTGTTTTTAAATAATTTGAACTTGTTTTCCCTTTACTCAATCTCTGTTGATTTACATGCTTTGTTATTATTTATTTATTTTACATTTGAAATCATTTGAGACAGTTTAGAATACATGTTTTAAAAACCGCTAAATGACCACGAAGGAAATTATCAGATTAAAACATTTTCATCACTTTTACAAAGAGGAACATAGTTTTTTGGTTGCATCAATTTTTGTAGTTTGTAGACAATTTTCTTGAATAAATTGTATGCTATTCGTTTAGCCATAAAGTAAAAATAATGTAGATAGTGTACAAGATTTTATACTTTAGCAAGGCAATGTAATTAATGGTTGGTAAAATGTCAGGTTATTTTACAAAACTACTTGATGTTTTGAAAGCTATTCAAGAAATTCTAAATGTAGAAAAGATTGCTTTGGAGATATAACCATCATTTCTTACCATAGCTGAGGTTTCTTTTGAAGAATGTAAGCTAAGCAGAAAGAAAACTAATAGAATGCTTTTAAGAGCAAGTTCAAAACGACCTCTTCTCAGTTATGAAAGGAATGGTTTTATTGACTTGTTTGTACTATTTTTATTTGAAAGGAGAGCTTGACACATCTTTATGGATTCTTAAACCCACCCTTCAGTGGATATGAAAGTACCACATAGGTACTTACAACAGCTACTGCCCTGTTTATCAAACGAAATCCTTAATGTCTGATGTCATCACCTAAAGAAATTTCTACAGAATCCTTTGCTCTGACTGAGGGTTTGGATGTGGCAGCTTCCACAGTCTGGTCTGTAGTCTGACTCCAGATATTTTGTAGTTTGTTTTCTGGATTATCCTTAATGACTATTTTGATCACCCAATAACTGGATCCCTGCCAGGCACAGTGGCTCACACCTGTAATCTCAGCAGTTTAGGAGGCTGAGGTGGGCAGATCATGAGATCAAGAGATCAAGACCATGCTGGTCAACATGGTGAAACCCCATCTCTACTAAAAATACAAAAATTAGCCAGGTGTGGTGGCGGGCACCTGTAATACCAGCTACTCGAGAGGCTGAGGCAGGAGAATCACTTGAACCTGGGAGGCAGAGGTTGTAGTGAGCCGAGATCACACCACTGCACTCCCGCCTGGCAACAGAGCGAGACTCCATCTCAAACAAAACAAAACAAAACAAAACAAAACAAAACAAAAACAAAACAAAAACAAAACTGAGTCCCCCAAGTGGTCTTGACAAAGTAGACTGCAGACTGCAAGATAACCATAAACCTTATTGGTCCAAATATTTAACAGCTGCATATTTAAGACAACCTTTCCATAAGATGATAGCATTACACCATGTCTTCAGACATCCATATTTGTGTATTATAACGGAGAAAAAAATAGATGAGCACTAAAACACAAAGGTTTGGCTTCAAAGAGACTTGGGTTTGAGTTTTGGCTCCACTATCCCCTAACTAGGTGAACTCGGACAAGTTAGCCTCTGTAAGTTTTCGTTTTCTGTCCTCCAAATTGTGTTTAGCGCCTATCTCACAAGGTATTGATAGTTATGTGGGACTGGTTCTAATTCACAGGATTGTCATGTTCAGGTGATAATATTTATTAAGGACTTGGAAATGAATGATCACTATGAGTTTTGTTTTCTTAATAAGAAAGACTTAATTAGGTAGACGGAGCTCCATGTGGCTGTAGTCATAACTTCTGCTACCAAACTTGTGTAACAGAATTACTAGATTAAAAGTTTCTAATAGATAAAGAATGGGTAAAGAAAATGTGGTATATATACACAATGGAATACTATTCATATCCTAAATATATAAGGAGCCCACACAATTCAATAGCAAATTTAGCTGACCATTTTTTGGTCAGCTAAACAATGGGCAAAGGACATGAACAATTTTCCAAAGAAGACATACAAATAGCTATGATGTATATGAAGAAGTCCTCAATATCGTAAATAATCAAATAAATGAAAATCAAAACCACAGTGAGATACCACCTAAGATGACTATTACCAAAAGGGCAAAGATAACTAGCACTGCAAAGGTGTAAAGAAAAGGGAGGCTTTGTACACTGATGGAAGGAATGTAAATTTGTATAGTCACCATCGAAAACAATATGGAAGTTCCTCAAAAATTAAATATTGAACTACCATATATATGATCCAGCAATTCCACTTCTGGGAGATGAAATCAGAATCTCAAAGAGATATCTGCATCCTCAGGTTCCTTGCAGCATTATTCACAGTAGCCAAGATATGGCCACAATCTAAGTGTTCATGGATGGATTAATGAATAAGGAAATGTAGCCATTGAAAAGAAAGAAATTCTACCACATGGGGCAACATGGATAAACCTGGGGGACATTATGCTATGTGAAATAATCCAGATGCAGAAAAACGTAGTATAAGTGAAATTTTTTAAAGTTTGATAGATCCCATGAGTAGAAAGAATGGTGGTTGCAAAGCGTGCGGGGTAAGCACAGAGGAAAGGGGTAGTGTTGGTTAAAGTGAACAAACTTTCAGTTATACGATGAATAAGTTCTGGGGACCAAACTGATAGCACGAGTAAATGGATGTGTTTATTAATTTGATTGTGGTAATCATTACACAAAGTGTGCTTATACAAAATTAAATATACCAAACCATCACACTGAATACCCTGAAGATATGTAATCTCTGTCAATTCAATATTTTAGAAAAGGAACTCTTGATGTTTTTGCAATCTGCCTATACCCAAGCTTCCTGTTAAATATAATATCTAAGACATTCAACAAATTTCTTAAGCGCAAAACTAAGGTGTTACTCTGCATTTCTCGTTTTCTTATCCCCCTCATCTGTGTCCTATCCACCAACAAGCCCCATATAGGGTCTACCACCATCTCTTGCCTGAATTACTATAATAATCTTACACTCTAGGCTTCTATTCTAGAACTCTTACAATTCATGAACCACACAGTAGCAAGTTGTCAATCAGATCACTTCCTTAACTGGAAATCTTTAATGTCTTTCTATTACACCTGAAATTTCATTAAAGAATTATCATCGAGGCCCTGGAGCTCCTGCATAATCTAACCCCTTCCTAACTTTATCTCCCAATATTGTCTTTTTCATTAACTAAAATATAGCCACAATAACGTTTTCACTACTCCTTCATCACGCAAAAATAATTCCACCTTTCCATTCCCTCTGGGGAGCTTTTATAAACATTGAGACCTAGACCATAAATAATAATTTATGGACATGATTGGCCTCTTCCCTCCATGAGAGAATATTAAAAGACCCACCTTTGGGAGGCCGAGTCGGATGGATCACGAGGTCAGGAGGTCAAGACCATTATGGCTAACGCAGTGAAACCCCGTCTCTACTAAAAATACAAAAACAATTTAGCTGGGCGTGATGGCGGGCGCTGTAGTCCCAGCTACTCCGGAGGCTGAGGCAGGAGAATGGCGCGACCCCGGGAGGCGGAGCTTGCAGTGAGCCGAGAGCGCGCGCCACTGCACTCCAGCCTGGGCAACAGAGCGAGAGTCCGTCTCAAAAAAAAAAGAACCCCAAAAAATCACAAGCAAGCAAACAAACAAACAAACAAAAAACTCACGTAGGTGGTGACATCATGAGCTTCTTTGAATCTACTGTGGTCGCCTGGGTTCTGTCTCTGTCTCTGATCCTAAGTATGGATTAATGGTAACAGTACATATGGCTGTGGTTTCTACTGTACCTGTTTCATGAAACGTACCTGTACCTTTTATTCTACTAAAATAAATTTCTGATATTTTATGAACCTCAGATCTTTTATATTAATAAAGTCTAAGCATTCTACTGGTTTCCTTAATGTTATCAATGTAATTTTCTATTTAGACTTATTAATCTCAACTACTTTATTTACAGCCCAGCTTTGTCTACAAGAATCAAAAACCCACCAAAACTATTCATCCTGGAACAAGGTTCAATACTAAGGGCTGATTTTTCTCATTATTGAGGCTTATTAAAATGGTGCTACTTTCCTTACTTTAAGGTAATAATTCTATTCATACTTCTAATAAACATTTTATTGCCATTGTAAATTTGATTTCTTGTCCATGCATTAAGATGAACCTGTTTTATATAAGTGTTGCAATATCTAAGCAATATATTTTTGTATCGAACAATTATTTTCCTTCAGGATTGTTTTACCTAGGCCAAGTCTTTGGATATTATTTTCATAATAATTTTGCTAAGACACTTTTTTGAAGTGCTTTTAGGACTATTAAACTTTTTCTCACCCTTGACAAATACTCTAATTTTAGGTGTGAGGCTTGACTAACTTGAATTTAGTCATTTTTTTCGCAATTTACATTCACAATTCTTAGGTCTTCACAATTTCTACTTTCTTGCTCTAAGTAACACAGAACTGTGAACTTTGGGATTAATGTGTAACAAGTGCCACTATGTACAGTTGACCTTGAACAATATGGGTTTGAACTGAGTGGATCTACTTGCACAAAGAATTTTGTCTGTCACCCCTGTCACCCCTGTGACAGCAAGACCAATATCTTTTCCTTCTCTTCCCCAATCTACTGAATGTGAAGACAAAGATGAAGAACTTTATTACGATCGACTTCCACTAAATGAATAGTAAATATGTTTTCTGGGTTTTTTTTTTTTTTTTTTTTTTTTTTTTTTGAGACGGAGTCTCGCTCTTTCGCCCAGGCTGGAGTGCAGCGGCGTGATCTCGGCTCACTGCAAGCTCCACCTCCTGGGTTCCCGCCATTCTCCTGCCTCAGCCTCCTGAGTAGCTGGGACTATAGGCGCCCGCCACGGCGCCCGGCTAATTTTTTTTTGTATTTTTTAGTAGAGACGGGGTTTCACCGTGTTAACCTGGATGGTCTCCATCTCCTGACCTCGTGATCCACCCGCCTGGGCCTCCCGAAGTGCTGGGATTACAGGCGTGAGTTTTCTGTTCTTTATAATTTTTTAAATAACATTTTTTCTTCTCTAGCTTACTTTATTGTAAGAATATAGCATGTAATACATGTAACATAAAAAATGTGGTCAACAGTAGCTTATGTAAGTAGTTAAGTTCGTAGAGTGTCAGCAGTTGTAGGTGGATTTTTGACTGTGCAGGGTTAATGCTCCTAACCCTCATGTTGTTCAAGGATCAACTGTAAAATGTTCTTGTGGTCTCTGACTTACAAGGACTTTTCACTCATCTATCAATCTATCAAGGGCTCTGCCCTCATCATCCTGCCATAATTTTGAAGATTCTGTTGGGAATAATTGCTATCAAGTAAATTCACTGCGGCTGTACACAACTAGAGAATAAGTGTGTGTGTTTCCTTAGCTTCCAGTTATTAAGGGTGCATTTTATATAATTAAATCCTTAACTATTCAATATTTCATTAAAAATTATCATCATAATAGAGACAAGAATACAGAAATAGTTTAAGTACTTTTTAAAGGTCAAATAGTAAGGATACAGCAGCAGCAGAGTTTGAAAGAAGCTGAGATTGAGAATTCTGACTATGAAAAACATTAAATGAAATAAACTGTAATAAAATTAAATCACAGCTTAAAATAATAAAGCAGCTGAAAACTTGTTTTGTGCATTTTTCTCTGGAAATTTACAATAAATCTTGGTAATGTTGGCCACTCTTCTCAAAAATGAATTATAGATATACTTCTGTGGTTGGTGTCCTTTGGACTCAGAAGGCACCTTCACCATCAAAACTAATCTCTAGCCCCTGTAAGCCTCGATGGTAACAACTGCAGCAAATGGGGCTATGATGGGTCCTGATGATTTGATGGTCAGAACTAGGATCTGGTGGACTTCATGGCCACCAACTACTTTCTTTCTATGGAAGAAATTGGTTCCTTACATTCCACTCAAATATTTGTTGGTCTTGTAATCCTTCACACCTTCATTATTTTGTTGATTGTGTGCTTTTTTTGTTCCTTCAGTGTCATCAAAACCATGCACAGTCTTGGCCTCTTTAATAACAACTCCTTTTCTGATAGCCTAGCATGAACCCCTAATGAAGCAATCATACTGCAGACTGCATACTCAGGGCCAAGCTAAAACTAGAGGTTCTATTTCTCTGATTTAGAATTTCATTAATCTAGTCAAAAAATTTTCATCATTGCTACATTAGTAACATTGTGCTAACTTCCTTATTCCATGGAAAAAAATATCTGTACATGTTTCCAATAAAATTGCTTTATTGATATAGCAAACATAATTTAAATTTTATTTATTCACCTCAATAGACATTTTTCATTTAAGTTTTGCCAATATTTTTGCAATTAACAATATATTTTCCTTTTGAATTATATTTCTTATTAATGCTTACTTATAAAAGACTTAACGTCTTTCCTTCTTAGAGTGATACTCCCTTATTGTACTTCAAAAACTTTAGAATTAAGCACAGATTTTCCCAATAATGAAAAGGCCATTGTCCCTTTATTTACGTTTCTTCTTTCAATTTGCTCCCATTTAAGGACCCTCAAAGCTATATAAGGAGATAAGCTTTCACAGTGTAATATATTTTTCTTTCATATAATTACATTTGTGAGCTGACAGAGAGGTAAGTTATGAAGGGTTTGTTGCTCTATGCTTAGGGGGCTTTGCAGCAAATGTCGAAAACAGAGATGTAAATTATTATTGTCTTTGCACATGTATGAAAATGGATATTTTAAAAGATTGAGAATCTCACTCAAGTGGGTAGAAACAGGACTTTGAAATAACAACAGGCATTGCTGCATATACTGGGCTCTCAACTAGTGTGCTCTAACACCTTCAAACTCATGCCAATTAATAAGTAGGAAACTGTAATTTCTGGATTAGGAGGAGAGCGGTGGTTCTTGATAAAAGGAGAGAATGAGAGACAAGGACTAACAAAATTAGATATGATGCAAGAGGTCAGATTGCATCAAGTAATCTAGTTAGGCTATGTTAAGCACAGTCATAAGCTTTGAAGAATTGGCAGTCATTACCTTTTATTGTAAGAGCTGACACTAAGAAGTTCAGAGAAAGCAAATAAGTAAATATAATTATACATGAGTAGCATTAAAACTTCTCAAATTGGCCGGGCGCGATGGCTCACGCCTGTAATCACTTTGGGAGGCCGAGGCCAGCGGATCATGAGGTCAGGAGATCGAGACCATCCCGGCTAATACGGTGAAACCCTGTCTCTACTAAAAATACAAAAAATTAGCTGGGCGTGGTGGCGGGTACCTGTAGTCCCAGCTACTCGGGAGGCTGAGGCAGGAGAATGGTGTGAACCCGGGAGGCGGAGATTGCAGTGAGCCGAGATTGCGCTGCTGCACTCCAGCCTGCGTGACAGAGCGAGACTCTATCTCAAAAAAAAAAAAAAAAAAAACAAAAAACTTCTCAAATCACAAAACAAGAATATACTTGGGCTGTTTTGCACATTAGTGAAAGAAACAAAAATGAGAAATATCTATGTAGTGCCCCCCCACCCCCGAGAGAATATAAAAGTCTAGGCGTGGGTGGTGATATTTATTCTTAGGAAATTCAACTTCAACATCAAACCAATCTTCAACCCCCAACATAATGAGCTACTAGTACAGCAAGGACTACAGTGGACATGGCTATGGCCTTGGTGGTTTTGGTAGTCTGGACTATGGCTATGGATCTAGCTATGGGCTTGATGGTGGTTATGGCTGTGACCATTCTTATCCCTCTTTCTATGAAGGATATTGGTAATCTTCACTCCTTTTGAAAATATAGTCTATTGCAAATAAATTCAGAGCTTTTATATTATTTTCATCTTCGTTCTTTTGTTTTCTTCACTGTTATCAGTGACATATTTCAGAGCCAGTCATGAGCCCCTGAAGACATCCTAATGGAGACCAATTCTCCAAATCTGCAGGGATTTGTTTCCCTTAGCTGGAATCTTAGCACCAGTCTAGTCGAGGTATCCACATTCCCACTGTGTTATTAGCATGAAGCTTTTCTTCTTTATCCCTTTGATGATATTTCCGCACATATTCCCTAATAAAATTTGCTTATGGGAATCTAAAACCATGCTCCTCTTTCCATAGAAGTTATTGGTCCTCTGGATTCTACTGAAAAGAAAAAAAATTGATCATCACATTAGAACTCAAAATTTTAGGATTCTTTCCCTGATAGAAGGTTTTATGCCCTTCAGTATCACCAGTGATATTTTTCTGAGGGCTTTTCTTAATGAAGATCTCACCATGCAAAAGGCACATTTGTTTCAGTGTGGACCTACTTTTCTGACTTAGAATTTCATCACTCAAGCTAGGTATTGTCTTCTCTGCTACAATAATAAAATGCCACTGACTTCATTCTTATGTGATATTTCCGGAGACACTTTCTAGTAAATTTTCTTCATAAGCCTATAAAGCCTGACATCATTTTTTAATTCATTCCAATGCATTTGAGTTTTACATTTAAAAAAATACTCTCATTTAAAAAATTTTCCCTATGAAAATATGTACTTTATACCTATTATTCCTTATCTTTGAAGGTGATCAAAGTTTTAAGAGGACACATTGTTTAGTTAATGTGGTTTGTTGCTAAGAGCAGACTTCCATTATTATGATATTCATGGAAACTAAATAATTTAGACATTTCAAATTCCAGTAAGTTTGGCATTTCCCTTCATGTACATTTTTTTTTCATTGGTTTGCTGGGGCCACTTCATACCAGCTCACAAAAGGCAATTTTGAGCATCTCTTTCCAGCTCTGTGTTTAGAGGCGTCACATTGCTAAGTTGAAAGAGAACGTGATGGGAGTATTTATACTACAGAGATCAGCAAATGCTACAAATTAGACTTTTTTCAGAGAGCCTTTTTTTTTTTGTCACGACTGATGACATTTATTCTGAATTAGGTACAACATTGAGTTCCTAAAAATCTTCATTATATAAGAAGAGGGTGATGTTTTGATGTTTTCCATGTGGATTTTGCATTTCTCCCATAGTCATTTGTTTGCTTGGTTGTGCAAGTGAAAGGTAACTTCTGCATCCTTTCCTGGTGAGACAGAATATTATATATGCAATAGGTTACATGAAACAGACCTGTTACTTACAGATAGGGAGCAAGGGACAATGGAAGCCTAGGGTTCATTGTAAGTTCATCCCCCAAGTCTCAGAAAAGCTGCCTGGAGAAGATAGAGTCTTCACTGTATGCACCCCACTTGTACTACAGCTGAGGGATCCCCCCAAAGCAGCCCACTCTGAGTTTTATACCCCAGGGTCACATTAATCATGGGAATAAAGCATGGAAGGAACTCTTGTGTCTAGGGGAATCAGTAACAAATCCTAGGCTGTTCTGGATGGCTAGGGAATAAATGTGGAAAGGGAATAAATGCTTTCTCAGACAAACAACAACAACAGCAACAATAAACAAA